>NC_000023.11:104337542-104962542 GCF_000001405.40 Homo sapiens | reverse complement strand
TAGTGTGTAGCATAGGCTACGCACTAAATGGCCTTTGTAGTGGTTGTCATTAGTAATAGTGGATGATTTAGTTTTCTATTCTCCGCACTTAGGGCAAATGATTTTTTTTTCTCTTGCCAGTGAGTGACTCTCCTTAAGATTTTCATTGTTTCTTATAATAAAGAAGTCAATAAACCTAAAGAAAATTACTAAAATAGCTTAGTCACCATGAAGAGATATACCTAGCTTCACTGTATTAATAACCTTTCCTTTGGTTGCACATGGCAGAAATCTTGGCTGTCAATTTCCCAAGTATATTTACTTACCTTCAAAATCATTTTGAGCCTACACTAGGAAACAGACTTAACTATGTCAATGTTTTTATAACTTGATTGCCCAATAGTGAATTAGGAGAAAGCAAGGTGTGTAGAAACATAGAAGTGAGGCAAACTAAGCCCTCCAGCTCTGAAGAGCACCTTGGAAACATTTTAGCCTGTGAAGGCCTGAAACTGTTCCTGAGTTCCTACTGCTGTGAAGGCCACAGTGACAGAAAGCAACGAAACAGATGGTACACATTAGACTTTTAATATCTGGTATTTCTGCTGGTAAACTCTCCAGGAGGCCAGTGGTGTCTATTTTCCAAAATGGGTAATCATGCGGTAAGCACATAATAGGTATTCAATAAGCACTTGCGGAATTCATTCACTCATTCATTCATTCATTCATCTAACAAATACTTTTTTGAGTGCCTATTCTGGGCCAGGCATTGTGCTAAGAACTGAAAATAAAGTGTCGAATATAAGACAGACTAGGCTGCTGCTCTTACATTCCAGTGGGGAAGATCAGACACTGAAACAGTAAACACATTAGGGAATCTCAGTTAATGTATAATATAATCATATATTCTATGGAAAATGAAACAAAGTAGTTGAATTGAGAGTTCTTGGAGGAATGGGGTAGAGGGAACTACTTTATATAAATCGGTCAGGGAAGAACTCTAAAATGAGGTGACAATTGAACTAAGACTCCTGGAAGGAACCTTGAAAAATATTACCCATAGTAAGGAGAGTCAAGTCATGCTAACAGTACCAGCGTTTAGTATCAGGACATGGCTGGCAGAAAAACAGATATCATTTCACAGAGTGGATGGAAACAAAGGATCCAGCAACTCAGACAAATCTGAAAAGCTAATTCAGATCTCTGGTCAAACAAGACACAAAAAATAAGGAAAGGGCTCAGGATCCAGAAGGTCAACTGAAATGCACAAATGTGATCCTACTTCAAGGCAGCAATGTTTGACCTCTGGCTGCTTCTTTCTTCTGAGTCTACAGGTCAGCAAGTGGAGGGCCACTGTAGGCAGAAGGATGTGCCAGAGGCCCCGGGATTGCTTTGATTTTTACTATAGTAGGTGTGAGAGACAAGAGTTCTCAGGATGCTTTTACAAACTTTTTCACACCTACTCTTCTGTCTGTCATCCAATTATCTTTTTTTTTAATCTGTTACTGTAGAGCAACACCCTTTCAAGCATTTTTCAAATTCAAAGCAATCAAAATATGAAGTGGGATCATTTTAATTTGTGTATGCTTTCTAAAAACAAAGTTAGAAAAATAGGCAACTTGTCAAGGAAGAGCCAAGTCATAAATATAAGAGATTCAGGAGCTGCAGATGCTGAGTTCTCAGATTTTTCTTTCTCCTAGTCTACGATTTGGTGTTGCTATGGGAATGCAACGCAAAGTGGCACTCAGAGCTTGATGCCATAAAATCAATGTAAATTCCAGGTGTGAATTATTGCAGTATGTAGTCTGTAATTTTTCTTGCAAAACTATAATTAGATACTTGGAGGGAGGAGGGGGAAGGTGGAATGTGAAGAGAAGAAATAAAATGGGGAAAGGGGAGGAGTTGTAAGAATGAGGGGGGAAATGAGGAGATCTTAACATTACTGTTGTGATTCACATATTGCAATTAGCCAGTATTTGAATTTCTATGTGAATGCATACCTATTTCTTTTTTCTCCCTGCTCCCCTTCCCCATACTCTCCTGGGTGCTACATTTTAAGAATGACACAGAAAAAGTAAAGAGCCCATACCTACACACCCAAGGTTGCCAGGATGCCATGACTCACAATAGGAAAGAGCATAGCATTTAGTCAAAGGATTTGGGTTCAAGTTTTCATTCTGTTATTTACTAGGTGTGCAATCTGGACAAATCAGTTAACCTCTCTATGTCTGTTTTCTCATCTTAAAACAAGGATGATCATTTTTTGGATGATTATTCTAAACAAAACCTTAGGTAGTTTTCCTTTCCTTGTATTCTTCAATAGACTTCCCCAGCTTTCTGTTCTAGAGTTAACCTCACAAGCTAATTTGAGTGAAGATATAAATGCTGCTCTTCTCATATAACATTTACATTAATAATGAAGCCATCAGTGATTGAACCCTTTCACTGACTTAATAATCAAATGTGTATTTATTAAGTGGTGCAGGTACTCTGCAGGATAAAAAATAAATAAGTGTATTTCCAGTAGGAGCTATATGGCTACAAAGACTTAAAATAATAATGAGAAAAAGAACTTTAAGATACAGGATAACTAAATGTAAAATATTATGGTAAGAGCTTAATGATCATACAACATTTCAAGGATAGGATGATAGTTTGAGATGAAATCCTTAGAGAGGACTTCATGGAGATAGTGGCATGTGAGAGAGGCTTGAAAGATGGGTTTGGACAAAGAAAGAAAGCAGAGAAAGGCATTCTGGGGAGAGCAATGGAAGCGAAGGGAAGGTATAATATGGGATTGCCCAATGTTTTGTCAAGCTAGAGTGAATGAAATCTTAAGGTAGAGGGGTAAGGCCCTTTGCTGTGGATGGTCACCAACTGAAGGCACACATGTGGTCAACTGTGTTCATGGGATGTGATCCCCAATTGGTACCCTCAAATGCCAGAGAGAACCTCAATAATTACGTACTAAGTCAAACAAGCACACATAATATTGGAAAAGAGGCATATCTTCCTGACAGCCCTTAGAAAAAAAGTCTATTTTTAAAAAAAGTGTTCCAACTTTCATTTCTTTCAATGCAAATCAATAACTCTAAATGACTGTAGGAGGGAGATGCTGCAAACTTGGTGCCCCCATCTCAGAGCAAGATTGATTTCGGAAACTGTAAGGGACCACTATAAGTCCCTGAGCACCAAGAATACGTGCAGTAGACCTACACACAAACTCCACTTGTATTAAATGTAACAGCCAGCTTAGAAATAAGACGACACCTGATAGCCCATTTCCAGATGAGGCCATGTAAGCTGCAAATAACAAAGGCTAACACGAATGGGCATCACTAGTCTGATGTACTACCCTTCTTAAGGCTTTTTCCCTAGCATGAGAGAAGTTAAGGTGTTCATGCTTTCTTTGCAATTTTTTTTAACAGAGCAAGAAAAAAAAAAGATGATTCTTCATCTGATCAGGAGAGGTACAAGCAAAGCCCTGGTTATTGACTAGCAAGCTAATTTCTCTTAAAACTCCCTACATCCACAGACTGCCCCCATAAAACCAGCATCCCCTGTTACTAATTCCACGGAGACCCTGTGAAAAGAAAGGAGACACAATATTTCTCATGGTGAACACCTCAGGATATGTATCGTAGTGATGATGAGTCAATTACTAACAACACTATTGGTGTCAGTATGTCTAGGTAAAATGGGCTTTTAATCTGCCATGCTTATCAGCTTGGCACTTACCCCCAGGTTGCTAAGCCTAAGATAGATTTCTTCTCTCTGAAACCCACAGCACTGAAATCATATTAGTCCTCATCCTGAAGGCTTGATAAGAAGCCTATAAATAATAAAAATTAAATAATTTTGATAATGCATTAGTACCTCTCCTAAGAAGGAATCCAAGGCACATGGCAGCATTCACTTACCAACCTGTACTGTGTGTAGCATTCCAGAGTGGTAGGAAGCTACTAGAGGGGTTCTTTTTTCTTATCTAGTTGCAGCAATAGATCCTCTTTAGCCAGCACTCTATCTGCCCTGCTTCTGTGGTCAGGTTTACAAAAGAGATCACATGAGGCACCTTAAAAATAATTCACACGTGATATACATGAATTACCTAAGCAGCAACCCAGAAATGACTATACCTAGGCCTCTGGAGCTTAATATTCCACCCCCAGTCCTGAACACCAGGACTATCAATTTCCAGGCAGTCTGACCTGGTAGTCAGGTTCAATGACACTCTGGATACCTGGGGCCTAGAACAAAACACATCTCTCCCTTTCTGTCTATTATTCTCCCTAGTACCACTCATGAACCATATAACCTAGTAAAATTAGGATAAAATGGATACCAAGGGCAAGGACTGGCTATATAATTTGTGGAGCCTGGTACAAAAATGAAAAGCCAAGATCCTTTCTTCAAAACTTATTAAGAATTTCAAGATAGTGACAGAAGAGCATTCATTCATTCATTTATTTACTTTGAGACAGGGTCCCACTCTGTCACCTCAGGCTGGGATGCAGTGATGCAATCATAGCTCACTGCAGCCTTAACCTTCTGGACTCAAGCGATCTTCCAGTCTCAGCCTCCTGAGTAGATGAGACTACAGGCATGCACCAGCACACCCAGATAATTTTTAATTTTTATTTTTAGTAGAGATGAGGTCTCGCTGTGTTGCCCAGGCTGTCTCTAACTCTTGAGCTCAAGAGATCCTCTCCTCCTCCCTTGGCCTCCCAAAGTGCTCGAATTATAGGCATGAGCCACTGTGCCCAGCCCAGAAGAGTATTTAAACCAACCAATAACACAGGCCACACACCAATGACGATAGACCTGCCTTGGATATTCCTAAAGAAATTCATATCCCTTGGAAAATAACAAAGGATATGACATTTTCAAAATAAACTTTAGCAAAATGAAGAGGAAACCAAAGAAAATGTTGCAATGATAAAACTAATATAAAGTCAAGTTCCCAAATTGCCAGTTTCTGATAGTCAAAATCCCAAATAAAAGCAAGTGGGATGTTTCCATGGATCTTGAAGTCCCTCAAAATCCAATTACACTATAATCAGGTGGAATGGGTTCATAAAGGCATTATCTGCCTCCCTCCCTCTGAACCCCCAGCTGGCCTCTTAATCCTTTGGCCCTCAGGTGCTATCCTTCCTTGATAGTTCTTCAGCATGGGTGTCCCTGCCCTGATCCCATCCAAAGACAAGAGGGCAACTCCCCTGCAAACTCAAAGCTTTCCAAGGCTGTTTCCTCCTTTAATTCCAGGGACTTTGCATTCTGAAGAACACCTGGCCTGAGGATTTCCAAGCTCACTGCAGAAGTGGACAGCACCAGTGTTTGACACCCTTGGTGCCTCTACTCTTTAGCATACACCATTTCAGGCTTAGACTGTTAGCTCTGCCCACTTCATTCATGGGGAAACCCCTCTGGGTATACCCAAAAGGACTGTCCAGTTTTTACTATTGTCATATCTTAACTCAGCAGCAGCAAATATACATGCAAGAAGGGGAAATTATAACCCTTTAGGGCTTCAGGGATGTTTTTAGCACCTTCTAGCTAAGCCACCTCCACCCCTATTAACTGATATTCTCAACTATCCAGCAGCATAGGAGCCCCTTAGAGTAGGATACCTAAAGCCAGCAAAAGAGTCATAGTTCTTAAAAATCATCCAATACAATGGTTTACAATTTTTTTTAAGATATGAACCTCTTTGGTCAAATGATATTGTATGTGAAGGTGAAAACAAAAGCAGAGAAAACCAGAACTGCTCTTAGTGAGAAAAAAGGACAGAGTATGTACGTCAGTGGCAAACCCTTGGCCACCAGAATTTCTCCTAATGGTGCCTCCATAGAATGCCTACTGCTATGAAGAAAGCCACAGAATTACAGTTGAACCCTCTTGGGTTTGTTTTGTTTTGTTTTGTTTTTCTTTTCGAGATGGAGTCTCACTCTGTCGCCCAGGCTGGAGTGCAGTGGAGCATCTCGGTTCACTGCAATCTCCACCTCGCAGGTTCAAGCAATTCTCTTGACTCAGCCTCTCCAGTAGCTGAGATATGCGCCACCACGCCCGGCATAACACACACACACACACACACACACACACACACACTTAGTAGAGACAGGGTTTTGCCATGTTGGCCAGGCTGGTCTCAAACTCCTGACCTCAAGTGATCCACCTGCCTTGGCCTCCCAAAGTGCTGGGATTACAGGCCTGAGCCACCACACCTGGCCCCTCTTGTTTTTACAGATGGTGAAATTGAGGCCCAGAGAAGGGAAGTGAGTTAACCAGGATTAGTGTCAGTCAGTAGTGCTGCTGGGACTGTTAGAAGCCAGATCTCCCTCCTCAATTCAGCATATTCCAGGGATGCCCTTTATCTGCCAAGTCAGTGAAAGCTGTGAGTGAAGGAAAAGGAGGACTCTCCTCTACACCCTTTAGCTGGGCCACAACAGAAGAGATCAGGCTCTTTTGAATTGTGGCAAGCACTCAAATGTATCCTGAGAGACAGTTTACCATGTTTTCTACAGAATACTTGTGGAGCAAATAAAAAAGTACTGATCTCCCACTCTTTGTTATACACTTCCCTTCACCCCAGAAAGCAACATTGGATCATTTTGGGTACATTTCAAAACAAATACTGTTGATTTCACAGTTCCAACCCCTATTTTTTTCCCCAAATTATTTTCATGTTCTCTGGTCATTTTTAACTAATAGGGAAATCTAACTCCTATTGATGATGCGCTGTTTGGCATGGAAGACTCTCAGTGGATGAGCTATAGAAGCGGTTGAATCCAAGTTTAACTCTTTGTGTTTCCTGCTGGGACAGAAGCTTTTAAAACCAAATGGAAGAAGGATGAAGACATTGTACTGGGTCTGAGAATGCTATAGAATTCTTGGAGAACATAATAAAAGAGTTCACAAGTAATAAGTAAGGGCTAATCCTTTTAGAAAGTTAAACGATTCTAGAAAAGGATACTGAGAATGGGGAGTATTTTATATAAATATATATATGAGTATAATATATATATATGAGTATAATATATATATGGGAGTATAATACATATATATGGGAGTATAATATATATATATATATCTGGGAGTATAACATATATAATGGTGAGCTGAAATAAATTTCTGTTGTCCGGACAGAGGGGTGTAAAGAACAGCAGACTCTGCAGCTTAGAAAGGACTATCTACATAGAAAGCATGTTAAACAGCTAGGGACTGTTCTTCCCTTATATCCCCTGAAGAAAGTGTCCCAGTGACCTTGAGGAATATTTCAGCTATACTAACAATTACTAAGAATAGAGGCTGGCTATTCTCTCCTCTGCCTTTCCCATCTCTAAGCCACAACTTAAGTGAATCTCTGGCTAAGAGGCAGGACTCCACTCCAGACCAGATTGAAGATTGGCTACAACAGGAAAGAGGCACAGAAAGCACCTCTCTACAAGACATGCCTACCAATACCATGACAGTTTACCATTACCATGGCAACACCCAGAAGTTACCACCCTTTTTCTAGGAATTTCTGAGTAAACCCTGCCCTCTAATTTGCATATAATTAAAACTGGCTGTAAATATGACTGCAGAACTGCCCCTGAGCTACTATTCTCAACATACTGCCTATGGGGTAGCCCCGCTCTGCAGGAGCAGTCACTGAGCTGTAACACTGCTGCCTCAATAAAACTGTTTTCTTCCACCACAGGCTCATTTTTGAATTCTTTCCTAAGTGAAGCCAAAAAACTTCTGGGGCTAGGCCCCAATTTAGGGGGTTGCCTGCCTTGCAATATGGCCACATCTACTTGCTCCAAGGTTAAATTAGGCCACCCGTCTTACACTTTCATACTCTAGCAGTCACCAAACCTGAAATTACTCAGGTGTGGCGGTCAGTGCCTGTAGTCCTAGCTACTTGCGAGGCTGAAGCAGGAGGATCATTTGAGCCCCTCAAGACTGCAGTAAGCTATGACTGCACCACTGCACTCCAGCCTGGGCTACAGAGCTAGACCCTGTCTCCAAAAAGAAAAAAGAAAAAAAGAAAAGAAAGAAAGGAAAAAGAAAATAAAAGAAAAGAGGGAAATCTCTAACTATTAGTGTAATATCTGTCTTGCCCATCAGACTTGAAGCTCCATGAGGAGAGAAACTATGTCTGTCTTGTGTGTCACTATATTTCTAGCACATAGCACCCAACAGACCTTCAAGAAACTTGTAATGAATTGAATTGATCATATAATTCAAAACAGCTATGGTTTTTTAGGTAATGATGGCAAGAAGGGAAAAATTACTTCCCCATGTTGCTTATGTATTATTTGAAGAGTCATTACAATTAATGATTAAAAATCACTGTGGTTTTCCTCTTCTCTAGAGTCAATGTCTGCTCTGTAAAACATATGCTTTATCTATGGAGTGCTTTCAAGGTAACGCAGTTTTTCTTTGCAACCATTTTACTTACATGACATTTTTTAAAATAGCTGGCCAGCTGAATTAATTCCATTGGACCTATTGGCCCAGGGCAGAAAGAAAGAATATCCCTTCAATCTGTCTTCAGCATAACTGTCCCTGGACACTTTTGATTTCTATAGCCTAATTTTGTGAGTCTGGAACACAGTCTAACTTCTATCCTCCTCACTACTGTTCAATTCACTGTCCAAGAAGAATAGTCATCCCAAAGAAAGTGCAAAAAAGAGAAATGGCTAAGGAAAAAGAAAGTGGGATTTTGAGTTTTGCTACAAAAATATATATTAGATGTGCCAGTGTCCAAGTTGCCAGGCTTGTTGATTAGGGTGACTAAATTTATGATTCACATCACCAGAAAAATCAGGAACATATTAGAACATGTATTATGTTGATAATAGTTGATAAGAGAAAAAATATTTATACTCATAATAATGAATACCTTTGTTCCATCTAGAAACTTACCCCTATTTTCTTGATTCATTGTTCATTGTATACTAAGCCAGTTAGCTTGGCTTCAGGGAATTATAAGAGAGAAGCCAAATAAAGTTGCTCAACCTTCTTTCTGAGCCTGGGTGCATGAATTTCTTGGAATAAACAAAACAATTTCATATTGTTTTAACATCTGGAATGTTTAGTTAAGGGTTAATCCACTCAAGAGGATGCCAAAATATGACTTGTAAACATAGATACTGTAGGATATGTGGCATGTATGTCTCAGAACTTATCTATCCAAATATATGTTTATAGAGAATCCAAATTTATAAAGGATTCTCTAACTTAGTTATGTTATTTTCCTCTGAGTTTCCACAGCAACTGTGTTTTCTTCTATAAGAGTACTCAGCACACTGTAAATATGTACTTCTTGACTTGTTAATCTTCTCAAATAGACTACAACATCCTTGAGGAGAGGGCTAAGACTTCCTCAATTCTGTAACCTCTCTGCCATGAACAAAGTAAATGATGAAAGTAACCTTTCAACGTGGTAGCCATGGGAGGTAAGCACATGTTCCTGCAATGTTGGAGTTGTTGAAGACTAAAAGAAAAAAAAAACTTTCCTTTTGCAATTTCCTTCAGAATCCCTTTACAAGCTACCCAAGAAGAACAAATGCATTATTGATAATCACACCTAATACACTATCCAAGAATGACAAATTGGCAAAGAACAGATCAAAACATAGTCCACACTTAAACATGACACTAGACATAAATGAATTTCTGATTCAGAAGAACACTGCTAAGCCTTGGGAGACACCATTATGAGTTCTGAACAGAATTTGGTAAGCATATATTGCTAGTTGACAGCTCTTTCTGAATAAAATGCTAAATTAATTGGAAAACTAAATTTTGTAAGTTGTGCATAAGAAGGACTTAGCATCTTTCTTTTTAATGGTATTTTTGTAGCTTTATCAGCTGATGAATGCATGAGGGGATCAGATGATATGAAAAACACCTATCTTTTGCCCATCTACCATATAATCTAGTATATAGGTAATATCCTTTAACTGATTAGGGCCTAGGGTGTACCCCAAAAGTTCTTCTCTTCTGGGAAATAATACATAACTCTTAATAAGATAACAACATTATTTTGTGTGTTAATGTTTCTTTTGTTAAAGTAAATTCACTCTTTGCATTAAAATAAATCATGTTGTGTTCTTGTGATTCATTACACATTTGACTGCATTCTGGAGGGCTCTCTCTTTTATCTATCAAGAAATACACAGAGACTGCCCAATAAACCTATAGATGCTTGAGGCATGCTATTTTGGCCTCGTGCAAGTTTTTCATGCAAAGCTCATGAGCAACAAAAATTGTGCCTATTTTCCAAAATGCCAACTTTATTTTAAAGTGAGTCACTTCAGAGTAAAGCAAAGTTTACTTTTTAAAAAATGTTGATCTCACTCTAAAAATGTTAATGGTATAATGAATTTCCTCAAAATACATTTTATAAGGGTATTTTGTGCTGAAAAACCACAGCCAATATATGCCCCACCAATAATTTTGCATCAGGGCTGGAAAACTCATACATTCTTCAACATTTACACATACAGAGTTCATTTAGCATTAATTTGATATTATATATTTTTATATGTGCAATACAGACAACTCAGTAATGTGGCTGATTGGAACATGTTGTCAAGGCAGCTGCATTACAGTCCTGTCTCAATACATAGCCTTTTTGTAGCTCACTCAAAGATCAATGCCAGATAACGTCTTTTTTAAATCTTTGTATAACCAGCATATAGAGTCTGGCACATAGTTGACATTAGCAGTTACCATTTACTGAGTGCTTACCATAGCCAGGCACATGCACTTTCCTATTGAATCCTTACTACATCCTTGCAAAGTAGGCTCTGAAAGCCCAACTACGCAGTTGAAGAAATTAAGACAATTAGTTGTTGAGTAATTCACTCAAAGACAGTAAATTGTGGTATGGGAAACCAAACCCATGTCTATTCCATTGCAAAGCCAATGCTCTTAAACACCATGGTAGATTGCCCAGAGTAAATGTTTGTTGAATTGAACTGTTAAGCCAAACATCAAAATATTAAAGCCACTTTCATGAAATGGGTTTTATTTGCAATTTTACAATAGAAGCCAAGTATTTTTAACTTTCACTTTTTTGGTAACGTCAGCTCAGAAAGTTGAATATGAATGATTTTACATTTACTTTAAGTGAGTTGTGCATTCAATTTACAAAAGAAAAAATAGAATCTCAAAATTTTAGGTCTTACATTTCCTGACTATTAGGTTTAGCTATTTTCTTGCCTATTCATTTCCCTTTTGGTAATGGGGCTTTATCACATGTCATATCAATTTATTTTCACAAATAGAGATCTCCTGAATCTCAGATCTGGAACTGTAGCAAATGTTATATAACTGTTTATTGTAATTTTAAATTTAGTTAAAAATATTGGTTGAGGAGCCAAGATGGCCAAATAGGAACAGCTCCGGTCTACAGCTCCCAGCGTGAGTGACGCAGAAGACGGGTGATTTCTGCATTTCCATCTGAGGTCCCGGGTTCATCTCACTAGGGAGTGCCAGACAGTGGGCGCAGGTCAGTGGGTGCACGCACCCTGAGCGAGCCGAAGCAGGGCGAGGCATTGCCTCACTCGGGAAGCGCAAGGGGTCAGGGAGTTCCCTTTCCTAGTCAAAGAAAGGGGTGACAGACGGCACCTGGAAAATCAGGTCACTCCCACCCAAATACTGCGCTTTTCAAACGGGCTTAAAAAACAGCGCACCAGAATTAGCCGGGCGAGGTGGCGGGCGCCTGTAGTCCCAGCTACTCGGGAGGCTGAGGCAGGAGAATGACGTGAACCCCAGGGGGCGGAGCCTGCAGTGAGCCGAGATTGTGCCACTGCACTCCAGCCTGGGCGACAGCGAGACTCCGTCTCAAAAAAAAAAACAAAAACAAAAACAAACAAACAAACAAACAAAAAACAGCTCACCAGGAGATTACATCCTGCACCTAGCTCGGAGGGTCCTACGCCCACGGAGTATCGCTCATTGCTAGCACAGCAGTCTGAGATCAAACTGCAAGGCGGCAGCCAGGCTGGGGGAGGGGCGCCCGTCACTGCCCAGGCTTGCTTAGGTAAACAAAGCAGCCCCGAAGCTCGAAATGGGTGGAGCCCACCACAGCTCAAGGAGGCCTGCCTGCCTGCCTCTGTAGGCTCCACCTCTAGGGGCAGGGCACAGACAAACAAAAAGACAGCAGTAACCTCTGTAGACTTAAACGTCCCTGTCTGACAGCTTTGAAGAGAGCAGTGGTTCTCCCAGCACGCAGCTGGAGATCTGAGAACGGGCAGACTGCCTCCTCAAGTGGGTCCCTGAGGATGGAGGAAGATCTACCAAGGAAATGGAAAACAAAAAAAGGCAGGGGTTGCAATCCTAGTCTCTGATAAAACAGACTTTAAACCAACAAAGATCAAAAGAGACAAAGAAGGCCATTACATAATGGTAAAGGGATCAATTCAACAAGAAGAGCTAACTATCCTAAATATATACGCACCCAATACAGGAGCACCCAGATTCATAAAGCAAGTCCTTGAGTGACCTACAAAGAGACTTAGACTCCCACACATTAATAAAGGGAGACGTTAACACCCCACTGTCAACATTAGACAGATCAACGAGACAGAAAGTCAACAAGGATACCCAGGAATTGAACTCAGCTCTGCACCAAGCAGACCTAATAGACATCTACAGAACTCTCCACCCCAAAAAAACAGAATATACATTTTTTTCAGCACCACACCACACCTATTCCAAAACTGACCACATACTTGGAAGTAAAGCTCTCCTCAGCAAATGTAAAAGAACAGAAATTATAACAAACTGTCTCTCAGACCACAGTGCAATCAAACTAGAACTCAGGATTAAGAAAGTCACTCAAAACTGCTCAACTACATGGAAACTGAACAACCTGCTCCTGAATGACTACTGGCTACATAACGAAATGAAGGCAGAAATAAAGATGTTCTTTGAAACCAACGAGAACAAAGACACAACATACCAGAATCTCTGGGATGCATTCAAAGCAGTGTGTAGAGGGAAATTTATAGCACTAAATGCCCACAAGAGAAAGCAGGAAAGATCCAAAATTGACACCCTAACATCACAATTAAAAGAACTAGAAAAGCAAGAGCAAACACATTCAAAAGCTAGCAGAAGGCAAGAAATAACTAAAATCAGAGCAGAACTGAAGGAAATAGAGACACAAAAAACCCTTCAAAAAATGAGTGAATCCAGGAGCTGGTTTTTTGAAAGGATCAACAAAATAGATAGACTGCTAGCAAGACTAATAAAGAAAAAGAGAGAGAAGAATCAAAGACATGCAATAAAAAATGATAAAGGGGATATCACCACCGATCCCACAGAAATACAAACTACCATCAGAGAATACTACAAACACCTCTACGCAAATAAACTAGAAAATCTAGAAGAAATGGATAAATTCCTCGACACATACACTCTCCCAAGACTAAACCAGGAAGAAGATGAATCTCTGAATAGACCAATAACAGGAGCTGAAATTGTGGCAATAATCAATAGCTTACCAACCAAAAAGAGTCCAGGACGAGATGGATTCACAGCTGAATTCTACCAGAGGTACAAGGAGGAACTGGTACCATTCCTTCTGAAACTATTCCAATCAATAGAAAAAGAGGGAATCCTCCCTAACTCATTTTATGAGGCCAGCATCATCCTGATACCAAAGCCAGGCAGAGACACAACCAAAAAAGAGAATTTGAGACCAATATCCTTGATGAACATTGATGCAAAAATCCTCAATAAAATACTGGCAAACCGAATCCAGCAGCACATCAAAAAGCTTATCCACCATGCTCAAGTGGGCTTCATCCCTGGGATGCAAGGCTGGTTCAACATACACAAATCAATAAACGTAATCCAGCATATAAACAGAACCAAAGACAAAAACCACATGATTATCTCAATAGATGCAGAAAAGGCCTTTGACAAAATTCAACAATGCTTCATGCTAAAAACTCTCAAGAAATTAGGTATTGATGGGACGTATTTCAAAATAATAAGAGCTATCTATGACAAACCCACAGCCAATATCATACTGAATGGGCAAAAACTGGAAGCATTCCCTTTGAAAACTGGCACAAGACAGGGATGCCCTCTCTCACCACTCCTATTCAACATAGTGTTGGAAGTTCTGGCCAGGGCAATTAGGCAGGAGAAGGAAATAAAGGGTATTCAATTAGGAAAAGAGGAAGTCAAATTGTCCCTGTTTGCAGATGTCATGATTGTATATCTAGAAAACCCCATTGTCTCAGCCCAAAATCTCCTCAAGCTGATAAGCAAATTCAGCAAAGTCTCAGTATATAAAATCAATGTGCAAAAATCACAAGCATTCTTATACACCAATAACAGACAAACAGAGAGCCAAATCATGAGTGAACTCCCATTCACAATTGCTTCAAAGAGAATAAAATACCTAGGAATCCAACTTACAAGGGATGTGAAGGACCTCTTCAAGGAGAACTACAAACCACTGCTCAAGGAAATAAAAGAGGATACAAACAAATGGAAGAATATTCCATGCTCATGGGTAGGAAGAATCAATATTGTGAAAATTGCCATACTGCCCAAGGTAATTTATAGATTCAATGCCATCCCCATCAAGCTACCAATGACTTTCTTCACAGAATTGGAAAAAACTACTTTAAAGTTCATATGGAACCAAAAAAGAGCCCACATCACCAAGTAAATCCTAAGCCAAAAGAAGAAAGCCGGAGGCATCACACTACCTGACTTCAAACTATACTACAAGGCTACAGTAACCAAAACAGCATGGTACTGGTATCAAAACAGAGATATAGACCAATGGAACAGAACAGAACCCTGAGAAATAACACCGCATATCTACAACTGTCTGATCTTTGACAAACCTGACAAAAACAAGAAATGGGGAAAGGATTCCCTATTTAATAAATGGTGCTGGGAAAACAGGCTAGCCATATGTAGAAAGCTGAAACTGGATCCCTTCCTTACACCTTATACAAAAATCAATTCAAGATGGATTAAAGACTTAAATGTTAGACCTAAAACCATAAAAACCCTAGAAGAAAACCTAGGCATTACCATTCAGGACATAGGCGTGGGCAAGGACTTCATGTCCAAAACACCAAAAGCAATGGCAACAAAAGCCAAAATTGACAAATGGGATCTAATTAAACTAAAGAGCTTCTGCACAGCAAAAGAAACTACCATCAGAGTGAACAGGCAACCTACAAAATGGGAGAAAATTTTCACAACCTACTCATCTGACAAAGGGCTAATATCCAGAATCTACAATGAACTCCAACAAATTTACAAGAAAAAAACAAACAACCCCATCAAAAAGTGGGCGAAGGACAGGAACAGACACTTCTCAAAAGAAGACCTTTATGCAGCCAAAAAACACATGAAAACATGCTCATCATCACTGGCCATCAGAGAAATACAAATCAAAACCACAATGAGATACCATCTCACACCAGTTAGAATGGTGATCATTAAAAAGTCAGGAAACAAGAAGTGCTGGAGAGGATGTGGAGAAATAGGAACACTTTTACACTGTTGGTGGGACTGTAAACTAGTTCAACCATTGTGGAAGTCAGTGTGGCGATTCCTCAGGGATCTAGAACTAGAAATACCATTTGACCCAGCCATCCCATTACTGGGTATATACCCAAAGGACTATAAATCATGCTGCTATAAAGACACATGCACACGTATGTTTATTGCGGCATTATTCACAATAGCAAAGACTTGGAACCAACCCAAATGTCCAACAATGATAGACTGGATTAAGAAAATGTGGCACATATACACCATGGAATACTATGCAGCCATAAAAAAGGATGAGTTCATGTCCTTTGTAGGGACATGGATGAAATTGGAAATCATCATTCTCAGTAAACTATTGCAAGAACTAAAAACCAAACACCGCATATTCTCACTCATAGGTGGGAATTGAACAATGAGAACACATGGACACAGGAAGGGGACCATCACACTCTGGGGACTGTTGTGGGGTGGGGGGAGGGGGGAGGGATAGCATTGGGAGATATACTTAATGCTAGATGATGAGTTAGTGGGTGCAGCACACCAGCATGGCATATGTATACATATGTAACTAACCTGCACATTGTGCACATGTACCCTAAAACTTAAAGTATAATAATAATTTTTTTAAAAAGTTTTTTTTTTTTTTTTTTTTTTTTTTTTTTGAGACGGAGTCTTGCTCTGTCGCCCAGGCCAGACTGCGGACTGCAGTGGCGCAATCTCGGCTCACTGCAAGCTCCGCTTCCCGGGTTCACGCCATTCTCCTGCCTCAGCCTCCCGAGTAGCTGGGACTACAGGCGCCCGCCACCGCGCCTGGCTAATTTTTTTGTATTTTTAGTAGAGACGGGGTTTCACCTTGTTAGCCAGGATGGTCTCGATCTCCTGACCTCATGATCCACCCGCCTCGGCCTCCCAAAGTGCTGGGAAAAAAGTTTTTACATTAAAAAAAATCGTTGTGAAGATGCACAAGCATGGAATATAAAAAAATAATAAATGATAATTTGGACTTTGTAAAAAAATATTAAATCACCATCCATCTTATGAAACCATATTTATGATTTTTTCTTTAAAAATGGGACTACTTTTATAATCCTGAAAAAGAAAAAAAAATCATGTATCCATCTGATTCCAACCTAAGGCAACAACAAAAAAAAAGAAAGTGGGTTGTATGAAGTTCAAAAAAGGTCTATATAGTTTGGAGCACATTAACACTCACCCATGACTAATACTGAATCACATCAAAGAAAGATGTGTTAATAATATGTACTTATTGCAATAGGACAGTAATTAATGAAACTGCTCATTGGCGTATTCTAAAATTTTGTCTTGCTGAGCATTAACAAACATTTATATTATTCGTATACACTATACATTTCACTTTGGGTGCATGTAAAAGAAGGCATACATTAAGTTATTAAAATTAACTGGTACCCATTTGTAAAGACACGCATTGCCCTATGATTCTTATTTCCAAAGAAATTAATGAGCCCTGTATATCATACACTTGATTCTAATTAGCAGCAGATAATGCGGTGATTGCTAAACCTGTTGGGCAAAGTACTGGATTTGATCATTTAAACATTTTCTTAGTTATGAGTATATATTATTCTATCTTATGAAACCTTTGCAAAAATGTAGGGCTCAGTAGGATAATAGTCTTATCCATGGTGTAGAGACTTTACTAAATATTTTAGGCATTTGTGAACGTGAACACTCTCAAACCAACAGTACATTATTATGTTAAATAGTAATATTTATTATATTTACTAAGTTCTTATGTTTTTCTTTAAACTTTATTTTGTCATTTTCCTCATTTTCTTTCCCACCATTATACTATTCACCCTTCCTTATTTAGTAACCTCAATTACCTTATGTCACAGCCAATTGAACTAGCATTTATTAAGCACCCACTAAATGACAGGCACTTTATGCATATGTAAAATGTAATGCTCCAAACACATTTTACAGCCAGGATAGAGGCAGGTGGAAGAGAAAGAGCAGGCAGAGGACCAAGATTGGTTCTGGCCATATGCTAATTACTTTTCAAATTATTTATCTATTCCTTACAACTTTTAAAGTAGGTCTTATCACCATTTTACAGTTAACAGAAATAAGGATCAGTGACACTGACTTCCCTAAAGCCACAAAGTTAGTTAGTAGCTGAGCAGAATTTCAACCCAGGTCTTTATGACCCAGAAACCTGTGCTTCGTCCAGCACACATTAATGTCTCCTCTAAGATATATACAGAAGAGGAATATTTCTCTGAATTATTAGATTAAAAAATCCCGAGGCACAGAAATTAAATAATTAGTCTAAGATCATATAATAAGTTAATGAAATAGCTGAAAATAAGGCCTAGGAAAAGAAATCCTAAACCAGCGTTTCCCACTAGACATCATATAACTTAGAGTATAAGTGCCAGTTCTAAGGAGGCAGCATTGTCCTCATAAATTAAATGTAAAATTTAGACTAATGAGACTCTGAGGTTGACAATTTAAATAGAAGAGTCATTTAAATCTCAAATTCTGAAATTAAAGTTCACATAGCAAGATCAATTTGTGCTAATTGTGCACATATATTATTTTGCTTTCTTTGCTAGGCTGTAAAAGATCTATTTTCAGAGACAAGTTAATCCTGAGAAGAGAACAAAGTCATAAGAAATTTTTAAAAATACACTCTGTGAAATATGAGTGATAATTAAATGTTATCATAATCCAAACTTTCATATAAAATGTCCTTGATTTTACTCTAGAGGAGATGTTTAGAAAAGAAAGAAGAGAAAAATCCGGAAATGAAAGTCCTTGCTTTTCTACTAGAGGAGGTATAAATATTCAAAATGTTTTTAGAAAGTGATAAAGAGTACTCCTTGGTATTTAGAGTTGGAAATGTTTGTGGATAGCGGGCATATTGTTAAAGAACAGCTACTTGGTGATTGTCATAAATTGTACATTAGTCTAGTCAGAAAACACACACCACACATCCTATAAAAGGATGTGTTTCGTTTGTTTGTTTTGGTAAATCCACATCAGCTACTTCCACACATGAGGAGCCACTTTTAGGGTCACCAAAAATAATAGAAACTATTTCCTGACATAGTATTATTTGTTTATTGAACAAATATTTATTGAGTGCTAATCCTGTGCTATGTGCTGGTCTTAATTTCCGGCACAGTGAATACATAAAGAGAACAAACTAGTCAGAAATCTCTGCCCTCATGAAACTTGCATTATAATGGGGAAAGACAGTTTAAAATGAACATGATAGGTAAGTAAATTTTATAGTATGTTAGCTAGTGGTTTTACAGAAACAAAAGAGTAGGCAGGAGATCTGTGGTTCTGAGTAGTTGCAATTTTAAGTGGTGTGGTTGATGTGGCTGTCACTAAGAAGGAAGAAGACTTATGAACAAAGACTAGAAGGAGGAGGTGGGGGCAATCATATGCATATCAGGGGATGAACATTCCAGGTAGGGGAAACAATATAAAAGCCCTAACGGGGTTAGCATGCCTGAAATATGAAAGAAGATTAATCAAGGTGACTCAAAGATTTCAACTGGAGAAACAGAAAAGACAGATTAGTCATTAACTGAGAAGAAAAGATGGGATAAATCAGAATTTGGAAGCAAGATAAGTTTAGTTTGGGAAACATTAACTGTTGAGATATCTATTAGACATCCAAATGGAAACAAGGTGTAGTCAAGTTGGTTATACAAGTCTGGAGCTCTGGAGAGAAGTCTGGTCTAGAGACACAAATTATGGAGTCATCAACATAAACATGCTTAAAACCATGAAACTGGGTAAGATCACAAAGGGAATCTGCAGATAGAAATGAGAATGGTATGAGGCCAGCATCATCCTGTTACCAAAGCCTGGCAGAGACACAATTAAAAAAAGAGAATTTGAGACCAATATCCCTGATGAACATCGATGAAAAATCCTCAATAAAATACTGGCAAACCGAATCCAGCAGCACATCAAAAAGCTTATCCACCACGAACAAGTTGGCTTCATCCCTGGGATGCAAGGCTGGTTCAATATACGCAAATCAATAAATGTAATCCACCATATAAACAGAACCAAAGACAAAAACCACATGATTATCTCAATAGATGCAGAAAAGGCCTTCGATAAAATTCAACACCCTTCATGCTAAAAACTCTCAATAAACTAGGTATTGATGGGACGTATCTCAAAATAATAAGAGCTATTTATGACAAACCCACAGCCAATATCATACTGAATAGGCACAAACTGGAAGCATTCCCTTTGAAAACTGCCACAAGACAGGGATGCCCTTTCTCACCACTCCTATTCAACATAGTGTTGGAAGTTCTGGCCAGGGCAATCAGGCAGGAGAAGGAAATAAAGGGTATTCAATTAGGAAAAGAGGAAGTCAAATTGTCCCTTTTTGCAGACGACATGATTGTATATTTAGAAAACCCCATCATTTAAGCCCAAAATCTCCTGAAGCTGATAAGCAACTTCAGCAGTCTCAGGATAAAAAATCAATGTGCAAAAATCACAAGCATTCCTATACACCAATAACAGACAGAGAGCCAAATCATGAGTGAACTCCCATTCACAATTGCTTCAAAGAGAATAAAATACCTAGGAATCCAACTTACAAAGGATGTGAAGGACCTCTTCAAGAAGAACTACAAACCACTGATCAAGGAAATAAAAGAGGACACAAACAAATGGAAGAACATTCCATGCTCATGGATAGGAAGAATCAATATTGTGAAAATGGCAATAATGCCTAAGCTAATTTACAGATTCAATGCCATCCCCATCAAGCTACCAATGACTTTCTTCACAGAATTGGAAAAAACTACTTTAAAGTTCATATGGAACCAAAAAAGAACCCGCATTTCCAAGATGATCCTAAGCCAAAAGAACAAAGCTGGAGGCATCATGCTACCTGACTTCAAACTATACTACAAGGCTACAGTAACCAAAACAGCATGGTACTGGTACCAAAACAAAGATACAGACCAATGGAACAGAACAGAGACCTCAGAAATAATACCACACATCTACAACCATCTGATCTTTGACAAACCTGACAAAAACAAGAAATGGGGAAAGGATTCCCTATTTAATAAATGGTGCTGGGAAAACTGGCTAGCCATATGTAGAAAGCTGAATCTGGATCCCTTCCTTATGCCTTATACAACAATTAATTCAAGATGGATTAAAGACTTAAATGTTAGACCTAAAACCATAAAAACCCTAGAAGAAAACCTAGGCAATACCATTCAGGACATGGGCATGGGCAAGGACTTCTTGACTAAAACACCAAAAGCAATGGCAACAAAAGTCAAAATTGACAAATGGGATCTAATTAAACTAAAGAGCTTCTGCACAGGAAAAGAAACCACCATCAGAGTGAACAGGCGATCTACAGAATGGGAGAAAATTTTTACAATCTACCCGTCTGACAAAGGGCTAATATCCAGAATCTACAAAGAACTTAAACAAATTTACAAGAAAAAATCAAAAAACCCATCAAAAAGTGGGCGAAGGGCATGAACAGACACTTCTCAAAAGACATTTATGCAGCCAACAGACACATGAAAAAATGCTCCTCATCACTGACCATCAGAGAAATACAAATCAAAACCACAATGAGATACCTTCTCACATCAGTTAGAATGGCGATCATTAAAAAGTCAGGAAAAAACAGGTGCTGGAGAGGATGTGGAGAAATAGGAACACTTTTATACTGTTGGTGGCACTGTAAACTAGTTCAACCATTGTGGAAGACAGTGTGGCGATTCCCCAAGGATCTAGAACTAGAAATACCATTTGACCCAGCCATTCCATTACTGGGTATATACCCAAAGGATTATAAATCATGCTGCTATAAAGACACGTGCACACATATGTTTATTGCGGCACTATTCACAATAGCAAAGACTTGGAACCAACCCAAATGTCCATCAATGATAGACTGGATTAAGAAAATGTGGCACATATACACCATGGATTACTATGCAGCCATAAAAAAGGATAAGTTCATGTCCTTTGTAGGGACATGGAGCAAACTATTGCAAGGACAGAAAACCAAACACCACATGTTCTCACTCATAGGTGGGAATTGAACAATGAGAACACTTGGACACAGGGTGGGGAACGTCACACACCAGGGCATGTTGTGGGGTGGGGGGAGGGGGAGGGATAGCATTAGGAGATATACCTAATGTAAATGATGAGTTAATGGGTGCAGCACACCAACATGGCACATGTATACATACATAAGAAACCTGCACGTTGTGCACATATACCCTAGAACTTAAAGTATAATAAAATAAAATAAAATAAAAAATCAATGTAAAAAAAAAAAGAAGTGAGAATGGGTCCAACAACTAGCCCTGAAGCACTCCAATGTTCAGAGATCCAAGAAAAGTATACGAACTAGAGAAGGAAACCAAGATTAAAGGTCCAGTGAGACGAGAGCCACAATAAACCCCCAAATAAGAAATTAGTCTGCATTTCCTTAACATTCACAACAAAATCTTGAGACCTAACTTCTCCCAAGTATCTTCTAGTGGGGCATTTACTTTAATTGCCACAAGTCAGGGATAATACTAATATTGCTTTATATTTCCCCTAGAACTTTTTGAAAGTATGCTGGTAATATAATTTTAAATACCTTTACATATTTCTCCAAAACAGGTCACTTGAAAATATGTATATCTACATATGAACAAATATCCATCCACATATAGCCCATATTATTATATGATGTACCAATTTTGAGGTGTACAATATTGCTATTGATGATTTAAACTGAAAAATCATAAAATACTGAGAAGCTTTAACAGGATAATCCCTGCCTTTTAAAAATATGCTTCATATTTAAGAAGAGGAACTTACGGATATTTGTGTATTAACCAAATGGTGATTATCATTTTTATCAGCTTTATTGAGATATAATTCACATACTATACATACTATACAACTAATACATTTTAAACATGCAATTCAATGTTTTTAGTATATTCACAGATACATGCAACTATCACTACAGCCAATTTTCCAAAATTTTCATCACAAAAAAGATATATCCTTTACCCTTTAGCTGTCATAGCCCTACCCTCCCACCTCCCCAGACCTAAAAGACTATGAATTTACTTCCTTTCTCTATAGGTTTGTCTATTCCAGACTTTTCATACCAATGAAATCAGATAATATACGGTGTAGGTTACTGGCTTCTTTTACTTAACATGTTTTTAAGGTTCATTCATGTTGTAGCATGTATCACAACTTTATTGCTTTGAATGGACCAATAATATTCCATTATACAGACCTACCATATTTTCTTTATCCATTCATCTGTTGATAGACACTTGGATTGTTTCCACCTTTTGATTACTGTGAATAGTGCCACCATGAACATTCCCATGGAATTTTTTGTTTCAAAACCTGTTTTGAATTATTTTTGGTATATACCTCAACTTTGGTTTTCAAAACAAAAATATTTCTGCCCTTTAAAAATTATAAGCATTATTTTTCACCTCTTTCTTATAAGAAAATAAAAAGTTGGGCAGATTCAGGGATTAGGTTTAATATTTACTAAACAACCAAAAAAAAGGCTGCTTAAAATAAATCGAGATCTCTAGGTTTAAAAAAGTCAAATAGGCTTCCCAACTAAAGGATTTATGAAATCCCATAAAATGCTAACATGTGGCCCAGCGTGGTGGCTCATGCCTGTAATCCCAGCACTTTGGGAGGCTGAGGTGGGTGGATCATCTGAGGTCAGGAGTTCGAGACCACCCTGGCCAACATGGCGAAACCCCGTCTCTACTAACCATACAAAAATTAGCTGGGCATGGTGGTGCATGCCTGGAGTCCCAGCTATTTGGGAGGCTGAGGCAGGAGGATTGCTTGAATCCAGGAGGCAGAGTTTGCAATGAGCCAAGATCGCACCACTGCGCTCCAGCCTGGGCAACAGAGTAAGACTCCATCTCAAAAAAAAAAAAAAAAAAAAAAAAGCTAGCATGCATTGTTGATTATCTCTGAGAGACAATCCAGCATTTCCCTAACTTATTTGCTTCTAGAACCCTTTCTTGTGGAGTGTTGTACAAGACAAATATTTCAATGAATTACACATTGCAAACACTGATGTAAAGTAATGACTACATTCATAATGGTTATTTATCAATTATTTGTGAAATGTGCAAATGCTATTTTCCCATGACACCACTTTCCTTTTTTCCTTGGTCACTTGTTAGAAGAATCAACATTCAGAGGGTCAGATTACACAAAGAAACCAACAGCTCCCATGCCTCCAATTAAACGCCACGGCCAGCCTCCTACCTTGCCATTTAATCAACCATGTGGATGCTATTACTGGGTTTTTTTTTTTTGTATACTCTAGTGAATTTAATATTAGCACTTAATGAACCTGCTCACTAAACTAGAGCAGAAAACAAAAGGGAAAGAAGAGTGAATAATTCATTATATAAATTTAGAATTAGAATCATTTCACTGAAGCAAAGTCATTTTTATCACCCGTAATTTAACAAATCTGCATTCATAATATTGAAGATATTTGTACATTGCATTTCAGACACAGGCAACACAGGGTTCCATTGTCACACACTGTTGACAGGTATCTTGAAGAAAACTCTAATTGCTATTAGAATATTCCAAATTTCAATATTTTGTCCTGATTATCAGAGAATAAAAGATAAAGCAATAATCAAATAATAGCACCATATTGATATTGGACAAGAATTCTAATAAAGCAGTAACGTCTTTGCCAACAATTTTCATCCATAATTATGAACTATTTTGATGTCCAGAAGCTTAAATAAGTCACATCATAAGAGAAATTTCTGAACAAGTGCTTCCTGCCCAAAATAAATATGTTTATATCCAATTCATTCAGATGATTGTTTATCTAAACCAGATTGTAATGTTTTCAATATTACTGGCTTACTGTTTAAACCTTTTCAAGCTTTGTGTTTAATCAAAACTTAAAGCCATTTGCATCCAGATATCACAAATCAAATAATGCAAAGTGCTCTGTCTGGACAACCAAATGGAAATCAGCAGCTGAATAAATGAGGTGGCTGCCTGTAATTTAGGATTTACTATCTTATACACTTCATGCTTGCCAACTACATTCATTTTAAACTAAAAGCAATATGCAGCTAAATGTAAAGATGTCCAAATCACTACTTTAGTAAGATAGAAAATGAAATGGCTTACTTTTATACAAAAATGTATAAATGCATTAATGATCAACATAACCCTGTCACACTGCAAAAGAGCTTAAAGATGGTAATGGGAGGAGCAATATGTTTCCAAATTCTGTGTTGACAATTTCTAGAGACACCTTGATTGGTATTATAACTTATTGTGACTGCAACAGCCAGATGTTCATCAAAAATTCATGCCTGCCACCCACTCCCCATGCCTTAATGTAGTGATGTTGCTGGAAGGCAGTTGCCTAGTCAGATACTGCAATTCCCAGCCAATCCTTGGATCCAGGTGTGGCCAAGTAAACAATTCTTGCCAATGGAATGTGAACAGAAGTGATGGGTATCACTTTCAAATGGGAGTTTGTAGTAACTGGGTATGTCTTCTCCACTCTCTCCTTTTCCATCCTTGGGCTAGATACAGAAGACTCTGAAAGCTCTGTGGGAAGGTCACAGCGTGGAAGATATCTAGCTTCCTGAATCATCTTTTGGAGGAAAGCTACTCACTTACTTGCTGACACCTGTAATGGATAATGGACCATTACTTGAATAAGAAGTAATCTTGTATTGTGCAAAGTCACTGAAATTTGAGGATTTACTTGTTACAGCAGCTATTACTATCCTAATAAATACATTTCTTACAATAGCATTTTCCCCTCTCAATTAAAGGTCTATACAGACTTGAGTCAAGACATATGAGCAAACTCAGCAGGCTAATAATTTGGTAGCTCTTCAAACCAAATGTTTAAAAGTATTTGTTCAACATCTATTGAAGAAGCAGGCTGAGCCCTGTGTGGAGATGGAGAAAGCACATGGAGAAAAGAAAGATCACTGGAGGCAGAGCCCAGTCTCTCTGCTCTAAGCAATACAACTCTATCTACCAATTCATCTACCTTATCACATGTACTACTTTCCTACTTAAGAGTCTGGTAAGGTTGGGTGCGGTGGCTCATGCCTGTAATCCCAGCACTTTGGGAGGCCGAGGCGGGTGGATCACGAGGTCAGGAGATCGAGACCATTCTGGCTAACACGGTGAAACCCCATCTCTACTAAAAATACAAAAAAAATTAGCCACCGTGGTGGCGGGTGCCTGTAGGCTGAGGTAGGAGAATAGCGTGAACCTGAGAGGCAGAGCTTGCAGTGAGCCGAGATCGCGCCATTGCACTCTAGCCTGGGCAACTGAGCGAGACTCCATCTCAAAAAAAAAAAAAAAAAAAGAGTCTGGTAAATGCAATTTTCTCCATCTGCTTATATCTCCAGTGATATTTTAGTACCTGTGAAATATTTTTGCTTCTATAGATTGGTACCCAGGGCAGCTGCCCAGCTGACAGGTCCCTTAAATTAGCTCTAAATCTATGTCTTGCATCCTGAAGTGTGCTTTATAGCACTGTTTCTCAAGCATTTTTGACCTTAACCCATAGAACAAAATACACTTTAGGTTGGACCCAGTACACTCCTATGTTTGTTTCATGAAAACGTACTTGCCTTCCTATATGTGATACACCCTGATATATTCTGTGTCATTTTTAAAGTGCTGGTTGCAAAACACTAAATTGAGTTCATAATCCAGGAATGGGTCATAATCCACAGTTTGAAAAATACTCTTGGATGGACGCTACTGCCTGGTATATGGCTTTGTCTTTTGGAACAGGAGAAGGGAAATAAATTTGACAGGGAATGAAATGGGAGAAGACAGGTAATGGTGCTTTTGAAAGGGGAGGGAAAAGCATAGTATCAATGAATGTACAACACAACATTAGCTATGCCCGGTGTAGAATATGCTTTCAATGGACAAGTTTGAGCTCGGTAGAAACCACAGAGGTTAAGGCAGCTCATCTGTAGAAGAACAGATACACGTTGCCCCAGTAAGAGCAATGACAGAGGTTTTAGTTCTGAATATATGCATGGAAGATGTTGACAAAACTTGAGAAAACAGAGCCAAGGACACCTAAATTTAGAATTTTCTGCTCTTAGTAGACTGCATTCTTGCCCTGTCACAATAGTTACATGCACATTAACAAAGTTTCCAAGAACTGAGATCCTGTAAGATCATACTGAATTTCAGTCTTGGAAAGTATCCAGTCCACTCTGTGCCTACTAAGAAAGTAGAACAGAATAAATGAAAAAAACATTTTGGCTCTGCAAGTATGGCACACTTTACAAGTGAAAATGATCACCGAAGAGTATATTTATGGATAAAGCAGATGATATGTTAATTTTCACATGTTTGAAGGAAAGCCTCGGCTAGAAGTCACAAATTCTCCCAAGAGGAATACATATATTGTTCTATGAAGCTTTCTTTCAATTTTCTTGCTGCCATAAAAATTATGCTCTCTGGTTTCACTGGCCAAAAATATTGTAAACTTTGGCACACTTTATAACAAAGTTTTCCTTTTGTTTTTAATATGCAAATACCTTTAGATTATATAGGATTTTCCAAGTCTTAATGAAATGACTGAGATTATAAAACCAAAAAAAATGTCAAAAGTCACACATGGGCAATTCATAGAGAAAGAACTACAATTGGCCCCAATAAATATTTGAAATAAATGTTCAAATTGATGTGCAAAGTAATGGAATTTAAAACAACTGGAATTTTTACTAATGAAATTAATACAGAATTGAATGTAAAATAATGTTACTGAGAGACTGCTGAGACTGGTATATTTGTTGGAGCATCAAACATAACAAAAAATTATGAACAATCTAGGTATATCACAATTGTGGATTGTTGAATATAATAGCAACAATATTATTAGGCACAGTGTCCCCTAAGTGCTAGACCTTTTATTAAGCATTTTATATAAACTACCTCATTTAATTTTCAAAGGGCCCTATGAGGTAGCTGTGGAAACAGATTCAGAAGAGTTACTGATCTCATTGAAATCCACACAACTACTAAGTGGTAAAACTGGCCTGACTCCGCAGCACAAGGTTTTAGGCACTATATATTTTTCTGCTGTTATTTCGTATTATTTACAATCCCTGTTGGCTATCTATATTTGTATGCCAAACAAATATGTGATTATGCATGAAGATGCCATTTGCAGTAGCATCTATGACTTTAAAAGAAACTTTAGAGCATGTGGCTTTCTTCTCCCTTTTCACTAATTTTACCTAGACTACGATGAGCCTATTCAAGCTGTTTGACAACTCAGGAAACTTTGTTTTTTTAAATATATGCTTCATTATGGCTTTAGTTGTTTTTATTTCTTTCTTAGGAATACTTAAAATTATTAAACTGGATATCCATTCTTCAGATTTATCATCTTCTCCCTCATGAGTCATATCTTCGTCTTTTTCACTGCTTTCTGAGATGATTTTTCAAGTATATTTGACATTCTCACTGATCTGATTTTCAGCATTGTCAATTCTGTTCTCTGCAGCCTCCACTGATAATAATCATCTGTGGTTGAGTTTTAATTTCTTGTAATTTTTCCTTATCTTGATTATCTCACATTTTTAATAGTCTCATTTTGTTGCCTAATTTTTATTAGTTCCTTGATTATCTTCATTGTGTCTTGATTTGTTCCTTGATGGCAGATGTTTTAAACTGAAGTTCATAGGCTTCAGAGGATATGTAAAACCCCAGAAACGGAATGCAAAAAAAAAAAAAGTTGTGAGTGTATTTACAAATTTGTTTTATATGAGGAAAGAGTCCAGAATTTCCTCAAAAAAGAAAATTTTATAAGTGTCACATGACCTAACAAAAGATTGTGAACACCTACATTTTACAGTCTGCTTTTTCATAAGAGCTATGTTATCTTGCATTTTAGCTAAAATCATCAATTTCTAATATTTTTTCTGATTCCTTTAAAAACCCATTTTTATAAATGTGTTCTTTCTTGAAATCTCCAAAATAATTTGCCTTTAGCCCATTTGCAAATTTTCCATATGTTCCACATTGTTTTTTCTTTCATTGCTTATTTTCAAAGGAGTTCCAATCTATCTTGATCCCATGCTTGCCAATACTTAGGAGACAACAATTGTCCTAGGTTAAGCTCAAACTGGGTTTTAGATAAATCCCCTTCTCGAGTATGCAACGGGACAATAGGTTGATGTATATATCTCATATTTTCAACTGTCTGTTCTTGGTGTCTAACTTGATTTCATTAATACACCTTCTTTGGACTAAGATTGGATCCTCTCCTGACCCAACTGACTGATTTATTGATAATCAGAACTGATGGAATACATGAAAAACTAGAATACCCAGAATACCTTCCTACCAAGGTTCTTTGCTCCCACTTATAGCATTATGTTTCTGGGGAATGGACCTTGAAGATAATTTACCACTACTTCATATTAGAAATCCCAAATCCACATTCATGTCTTCTCCTCTAATTATTTGCTGGAAGTAGTAGTGCTCAAGCATATATAGAGAAAAAAGCAATATTTTAGGGTTTGGTGTCCAGCCTTCTAGCTATCTAAAAAAGTACTTTCCATGCAATAAGACAAGTACTCCTTGTTTTGCTGGGTATAGAATGTGTGTTTTGGAACCAGGATTTAGACTGCATGGGGGGAAAGATGAGATTTTTTTGGACCTATTCCTTTTTTTCTTCTTTTTCTTATTATATTTTAAGTTCTAGGGTACATGCGCACAACATGCAGGTTTGTTACATAGGTATACATGTGCCATGTTGGTTTGCTGTACCCATCAACTCGTCATTTACATTAAGATATATTGGCTTACCAAATTTCTAGCAGCATGGTATGAGTGGTTCGCTGATTGTACTTTTCAATCTACTTCTTCCTGATTTTTAGCTAGTGGAAATTTCTCTCTGGTTCTGGCAATAATTTGACTGTCAATCCAAATTATCAGCATTGTTGTGAGCTCTCATCATTTTTCTATGTCTTCATAGATACTTTAGTGGAAATTCAAGATTGGCTGTGTCAGGTGCTACCAGCCAAATCCCGTTTTTCAGAGTTAGCATCTCTAGGGCTGTGCCAATGGAAGAATATTCCAAGAGAAGCCTGGCAGCAAACTTTAAATCCCTACTAACATCGGTATGTTAAGAAGCAGAAATTTCCCAGCCCAAACTCTAGTATTAACAAGAAAGTCTTTTAAAATATGCTTTGATAAATTGGCTTTAATTTCCATATTCAGCTTAACTCTTTGCCTTAAACTCCGACCATACAGAACTTGACTTAATAGAAAACATCTGTTTCTCCCCCAAAATTCATTTTCTCCTGAAGGGCATGTGAAGGCCATGGTACATGTACATCCTCAGCCCATAAATGATTGTGTGTGTGTGTGAGACTGTGAATGAATCAGACTATTTCCATTGTTGTAGTCTTTTATATAATAGAAAACCCACTTTTCTAGAGAAACTGGAATTATAGATTGATTTGGCAGCAAGTAATATCCACATGACTGCTTCAAATAATGAACTTGAAAGATCTTTCATCATGTGTGTGTGTGTGTATGTGTGATTTTTTACCTGTAAAATTGTAGTATTTGATGCCACCCTACAGCATAGGTTTCTGACCCTATCCTCCTGGGATTTAATATCAATTTACATTTAATATATACTCATAGTGGCCGAGCGCGGTGGCTCACGCCTGTAATCCCAGCACTTTGGGAGGCTGAGGGGGATGGATCTCCTGAGGTCAGCAGTTCGAGACCAGCCTGGCCAACATGGTGAAAAGCCATCTCTACTAAAAAGAGAAAAATTAGCTGGGCGTGGTGACAGGTGACAGGTGCCTGTAATCCCAGCTACTAGGGAGGCTGAGGGAGGAGAACCACTTGAACCTGGGAGGCAGGGGTTGCAGTGAGCCGAGATCACGCCATTGCACTCCAGCTGGGTGACAAGAGTGAAACTCTGTCTCAAAAAAAAAAAAATATATATATATATATATACAAACACACACACACACACACACACACACACTCATAGTTTCCCACATATCTGTGAGTCTGTGTGTATTTGAGATTTTAAAGTCTTTTCACAGTATTAACAAAGTCACTGAGAGCAGCATGCCACTGTTTAAGTAAAGTTAAAGCTTCTTGATCCTTATTTTAATTTAGCATAGGACTGCTAGACCAATGAAAGCATGTCTATATTATTTTAATAAAGTTCTACCAATAATAAAAAAGTTCTTTTAATTTATTTTCAATAATTTAAACATTTTCAAAAGTAGAAATAAATAATGCCTGAAATTAAAGTCAGTCATAATTAAATTTCAGAAGTAGATAAAATATGTCTCAGAGTATTTTTCTATCTTTTCATTGGCCTTCTCACAAATAATACCACAGCTTTCGCTACTACCCAGGGTCTTCATGCCTCCCACTGTGGAAATCCAACCTGGCCTGTCTTGCTTGGGTAGCAGCTCATATTCCTAAATCATCTTTCTAACCTTCTCCAATCAAAAATCTTGTTTTTTCAATGCACCAATCTCTCCATTATAAATAGACAGGTACAGCTAGATCTTAGCAGTTCACTGGCTTTTTTTTTTTTTTTTAGGGGAGGTGGGGGAGAAGTGGCATTATAACAGTGCAATCCCGTGCTTCACATTTTCTTTTGCCATGTTTCTGTTTCCACTGTAATACATATTTATTTATATTCACTTTTCGTTGGGGTATACCAGCTTCTATTCCACCCTATCTTAGTGCTACTTCTGGCAAGATAGTCTGTCATTTTTGGGTAAACCAACTCTCTTGAAAAAAAGTATTGCTTCCCTGCTTCTTAGGAATTCCCACCATTTTTAATCCCAGGAATAAGTATACATAAATTATGGATATTGATGATACAGCCCAACATCTTCCAGCTAATAGGTCCTGCAAGCAGCAGGAATAAAGGTATGATTTTTGCTTGTGGCTGTAGGAACCCATGGATCAACTTTTCTGTTTGTCGGTTTTTAGTCCTTTATTGGTACAGTATGGCATAATGGTTGAGGATAGGAGTTAAAATCCTGTCTCTACTACTTACTAGGGGAATCACTTTAATCACTTTAAAGACTGTTTATTTTCTCTAAGCCTCACTCAGTTTCTTCATCTGTAAAAGAAAAATAATGTCACCTGTCTTCAAGGGCTGAAGAAATGATTTAATAAGTTAATGAATGCAATATGGCTAACTATACTAGCTCATCATAAGTGACTGGCTCATCGTAAGTTCTCAATAAATGTTATCTATCATTATAAGAAGACAGTATAATACGAAGGGTAAGAGTTTTGTGAACTCTGAGGTTATACTGCCTAAATTCAAATGCCTATTCTAACACTTATTTGTTGTATGTCCCTAAATAAGTCATTTACCCTCCTGATTTTCTCTGCTTCCTCGTCTGTAAAACAGAGATAATAATACAACCTACTTTGAAGGGCTACTGTGAGTATTGAATAGTTACTTCATGTAAAGTTCTTGACACAGTGCCTATCACATAGTGAGCACTCAGGAAATGTTTATAATATTGCAATAATGGTGACAACTATGTGAACAAGAAAAACCAATAGCTCTCAAGTCATACAGACTAAGCCACAACTTACTTGTCAGTATGGCTCTCCAGAGGTTCCCTGCACATCTTCAGGTAAGCAACTCATACTATCTGACTATAAATATTAAATTAATTCCATAAAATTATCAGTACTATTTTTTCTTCAATGTAGGTTTTCTAAGAACTGAACATGACTGATGTTTCAAGAGCTTAGCAAATGGTCATAGGATAGAAGAAAGACCATTGTAGCAGAATTTCTGTTACAGAGATTGCCCCAAACTCAATAAACAGACATAGAGAGGAAGCACTTGCCTGAGGCAGCAGTTCAGCTGAATGTGATGAATTGAAAGGGCAATAAAAAGGTGGTAAGGTGGTTGGAGTTAATGTCGAAAAAGAACACAGGGGTACAACAAGTAAGCAATAACATGGGAAGAAGTTTACAAGCCCTAAAGAAAACATTTCAGAAAAAGTGTAAAAGCTTATAAGCTGACTTAGAATTTGTGAGCAGTCATTGACAAGCTATGTTTGGATACAGACCTAAAAGGGCATCATTTCTATAAGCATATGGTTCCACTGTGGAACATGTGAAAAACTTGAAAAAAGTGACATTTACATGAAGTGTCTTTTGTGGCAAAGAGGTGGATGCAGAAGGAATATGGAGATACCAAGCAGATCTGGAATCTGAGAAATTTGTGCTGGGCATTAATGAAGATGTCAGGTGTGCATGTCAAAATGGATGAATGAATTGCTGCCCTAAACACACATGCTGTTTAACAGCCTGCCATCGATTGAGCAAAACTACCTGGATTTGAGTCAGACAAATAAAAAATGATGAATCAGTGACAGAAATAAACACTATAATAAGAAAGCCTGGGCTGCTCAAGTGACACTTGAGGTAAGACAGTGGAATTCTGGAACTGAGAATGTATGTTGACATTGGCAAGCAAAGCTCTGAGGGCTAATGTTGCTAGAGAGGGCCTAATTGGGCCAGTGAACACTGATGATTTGGAACACAAATGTGAGCAGAGGGCATAGAAAGTGGTCCCCCGCAGTGTGATTGCAGAAGGTTCTTTTGGGCTTAGCACTAATATAAGCTGACTTCTCTTAAGTCAAAAGAAGTCAGCTTATGAACAAACGAAAGGCTGAATAAGGAGTTTCTTGATGGGGTCCAAATTGTTATAATCACAAGGGAAAAATACCATGAATTCCATGATTATGTCAGTGCCACATTTGCTAAGTCCATTTGTAAGAGCACAAAACCCCTAATTATGCCTAAGGGGTCAGAGGAACAAGGTGCATTAATTTTGGAAAGTATAACCTTGATTTTGCATACAAGTCAACTTGGGAACATGATATACTTTTCTTTCTAGTAAAATTTTAAGAACAAATTATCTTTTCCTGACATACCAATAGGAAGGGTTACTATTTCTTTAAGAAAATAAAGTAGGAGTGAATCTAAGAAAACATTAGTTTATTTTATTTTCAAAAATCCTTTACCAGAAATATATTCAATTTATATTATCACCTTCAATCCTGCCTAGGTATTGCCAACACGCTGCCCTCACACCACCTTACAAACCCACACAAAGAAGCCCAATTTTTCCCCATTATTCTTTAAAATACCAATTCAACACAAGCCTTTCTTATTCTACGAAGTAACATCACGTAGTACATGTTTAGTTCCCTTCCCTCAAATGGTTCCCAATTACCATCAAGTCTAAGTACATTTTTTGGCCAGTGCTTATTTCCGTGGCTACTTGAGCTCTGGGAGTTGGGAACCTTTGAAATTTCTTCAAGCAACATCAATTTTGCTTATACCCTGGAGTCTCATTCTGGTACAGAAAAGGAGAGAGAAAACAATTTTTTTGGGCTAATTTCCGTAAGTGCGGCACAGCCTCAACCTGACAGAGAAACAACATGGCTCCCACAGCATGAGGCCAAAGCTAAAATGTTTCTTCCAAGTCTCCCAGGCTAGATGAATTTTGAGTTGCTAAGCACTTGTTCTAACACATTCTCAATGCAGACTAAGAAGGATAATGAGGGACTGATAAGACACTCGGTGGCAAATTCTCAAGGAACCGGAATAAGCTGGACTAATATCTATAATGAATCTAATCAAATGTTGACCTGATACAAAACAAATAGAAAAAATTAATAAGATCTACAATTTGATAGCACAACAGAGATACTATAGTCAATAACTTAATTGTATATTTTAAAATAACTAAACAATCCAGTTACACTGGATTGTTTGTAACACAAAGGATAAATGCTTGAGGGGATGGATACCCCATTCTCCATGATGTGATTAATATGCATTGCATGCCTGTATCAAAACATCTCACATACCCCATAAATACATATACCTGCTATGAACCTACAATAATTAAAAATAAAAAAATTAAATGTTGACCTGAATATTGTTTGACTTTGCTTCTGTCAACACTTATACACTGGAGATACACCTTGTGATGGGAATGCTAGCATCTGTTTCCATCAAATCCTAGAGAACTGGCTCTGGTGAGCGCAAGTAACCAAACACTCCCTTGAGGAGTAACAATGCCATTTGTCATGTTTCCTAAAAAGGTAATAGAAAACAAAACGCCATTCATACACTGGCTGATCAAAATGCATTGTATTCTAAGGAATATAGAAGGAAAATACAAATGTTTCTACGGCAGGCCACTCTAAAAAGGAAGTATTCTCAATCTTTTTAAAGAGGAAAATTAGGAGACTAGAAGGAAAGGGATTTATATTTAAGGTAAATTCCAAAGTGTACTTTAGATTTCGTATAATATTGTCAAAATTATGCATCTTTTTTGGGAAAGAAAGGTGGGAAAAATTCAATCACTTTTGCATTGTGAATTTGGGAAAATGGTTCAGAATGATTTTTAAACTCCATTCATTCCTTCAACATTAATTCAACAAATCTAGAACCTATTATGCATATGAAATACTGGACAATGTGCTTTGGGCAATATAAATGTTCATAACTCATCATTCCTGACCTCAAAAGCACTAAAATTAAACAACAATACAAGGTGATAGAGAAGACTAAGTGTAGTGATGATAATTAATCCTATAATTGAAAAAAAGATACCACTGGAGGTTGTTGTGTTATCAGGAAAGACTTCATGGAAGTGATGGAGATGTAGTTGACTTTCAAAGGTAGGTTAGATTTAAATTGTAAGAGAGGTAGGAAGAGGAGTGGGCTTCGGAATGGTGATAGTTTAGTCTTATCTTCAATAGGAGAAATTAGCTTGCATTAAGTTTGCCAAATGGTTTCACCTGGTCTTTGTTTACTTTGCATTGGAGTTACAGAATCTTAAAGTTAAGACAACCTAGTGTAAATGTTTTCATTTATAGATAAGGAAACCAAGATCCAGATAAATTATTTTCCCAAATAGATCCAGAGAGTAATTTTCCCAAAGTCACACAGCTAGTTCAATGTAAAGCTAAAGCTGACTCCCGGTCCAGTACAGCTTGGTAAACAGGTAGACTCTAAAGACACAGATATACAAATCTCACTGGTCCTTAATCAAGTTGAATCCCTAAGCCTGAGTTGATTGGTATTTGTTAGTTCTAAACAGTGGTGCTTACTTGCCACAAAGAACCCTGAGCAGTGGAACAATTCAAAAGGAAATGAGAGAACAGTGTGTCAATCCAGAGTTCAAAGATGAGCAAAGATTTACTATTAATATGAGGGCTTACAGGTCTGAAAACATCCTTATATGATGGGATACATCAACTGTGATGCAAGAGAGAACACTAACAATCATTTCAATATAGTGTTGCACTCAAATGATTTTAAAAGATATACTTCTTAAGTGAACAGAATCAAATTATAATGCCTCCCACATATGGCCCAGACTGGCCAAATTCAGGACAATCTAATCTTCACATCAAACACTGACACTGCATTAAAGTTTGATAACCGTGATGATACAAATAGGGGCCTAGATTATGTTTTTCAAAAGCAATGACAAGAAAGGATTTTTGTCTAGGAAATCATGAACAAAAAGACATTTTCAGAGAGTTAATCTCTTTCTCTCGATATATTTTGAAAATTTAGAAATACCCATGTCAGAAATGTGCCACGAAATACACCTAAATTTGAATAACATATCTAGTACATCTCAAGCAGTTCAGCAATTAATTCTTGTAATGTTTGCAGGTTTGCTTCAGACATTGGAAATGATTTTCTAACAGGATTCTAAAGATTTCTATCAGGGTAGTGACCAGAGCATAACATTTTTATTTCACCCAGCACTCCTTTGATGGAGCTAAGTACACTGCCAGAAAATATTTGTTGCTCATTTGTTTTCAGAGGATTGATAATGATCACCCTCAGCTTTGCTGTTGTTGGTGTATAGGAATGCTAGTGATTTTTGTACTTTGATTTTGTATCTCGAAACTGCTGAAGTTATTTATCAGCTAAAGGAGTTTTTGGGCTGAAGCTATTTTTCTAGATACAGAATCATGTTATCTGCAAAAAGGGATAGTTTGACTTCCTTTCTTCCTATTTGCATGCTCTTTATTTCTTTCTGCTGCCTGATTTCTCTGGCCACGAATGTCAATATTATGCTGAATAGGAGTGGTGACAGAGGGCATCCTTGCCTTGTGCTGATTTTCAAGGGGAATGTTTCCAGCTTTTGCCCATTCAGTAGGATGTTGGCTATGGGTTTGTCATAGGTTGCTGTTATATTAAGGTATGTTCCTTCAATACCTAGTTTATTGAGAGTTTTTAACATGAAAGGATGTTGAATTTTATTGAAAGACTTTTTTGCACCTATTGAGATAATCATGTGATTTTTGTCTTTAGTTCTGTTTATGTGATGAATCACATTTATTGATTTCATATGTTGAACCAACATTGCATTCCAGGGATAAAGCCTAGTTGATCGTGGTGGATTAGCTTTTTTGATGTGTTGCTGGATTTGGTTTGCTGGTATTTCATTAAGGATTTTTGCATTGATGTTCATTAAGGATATTGGCCTAAAGTTTTCTTGTGTGTGTCTCTGCCAGGTCTTGGTATCAGAATGATGCTGGCCTCATAGAATGAGTTGGGAAGGATTCCCTCCTCGATTTTTTTGGAATAGTTTCAGTAGAGATGGTACTGACTCTTACCTGTATATTTGGTAGAATTTGGCTGTGAATCTATCTGGTCCTGGGCTTTTTTTTTTTTTTTTTGGTGGGAGACATTTTATTACTGATTCAATTTCATTACTCATTGGTATGTTTAGGATTTTTATTTCTCACTGGTTCATTCTTGGAGGGTTGTCTTTTTTTCAGGAATTTATTGATTTCCTCTAGGTTTTCTAGTTTGTGCACATAGAGATATTCATAGTGATATCTGATGATTCCTTGTAGTTCTGTGATATCAGAACTACACCTTTAACATTAAATGTCACCTTTATCATTTCTGATTGTGCTTGTTTGAATCTTGGTTAAACTAGCTAGTGGTGGATCAATTTTGTTTTTTCTTTTAAAAAACCAACTTTTAATTTTGTTGATTCCTTGTATCATTTAATTGGTCTCAATCTCATTTAGTTCTGCTCTGATCTTTGTTATTTATTTGCTTCTGCTAGCTTTGGGTTTGGTTTGTTCCTGCTTTTCTAGTTCCTTGAAGTGTGACATTAGGTTCTTAATTTGAGATCTTTCTACCTTTTTGACGTAGGCATTTAATACTATAAACTTTCCTCTTAGCACTGTTTTTATTGTATTCCAGAGATTTGGTATGTTTTGTTTCGATTTTTATTCATTTCCCAAAATTTTTTATTTCTCCCTTCATTTGTTGTTTACCCAAAAGTTATTCAGAAGCAAATTATTTAGTTTCCATGTACTTGTGTAGCTTTGAGAGTTATGCTTGGTAATAATTTCTAATTTTATTCTACTGTTGTCCAAGATGATACTTGATATGGTTGCAATGTTTTTGATTTATTGAGACTTACTTTATGGCCAAGCATATGGTCAATTTTCGAGAGTGTTCCATGCACAGGTGAGAAAAATGTATATCCTGCAGTTGTTGGGTAGAATGTTCTGTAAATGTCTGTTAGGTCCATTTGGTCAAGAGTCCAGTTTAAGTCCAGAGTTTCTTTGTTGACTTTCCTGACAATGCTAGACAGGTCATCAAGGCAGAAAACCAACTACCTTGATGGCTTGTCTTGTGTTGTCACTGGAATGTTCAAGTCTCCCACTATTATTGTATTGTTATCAGTGTTTTTTCTTTGGGTCTAGTAGTATTAGTTTTGTGAGTCTCGATACTCTAGTGTTGGGTGCACATATTTTTAGGATACTTACATCTTCTTGCTGTATTGAACCCTTTATCATTATTTAATGCCCTTCTTTGTCTTTTTTTTTTTTACTATTGTTATAGTGTGTTTTAATCAGATATAAGAATGGCTACCCCTTCTCTCATTTGTTTTCCATTTGCATAATATATATTTTTTCCATCTCTTTACTTTGAGCATGTAGGTGTCTTTAGACATTTGGTGGGTCTCTTATAGGTAGCAGGTGGTTGGATCTTATTTTTTTTTTTAAATCCAACTTGCCCGTCTATATCTTTTAATTGGTACATTTAGGCCATTTATGTTCAAAGTTAATATTGACATGCGAAGTTTTGTACCTGTCATGGTTTTGTTTCCTAGTTACCTTAAGTCTCAACTGTGTAACTGCTTTATAGGATCTGTGAGCTTTCTACTTACATGTGCTTTTATGACGGTAAGTATCATCCTTTTGTTTCCATGTTTATCACACCTTTGAGCATTTCTTGTAGGACCAGTCTAGTGGTGACAAATTCCCTTAGCATTTGCTTGTCTGGAAAATACTTTCTCCTTCATTTATGAACCTTAGTTTGGCAGGATTTAAAATTCTTATCTGGCATATTTTTCATTTAAGGAGGCTAATAATAGGCCCCTGATCGCTTCTGGCTTGTAAGGTTTCTGCTGATAAGTCCACTGTTAGTCTGATGGGATTTCCTTTATAGGTGATTTGTATTTCTCTTTAGCTGCTTTTAAGATTTGTTCTTTCACATTGATGTTGGATAGTCTGTTGACTATATGCCTTGGCAATGTTTCTCTTGTATAGTGTCTGTCAGGTGTTCTATGAATTTCTTAAATCTGGGTGTTTGCATCTCTAGGAAGATCAGGGAATTTTTCCTGAATTATTCCCTAAAATACGTTTTCCAAACTTCTTATTATTTTCTTCTTCTACTTCAGGAATGCCTATAAGTTGTAGGTTTGGTCACTTTACATAATCATACTTTTCTCGAAGGCTTTGTTCATTTTTAAAAATTCTTTTTCCTTTGTTTTTGACTGGGTTAATTCAAAAGACTGGGCTTCAAGCTTGAAATTCTTTCTTCTGCTTGGTTTAGTCTATTGTTAGAGCCTCCAACTGTGTTTTAAAATTTCTTCAGTGAGTTTTTCATTTTCAGAAGTTCTGTTTGTTTTCTTTAAATATATGTATCTAATCTTTTATCTCCTCAATTATTTTTCTGATTTCTTTGTGTTGGTTCTCCACTTTCCTTTGTATTTCACTGAGCTTCCTTAAAATCCATACCTTGAATTCTTTATCTGGCATTTCCAAGTTTTCATTTTGGTTAGGATCCATTGCTAGATAGCTAGTGTGGTCCTTTAGGGGTGTCAAAACGTTATGTTTTTTCATGTTGCTGGAGTTCTTGTACTGGTCCCTTTTCATGTGTAGAAGCTGTCACTTTCTATTTTTAAACTTACTTTCATTTCGGTGGGATTTTTTTCTTCCCCGCTTGAGTGTGTTACTGTTGTGTATGTTGGGTAGAGTCCTTCGGCTTTGCTTCTTTGTGCTTTTAGGGCACCAACACTCTGTATTAATTCATTGATTATAGATAGCCTTACTGTAGTGGTTTTCTAAGATGCTAGTTGTTTGTAGGTTGTTGTAGTGGTGTGCTGTGCCACACCAACAGAGATGGAGAGGTGGAGGCCTTGGGAAGCTTATCTCATTTCCCAGCACTGTGTGCTTCTTTCAGCAGCGATTACATTAGATTACGCAGTTCACCCTAGTGGCCAGTAGGTGGCGATAGCAGGCAAGAACCAGCTGAGCACTGTACAGTGATATTTGCAGTTGTGATGGGTCATGCAGTTTGCTGTCCCAGCCAGTAGATGGCGATTGCCGAGGACAGCATTTGCGCTGATGGCAGTGGACTTTTTACTTGGCCTTTGTTGATGGGGGAAGTACTAGGGTGTTCCTGAAATGGGCAGGGTATGGGGCTCCCAGGGGTCCTGCTCCACACTCTACCACCAAGGTGGCTGGAGGGGGCAAAACTGGGCAGGGCTGGGTTGGGCAAGCCCACAGCCAGGCTCTCCAAGGCAGTCGTAAACACTTACCTTCGCAGGGGTCTAGGGGCTGCTCTCGGGCTACTGGGACAACCCTCCAGTGGGGGGTGGCGGCGCCTCTCCTGTGCCACAGAGCACGCTCAGGGTAAGAAGGATGCCAGGGGTTATCAGCCCAGCAGGCAGCCATGGGACCCCACCCAGCTGCTGCACCCTGGACTTGGGAGATCTCCCTCCAGTATTCAATGCTGGCAACAGGCCCAACTGACTAGACTAGTCCCAAGCAATCTGTACCCAGATTGCCAAGCCATTCCAGGCATTCATGATACTCCCTGAGGCAGAAACCATGGCTATCAGGCCACACCCTTCCTGGCCCGGTCTCCTGAAGGGAGTTCCCATGCCATTACATGAACCCGAGCTGTGCTCTTCTCTTATTCTGACAGTGAGGGCTCCTCCCCTGCTAGAGATCAGGCTACGAATCTCATTTTCATCCACCTGGATGGTGTGCTCAAGTCCTGGGAAACTGGGACAAGGCCAGCGGATTTGTTCACTGGCCCCTCAAGGTCAAGGACCACATGTGACAGGGGGGTGAACTGCACCTAGGCCATCAACAAACCACCTAGGCGGGACAATGGAGGCTATGTTGTTGGCCCCTCCCCTGTGGGAATGGCCAGACCGGCAGTCTTAGGAGGGTTTAGCAGATGTGGGATTTCATGCTTTGGCTGTACCTCAGCCCCATGGCAATGGCAGTGGGACCTGTCTTGGGCATGTGAGCATTCCCTGGCCCTGTTCTCTCCAAGCCTAGCAGACAGCAGGACCTGTAACAACTTAGGGCAGGATGCAAAGCTCTGGGGTGGGGGTGGGGGAGCTCAGAGTCAGCTTTTGCTGTCGCTGCCTAGCACACTGAAGACTTTTGGGCTCTACTAGGGTTCAAGCAATGTGTCTGTGTTATCTCCAGGCAGCTCCCTCTGCCAGTCCAAAGGTCTGAAGGAGTCTGGAGGAATTCCTGTAGCTAGGAACTCAGAGATCCACAGTGGGAATATGGTGTCCCGGGGTTTCTTCCCTCAACACTTCCTTGGGAATGGCACCGGTCTGGGGGCCAGTCCTGGTATCTCACAATACCAAGCAGGCAGCCTCACTTCATCCCTCTTCAACCAGGGTGTCTTCTGTCACTTCTCTATTGAATTTCAGTGTTTTGTCTCAAAAGATCTGGTCAGAGTGTGCAGGTATACTCAATATTTTGGTTCTTTTCCACAGAAAAGGCACCTCCCAGCTGTATCTAATCAGCATCTTTAATCTCTCCTTTTTTAGTGTTTTTAAAATGTATGTAAATGGACTCTGTCTTAATCTAGCATGTTAGGCCATTCTTACATTGCTATAAAGGAATACCTAAGACTGGGTAATTTTTAAAGAAAAGAGTTTTAATTGGCTCATGGTTCCGCAGGGTGTACAAGCATGGCACTGGCATCTGCTAGGCATCTAGGGAGGCCTTTGGGAGCTTTTACTCATGGTGGAAGGCCAAGCAGAAGCAGGCACGTCACATGATGAAAGCAGGAGCAAGAGAGGGGAGGGGAGGGGAGGGGCCACACACTTTTAAATAACCATATCTCACGATAACTCACTCAGTATCACAAGGACATCACCAAGTGATACAGGATCTGCCCCTATGACATGATCACCTCCCACCAGGCCCCACCTCTAACACTGGGGATCATAATTCAACATGAGATTTATTAGAGGGGACATTAAAAAAAGCACAGCCTGAGGCAAAATCTTATGTGTTGCTACTACTATTTGGTAGTGTAATCCCAGTGTTGTAGAAGTAAGGGGAAAGAAAAGGTGAATCAGGGGAAAAAGTGTTAATAGGAAAGTATGATCCTGAGTTGGCCATTGCTTGGTATCAAGCACAATTGATTGCTTGATTTCTAGGGACCAGTTGCTTCGAGACTGTATTTACTACTATAACTCAGTAAAGTAAATATTGGGGAAGAGGAGGAGAAGAAATGATCTGCCAGCAATAGTCTCCATTGGTCAGAGTCTCCCCATGGAGCATTACATCCCTCACACTTCTGAGTTGTGTAGACAAGGGTGCTGAGCCAGTCCAATGGCCTCTTATGCCTCAGTGGCAATAGAGAGGCCTCCATGCAGGACATACAAGTCACACAAAACAGACATGAAGCAAGATTGTACCCTTGTAAAGTCAGTCTGAGCCCAAACAGAATTAGTCCCTACAAAATTGGCTTGGGCAGAAAAAGCACCTGGGCTGGGCGCAGTGGCTCACATCTGTAATCCCAGCACATTGGGAGGTCGAGGAAGGTGGATCGCTTGAGGTCAGGAGTTTGAGACCAGCCTGGCCAACACAATGAAACCCCATCTCTACTAAAAATACAAAAAAAAAAAAAAAAAAGTGGGTGTGGTTGCAGATGTCTGTGATCCCAGCTACTCGGGAGGCTAAGGGCAGGAGAATCACTTGAACCCAGGAGGGGGAGGTTGCAGTGAGCCAAGATCGCACCACTGCACTCTAGCCTGGGCGACAGAGTAAGAGACTCTGTCTCAGAAAAAAGAAAAAAAAAAAAAAGCCAGGCGTGGTGGCTTACACCTGTAATCCCAGCACTTTGGGAGGCCAAGGCAGGCAGATCACCTGAGGTCAGGAGTTTGAGACCAGCCTGACCAACATGGTGAAACCCTGTCTCTACTAAAAATACAAAATTAGCCAGGTGTGGTCGCACATGCCTGTAATCCCAGCTACTTGAGAGGCTGAGGCAGGAGAATCGCTTGAACCCAGTAGGCAGAGGTTGCAGTGAGCCGAGATCACGCCATTGCACTCCAGCCTGGGCGACAACAGCGAAACACCATCTTAAAAAAAAAAAAAAAAAAGAAAGAAAAAGTGCCCAAGAGTCCCCAGAGTCTTGTGAGGCCAAGAGGACCTGAAGTGTAGCATAAGAGTTGTCTAATGTAGTATCCTATGCTGTGTATCCTTTGTAACTTATTTTTTCATTAAATGTCATGCTTGAAACATATTCATGTTACATACGTAGATCTAGTTAATTCTTAATGTTCGTCCTCTTATGAAGAGATTATCATCTATGAATTTTCCTATGGATGGCCATTGAGCTTCTTTCCAGTAGTTTGGTTCTTTTCAAACCATATTCATTAAATCCCTAAAGTTTTGTAAAGGTGGCTTAGGGACCACAGAGGAGCTCCATAGGCTATCTTGTTCAAAGGACATCAAGGCTTTAAAAATAAATTTGAGAAACAATAAAAATTAATACCATCAAGAATAGTATACGGGCTTCCAGACCATGGTCCAATGAGCTTTGTAACACAACAGGATACTCAACTAAGATTTTGCCTCCGTTAATTTTACTCCATTTTGTCCTCTATTAATTTTATTTCATATTGAGAATTACTAGTCAGAATCCACAATCTTATGATCCCTGAGGTATCAGCAAACAAGTTCTCTTTCTTACATTTTGAATAGTGATAACTAAGTTAGCAACAGAAGTTAAGACCATAGGTTGTGGAAGTAAAATGCTAAGGCATGGAATAGATGCAAACCCCCTTTGCCCTGCACCTCTCCAAATGTTAAATAAATGTATTAAATATAGTGTGTTAATGTAACCCCATTGGTCCATCATAACCAGAATATAGTTTTTCAGCTCCTCCTCTACTTTTTTGTTTTTTTTCCAGTTAACATGCCATGATTATGACAAGTACATGATCACTTGTTGATGAATGAGGATACCTAAAGTATACACATAGTCTTTCAGTTCCCCTTATGGCCTTTATATGTGGCTAGGGTGTGATCTCTGGTCATGAGACAGAGCCAAGGTTACTATAGTAGGAAACCAAACCTGGAACTCTGGTTTGATTAAGAACATGCTCTATTTTCCTAAGGTTACCAACCAGAAATAAAAGGTAAAATATTGACAGAGTTAGCATGTGTTAGATAATTGCAAACGTTCAGTTGAGAAACACTGGTAGCGACAGACCATGGAAAATTCTATAGTTAATGCCTAACTTGCTAATTTCCTAATTATTGGACTTTTAACAAACGTTACATAAATTTTTTTTGGAGTCCTAAAATCTTCTCTGGTATTATTACCTAGGGCAGTAATTAGTATATCTGGTAAAGTAAAATCACAAGTCACCACTACTGCAGATCAGCACAGATTATAGAAAGAGAAGAGACTTTCCAAAGAGCCATGTCTTTTCTGTCTCTTCTGGCATGAGAAGCAGCTTCATCTTGTATAGAATTCAGTCCGAAACTCTTAATATCCAGGTTTCTATTAATTGTTTCTAGGCAACGTTTTAAGCCAGTTTTCCACTCAAGCACTTTTCAGCTGATGGCTCACCTCAGCTGGGAACACTCATTTATAAACCCTGGTGTTTAAATTCTTACCTGGAAAATAGGGTTAGACTACTCCAAAGGGCAATTAGGCATTTCTACCAGGGCCAATAAGATAACCCATTCTAGGTTTGGGAATTAGGGCAGAGGTTGTTTTTGCCTGGTCCATTTGGTGAAGAATTCCATTCCTGCATGTTAGTGACTTTATTTGGCAAAGCCCTCCCTTTAGAACCCACAATCAATTTGGGAGCTTCCCCAAGGTTTTTTTTAAATCAAATCTGTGGATAAAAATCAAATAGAGAAACTCCTAGTTTCATTTGTACCCAGGACCACATTTGACCTAAGGAATCTTCTTTTGCAAAGTTAGTTTGCTCTTTTTGAACATTATAACATCAGAAATCTAATGAGGAATTGTTTTCTCTGCCATCTGAAGAATGTGAGAGACTTTGAGCCTTTCAGATTCTTTTCTTTCACTTTCAATAAACTAGAAAACAACTACTAACAGGCTCTGAAATTGAGGCAATAATCAATAGCTTACCAACCAAAAAAAGTCCAGGACCAGATGGATTCACAGCCGAACTCTACCAGAGGTACAAAGAGGAGCTGGTACCATTCCTTCTGAAACTATTCCAATCAATAGAAAAAGAGGGAATCCTCCCTAACTCATTTTATGAGGCCAGCATCATCCTGATACCAAAACCTGGTAGAGACACAACCAAAAAAGAGAATTTTAGACCAATATCTTTGATGAACATCAATGCAAAAATCCTCAATAAAATACTGGCAAACCGAATCCAGCAGCACATCAAAAAGCTTATCCACCATGATCAAGTGGGCTTCATCCCTGGGATGCAAGGCTGGTTCAATATACGCAAATCAATAAATGTAATCCAGCATATAAACAGAACCAAAGACAAAAACCACCTGATTATCTCAATAGATGCAGAAAAGGCCTTTGACAAAATTCAACAACCCTTCATGCTAAAAACTCTCAAGAAATTACGTACTGATGGGACATAACTCAACATAATAAGAGCTATCTGTGACAAACCCACAGCCAATATCATACTGAATGGGCAAAAACTGGAAGCATTCCCTTTGAAAACAGGCACAAGACAGGGATGCCCTCTCTCACCACTCCAATTCAACATAGTGTTGGAAGGTCTGGCCAGGGCAATCAGGCAGGAGAAGGAAATAAAGGGTATTCAATTAGGAAAAGAGGAAGTCAAATTGTCCCTGTTTGCAGATGACATGATTGTATATCTAGAAAACCCCATCGTCTCAGCCCAAAATCTCCTCAAGCTGATAAGCAACTTCAGCAAATCTCAGGATACAAAATCAATGTACAAAAATCACAAGCATTCTTATACACCAATAACAGACAAACAGAGAGCCAAATCATGAGTGAACTCCCATTCACAATTGCTTCAAAGAGAATAAAATATCTAGGAATCCAACTTACAAGGGATGGGAAGGACCTCTTCAAGGAGAACTACAAACCACTGCTCAATGAAATAAAAGAGGATACAAACAAATGGAAGAATATTCCATGCTCATGGGTAGGAAGAATCAATATCGTGAAAATGGCCTCACTGCCCAAGGTAATTTATAGATTCAATGCCATCCCCATCAAGCTACCAATGACTTTCTTCACAGAATTGGAAAAAACTACTTTAAAGTTCATATGGAAACAAAAAAGAGCCCACATGGCCAAGTCAATCCTAAGCCAAAAGAACAAAGCTGGAGGCATCACGCTACCTGACTTCAAACTATACTACAAGGCTACAGTAACCAAAAGAGCATGGTACTGGTAAGAAAACAGAGATATAGATCAATGGAACAGAACAGAGCCCTCAGAAATAATGCCACATATCTACAACTATCTGATCTTTGACAAACCTGAGAAAAACAAGCAATGGGGGAAGGATTCCCTATTTAATAAATGGTGCTGGGAAAACGGGCTAGCCATATGTAGAAAGCTGAAACTGGATCCCTTCCTTACACCTTATACAAAAATTAACTCAAGATGGATTAAACACTTAAACGTGAGACCTAAAACCATAAAAACCCTAGAAGAAAACCTAGGCAATACCATTCAGGACATAGGCATGGGCAAGGACTTCATGTCTAAAACACCAAAAGCAATGGCAACAAAAGCCAAAATTGACAAATGGGATCTAATTAAACTAAAGAGCTTCTGCACAGCAAAAGAAACTACCATCAGAGTGAACAGGCAACCTACAGAATGGGAAAAAAAATTTTTGCAATCTACTCATCTGACAAAGGGCTAATATCTAGAATCTACAATGAACTCCAACAAATTTACAAGAAAAAAACAAACAACCCCATCAAAAAGTGGGCAAAGGATATGAACAGACACTTCTCAAAAGAAGACATTTATGCAGCCAAAAAACACATGAAAAAATGCTCATCATCACTGGCCATCAGAGAAATGCAAATCAAAACCACAATGAGATACCATCTCATACCAGTTAGAATGGCGATCATTAAAAAGTCAGGAAACAACAGGTGCTGGAGAGGATGTGGAGAAATAGGAACACTTTTACACTGTTGGTGGGACTGTAAACTAGTTCAACCATTGTGGAAGTCAGTGTGGCGATTCCTCGGGGATCTAGAACTAGAAATACCATTTGACACAGCCATCCCATTACTGGGTATATACCCAAAGGACTATAAATCATGCTACTATAAAGACACATGCACATGTATGTTTATCGCGGCACTATTCACAATAGCAAAGACTTGGAACCAACCCAAATGTCCAACTATGATAGACTGGATTAAGAAAATGTGGCACATATACACCATGGAATACTATGCAGCCATAAAAAAGGATGAGTTCATGTCCTTTGTAGGGACATGGATGAAATTGGAAATCATCATTCTCAGTTAACTACGGCAAGGACAAAAAACCAAACACCGCATGTTCTCACTCATAGATGGGAATTGAACGATGAGAACACATGGACACAGGAAGGGGAACATCACACTCTGGGGACTGTTGTGGGGTGGGGGATGGGGGAGGGATAGCTTTAGGAGATATACCTAATGCTAAATGACGACTTAATGGGTGCAGCACACCAGCATGGCACATGTATACATATGTAACTAACCTGCACATTGTGCACATGTACCCTAAAACTTAAAATATAATAATAATAAAAAAAGAAAGCAATCACAACATGTGTGTTTTGTGACTTGCTTTTCTCAATTAACAATAGAAGAATATCTTTCCAGATGCATTTATATATCATTTTATAAAATTATTTTAAATGGTTGTATAGTATTATGTGGGTATGCCACAATGTTTTAGTCTTCTCTTTTATGAGACACTTTCCTTTTTTAGCATTTCCTTTTTTAGAAACAACATTGAGATGCAAATGAGGTAAAAAGCTGTCAGAAATTTGACCAGCACTCCAAACCCACATTACCCTTCTGCGTAACCCTTTCTAACCAAACCTGCTCCTAAGTAATTACTCCACAATTTCGATTTCCAATGTTGTCAAACCTTAGAGTATATCAGAAACACCTGGTCAGTTTTGTTTGTTTGTTTGTTTTTAGTAAAGATCCACAGGCCCTAACTTCAGAGAGTGATTCAGCAGGTCTAGTGTGAAGCTAGGGATCTGAATTTTTAAACAACTCCCCCTACAAAGTGATCTTATTGCAGGCAGTCCCTATTTAGAGAAACGCTGCTCTGGTTCTTATGTCCTATTTTAAAATAAATTTGATAATATTTTCATTTACCTGCACACACTGCTTAAGGAAATGTTCAGAAATAAATAAATGCAGAAAATTTATCACTCCCAACCAAATTTCTACTCCCAGCAACCAAAACCTATTTTTAAAGTCCCTATAGCTCTTATTATAAGAAACCTAATATTCTAGTACATAATTTCTTCCCTAATACATTTTTAAAGAAGAAATGTGGTTACTGTTTTGCATGTTGCAAATAGAAGGCTCTACTATGCAGCTGATATAAAGGCATAAATTCCTGCAGACATGGATGGCATTTGCAAAATTCTGAATAACCTCTCTAGCTACCATCAGAGAGTGCTGGCTTAGCTGAACTGCCTCATCAAATAGAGTGTCCATTACCTTTAATTGGGTTTGTAGGATTAGGCCTGAAAGGGCTGTGTGTGTTTGGTGAGAATCCTTTACTGTTGCTTAAAATTCCATTCACAAATGAAATGCACTTAATCAGCCTCCCTCTAGTGGCAGTTGACAGGAAACAGACATTCCAGAGATATAGGCTACCCAGAGCAAACAAAACAGAACATACCCCTTCCAGTTTGCTCAGGGACCTGAAGTGATATACCATGAAGAAACTGATATTTTGAAATTTTGATGAAACCTTGTGAAATATTCCACAGTGTCAGGAAACATCCCTACTCCCAATTCTGAATGTAGACAAAGGGTACTTGAACACTGTGTTTCTGCTTAGAAAATCGAAAGCAACTACCAGACCTTATTACCTTCCAAGAATTATTTTAAAGTCTTAGAAAACTCTGTCTCCTGTGGTCGATGGTAACAGCCTGCATACAAACAAAATGAATGATTTTTAATGATATATCAATATATACTGAGTCTTGCCACAAAAAGTAAAAAGGCAGGCCACCCATAGTTTTGATTGCATAGTCTCTGTGTTGTTTGTTCAGATTAACTCTACCTCATAGTGATTTTTCTCTTATTCTGTATCTCACTGGCCCTGGTAGATACAGTCTTACTCTTACTATCCTGCCTTGCTTATATAATGCATCAGAACTATTTTCTAGTAATTTCAAGACTATATTTTGTAAGATCCTTGATGATAAGGATTATGCCTGCTACTTCTTTTGTATCTCCACTGGCACAGTCACAGTCTCATGGTACTTACACAATGTACTTATTAACTTGCAGCACATAGGCATGTATGCACACACACCCTTGCTATGTGATCTCTTGTTTTGTTTTTGTTTTATTGTAAAAGTACTTTGCATCATGGTGAATAAGGGGCTTTAATCTGAACCAGTTGGCTCATGTGAGACTTATTTAGGATAAGTTAATGTCATCAGCTCAGCATGCTTGGCCTTAACATGCTTTACCATATTTGCTGATAGACACACACATTAAAAATAAGTATTTTTCCTACCTCTGAAAGGAAAGCAATCCTGAAATGAAACAGTCACTATTGGAAAGCTACAAAATAATATAGTATCAATATCTAACTCTCATTATCATATTGATTTGCCTGCAGTATGCTTCATAAACATCTCTATAAATTAATACTTATACTAGTCCACCAGGGAGAGGATGGGATTGCCTTTTGAAACTAGAATTATGGGGCTAGAGGCACATAAAAACATGTGGTATAGCAGAAAGGGCACCATACTGTAACTCAGGAGAAAGGATTCTATTCCCAGGTGGGCAAGTAATCTTGATCAAGTCACATTCCTTCCCTGGGCTTCAGTTTTCTCATCTGTGACTTAAGGAAGTTTACATTAGATTTATTCATGCAATATATATTTAGTGCCTCCCCAGCCTTCTAGGTGTTAGAAATACAGCAAAACAAAACAAAACAAAACAAAACAAAACAAAGGAAAAAAAGAAAAAAAAAAATCCCTGTCCACCTGCAGCTGATAAAAGATAGAAGGACAATGCATTTCTAAAATATCTGAAAATGATTATTGGAGGATACTGATAAGCACTATGAAGCAAAATAAGAAGGTTAATGGGATACAGAGTAAAAGGTAGGAAGAAGAGTAAATGAAGAAACAGGGAGATGTACTAGGGAAGGCCTCTCTGAGAAAGCGATATTTGAGTGAAGGCCTGAATACGGAGAAGATTTATTTGCAAACACTTACAGGAGAGTAATTCAGACAGAAGGAACAGAAAATATAAATTCTCTGAGGTGGCAACAAGCTTGGTCTCTTCAAATAACAGGAAGAAGATCAGTATGTCTACAGTGCAGTGAGCAAGGAGCAGAGTAGCAAGAGATGGTGATGAAGCTGTATGTCAGATAGTGCAGGGACTTGTAGACCAGGGTGAGAGGTTTGGATTCTATTCTATACATCATGGAAAATATTTAGAGAATTTTGATGCAGGAACGACATCATCTGATTTACATTTTAAAAGTACTGCAGTAAGAGCAAGAGTGGAGAGTGAACAGAGACCACTGCAGGAAGAGATATTTGTTCACTTGCCTATGGTGGTAGTGAAGACAAAGAAGATTGAACAGATTTGAGATATGTTTAAGAGGCAGAGTCAACAGGACCTCACTCACTAGATATTGAGTATAAGCAGGAAAACAGGAAAGAAAGATGACTCTTGGGGCTTGTACCTGAGTAATAATTGTCTAATGGTTCTTGTTTCAGACATTTTCACCTATGTTATAAATAGGATTGGCCTATACTTTTCAGATTCTGCCTTTTCCTGGTTTTATGATGGTTATGCTAGTCTCATAAAGTAAATTAAGTAGCTTTTTTCCCTTTTCTGAAATTGTTAATGTAATTTGGAACATTTAATTCTTGACAGTTAGAGAAAATTTTCCAATAAAATCATCTAATCACATAAGCCTGGAGTCTTTGGGCGGGAGATGGGAGGTTGATAATTTTTATTACCAATTCAATATGCTTAAGCTTATTGGTTTATGAAGGTTTTCTAATTTTTCTTGAGATAATGTTGATCAATTATACATTCTATTAATATGTCCATATCATTTGTTTTCTATTTTATTGGCATAAAGTTGGTTGCTTCATATTAATCTCTTCTGATTTATTCAAATCTCTGTTATATCTATCATATTACCTTTTCATTCCTAATATTACTTGCATGTGTCTTTTTCTCCCTTGTGTCAATAAGCCTCATGATACGGTCTTAGAAGTAGAAGGCTGCAAAGAAAATGATTTAAGGAAGATCTGAAAATATATCCATTTAATAGCATGTTCCCAGTCATTCCCATTATTTCTTTCTGTATAGAGAGCTCATGAATTAGGTGTGCACGTGAATATGTAGAGTGCTGTGGGAGTGAAGAGAGCTACAAAATTTTTAAAAACTATTAGGAACAAAAGAGAAACAAAAACCTCAAGACACCACTATATCAGGTTCTAGAAATTCAAGTTTGCTGTACTGACCATACACAAAAAGGAAACTCAGGTATTTAAAATACATTAGGAAGAGAACACATGGACACAGGGAGGGGAACATCACACACTGGTGCCTGTCAGGGGACAGGGGGCTAGGGGAGGGATAGCATTAGAAGAAATACCTAATGTAGATGATAGGTTGATGGGTGCAGCAAGCCACCATGCCATGTGTATACCTATGTAATAAACCTGCACATTCTGCACATGTACCACAGAACTTAAAGAATAATTTAGAGAGGAGCCAAGATGGACGAATAGGAACAGCTCCAGTCTACAGTTCCCAGCACGAGCAACGCAGAAGACAGGTGATTTCTGCATTTCCATCCTAGGCACCGGGTTCGTCTCACAAGAGAGTGCCAGACAGTGGGCGCAGGTCAGTGGGTGCGCGCACCGTGAGCGAGCCGAAGCATGGCGAGGCATTGCCTCACTCGGGAAGCGCAAGGGGTCAGGGAGTTCCCTTTCCTAGTCAAAGACAGGGGTGACGGACGGCACCTGGAAAATCAGGCCACTCCCAACCGAATACTGCGCTTTTCCGACAGGCTTAAAAAATGGTGCAGCATGAGATTATATTCCCCACCTGGCTCGGAGGGTCCTACAACCACGGAGTCTCGCTGATTGCTAGCACAGCAGTCTGAGATCAAACTGCAAGGCGTCAGCGAGGCTGGCGGAGGGGCGCCCACCATTACCCAGGCTTGCTTAGGTAAACAAAGCAGCCAGGAAGCTCGAACTGGGTGGAGCCCACCACAGCTCAAGGAGGCCTGCCTGCCTGCCTGCCTCTGTAGGCTCCACCTCTAGGGGCAGGGCACAGACAAACAAAAAGACAGCAGTAACCTCTGCAGACTTAAATGTCCCTGTCTGACAGCTTTGAAGAGAGCAGTGGTTCTCCCAGTAAGCAGCTGGAGATCTGAGAAGGGGCAGACTGCCTCCTCAAGTGGGTGCCTGACCCCTGACCCCCGAGCAGCCTAACTGGGAGGCACCCCCCAACAGGAGCACACTGACACCTCACACGGCAAGGGGACTCCAACAGACCTGCAGCTGAGGGTCCTGTCTGTTAGAAGGAAAACTAACAAACAGAAAGGACATCCACACCAAAAACCCATCTGTACATCACCATCATAGAAGACCAAAAGTAGATAAAACCACAAAGATGGGGAAAAAACAGAACAGAAAAACTGGAAACTCTAAAAAGCAGAGCACCTCTCCTCCTCCAAAGGAACGCAATTCCTCACCAGCAACGGAACAAAGCTGGACAGAGAATGACTTTGACGAGCTGAGAGAAGAAGGCTTCAGACGATCAAATTACTCTGAGCTACGGGAGGACATTCAAACCAAAGGCAAAGATGTTGAAAACTTTGAAAAAAATTTAGAAGAATGTATAACTAGAATAAACAATACAGAGAAGTGCTTAAAGGAGCTGATGGAGCTGAAAACCAAGGCTCGAGAACTACGAGAATAATGCAGAAGCCTCAGGAGCCAATGCGATCAACTGGAAGAAAGGGTATCAGTGATGGAAGACGAAATGAATGAAATGAAGCGAGAAGGGAAGTTTAGAGAAAAAAGAATAAAAAGAAATGAGCAAAGCCTCCAAGAAATATGGGACTATGTGAAAAGACCAAATCTACGTCTGATTGGTGTACCTGAAAGTGACGGGGAGAATGGAACCAAGTTGGAAAACACTCTGCAGGATATTATCCAGGAGAACTTCCCCAATCTAGCAAGGCAGGCCAACATTTCAGGAGAACTTCCCCAATCTAGCAAGGCAGGCCAACATTCAGATTCAGGAAATACAGTGAACGCCACAAAGATACTCCTCGAGAAGAGCAACTCCAAGACACAAAATTGTCAGATTCACCAAAGTTGAAATGAAGGAAAAAATGTTAAGGGCAGCCAGAGAGAAAGGTCGGGTTACCCTCAAAGGGAAGCCCATCAGACTAACAGCGGATCTCTCAGCAGAAACCCTACAAGCCAGAAGACAGTGGGGGCCAATATTCAACATTCTTAAAGAAAAGAATTTTCAACCCAGAATTTCATATCCAGCCAAACTAAGCTTCATAAGTGAAGGAGAAATAAAATACTTTACAGACGAGCAAATGCTGAGAGATTTTGTCACCACCAGGCCTGCCCTAAAAGAGCTCCTGAAGGAAGTGCTAAACATGGAAAGGAACAACCGGTACCAGCCACTGCAAAATCACGCCAAAATGTAAAGACCATAGAGACTAGGAAGAAACTGCATCAACTAACGAGCAAAATAACCAGCTAACATCATAATGACAGGATCAAATTCACACATAACAATATTAACTTTAAATGTAAATGGACTAAATGCTCCAATTAAAAGACACGGACTGACAAATTGGATAAAGAGTCAAGATCTATCAGTGTGCTGTATTCAGGAAACCCATCTCACGTGCAGAGACACACATAGGCTCAAAATAAAAGGATGGAGGAAAATCTACCAAGCAAATGGAAAACATAAAAAGGCAGGGGTTGCAATCCTAGTCTCTGATAAAACAGACTTTAAACCAACAAAGATCAAAAGAGACAAAGAAGGCCATTACATAATGGTAAAGGGATCAATTCAACAAGAAGAGCTAACTATCCTAAATATATATGCACCCAACACAGGAGCACCCAAATTCATAAAGCAAGTCCTGAGTGACCTACAAAGAGACTTAGACTCCCACACATTAATAATGGGAGACTTTAACACCCCACTGTCAACATTAGACAGATCAACGAGACAGAAAGTCAACAAGGATACCCAGGAATTGAAGTCAGCTCTGCACCAAGCAGACATAACAGAAATCTACAGAACTCTCCACCCCAAATCAACAGAATATACATTTTTTTCAGCACCACACCACACCTATTCCAAAATTGACCACATACTTGGAAGTAAAGCTCTCCTCAGCAAATGTAAAAGAACAGAAATTATAACAAACTATCTCTCAGACCACAGTGCAAACAAACTAGAACTCAGGATTAAGAATCTCACTCAAAACCACTCAACTACATGGAAACTGAACAACCTGCTCCTGAATGACGACTGGGTACATAACGAAATGAAGGCAGAAATAAAGGTGTTCTTTGAAACCAACGAGAACAAAGACACAACATACCAGAATCTCTGGGACACATTCAAGGCAGTGTGTAGAGGGAAATTTATAGCACTAAATGCCCACAAGAGAAAGCAGGAAAGATCCAAAATTGACACCCTAACATCACAATTAAAAGAACTAGAAAAGCAAGAGCAAACACATTCAAAAGCTAGCAGAAGGCAAGAAATAACTGAAATCAAAGCAGAACTGAAGGAAATAGAGACACAAAAAACCCTTCAAAAAATTAATGAATCCAGGAGCTGGTTTTTTGAAAGGATCAACAAAATAGATAGACTGTTAGCAAGACTAATAAAGAAAAAGAGAGAGAAGAATCAAATAGATGCAATAAAAAATGATAAAGGGGATATCACCACTGATCCCACAGAAATACAAACTACCATCAGAGAATACTACAAACACCTCTACGCAAATAAACTAGAAAATCTAGAAGAAATGGATAAATTCCTCAACACATACACTCTCCCAAGACTAAACCAGGAAGAAGTTGAATCTCTGAATAGACCAATAACAGGAGCTGAAATTGTGGCAATAATCAATAGCTTACCAACCAAAAAGAGTCCAGGACCAGAAGGATTCACAGCCGAATTCTATGAGAGGTACAAGGAGGAACTAGTTTCCTTCTGAAACTATTCCAATCAATAGAAAAAGAGGGAATCCTCCCTAACTCATTTTATGAGGCCAGCATCATTCTGATACCAAAGCCAGGCAGAGACACAACCAAAAAAGACAATTTTAGACCAATATCCTTGATGAACATTGATGCAAAAATCTTCAATAACATACTGGCAAAACGAATCCAGCAGCACATCAAAAAGCTTATCCACCATGATCAAGTGGGCTTCATCCCTGGGATGCAAGGCTGGTTCAGTATATGCAAATCAGTAAATGTAATCCAGCATATAAACAGAGCCAAAGACAAAAACCACATGATTATCTCAATAGATGCAGAAAAGGCCTTTGACAAAATTCAACAACCCTTCATGCTAAAAACTCTCAAGAAATTAGGTATTGATGGGACGTTATTTCAAAATAATAAGAGCTATCTATGACAAACCCACAGCCAATATCATACTGAATGGGCAAAAACTGGAAGCATTCCCTTTGAAAACAGGCACAAGACAGGGATGCCCTCTCTCACCACTCCTATTCAACATAGTGTTGGAAGTTCTGGCCAGGGCAATTAGGCAGGAGAAGGAAATAAAGGGTATTCAATTAGGAAAAGAGGAAGTCAAATTGTCCCCGTTTGCAGATGACATGATTGTATATCTACAAAACCCCATTGTCTCAGCCCAAAATCTCCTCAAGCTGATAAGCAACTTCAGCAAAGTCTCAGGATACAAAATCAATGTACAAAAATCACAAGCATTCTTATACACCAATAACAGACAAACAGAGAGCCAAATCATGAGTGAACTCCCATTCACAATTGCTTCAAAGAGAATAAAATACCTAGGAATCCAATTTACAAGGGATGTGAAGGACCTCTTCAAGGAGAACTACAAACCACTGCTCAAGGAAATAAAAGAGGATACAAACAAATGGAAGAATATTCCATGTTCACGGGTAGGAAGAATCAATATCATGAAAATGGCCATACTGCCCAAGGTAATTTATAGATTCAATGCCATCCCCATCAAGCTACCAATGACTTTCTTCACAGAATTGGAAAAAACTACTTTAAAGTTCATAGGGAACCAAAAAAGAGCCCAGATCGCCAAGTCAATCCTAAGCCAAAAGAACAAAGCTGGAGGCATCACACTACCTGACTTCAAACTATACTACAAGGCTACAGTAACCAAAACAGCATGGTACTGGTACCAAAACAGAGATATAGATCAGTGGAACAGAACAGAGCCCTCAGAAATAACACCACATATCTACAACTATCTGATCTTTGACAAACCTGAGAAAAACAAGCAATGGGGAAAGGATTCCCTATTTAATAAATAGTGCTGGGAAAATTGGCTAGCCATATGTAGAAAGCTGAAACTGGATCCCTTCTTTACACCTTATACAAAAATCAACTCAAGATGGATTAAAGACTTAAATGTTAGACCTAAAACCATAAAAACCCTAGAAGAAAACCTAGGCATTACCATTCAGGACATAGACATGGGCAAGGACTTCATGTCTAAAACACCAAAAGCAATGACAACAAAAGCCAAAATTGACAAATGGGATCTAATTAAACTAAAGAGCTTCTGCACAGCAAAAGAAACTACCATTAGAGTGAACAGGAAACCTACAAAATGGGAGAAAATTTTCGCAACCTACTCATCTGACAAAGGACTAATATCCAGAATCTACAATGAACTCCAACAAATTTACAAGAAAAAAACAAACAACCCCATCAAAAAGTGGGGGAAGGACATGAACAGACACTTCTCAAAAGAAGACATTTATGCAGCCAAAAAACACATGAAAAAATGCTCATCATCACTGGCCATCAGAGAAATGCAAATCAAAACCACAATGAGATACCATCTCACACCAGTTAGAATGGCAATCATTAAAAAGTCAGGAAACAACAGGTGTTGGAGAGGATGTGGAGAAATAGGAACACTTTTACACTGTTGGTGGGAGTGTAAACTAGTTCAACCATTGTGGAAGTCAGTGTGGCGATTCCTCAGGGATCTAGAACTAGAAATACCATTTGACACAGCCATCCCATTACTGGGTATATACCCAAAGGACTATAAATCATGCTGCTATAAAGACACATGCACATGTATGTTTATTGCAGCATTATTCACAATAGCAAAGACTTGGAACCAACCCAAATGTCCAACAATGATAGACTGGATTGAGAAAATGTGGCACATATACACCATGGAATACTATGCAGCCATAAAAAAGGATGAGTTCATGTCCTTTGTAGGGACATGGATGAAATTGGAAAGCATCATTCTCAGTAAACTATCACAAGAACAAAAAACCAAACACCGCATATTCTCACTCATAGATGGGAATTGAACAATGAGATCACATGGACACAGGAAGGGGAATATCACACTCTGGGGACTGTTGTGGGGTGGGGGGAGGGGGGAGGGATAGCATTGGGAGATATACCTAATGCTAGATGACAAGTTAGTGGGTGCAGCGCACCAGCATGGCACATGTATACATATGTAACTAACCTGCACAATGTGCACATGTACCCTAAAACTTAAAGTATAATAATGAGAAAAAAAGAATAATTTAAAAAGAAAACTACATATGTATATATGTGTATGTGTGTGTGTGTATGCATATATATATATATATATAAAAGAAGATAAGTACTTTCCATGTTAGAGCAGAGCTATCAAGAGAGGAACAACTTACCCAGTGACCATCAGAAATGGCCATTAGTTGGTGATACTACAATATACAAATAAGGAGAGAGGGATATTTGTGAATAGAAGGCAAGCATATGCAGGCAGTTTTGCAGAATCTTCTGACCCAAAAATCTTCCTCTCCTTGGACTCAACAATCCAAACTACAGGTGAAAGTTTAGAACCAGAATGATCTGAGTTTTAATCCTGCTTTGACATTTGCTAGTTGTATGACCTGGAACAGAACACTACTTATCCCTTCTGTAATTTATCATCGTTATCTATAAAATAACAATATTAGGCTGGGTGTGGTAGCTCACATCTGTAATCCTAGCACTTTGGGAGGCTGAGGCTGGCGGATTGCCTGAGGTCAGGAGTTCATGACCAGCCTGGGCAACACGGCAAAATCCCGCTTCTACTAAAAATACAAAAAATTAGCCAGGCATGGTGATGCGTGCCTGTAGTCCCAGCTACTCGGGAGGCTGAGGCAGGAGAATCACTTGAACCTGGGAGGCAGAGGTTGCAGTGAGACAAGATCATGCCACTGCACTCCAGCCTGGGCAACAGAGTCAGACTCTGTCTCCAAAAAAATAAAAATAAATAAATAAAATAGCAATACTACAACTGACCTCAAAGGGTCCAGAAACTCCAATGGACACCCATTCTTTTCCCTTTGTTATAAGCCAGCTCAAACAGCTCCCAAGAGAGTTTATTCTTTACATTTTTTTTTTTACTATGGTGTTTACATTTCTAGATGTGTCCAGGGTGAATCTCTATTGAAAGCCTAATGAAGATTCTCCTTAGAAAGTTTTTTTCTTTTAAAATAATTTCTCATCTGTGAAACCAGAATTGTTGGGAAGAAGAGAGAGAATAATATCTGACCAACATATATAAAATGATAACTTAATGCATTTGCTTATTCAGCTGATGACATTTGATGAAAATGTATTTTTTTCACAATTCATTAGCCTTGTCTAAATTAGAACCCTCAAAATAGCTTGCTTTCTCCCTTTTAAAGATTCACGTTAGTAGCAAATCCATAGTGGAATAAAAAGGTTTTGGCTATTGTATTGAATATCATCAACATTTAATGCCCCCTCTGCAGCCAAAAAAGCTACAGTTCTAATAGGACAATAAGCTTGCTGAACAGTATTTAATTTCCCATTGTTAATTTAGCTAAATTAATGTACATCAATTTTAAAATGCATTGAAGATACTCTTTTAAAGAGTAGTCTTTTCAGCCTTTTTGGATAGTATATATCCTTTATCATCAGCTTATCTCCCCCAGAACACCACAATTTATAATTTTTTTCTTTTATTTTTTACATGCCTAATGCCTTTCTCACTAGAATTTGATGAATGAAATATAAAAGCATTGCAGATTTAAAATGTTTATGTTTTTAAAACTGGGCCTTATATTTATTTACATTGATCAAGCTGGGAACTGTTACCTATAACACTAGTTATATTTCTAGAATATATACATATAGACAGGAAAATAGAACACATTATTCATTAATTATCCACCTGCTATTCTGCAACGGAAATGTCACTCATTACTAAATAATCTGTTAGGCTTGAGGCTGAAATAATTTTAAAAGGTAATAAAATACCTAGCTATTAGAGTATTTCTTTTTAAATCTACACAGAATTTTCAAAGTTAACAGCATGTTTACTGGCTGGAATAGAATTCAAAATAGGCCAATTCCTACTAACCTAGAGAAATTTTTTTTCTTACTCTTGATGAGGGCTCGTTCAATCTGTGTCAGAGTTCAAAGAACAAAAAATTGTTTCGGTTGATGTAATTTGGAGGTTAACAGTGGTAATTTTGTGAAAAACAACATCTCAGAACTTTTTCCATTATTGCTCAATCTACTGTGTCAAAAAGTACTTGGTAAGAATTAGCTTTCACCTCCTCAGTCTCTGTTATGTCAAAGATCAGAGGTGACTAGGAAGACAAAGTTCAATTTCCTTTTGGCCTTGGCAGTCCCCTTTGAGGGAAAAAGAAGCTACTTTACTTCCATAACGTTCATACCAGGAGAGAAAGGCTAAAGAGAGCTCATAGAAACGCCCAAGTGTAAATATGATTTTATTCTGGGTCTAGAATCTGCTGATAGAAACAAACAGCTAATAACTGTTTTTAAAAACAAAAAATAAAAAGGAATAGCATTCAGAAATTTCTTCATTAATATTTCACAGGATAGGGACATACTATTTATATTACAGAATGAGGATAAAATTGTCAGCATAATGTAAACAATAATGGGAATGAGAGGGACTAGCATTTGTTGAGCACCTAACATGTGACAAATACTATACACACATTGTCTCATTTAATCCTCACAATGACGATGACCTTGTAGCATAAGAACTGTCACTCTCATTTTACAGAAAAGGAAACTGAGGTGCATAGAGGTTTATTTACTTGCCTGAGATGACACAGGTAGTAAACGGCAGGGCAGGAATTTGAAACCAGGTCTTTCTTGTTTCAATGTCCCCCCTCTATGTTTCTTCCATATGGGATTCACTAACACATCACTATGGGAGTGGGTACCAGCTAAGCTTCAAGCACAGAAAGGTTACCTGGTGCTGATAGAGCCCTGCCAAATCAAATTTTAGAGCCTGCCAGGCTCTTAAAATACATGACCTGGTAGAAAGCAACCAACTCGGTAGGGTGCGGTGGCTCACCCCTGTAATCCCAGCACTCTGGGAGGCTGAGGCGGGCGGATCACGAGGTCAGGAGATCCAGACCATCCTGGCTAACACGGTGAAACCCCGTCTCTACTAAAAATACAAAAAAATTAGCCAGGCGTGGTGGCAGGCGCCTGTAGTCCCAGCTACTCGCGAGGCTGAGGCAGGAGAATGGTGTGAACCCGGGAGGCGGAGCTTGCAGTGAGCGGAGATCACACCACTGCACTCCAGCCTGAGCAACAGAGCGAGAGTCCGTCTCAAAAAAAAAAAAAAAAAAAAAAAAAAAAAGAAGCAAAAGAAAGCAACCAACTCCTCAATCACCTGAAAATTTTAAAATGTTCACAGAAATCAATCCTGGGTCATTAACTGAGGTATATTAATATTGAATGAACAAACAAAGGAATAATAGAAGGACCTAAAGTAAGTGGTTCTCACTTGGAAATGGTTGGAATCCCATTCACTCCTTGAGAATCTGGTGAATAGTAAGAACATGTTCTCTAGAAAAATATCCCTTTATGATACAACATTTTAGCAAAGAATTTTAGAGGCTTTTTGGTCTCCTTGAAACTGATTTTAGTAGGCTGCACCATTGTTCCCATTCCTTCGTCTCTCCCTAAATTCATGACCTTTGCCATAGGTCTTTGTAGCTCCTCCCACCAGAGGCAGAGAATATTTCCTTGCTCCACTGATGCTGGCTTTGGCCACCTAATTTGCTTTTTCCAATATAAGTGATATAATGCAATTTCTAACTCTAGTCTTTAAGAGGCATTGTATGTTTCTGCTCATTCTTCTTGCAATGTTGCCATCACCATGAGAAAAAACAATGCTCCACGTAGCCTTTTATTCCAAGAAAGATGAGAGACATGCATGGTAGACCTGAGCTCAACCTCCAGCTTAGAGCCCAGCCTAGGTCAGCTAACCTCCAGCTGACCTACAAATGTACAGATGAAAATAAATAATTGTTGTTTTAAGCCAGTGAGTTTGGGGGTTGGTTTTTAATGTAGCATTGTTGCAGTAATAGTTGACCACTATATCTATTCAGAGACTCTCCGCCTTCAAGAATCTGTGTACTGTATGTTAAGAACCTCTGGTCTAGAATGTTTTAAAGAAGAAATTCCAGAGATTAAAAAAACTATTTAAACATGCATTAATGTATCTGATCCCGTATGCCAGGTAAATTAAAGATTGATGTGATAAACAAAACAATATGTTTAAATGACAAAGAGCTCTTTTGATATGTACAAAATACAAATTCAAAGTGATAGCAAACTCTTGTGAAACAGTTTTACGGGCAGTGTCTTTTCTTTGTGGTACGTAAAAGAGTGATGTGTCTTACAATCAATGGGATCTTAGATGTGATGAGATATCACCTAGCAGATGAGGAAAATGGGAATTGGCTGTGTCTTATCACTTGAGGATTTATAAAACAGATAATGAAGTTCGCTAATAATTAAAATTAAATTGTGTATTATGGCTGTTAGTAAAATCTGTACCCATAATGCAGCAGCTCTGTGATCATCATTTCAGGTGGGCTTTCTCACACTTCTCATCTCTAGAGAAGCAAGGTGTCATTACATATGGTTGGGTACCAACATAATGGTCTAGCAAATAAGTGCTACGAGCACATAGATGATAGATTAATTTAGGCTGTAGTAGTTATATTAAATATTCTTGAACACAGTAAAACATAAGTTGGAGTATCTTGTCAGGGGGAGAGATGAGAAGACTTGGATGGTTCTGAAGAGGAGAGAGGGCATTCTAGGCACAGAAATGGTTTATGGGGATCAAAAAGTAGGAATGAGCATGAGGTATTCAGAAACAGGGAAGAGACCAGTCAAACCAGAGAAAGATTGTTAAGGGGAAGAAAGAAAAAGAAAAGAGCACACAATTATGTGTGGCATAAAATGTTGCACACATCACCTACAGATTCCCAGTTGGTATCTGAAATGTTAGGTCAGGTTTACTCAGAACACAGAAAGAACCAAGTACAATCAAAGAGAGGCTGTCTTTGTATTTCCATTGATATTCCTAATTTAAAACCCAGAAGTAACTTCATTTATCTATGAATCATGCCCAAGGGAAAACAACTTTTTGAGTTTGAAAACAAAAAGCAAAATAAAATTTGTAATGATATTCAAATAAAAATATTGAAAATATAGCATGTATGTCACTCAATAGAAAGACATAGGAAAATATATTCAGGAGCAATAAACTTCAAGTTAAATAAATAGGATTAAAGCTTATAACAAAATTACAAGCAAGTAATTCAAGTTCTCTCAAGGGCTTTACATACTTCAAGGAAAACATCTTCCAATTATCATAAAAAGCTCTCTCCAATTTTCACAGTTCATCTATAATAGGCCGATTGCAAATGTAAAATGTATGGCTCAGGTAGTGCTGTATAGTCAGCTGTAACCATAACCTCCTGTGTAATGACAAGCAATTGGAATAGCAATACTACGACTTAATCTGTTTAATTCAAATTGCTTGGTATTTATACCTATACTCCCACTGGAGGGAAAAAAAATATTTGCAGTAAAAAGTATATTCTTATTATTAATCTTTTATCATACAAAAACAACTCAACAAAAAAGGAATTGACAGCAGAAATAGAAGCAAAATGATTTTTTGACTACAGTGCTAATGGAAGAGTATCATTTTCTTAACTGTATTTCCTAAGATTATCATCAATGGAGGACTTGTTGGGAAAAATAAAAGAAACAAAAGAAAATGTTCAGCTCAGAGATTAAAACAAAGAATCCAAGAAAAGTTTTGTGGATGGCTATTAAAAGCTTTCATGGGAAAAAATGGCTATTTTAAGTTTTCATTTCTACAGTGTCATTATACAAAATTGGCAGGGAATAAGAGTTCTGGCTACATGTCTGGTTTGCTAAGAGTTAAGTTAAGGAGATATCAGTGAAGGCTGATGTTAGGCAGGACAGCCATGCAATGCAGAAATGCAGAAAAAGGTTAACCCCAGCCTTTTGTTTTTCTGATTCTTATTTGAAATAAGGATTAGAAAACTTAGATATTTTATATTATTTTAAATTCAATTTAGCTTGGTGTCACTTGCAACTGTGAATACTAATATACCTATACTTAGTTGTCTCTCATTGAGCATGCTACATGAGTTGTATGCAGCTCAAAGTACTTCCAGTAGCATAAAATCAACACCAGTGTCCCCAAACAATTCCTTTTGTTCCACCAGACCTGTACTTGTCTTTCCAGATTTTATTAATGCTATCCCACTATTGTTTTACCGACTCCTAAAGATCTGTTCAAGAAGGCACAGAAGTGCACATCAAGTGAGATTCACTACCTAACCCAGTTTCCATGGAAACCAAGTAGAACACTTATTGAAAATTTAGGTCTCCTATCTCTTGCAGGATTTCCTTTGCCAATCTCTCCGTCAATGATACCCAATAATGTTCACATTCCAAGACCAAGAACGGGGGCTTATATTCAACACTTAAGATCAGCCATCTCAGTTAAGTCTTGAGTAGGACCCAATATTCCTTTAAGAAAACACTAATGGAATGAGAGAGGGTAAAGTAACATTTATCATTGCACCTCCTGTGTGTTCAATGCCTTTAAACTTTTCTTCACTTTACAAAAGGTTCTCCTTTAAGTAGCCAGCAACTCTAGAGCATATAAATAGAATCTGACTTATAAAAGTGATGTCCATGGCACTTTTGGAGGGCAAGGTGATTCTAATATCAAGGTCACAGGCACTATAATGCCTGGTGTTGCTTTACAAGCAACTCTTCACTTTGTATATGCAAAAGTAGATCTTCTGATTTCTGCACAGGTTTTTATTCCTTGTCCCTGTTATTTCAACAACAAAAACATAAGAAGCATCCTGCTAATCTATCCTGCATAACTTTTATAGTAGATTAATGATGGTCACAAATTGTTTGATAATTTTCCCACAGAGAGGTGGGGTTCATATCCTCTCTCCTTGAATTTTGGCAGACTCTGTGAGCATTTTGACCAGTAGAATATGAAGTGACTCTTTATCAGATTATGAGCCCAGAAATTTTTAAAAATCACAGCTTTCACTTTCTGTCTCTGGGAACAATGGCTCTAAAGGAAATAATTATCATGTAACTTCAAAGTCTACCCTTAGACCATCATGATACGACAAAGACCATGTCACCATGTAGAAAGGCCACATTAAAAGAGAAATGTCCAGCTATTCCCCAGCCATTCCTCCTATTTTAGGCTCCAGGAGCATGTGTGAAGAATCTATCTTGACATCCAGCTCTCTTGAGCCTTCAGATGATTCTAGCCACAGCCATCTGATAATAACTGCCTGTGATCCTGATAAGTGACCAGCTGAGCCTAGTCATCTATATTACTGTGTCCAGAATTCGTTCCTTCCAGTGGGTTCTTGGTCTCGCTGACTTCGAGAACGAAGCTGTGGACTCTCATGGTGAGTGTTACAGTTCTTAAAGATGGTGTGTCCAGAGTTCATTCCTTCAGATGTTCAGATGTGTCCAGTTTCTTCCTTCTGGTGGGTTCATGGTATCTCTTGATTTCAGGAGTGAAGCCGCAGACTTTCGCAGGGTGTGTTACAGCTCTTAAAGGTGGGGCATCCGGAGTTGTTTATTCCTCTCAGTGGGTTTGTGGTCTCACTGACTTCAGGAGTGAAGCTGCAGACCTTCGCAGTGAGTGTTACAGCTCATAAAGGTAGTGTGGACCCAAAGAGTGAGGAGCAGCAAGATTTATTGTGAAGAGCAAAAGAACAAAGCTTCCACAGCATGGAAGGTGACCAAAGTGGGTTGCTGCTGCTGGCTCAGGTGGCCAGCTTTTATTCCCTTATCTGGCCCCACCCACATCCTGCTGATTGGTCCATTTTACAGAGTGCTGCTTGGTGCATTTACAAACCTTTAGCTAGATAGAGCACTGATTGGTGTGTTTAAAATCCTTTAGCTAGACAGAAAAGCTCTCCAAGTCTCCACCCAACCCAGAAGCCCAGCTGCCTTGAACTCTCAATCTCCCCTCTAAACAGGACACCCCAACTGCTGTTGGGAATTGGGTGATGACTGCTCTAGCTACTTCCTGCTGGATAGGGGCAAAGAAGGGGCCCTGCAGTTGTAGTGCCCTCCAGAGGGGAACTCTTAAGGCCAGTGAAAGGGCCAGCAGGTTGGTCCAGGGGTCCTTGGCAGAAGTTGTTAGTTGAGCTCATTTGGGGTCCCATTTGTAAGACCATCTGTAGCTTGACGGCCTCAATTCTAGAGGAAACAAATTTGACAAGGAGGTTAAAAATACACAGCCTGAAGGCGAGTAATAGCAAGATGGCTGCAATGGGACCGAGAAAGGGGAGAAGCCATGTTGCCCAACTCCAGAGGTTGGTATAAGAGTTTGAAAGGTGTTGTGTGATTTCAGAAGCCTTTTCCTGTAAACATCGGGTGGCATCTCGTACCATCCCTGACTGGTCAGTATAAAAACAACACTCCTCCCCTAAGAAGGTGCAGAGTCCTCCTTTCTCAGCAATGAGGAGGTCTAGGCCTTGGTGGTTTTGGAGAGTCACTGCTGCCAAAGAGTCTATTTGGGAGATGGTTCCAAGATGGCCAAATAGGAACAGCTCCAGTCTACAGCTCCCAGTGTGAGTGACGCAGAAGACAGGTGATTTCTGCATTTCCAACTGAGGTACCAGGTTCATCTCACTGGGGCTTGTCCGACAGTGGGGGCAGGACAGTGGGTGCAGTCACCTGAGTGTGAGCTGAAGCAGGGTGAGGCACTGCCTTACCTGGGAAGAACAAGGGGTCAGGGAATTCTCTTTCCTAGCCAAGGGAAGCGGTGACAGACAGCACCTGGAAAATCGGGCCACTCCCACCCTAATACTGTGCTATTCCAACAGTCTTAGCAAATGGCACACAAGGACATTATATCCCATGCCTGGCTCAGAGGGTCCCATGCCCACGAAGCCTCACTCATTGCTAGCACAGCAGTCTGAGATTGATCTGCAAGGCAGCAGCGAGGCTGGGAGAGTGGCGCCCGCCATTGCTGAGGCTTGAGTAGGTAAACAAAGTGGCCAGGAAGCTTGAACTGGGTGGAGCCCACCACAGCTAAAGGAGTCCTGCCTGCCTCTGTAGACTCCCCTTCTGGGGGCAGGGCATAGCCGAACAAAAGGCAACAGAAACCTCTGCAGACTTAAATATCCCTGTCTGACAGCTTTAAAGTGAGTAGTGGTTCTCCCAGCACAGAGTTTGAGAACTGAGAACGGACAGACTGCCTCCTCAAGTGGGTCCCTGACCCCCGAGTAGTCTAACTGGGAGGCACCCCCCAGTAGGGGCAGACTGATACCTCCATGGCCAGGTACCCCTCTGAGATGAAGCTTCCAGAGGAACGATCAGGCAGCAACATTTGCTGTTCAGCAATATTCGCTGTTCTGCAGCCTCCGCTGCTGATACCCAGGAAAACACAGTCTGGAGTGGACCTCCAGAAAACTCCAACAGACCTGCAGCTGAGGGTCCTGACTGTTAGAAAGAAAACTAACAAACAGAAAGGACATCCACACAGAATCCCCATCTGAACATCACCATCATCAAAGACCAAAGGTAGATAAAACCACAAAGATGGGGAAAAAACGGAGCAGAAAAGCTGAAAATACTAAAAATCAGAGTGCCTCTCCCCCTCCAAAGGAACACAGTTCCTTGCCAGCAATGGAACAAAGCTGGATGGAGAATGACTTTGATGAGTTGAGACAAGAAGGCTTCAGATGATCAAACTTCTCAAAGCTAAAGGAGGAAGTTTGAAACCATTGCAAAGAAGCTAAAAACCTGGAAAAAAGATTAGATGAATGGCTAACTAGAATAACCAATGTAGAGAAGTCCTTAAATGACCTGATGGAGCTGAAAAACATGGCACAAGAACTACATGATGAATGCACAAGATTCAGTAGCCGATTCGATCAACTGGAAGAAAAGATATCAGTGATGGAAGATCAAATGAATGAAATGAAGTGAGAAGAGAAGTTTAGAGAAAAAAAGAGTAAAAAGAAACAAAATAAAGCCTCCAAGAAATATGGGACTACGTGAAAAGACCAAATCTACATCTGATTGGTGTACCAGAAAGTGACAAGGAGAATGGAACCAAGTTGAAAAATACTCCGCAGGATATTATCCAGGAGAAGTTCCCCAACCTAGCAAGGCAGGCCAACATTCAAATTCAGGAAATACAGAGAATGCCACAAAGATGCTCCTCGAGAAGAGCAACTCCAAGACACAAAATTGTCAGATTCACCAAAGTTGAAATGAAGGAAAAAATGTTAAGGGCAGCCAGAGAGAAAGGTCGGGTTACCCACAAAGGGAAGCCCATCAAACTAATAGCGGATGTCTCGGCAGAAACTATAAGCCAGAAGAGAGTGGTGGCCAATATCCAACATACTTAAGAAAAGAATTTCCAACCCAGAATTTCATATCCAGCCAAACCAAGCTTCATAAGTGAAGGAGAAATAAAATACTTTACAGACAAGCAAATGCTGAGAGATTTTATAACCACTAGACCTGCCCTAAAAGAGCTCCTGAAGGAGGGACTAAACATGGAAAGGAACAACCGGTACCAGCCACTGCAAAAACATGCCAAATTTTAAAGACCATCCAGGCTAGGAAGAAACTGCATCAATTAATGAGCAAAATAACCAGCTAACATCATAATGACAGGATCAAATTCACACATAACAATATTAACCTTAAACGTAAATGGGCTAAATGCTCCCATTAAAAGACACAGACTGGCAAATTGGATAAAGAGTCAAGACCCATCAGTGTGCTGCATTCAGAGACCCATCTCATGTGCAGAAACACACATAGACTCAACATAAAGGGATGGAGGAAGATCTACCAAGCAAATGGAAAACAAAAAAAGGCAGGGGTTGCAATCCTAGTCTCTGATAAAACAGACTTTAAACCAACAAAGATCAAAAGAGACAAAGAAGACCATTACATAATGGTAAAGGGATCAATTCAACAAGAAGAGCTAACTATCCTAAATATATATGCACCTAATACAGGAGCACCCAGATTCATAAAGCAAGTCCTGAGTGACCTACAAAGAGACTTAGACTCCCACACAATAATAATGGGAGACTTTAACACCCCACTGTCAATATTAGATCAATGAGACAGAAAGTTAATGAGGATATCCAGAAATTGAACCCAGCTCTGCACCAAGTGGACCTAATAGACATCTACAGAACTCTCCACCCCAAATCAACAGAATACACATTATTCTCAGCACCACACCACACTTATTCTAAAATTGACCAAATAGTTGGAACTAAAGCACTCCTCAGCAAAATGTAAAAGAACAGAAATTATAACAAACTGTCTCTCAGACCACAGTGCAATCAAACTAGAACTCAGGATTAAGAAACTCACTCAAAACCACTCAACTACATGGAAACTGAACAACCTGCTCCTGAATGACTACTGGGTACGTAACGAAATGGAGGCAGAAATAAAGTTATTTGAAACCAATGAGAAAAAAGACACAACATACCAGAATCTCTGGGACACATTTAAAGCAGTATGTAGAGGGAAATTTATAGCACTAAATGCCCACAAGAGAAAGCAGAAAAGATCTAAAATTGACAACCTAACATCACAATTAAGAGAACTAGAGAAGCAAGAGCAAACACATTCAAAAGCTAGCAGAAGGCAAGAAATAACTAAGATAAGAGCAGAACTGAAGGAGATAGAGATACAAAAAACCCTTCAAAAAATCAATGAATCCAGGAGCTGGTTTTTTGAAAAGATCAACAAAACTGATAGACCGCTAGCAAGACTAATAAAGAAGAAAAGGGAGAAGAATCAGATAGATGCAATAAAAAATGATAAAGGGGATATCACAACCCATCCCACAGAAATACAAACTACCATCAGAGAATACTATAAACACCTCTAACACAAATAAACTAGAAAATCTAGAAGAAATGGATAAATTCCTGTGCACATACACCCTCCAAAGACTAAACCAGGAAGAAGTTGAATCCCTGAATAGACCAATAACAGTCTCTGAAATTGAGGTAATAATAGACTACCAACCAAAAAAAGTCCAGGAGCAGACAGATTCACAGCCGAATTCTACTAGAGGTACAAGGAGGAGCTGGTACCATTCCTTCTGAAATGATTCCAATCAATAGAAAAAGAGGGAATCTTCCCTAACTCATTTTATGAGGCCAGTATCATCCTGATACCAAAGCCTGACAGAGACACAACAAAAAAAGAGAATTTTAGACCAATATCCTTGATGAACATTGATGCAAAAATCCTCAATAAAATACTGGCAAACCGAATCCAGCAGCACATCAAAAAGCTTATCCACCATGATCAAGTGGGCTTCATCCCTGGGATGCAAGGCTGGTTCAACATATGCAAATCAATAAATGTAGTCCACCATATAAACAGAACCAAAGACGAAAACCACATGATTATCTCAATAGATGCAGAAAAGGCCTGTCACAAAATTCAACAGCCCTTCATACTAAAGACTATCAATAAATTAGGTATTGATGGGATATATCTCAAAATAATAAGAGCTATTTATGACAAACCCACAGCCAATATCATACTGAATGGGCAAAAACTGGAAGCATTCCCTTTGAAAACGGGCACAAGACAGGGATGCCCTCTCTCACCACTCCTATTCAACATAGTGTTGGAAGTTCTGGCCAGGACAATCAGGCAGGAGAAAGAAATAAAGGGTATTCAATTAGGAAAAGAGGAAGTCAAGTTGTTCTTGTTTGCAGATGATATGATTGTATATTTAGAAAACTCCATCATTTCAGCCCAAAATCTCCATAAGCTGATAAGCAACTTCAGCAAAGTCTCAGGATACAAAATCAATGTGCAAAAATCACAAGCATTCTTATACATCAATAATGGACAAACAGGAGCCAAATCATGAGTTAACTCCCATTTACAATTGCTTCAAAGAGAATAAAGTACCTAGGAATCCAATTTACAAGGGATGTGAAGGACCTCTTCAAGGAGAGCTACAAACCACTGCTCAGTGAAATAAAAGAGGACACAAATGGAAGAACATTCCATGCTCATGGATAGGAAGAATCAATATTGTGAAAATGGCAATACTGCCCAAGGTAATTTATAGATTCAATGCGATCCCCATCAAACTACCAATGACTTTCTTCACAAAATTGGAAAAAACTACTTTAAAGTTCATATGGAACCAAAAAAGAACCCGCATTTCCAAGACAATCCCAAGCCAAAAGAACAAAGCTGGAGGCATCATGCTGCCTGACTTCAAACTATACTGCAAGTCTACAGTAACCAAAACAGCATGGTACTGGTACCAAAACAGAGATATAGAGAAGTGGAACAGAACAGAGCCCTCAGAAATAATACCACACATATACAACCATCTGATCTTTGACAAACCTGACAAAAACAAGAAATGGGGAAAGGATTCCCTATTTAACAAACGGTGCTGGGAAAACTGGTTAGCCATATGTAGAAAGCTGAAACTGGATCCCTTCCTTACACCTTATACAAAAATTAATTCAAGAGGGAGTAAAGAATTAAATGTTAGACCTAAAACCATAAAAACCCTAGAAGAAAACTTAGGCAATACCATTCAGGACATAGGCATGGGCAAGGACTTCATGTCTAAAACACCAGAAGCAATGGCAACAAAAGACAAAATTGACAAATGGGATCTAATTAAACTAAAGAGCTTCTGCACGGCAAAAGAAACTACCATCAGAGTGAACAGGCAACCTATAGAATGGAATAAAATTTTTGCAATCTACTCATCTGACAAAGGGCTAATATCCAGAATTTACAAAGAACTCAAACAAATTTACAAGAAAAAAACAGACAATCCCATCAAAAAGCAGACAAAGCATATGAACAGATATTTCTCAAAAGAAGACATTTATGCATCCAACAGACCCATGAAAACATGCTCATCATCACTGGCCATCAGAGAAATGCAAATCAAAACCACAATGAGATACCATCTCACACCAGTTAGAATGGCAACTATTAAAAAGTCAGGAAACAACAGGTGCTGGAGAGGATGTGGAGAAATAGGAACACTTTTACACTGTTGGTGGGACTGTAAACTAGTTCTATCATTGTGGAAGACAGTGTGGCAATTCCTCAAAGAGCTAGAACTAGAAATACCATTTGACCCAGCCATCCCATTACTGGGTATATACCCAAAGGACTATAAATCATGCTGCTATAAAGATACATGCACACGTATGTTTATTGCGGCACTATTCACGATAGCAAAAACTTGGACCAACCCAAGTGTCCAACAATGATAGACTGGATTAAGAAAATGTGGGACATATACACCACAGTATACTATGCAGCCATAAAAAAGATGAGTTCATGTCCTTTGTAGGGACATGGATGAAGCTGGAAACCATCATTCTCAGCAAACTATCGCAAGGACAAAAAACCAAACACTGCATGTTCTCACTCATAGGTGGGAATTGAACATTGAGAACACTTGGACACAGGAAGGGGAACATCACACACCAGGACCTGTCTTGGGTTGGGGGTAGGGGGGAGGGATAGCATTAGGAGATACACCTAATGTAAATGACGACTTAATAGGTGCAGCACACCAACATGACACATGTATACCTATGTAACAAACCTGCACTTTGTGCACATGTACCCTAGAACTTAAAGTACAATAAAAAAAAGTCTATTTGGGATTGTAAAATAAAGATAGATTTCATTATTTATTGCAAACTGTCTGAGAAATCCTTTGAGAGTGTGTGGTAGTAGGATAATGAAGTAGATAAACTGGCTATTCCGGTTCCTGTAGCAGTAGCCATTCCTAACCCTATTAATAGGGGTATTAGTTGTATGGCTCTGTGCTGACAGACTTAACTTTGAGGGGTACTGATAATGTCTGATTTCCTGGGGCAATGTTAATGTTGGGACTTAGAAAGACTAAGGTGCAGGTGCCTGTCCAGTTAGTAGGAATGCAGATATAGGTCGATGTTCCACATAAGAATATACCTTGGCTGGGTAGACAGAACTGTTTGTGTATGTTAAAAAGGTGTGTGAGTTTGTTGTTTTCATTTTCCCATACTCCTAGACTACTTGCCAAGGTAGCTCTGGTGAGCGGGTGGAAGGGTGTTGGGATCAAACTGAGTGGCTCCCTGTGTTCTATTTTCCCATTGGAGAAAACACCGTTTTGTATCGACTAGGAACCTTTTGAGAGAGTGGTTGAAAGAGGGGATGAGCAGGCATTCACTAGTGGTGGGGGCACTGCTGCAGGGAGTCCAGGGGTGAATGGTCATGCAGGGAGTATGTTTGCCATTACAGAACCTGGACTGTTTGTTAAGTAGGGAGGAGATGATGACTTTTGGGGGCCCTGAGAAGCGGACAAGCCATCTGAATGGAGCTGTTTGGGTGACTCGGAAGTTACTATGATCAGTTGGGGCTTGAAGTTGTGGGGTGTAATTACGCTGATGGGGTAGTAGGTGCCCCAGAGGCAGGCCTGATAACAGGTTGCACTGGATGCATAAAGGAACTTAGAAAGTTAAGATGGTATTCATAGTTACAGTGCCGTGTATGGGCTTTTCATTGCTTGTGTAATAGGTGAGGTGGGAAATGTAAGAATGTAAAAGTTGGATTGCATGTCCTGTTAGGGTATTCTTGGTCCTATCAGAAATGGGGAATTTGGCTAATGATTGCATATTTAGAAGTTGGAAAGGGTCTTTTCCTTCATAACTAGGGTAGTAGGTTAAGTTGGTAAAGACCCAGTTTTTTTGCAGGAATGGGAGTGGCAACGTAAGCAGAAGTTGATAGAGAGATACAAAGCCAACAGTCATTTGCCAGGGAAGGATTGGACTGGTTTAACAGAGCGTGGGTTAGGTTGAGAGTCTTGTAGAGGTAATTAGGAGCTAGTGGAAGGTGAGGGGTGATTGTATGAGGTATCCAAGGAAGCAGGAAGGATAGATAGGCAAAGAGTAAATAGGAAGGTAAAACTGGTGCTCTGGAAGATGAGATCATTTTATCCAGGCTGAATTAAAGGTAGGAGTAAATTGCTGTCAGAAAGAAGGAAGATAGAAAGAAGGTCTTTCTTTCTCTTTGACTTCTTCGTCTCTCTCTTTCTGACTCCCTTTTTGTCTGTCTCTTCCTTTCTCTGACTTTCTCTCTCTCTCTCTCTCTCTCTGACTCCCTCTTTGTCTCTGTCTCTTCTCCTCTCTCTCTCCTTCCTTGTCTCTGTCTCTTCCTCTCTCTCTCTCTCTCTCTCTCTGACTTTCTGTCTCTTTCTCTCTTTTCTTTCTTCTGGTCTTTCCTTGCCTCTGCCAACCACTTATGCTGCTGTTCTCCCTTCTGCTTCCCCTTTTTGATGGCTTTGGCGGTGTAAGACTGCCACCTCCTTGGGTTTTTTCACTGAGTGCAATAACTCCATAATTTCCTTGTGGTATTTAATGGGCTTTCTCCTAGAGGTTAGGAACTCCCTTTATTTCCATATTGCAGCATGGGCATGTAGGATTAGATAAGCATACTTGCTATTTGTATACACATTTATTCTTTTTCCCTTTCGCAGTTCTAAGGCTCGGGTAAGTGCCACTAGTTCTGCTAACTGGGCGCTGGTCCCTGGGGGAAGAGGCTTATTTTCAAGTATGGTTACATCACTAACTATGGCATAACCTGCCCTTAATATCCCATTCTCCACAAATGAACTTCCATCGGTATATAGGTTAAGGTCAGGATTAGCTAAGGGGACTTTGAAGAAATCATTTTGGGCAGCATAAGTCTGGACTATAATTTGTGGCAGTCATGCTCGATTGGTTCCCCATCCTCTGGGAGAAAAGTGGCAGGGTTGAGGGCCACACAAGTATGTATTTGAAGCACTGGTCCCTCAAGGAGTAGTGCCTGGTATCTAAGTAGGTGGTGTCTGATAGCCATAAACTTTCTTTGGCACCTAGTATGCCATTTACGTCATGAGTAGTCCAGACAGTGAGATCCTTTCCTTGTATTATTTTGATAGCCTCTGACACTAAGATGGCCACTGCTGCAACTACTCTTAAACAGTGAGGCCAGCTTTTTGCTACTACATCAATTTCCCTACTTAGGTATGCCACTGGTTGTGGGGTTGTCCCACGAGTCTAAGTAAGGACTCCAAGAGCTATCTCTGCTCTCTCTGTGACGTATAAAGAGAAGTTTTGCCGTGTGGGAAGGCTTAAAGCTGGAGCTTGTACTAAGGCCTGCTTTAAGGTTTTGAAGGCTGTTTCTGTCCCTGGTTCCCATTCTACTAGATGAGTATTTGCCCTCTGGGTCTCCTTGATTAGAGTGTAGAGTGGTCTAGTCATCTCACTATATCTGGGGATCCATAGTTGGCAAAAGCCGGTGATTCCAAGGAACCCCCACAACTGTTTTAATGTCTTAGGGCAAGGATAAGCCATTATGGCTGTATTCATTCCTTGCTGAGGGCCCTGGTCTCTCTGGCTAAGATTAGGCCTAGATATTTGACCTGCTGTAGGAAAAGCTGGGCCTTCAACCTAGACACCTTGTACCCTTGATTAGCTAGAAAGTTCAGCAGATCTAGAGTAGCCTGCTTGCATGAGGTTTCCAAACTGGTAGCCAAAAGTAATTCATCCACATACTGAAGGGCCAGAGTGCCTGGACTTGAGAAGTGGCCTAGATCCTGGGCCAGTGCCTGACCAAACGGATGAGGGCTATCCCTAAACCTTTGGGGCAAGACCGTCCACATAAGTTGGGATGTGTGGTCTGTGGGATCCTCAAAGGCAAAGAGAAACTGGGAGTCAGAGTGCAGGGGAATACAGAAGAAGGCATCCTTGAGGTCCAGAACAGTGAACCATTCTGCTTCCTCTGGTATTTGAGAGAGCAGAGTATAGGGGTTGGGTACAACTGGATATACAGGAATTACTGCCTCACTGATGAGTCTAAGATCTTGCACTAGTCTCCACTGACCATTTAGTTTTTGTACTCCTAGAATTGGGGTGTTGCAGGGACTGCTGCATTTCCTTACTAAGCCTAAGGCTTTTAAATGTTTAACAATATCCTGTAATCCTTTATCAGCTTCAGGCCTTAAGGGATATTTCTTTTGATAAGGAAAAGTGGTGGGGTCTTTTAGCCTGATTTGGACTGGGCAGGCATTTTTTGCCCTTCCAAATTGTCCTTCCAATGCCCAGACTTCAGGTTTGATTCCCTCCTCAAGTAGGGGACAACAAATGGGTAACTTGTTCCCCATATTCACGTAGATAATAGCTCCAGCTTTGGCTAATATATCCCTCCCTAATAAGGGTGTGGGACTTTCAGGCATAACAAAAAAGGCATGTGAAAAGAGCAAAGTCTCCCAATTACAACTGAGGAGGTGGGAGAAATACCTGGTTACAGGCTGTCCCAGCATTATTCAGATGGTAACAGACCTTGAGGACAGTCATCTGGGACAGGAGATTAACACTGAGAAGGCTGTGCCAGTGTCCAGGAGGAAGTCAATTTCCTGGCCCTCAATGGTTAAACATACCCAGGCCTCAGTGAGGGTGATGACATGAGCTGGCGCTTGCCCGGGCACCCTCGGTCCTGTTGTTGGATCATCTGGTTGGGGGCTTCCAGCCCAGAGAACCATTGCACTCTGGGGCAGTGCACCTTCCAGTGATTGCCTCAGCATAGCAGACATGGATGAGAGGGTGGCTTGTTTCTCATTGGACAATCTTTTTTAAAGTGTCCTTATAAACCACATTGATAACAAGCCCTACCAGGTGATTGGCCTGCTCCATTTTCTGTCCTCTCTGAGCCACCAAGGTTTGTTTGTCTGAGGGCCATGACTAAGGCTATGGCCTTTCTCTGATCTAGCTTTTTCCTTTTGGGCCTGTTCCTCTTGGTCCCTATTATAGAACACCGAGGTTGCCAGGTTTAATAATGCCTCCAGATTTTGTTCAGGACCCAGGGCTTGCTTTTGGAGCTTTCTCCTGATATCTGCGGCTGATTGGGTAATAAACTTTTCTTTTAGAATCAGTTGACCCTCTAGTGAGTTGGGTGACAGGGGAGTATATTTTCTTAAGGCCTCCCATAGCCACTCGAGGAAGGCAGAAGGATTTTCTTCCTTTCCCTGAGTTATGGTGGACATCATTGAATAATTCATGGGCTTTTTCCTAATTCTTCTTAGTCCTTCTAGAACACAGGTCAATAGATGTTTACGACTCCAGTCCCCATGATCTGAGTCAAGGTCCCAGTGGGGATCCATACTGGGGATGGCTTGCTGACCAGTAGGGAATTTGTCCCTTTCTTCGGCTGTCATTCTATCATTTACTTGACTAAGATACCAGGTATCTCCAAACTCTCAGGCTGCAGCTGAAGCTACATTCTTTTCATTAAAGGCCAGGGTTTGATCTTACAATAGCATGACATCTCTCCAAGTGAGGTTGAAGGTTTGCCCTAGACCCTGTAGGACATCTATGTACCTATCAGGATCATCTGAAAACTTCCCCAGGTCTCCTTGATCTGCTTTAAATCAGAGAGGGAGAAGGGGACATCTACTTGGGTTGGGCCAAATTCCATTCCCCCTACAGCTTGAAGGGGACATAACCGATAGCCTGGGGGTTTTTGTGGTCCTTTGGAGATTTCTTTGCTTATTTCCTTCTGGGCAGGGGAGATTAGAGGAGGCTTATCATTAATAGGAAGGGGAGCTATAGGGAGGCTAGGATATGGGGGTAAGCTGAGATGTCCTCCTGTGGGATGTAAATTGCAAGCTTTGCATAGTTGTGTATTCTCCTTCAATGAAAAGAAAGCTTGGATATAAGGTATTTCACTCCATTTGCCTTAGCTCTTACAGAAAAGGTCAAGCTGCAGGACAGTATTGTAATTTATACTTCCCTTAGGTGGCCATTTTTCCCCATCAGAGAGAGAATATTGGGGCCAGGCCATAGTGCAGAAAAAAATGAGCCACCTCTTTTTCAGGGTTTGCGGGTCAAATTGGTCCCAATGGCTTAGGATGCATTTCAAAGGTGAGCCTGTTGATGCCTGAGTGTTTTCCATCTGAAAGACAAAATTGCCCATGGTTTTGCTTTGTTTGTTTCTTCCCCTGCCCAAGAACCTGCAACAGTCCCTGGACCCTGCTGATCAGAATAGTTGCACTCACTGACGCAGCAGCAGAAACACCTCTTGCCCAAGAACCCGCAACGGTCCCTGGACCCTGCTGATTGGAATAGTTGCACTCATCAACGCAGCAGCAGAAACACTAGTTTTCCTCCTAGACCACAAGGAGGACTGAGGAAGGTCTGATTTAGTGGCCCTTACTGATGCATTCTCAAAAACTTGCACCCTTGCCTGTCCTCCTAGACCACAAAGAGGACCGAGAAAAATCAGATTTAGTGGCCCTTACCAATGCATTCTCAAAAACCTGCACCCTTGCCTGTCCTCCTAGACCACAAAGAGGACTGAGAAAAATCGGATTTAGCGGCCCTTACTGATGCATTCTCGAAAATCTGTTAGAGTCCTAAGCATTCTCCTATTAGTATTGGGACTTTACCCCTGTCCTATAAAGATGTTATGCCCCAAAAATGAAGTGGAGGGCCATACCCTGAGGGAGGGGAGGGATCTCCAGAGTTGGAAGAGTGATGTTTTTTGTCCTCACTTATATGAATAGGAAGGATACAATTTCTGAGGTTCCCCATATCCTAGCTTCAGGAATAGCTTTTGTTAGGCCTGCTAGTCTGAGGAGGGATCCTAAAATTCCAGGCAGTCCCCCCTGTGATGGGGCTTTGGGTAAAAATTATGTCTTTCTGATTGGTGAGCCTGGGTGCCTAAAGAAGGTAACAGAGTCCTGGAGTTTACACTAGAAATCATTCTTATAGGAGAAACTAGAAAAGCACCAGAGATAGGGAGTGGTTTTTAGAAGTGGGACTAGCCTCAAAGAAGAGGCAAGAGGAAGTTTGTCTGGCAGGCATTAGGACCCAAGAGGCAAGGGTCAAGATAGATAGAATAGATGGGCGAGTCTCGCTTGGGCAACATGACTTCGAGAGTTCCGCTCATGGTCACAGGGTCAACCAACTTGTTGTCGGGACCCTGGAGCTGAATGGCTTTCCTCTCTGTTGACCTTGACTCAGCCCAGAAGTACAGGAAAAGCAGAAGCTTGTTCCAGGCAAACCAACGCTCCCAACTCCGAAGAGTCGGGGGTTGTTAGAGAGCCCTTTCCCAGAAAGCCTGACACCCGTGTCTTTAGTCTGGTGGCCGCACTAGTCGCTTTTAACTGGCCGACAGGTGCCCAGTATTTAGCTCCCGAATTCTAAGGAAAAATAGGACAGAATAGCAAGCAAAAGGGGTCCAATGGTACTCACCGCTTGGCGATAGGTGATAGTCCCTTTGTGGTCACCAAAATGTGTCTGGAATTGGTTCCTTCTGGTGGGTTCTTGGTCTCGCTGACTTCAAGAATGAAGCCGCGGACCCTCACAGTGAGTGTTACAGTTCTTAAAGATGGTGTGTCCGGAGTTTGTTCCTTCAGATCTTCAGATGTGTCTGGAGTTTCTTCCTTCCAGTGGGTTCTTGATCTCGCTTGACCAGGAGTGAAGCCGCAGACCTTCGCAGTGTGTGTTACAGCTTTTAAAGGTGGGGCGTCCGGAGTTGTTTGTTCCTCCCAGTGGGTTTGTGGTCTTGCTGACTTCAGGAGTGAAGCCACAGACCTTCTCAGTGAGTGTTACAGCTCATAAAGGTAGTGCGGACCCAAAGAGTGAGCAGCAGCAAGATTTACTGAGAAGAGCGAAAGAACAAAGCTTCTACAGCATGGAAGGGGACCCAAGCAGGTTGCCACTGCTGGCTTGGGTGGCCAGCTTTTATTCCCTTATTTGGCCCCATCCACGTCCTGCTGATTGGTCCATTTTACAGAGTGCTGATTGGTCCACTTTTACAGAGTGCTGATTGGTCCATTTTACAGAGTGCTGATTGGTGCATTTACAAACCTTTAGCTAGACAGAGCACTGATTGGTGTGTTTACAATCCTTTAGCTAGACAGAAAAGTTCTCCAAGTCCCCACCCGACCCAGAAGCCCAGCCGGCTTCACCTCTCATTACCATGGATGTTGAAAGTTATTGTTAAAAGGCATAGGCTTTGGGATGGTATGTTATTCAGCAATAAATAACAGCTTCCAACAAGGCAACTAATTTTCTACATTAATCATTGAAAATGGGTACTTATTTAGAAAGAAAAATATCACCTCATGAATTTCTTTTGCTCATAGTCCCCACACCAACTTATGCCCCTTCCATCATTTGAATTCTTCTTAAAAGGCTTTAAAAATATACCTGAAGCCAGGCCCCAACTTTTTGTTATTCTTCCGTGTTTTTTCAGCATTTGTATATCATATCTGCACATTTCTGTAAGCATATTTACATGTTGTAAACAATAATTTCCAGTCTATTATAAAATGAGATTTTCATGTTGTTTCAGGAAACAAGTATTCCATAAAGAGAAGCATATATGCCTGTTGACCAAATATGACTTTGAACATGGTAGAATATTTTTTCTTTAGTGGTAAGCTTGGATTTTTCATAAAAGTAGCATTTTTAAAAACTAAACATTTATTTTATCTCCTTTTTTTAGTTCACTTATTTGTGAGTTACTCTAAGCTTCAGTTTAACAGAAGACTTAGGGAAAAGTTCTCAAAAAATTCTCACCACCTTCTCTTGTCTATATTACAAGCTTTCCAGAACATACAACTGCCATGCACCTTCTCATTCCAATATCCTCACATGGGAATAAAAGAGAGCAACCAGTAACTCCTCAGGTTGTATTGTGTCCCTAGTTCTGCAATAGGACAGATACTTTAACTATTTGGTTTCAGCCTCTTAGAGTTTATATTCAGGAAAACAGCCACTTTTCAGTAGATAAGCATTTTCTATGCACTTTTCCCAGCGTCTATTTAAATTTTATAATAAATTGCCTGATTGGCACCTGCATTTACCTATATTACAGAGTACAGCATGCAAAACAAGATCAGATTTCTGAAAAGCAGAGCTTAGTCTATGGAAATTATTTTTCTTTGTTCCAGGTATTACAACATTAATTCAATAACATTTCTAAAATGAGACTATGCTTATATAAGCAGATAAATAATTAGAAAGCATATAAATCATTACTTCCTAATGTGACTACAACAAAATTCAGTGCAATTTACAGATAAATATGAAAAATGACCACTTTTACTGAATTAAATTCAGCAATATTTGTAAGAAGGGAAATGAAGACTCCCATGTTCACTAGCAAAGAACGTAATTGTAAAGAAAGGTATATCTCATTTTTTATGTGTTTAAAATATTCTCTAGGTGCATGAAAAATATCTACAAAATTAACATTTTCACTCTTAATTAATAAAATGCCATCTTAAAATGAGATGATAATCTTACATTTTTATAAAAATTTTACGTTATGTAAAATAAAGTTTGAGAGCCTAGAATGACCTTGTGTAAAATCTTAGTTTTGCTTAAAAAAATATTAAACTGCTTTTAAAAGGGTGTAGTGCTGTTAAACTATACTACCACATTAATAACCACTCCGCAAAATGAGGTCGTTATTGAAACATTTAGGACTCAAAATCAATCTATGTCACCTAATGCTGTGAAACATAAATCATTAATAGCCTACAAAAATCAATCATGGGACTCAAAAGTTGATGGCGTGTTGAAGGATTGCTTATTCTATTGCACCTTTGATTTTGGAAAACAGAAAGGTATAGTTTTGTGACAGAAATTTTAATTTGTAAGATACTACAATTCTATCAAAATGCATTACTTCGAACAGTTTGCGTGATAAGAATCACATAGACCTATTTGAACTGTAGCAAATTTTGATTTTTGTGATGTACTTGTTAATTAGTTTATTATATGCAAAATGAATCATGAAGCTGTGTCCTTGCTTAGGAGAGGGTTCTAAGTGATGAACTTGGATGATGGAAATAAACAAGTAAGGATCTGGGGGACAGGCCATCCTCCTGGAAAATAATGGATGTAAGAAACAGCCTTACTTGTCTAAATCTTCTACAAGAAAATGTATTCTATGTTCTTGTGAAAAGTTAGTGGAAAAATAAATGTTATCTGATTCCTGGAAGGTCTATGGTATGGTAGACCACTGCAGAGGCTATATGCTTATGGGACTACTGTACGCTTTTTCTCTGAAGAAGTACTATCCTCTACTAACATCTTGGGGGTTAGGAAGGGTGCCAATCTCTGGCAGGGCTGTCTTATAGAAGCTTTACTCAGTAGTTTGCCATGGGAGAATTTTACTAGCTTACTCTGCTAAGGCCATATGTCCCCAATTCTAAGATTTTTCCTTCATAATTTGTTCCAGGCATTCTTTGAGGTGAAACTTGATAATTGTCAGAGGAGATGACTAGCGTAATTGTGACTTACTGCAATTACTTAAAGGAGAAGTAAAGAGTAGCAGATAAAAAAAAATTGCAAAACAGATTTAGCGTACTCAGCAGGAGAAAATGAGAAGTACTATCATTTGATTACCAAGCAATCAACTCACTCTACACACTCCCCCACTTTTCACATTACCCTAATTAATTGTCAAGTTGGCCATCCTACTTGGCTACCTGAAAATCAATCCTCAGTCCAGACTTAGTCTGTCTTGATAATCTCTTGTAATTTAGAGTACTTCTCACTGTAAGTCTCCACTTTCCTCCCATCTCACTGAAAAGGACCCAAACAAATCATATGACTGTGAACCAGAAAATATGAGATCCTGTCCTGAAACAACTCATGATAGCTAACCTCATACCTATGTAGAGGATGAAGTCAATTTGCTACATTTACAAAATACAACATAAAATTCCAGCAGAAACTACTGTGATAATTTGCACCAGACTTGGAGAGCTTGACATATCTGGAAGGAATTGGTTTAGGGCAAGAATTTAATGTTGTATATACTACAGCAAAGGAAATATAAAGTTTACTCAAAAAGAAAACCTGAAATAATCCAATAAAGAATCAACATATTACACTTGAAAATGAAACTGTTGTGTGTCAAACAAGTTGCCATTTGGCACAAACATGATGCTTGACTTTCTCATTAATATTGCAAGAAAATGCAGACACCAAAGTGCTGTCAATTTCATAGAGCAAGGCTATGTTTTCTGCACTCTTTTTTTTTTTTTTTTTTTACTAGTTTTGCTTGGTCTCTTTTACAAATTAACGTGTTTGGGTTTTTTGTTTGTTTGCTTGCTTTTTAGTTTTGCAATTAAAAACATAAAAAGAAAGGTTAGGACTAAGGAGAATTTTCACTGATCTGGAGATATTGCCTTAGGGCAATGCCCCATTCTAAATTTCAACTAGCAATGGATCGCTACATAATTATTTAGTCATTTACATTAAATATGCACAAATTAATAAAAATATAAAAGTCTAAAATCAAACCAGAGCCTGATTTACAAAGAATCCGATTCTTTCCCTATGATAAAATATTTTATATAACTTTGTAATAATTCCTACCAAAAGAGTCATTGAAAACTGTTTATTAACTGAGGTTGGCTCGGTTGGAAATCAAGATGAAGTTGAACTTTTTGTACCTTTAATGTCTTCCTCTTCCATATTTCCCTTGATACTATATTTTTCTTGCCAACTTCAGGTATCCTGGGTCCTCACGTTTTCGAAACTTGCTCCCATCAAAATTTGTTCATTCAAAAAAAAAGGAAGCTAATAAAATATACTTACATGAATGCCCAGTAATATTTTTTAGAATTATCCTTCCAGAAATATCTGCCCTTTAAACAGGGAACAAGAAGCTTCAAGCCAACATAAGGTATTTCTGAATTGCAAGATTTTAGGCATCAGCAATTCAGTAGGAAAGATATCTGGGAGAACAAAGAGACCTCCCAGGAGGCCCTAAAATTACTTGACACACTTATAAGTTTAACTATGATTAGCCATCTAAATATACATAACACTGTGTTTAGAACCAACTTCAAAAGAGAATTCACACCTTCTGATATCTACCTTTGTGGAAATCACAGCAAAGCTAATAGAGTAGACAAATGCATAAGTGAGGTTGAGCAATCTATTTAACTTTCCTGTGCCTCAGTTTCTGTATCTTTGAAATGTGTAGAATAAGAATACATACCTTATTGGGTTGTTGTGAGGATTAAAACAGACAGTAATATATAAAGCACAGAGCACAGTGCCTGCTGGATATAAAGTGCTTGACAAATCATCATTGTTATTATTATTTTACTCATATATAAGAAATTCAGATAACCATTGAATTGTCACATCAGGGATGGTATAATATTAGTGGAAAGCCAGATCAAAGGGAAGATCATTATGACCTGGCACAGAGTGTGGTGAAACTACATTTCTGAATGATCCAATGTGCCGGGGTCCATGCTAACTGGTATCATGGTACAGACGCAAGGTACCACACTTAGTCCATGCAGTCTAACAATGTACACAAAGATATGTGAAGTATCAGTAAGGGAAGTATAAAGCCACTTGGCAGAGAGATATCTGTGGAATAAAAGCCAGAAGAATCTTAGTCCATAAAGATTCCTATAAGCCATCTCCAACACTAGCCAATAATGTGCTACTGTGTGGAGGCTTAGATTTTTACTAAATCTTTCCCAAATTTATTTGAAGCCTTACTTCAGTTTTTCCAGATCTTCTGCATGTCCATTACTTCTCTATGAGCTTGTTTGCCATCTCTTCCAGTAAACAATATTGTTTATTCACAGACTGAGTTTACGTTATCTCCTTTACCCCTGGGTATGTCTCAAGAAAAAAAAAATGCCCTGTATGTACAGACAGCTCAATTGATTCAAGGTTAATAGCTCTATTGCTCATGTTTGATGTTTGCATTGTAAATCTGACTCAGAAATTATTCCTAAATTCATCTTGCATTCTCTTGAATAGTTACATGTGTAAGTTCTACACTAATGCTGATTTTAAATGTTTTCCAAAAAGTGACATGCAAAAATCTTAACAAAAACTTTACCTGAAGTTAGATGCTATAAAAAGCAAAAGAAAGATATAAAATTCTCTTTTTTGATTGTGTCTCTGCCCGGCTTTGGTATCAGGATGATGCTGGCCTCATAAAATGAGTTAGGGAGGATTCCCTCTTTTTCTATTGATTGGAATAGTTTCAGAAGGAATGGTAGAGGATGTGGAGAAATAGGAACACTTTTACACTGTTGGTGGGACTGTAAACTAGTTCAACCATTGTGGAAGTCAGTGTGGCGATTCCTCAGGGATCTAGAACTAGAAATACCATTTGACCCAGCCATCCCATTACTGGGTATATACCCAAAGGACTGTAAATCATGCTGCTATAAAGACACATGCACCCGTATGTTTATTGCAGCATTATTCACAATAGCAAAGACTTGGAACCAACCCAAATGTCCAACAATGATAGACTGGATTAAGAAAATGTGGCACATATACACCATGGAATACTGTGCAGCCATAAAAAATGATGAGTTCATGTCCTTTGTAGGGACATGTATGAAACTGGAAACCATCATTCTCAGCAAACTATCGCAAGAACAAAAAACCAAACACTGGATGTTCTCACTCATCGGTGGGAATTGAACAATGAGAACACATGGACACAGGAAGGGGAACATTACACTCTGGGGACTGTTGTGGGGTGGGCGGAGCGGGGAGGGATAGCATTGGGAGATATACCTAATGCTAGATGACGAGTTAGTGGGTGCAGCGCACCAGCATGGCACATGTATACATATGTAACTAACCTGCACATTGTGCACATGTACCCTAAAACTTAAAGTATAATAATAATAATAATAATAATAATAAAAGAAATTGTTACAGAGAAAAAAATAAAATAAAATTCAGCATGTCCCTTGAAAAAAAAAAAAAAAAAGAAAGCTATATAACAGTGATTTGGTTGTGTGTGTGAACCAGTTTTTGTACCTCCACTAGGAACAATAATAGAAATCTTCTAAACAGAAATTGACACTATTTTTTCAATCTTTACCTTAGAAGTAGCAAACTATTTTGTATAGATAGGTTTTAGTAACTACGTCAGCATTAAGAAACATTTTGATTTTGTTAAGTGGGAAAAGACGAAAAAATAATCTTTGACTTCTTAAAGTCTTCCTACCATGCAAGACCCCAAATAAAAACAAATGTATGGGGCAAAATTATCATGGTCATGAACATATGGTAACTGTTAAATATAAATTTAAGAAGAGAGATTTCATGAACTGTGTCTGTAATTCTCAAAGCATGGTCCATGTGCTAAATGCCTTCAGAGGGTGAAAGAGGCTTAAGGCAGCAAGTGTGACTGTTGCTACATAGTTATGGGGGATCTGACATGTATCCAGAAGAGCAACTTCTCAGGGTCTAAGAATTGCAGAACAGGCCCTTCATTATCAAGCCAAATTAAAAGTAGAGGTAGTAGTAGAGGCAGTAGTGGTAGTTTCTCTATTAAATGATTAAAAGAGAAATCATTCAACCCACTAAAGAATTACTAATTGCGAGCCAACTTGCACTGTTACCACCCATCCATAACTTAAGCCAATATCTTTAAAGTTACTGTAAGTAACTGTTATGTACTGTTACAGGCCTCTCTAGAGAAAAAAAAAAATAGTAACAAGACAGATATAATCCCTGTTCTCATAGAGCTTATATTCTAGCAGGCAAGATAGATAATAAACAAAATTAAATAGGTAGATGATATGGTATGTCAGATGGTGATATGTGCTAAGTAGAAAAATAAAGCAAGGAAAGAAGAAAATATGTGCTTCTAGAATGTGACTGTATGTGTGTAAGGTGGATGGGAGAGAGAAACAATTTTGAATAACATAGCTCAACTGTCTCTGAGAAGTTGATCTTTGAGCAAAGACTTAAAAGAATACAGTGATCAAGGAATGCATATATCTGTGGGGGGAAAAGAGTTCCAGACCAAGGATAGTATAAGTCAGGCACTACGGGGAATGGGAGAAAAGTGGAAGATGTGGATCTTGTCCTAGAGAAACTTAATCTCTGGTTGGATAGAACAACAACATACACAACTGAGCACTCCCACAGCACCCTGTGCTTATGTCTTGGTGCTTTTCACATGGTTTCTTTTTCATATTGTATTTTAATTATCCCAGTTACTTCTCTCTCTTCTTCCCACTAGACTGTAAGCATCTTGAGGTAGGGGCCATATCTATTTTTGGTATCCTCAGTGTTAAGTACAATACCCAACAGAATAGATACTCAATAAACCAATAAGTATGAGTCAATTTAAGGAACAATACTGAAGACCATAGGATTGTAGTGTCTCTAAGCCATACATTTCCCTAGAAGTTCACAAGAAGAAACAAAAAGAAGTGAAGGCTGGAATTGCCAGGGCAGGCTTCATGGAGAAAAATGTACTTCAGGTTGGTGCTGAGAATTGGTAAACATGGGGATGAGAGAAGTAATTCTCTCAGCATCACAAAGTTAGAAAACCTCTTCTTTTATAATAAGTGAGGAAGATCTCAGAATAATATCCCATTTTTCAGATGTAACACTGAGTGAGATTAAATTCACCATAGAAAATGATCTTTAAACCTGAAGAAGAGGGCCTCCCATAAGTATACCCCACTAAAATCCAGATTTCCTAAATTCCTTTAGCACTAAAGTTGCTGGTTAATCACTCCTTCCAGGAGCCAGTATCTGCCTACTTCAGTTCTGTGAAATCAGTAAGGCTTGAGAAAACTAATGACAAACTTTAATCCCCAAATTTTAAATGACAGAATCTTGGTTCAGTGAATCTAAGAGGTGAACATTCCTCAGTGCACTAAAACATTAGGAAAAAGCCTTGTCAAGTGCCTTTCTAGTATCATCATCATTTTATCTGGTTATTATCTGGTCAGTGTGCAGATTTATATTCCAGCCCCTTCTATGCTTGAATGTAAAAATTCTTCCTGCCAATTTTGCCGATTTCTACTTACCAGCCATTGATTTTTCTAGTGTGTTTCTAAATGGAGCTTGAAATTAACATGGCTTTTCTTTTTATTCACTTTCCTGTATCCTGGCAGCATCAATAATCAGTCCAAGAAGTAGACCTGATTGTGGGTAGAGGACGAGCATTGCCATTGGAACTAATCTCTTCTGCCATTCATAGCAAGGTTAGTGAATATCAAATTTCCCTGGTGAGGAAAGAAAAACATGTTCCACCCCATCTACCCTGCCCATGATCCTATCTATGCATATCCTAAGTTTCAGAGAGAGAGAGAGAGAGAGAGAGAGAGAGAGAGAGAGGAATACAGACAGTTAAAAATAATCAAATCATACTTTAGAGGTCTGTAAATAGACAAGATAAAGATTGGGAAAGAACTTTGATTTAGAAGCAGAGTTGGGGGAAAAACATTCATGTCTGTATATTTGGATCCAGCTAATTTGAAAGTGATATGATAATGATGATAATCCTTATCATATGAGTGTCAAGATTAACACGGCTATTCACTTTCCTGTATCCTGGCAGCATCAAAGATCAGTCCAAGAAGTGGACGTGATTTGTGGGTAGAAGATGAGTGTTGCCATTGGAACTAACCTGTTCTGGCATTCATAGCAAGGTTAATGAATATCAGATTATGATAATCCTTATCATATCAATGAAGAATTGCTAAGAGCCTGTAGAATTACAAGGAAAAACTATTAATACATAAAATAATGATTTTCAAGCCTCTATATACATATCAGAAGGACTCATTTGCTAATATCAAATATTTCTTATTTGTCAAATCAAATTTTGTATCCTTTGTTCAAAATATTCACTGTCCCTTCCTACAGGAGGATTATATACTTCTACCTCTTTTTCATCATGTCTGGATATGTGACTTGCCTTGACCAATGCAACATGGGTGGAAGTGATATGTGCTGCTTCCTAGAACTTTTAAGAGCCATCGAGTGATTTACCGCCTTGCTCTTCCTCCTCTGAATTGAAAGTGTCAAGGTCCCAGATAGAGGCTTCCCTGTTAGTGAAGAAAACATGGAGCAGAGCTGCAGTCAACCTCCAGAAAACTCCTAACAAAAGTGAGAAATCAACCTTCTATTGGTAAGCCGGTGAGATCATGGGGTTGTTTATTACTGCAACATAACTTAACCAAAGCTAATATAACTTACATGAAGCAAAATGATATATACACTTGAAGATTACAATGGACTGAATGTTTGTGTCCCTCAAAAATTCTTATGTTGAAATTCTAATCCCAATGTGACAGTATTTTGTGGTAGGGCTTTTTTGGAGGTAACTCAGTGACGAATGTGGAGTCCTCAAAAATGAGATAAATGCCATTGTATTAATAATAGTTACCTCACAGAGCTCTCTTGCACTTTTCTGCAACCCAGAAGAGAGCCCTCACCAGAACCCAACTATGCCAGTACACTGATCTTGGATTTCTGTTATTTATAAACTGCCCTATCTATGGTACTTTGTTAAAGCAGCCCAAACTGACTAATACAAAGGAATGAGACTTTATTAAAAATCATATATGCACTTCTATGTGTGTGTGTCTATATACACATACGCAATTATAAATTTCTTAATTTGAAGTCACCTTTTATTGCTCTGCTATCTCTGGTTGCTTGGATGTGAATTCTCTCATCTCTAGGTTCTGTGAAGTATATTTCTTGGTGTTAAGGTTTCTCATGTATTTTATACTTTTTATTTATGGGTTCATCTTCCATGGATATATGAGAATATTTTCTGTAGAAGATATAAATAGGTCATGGGTTGTGATGGCCTCCTCTGGAGTGGTTTCACAGATGCCTTTGCCTGAATATTAGACGAGTCACCATATTCAAACTAGATTTTATATCTATTAATTGGCTGTAGTTTCTACAACTCAAAGGTTCTAGTCACTCTCAGGTGACCTAAAGCCTGGGTCCAGCAGTGAATTACCTACAAGACCCTAAGCCAGCTAGCAGAGGTTTTCTGGTAGCTATTCAAACATGATGCATTGCTTTTCTGGTTCTGGCTTCCACATAGGTAACCTAAGTCAAGCTCCTTGGTTTTTACCAAGCTTGTGACCTTGACAAAAGTCAGAGGCAGATTTACCATGTAGCTAATGAAGCTTAGGTTTCAGGGCCTCATGTCCATGGGCTCCCTTCATGGCCCAAGGAATGGCCCTACATATGTGTGCACATGTTCATGGGTTTTAGTGAAATTGAAAAGTAAGATAATTTTTAAGGAGAGCTTTCCAAATTGTATGACTTTCAGGTCCCAGAAAGGTTGAAACTGCTCATGCTCCCAACATACGAGGCATTAGATCCTCATCACCTAAGATAAGTTGTGTTTAGAGTCCAGGTCCTTCACATTTTGTAAAGCTTCAATTATTATCCGCCACTTTAGCTATTATTTTCTTCTTCATTTCCAACATCTGGAGATACCCCTTTCATACTTTCAGGCTTGGCTATGCATGTTAAAATTTATTTTCTTTAGCATTTTATGCATCTGTTGTGGTATAATATTTCCCTTCTGCTTTGTCCATCATCTTGGCCAGAATTTATACACAACACTATACAAGGCTTCTCAACAACAGATACAATTTAACAATAAATCTGAATGACTACCATGAGTCCTTTAGGATGCTAGGCACTGTGGATAGTAAGACAAAACCATGATCTCTGCACTTAAGGAACTTATAACTTAATTGAGATTATAAATCTAACCTCCACTTTTAAAATAATTTAATCAAATGTATGAAAGTGTTCCTTCAAGATGCTGATTTTCATAAGTGTTCAGGAAGTTTTGATGTATAATGGGGATTAATTAGGAGAGAAGGAATCATCCACATCAATATTTTGTTAATATTGAAGATATCTCAGTTTGCATTCTAATCCCCTTTGTGTGTCATATTTGAATCCTTCCAAGATCTTCCTGTCCCTCTTACCCAGGGGATTTTAGAATTAGGTACATTACATTACTACAAGGTATGAAAAGAATTCAGAAAAAAAATACAGGATAACTATCATTTCTTAGAATTTTAGAACAATGGAAAGGTAATTCAGAACCCATGGTAAGGAAAAAAACAATGTCAGAGTTGGAAAGGAACTTAAACATCAACAAGATAATTCCTTTATTGGATAAATGAATAAATTAAGGACCAGGGAGATTCAATAGCAGCACCTTGTTCTATATTTCTACTGTGGTGTCCCAGATTTGTATTATCATGTGACAATAGAAAAATATGTCATTTGGAACAATGGAAAGGCTTTCTGCAGGTTTCTTTCTACATTTTAAAACAGTTGTAAAGGAAACTTTATTATAAAAGAAAATTTCCTTTAGTAGACAACTCGAATATAAAATATTTTTAAACAAACTGACTTTTTGACCAATTAGTCCGATTTGGTGAGATTTATATGAATAGAAACATACTTTTTCAGGGGATCTTTTCATACTCTGGAACTTTAAAAAATCATATTTATTTCCATTATAGACATTTAAGAACTTATATAAGTCGTTATTTAATTTGACTTTTTCTTTATATGTTTGTCTTTTGGGGAGATCTGAAAATGCTTTCAGAGTCTCAGGGGAAAGTTTACAAAGAAGCTGGTTACATAATTGGGGTAATTTTTACAGTTAGAACATTTTCACAGAGAACTCAGGACCCTGGTGTCACTTACCAATAAGAGATAAGTGACAGACAGAAAGCATTCCATAAGATATACAAATAGCTCCCTTACTCACAACTAACAATTTAGAAATAACAAAAAACAAAATAAAAGAAACTTATGTTTTCCTGAAGACAATTTTCTTTTAGGAGGACAGAATAGAACAGTTCCAGAAGAGCCAGTAAGACAAGGTATCCTGAGAAAAATCACGGAGATAGAAAATATAATGCCACCCTGACAATTTTCCATAATAGTGTAAGAGAAAGTTACAAAGAATGCAGGGTATGGTGGGGAGACAAATAGGACAACTAGTAATAGGAGGTATGAGTTGAGAACACAAACTTCAGAGTCACCCAAAACCTGAATTAGATCCCACTTGCCTGATTTATGCTGCGGATTTGAGCCAGTTACTTAACATCTCTGATTCTTGGTTGCCTCATCCATAAATTCCTAGTATCTACTTTGGAGCAATCCAGATAAAGTGCTTAGTATAGTGCCTGGCACATAGTAAGCACTCAATACATGTTAGTCATTACTGCTATTCATAGTTAAATATAGGAATATGTTTCAAAGCAATAGAGTGACCCTACTACCACTTTTCTTCAAAAGCAAGAGTAATCACAAGCTTATTATGTTTTTCAACACAGCAAGCTTTCTTAGTAATCTCCTCATAGAGTTGTTGTGAGGATAAAATGAGAAAATACATAGATTTTGCTTAGCCCAGAACCTGGCACACTGTAAGCACTAAATAAATAGCTACTATTCTTATACATAGCACTGACTTCTGTCTCTAAGCTCATTTAATTTGTAATGTTCTTCAGATAAGCTATTGTAAAATGGTTGCAATGGTAATATTTTTATTGTAGTGATAGTGGAAAAACCACAACATCCCAGAGGCATGTGTTAGCATGGGGTCTCCAGGGGATACATATAAGAGATCTTTTGGAATAATTCCATCTAAACAGAGATAAATAAAAAATAGTAGTCACACTACATCCACCCAGATGTTTTTCCAACAATTACCAGAAATGTGCACCAGCGTGGTGGTGGTGGTGAAAAGATCCTAAAGAAGAAATGAAATCAGAAGAGTGGGAACTGGGCCTCACAAACACAGCCTCTCCCCTTTTCTATGTTTGAATATCTGCATGTGACTGACATTCTTATAGCTTTTGTAATACAGCTTGGCTATAGCTCCTTCTGGATAAAACTGTTCATGGATATAGTTCTGTTAGAAATAGGAGATATACCTAATGTTAAATGATGAGTTAATGGGTACAGCACACCAACATGGCATATGCATACATATGTAACAAACCTGCACGTTGTGCACATGTGCCCTAAAACTTAAAGTATAATAATGAAAAAAAAGAAATAGTCTTTCCCACTCTAGGAAGAGACAAAGCAAAAAAAGAATTATACAGGGAACCATGAAGTGGCATATGAATTTTGGGGAAAAAATTATTTTAAAAGGAAGAAGTTTTTATTAAAATATATATTAAGACAGGAAGATGACTATAGTTAACAATAATACATTTTATATGTCAAAATAGCTATGGGAGTAAGTCAAATATTTCACTACAAAAAATGATAAGTAAGGTGATGGATATGTTATCACTAGCTTGACTTAATCATTCTACATTGTATACATATATCAAACATCACATTGTATACTATAAATGTATACAAGTATAATTTGTCCATTAAAATAATAAAAAATAAAAAATAAAAGTAAAAGGTATTTACAGCAGTTTCTCAGAGCCTTGAGTGAATAACACTAAGGATACACAAGATACTTTTCCCCTTACAAAAACAAAAAACTTGCATTAAAAGAACTTCAAGAATTGGCCAGAAAGTTATACCGAGGCCCAAGAAAAGTTGACATTTTCATCCCAGGCAACAGTGTTTTACAAGGCAGAATCATTGATATTAAAACAAATGAATATTTGACATTAACATATGCTCAGAAAAAAAGAAACGATTATTCAAGGCACCTTCAAACATCAAAGTTAACACGAAAGGGGAAGAAAATGTCTCAATCCAGTGTGTTTGCTTTCCTTCCTGAGAAAGAATGGAATGATGATTTGACTGGAGTCTTTTTAAGACGATGGATATATGTAGTATTCAGAGCTGTGCAAGGTTGACTTGTGTATTTGGCAAAATAAAATTGATTTGTGTAGAAATTAATTAGCAGTGTAATTCACAGAAGACTATAATCCCTTCCCCTTGCAAAGATTAATTGGAAGGGTACAGCTTCACAGGAGATCTTGGATTTATGCAAATTTCTACTGCCACAGAAGCAGCACTTATGTTTCTTTGGGGATCAAATAAATAACAATTACATATGTGAGATGATGTCATGATGTCAGACGCCCCATTGGGGACAAGTTATCAAGTTCTTTTCTGCAGTCATCTACTGTTGTTGCAAATATCCTTGGCACTGGATTTCAAACAAAAATGAAAACGAAGGAATGGGTCCGTTGTTTTCGTCGGTATTTTTCAGAGCAGATACAGGTAATTTAATACCCTAAAGAGGGAGAGTGGCCCTAAAGAATAACCTATCCCATCAGAAGAGTTAATATCTCACAAACACATGTCTACATATAGAACTTCAGAGCTTTGCATGAGGGAGCAGTCCAATATCTTGCTACTAGCATATCAAGAATATATTCTCAATCTTGCAATATAGCTAAATTGTATACTTTTGTGACTGCATTGTTCCATTGTTCTACTTGTGTCTGAGAGGCAATAGGAGGAACTTAATATGCTCATAGTCTCACTTAAAACTACTTTCCAAGCAAGTCTTCTGGAAATAGTCTCCTAAGAGATCTCTCTACCTCTGAGCTTGTCTATTTTCAATCCATTTTTTACACTGCAGCAAAGTGATTTTCCATCAGTACCCCCTACCTAGTGCCTTTACAATAAAGACTGAATCCCTTGATATGGTGTAAAAGGCCTTCCATTAAGAGGTCCCTACTTAACTTCCAGATTAATCTGTTAACATTCCTCTCCACAAATTTTGTGCTTCTTATTCCTAAACACATTTCACATCTATACCCATGGAAACAGTCCACAGGTCACTGCACTCACTGCAGGCCCTCATTATTTCTCAATTGGATTGCTAAAATAATCTTCTACCTGGTTTTCCTTCCTCCAGTTTCTACTCCCTCCAATCCATCAGTCATACTGCAAAGAGTGTATCTGAAACACATAGTTGATTATCTACCTCCCTGGTTAAAAACCTCCCATGGCTCCCCATTTCCTTCAGGATAAAGGCCAGTTTCTCTTTAGCTTGGTTCAGAGGGTCCCTCTCACACAGTATTTGGGCATTACCAATATCTCCAGACTCAACCCCTCACTGTCACATCCACATACCCTCTGTAGCCATGTGGATTGTTACAGTCATCAGCATCCGTCGCAGTTCTTGTATGTATGGCTCAATAAGCATGGTTTAAACTAATGCAGATGAGTATAAGAAGCAATCCTTCTTGCTGGTAAGTAACTTAAGCAGCCAATATTTAGTAGGGAAAGAGAAGAGGCAATTAGATGCTACTCATTCTGCTTTATTTCTTGTACATAGCTTGCATCGTATCTACCGCCTTGTGATACCATTTTTAGTTCCCCAATCCTGTCTTTGTTTTTGTTGTTGTTGTTACATGGCTATACAATTTTTTTTTTTTTTTTTTTTTTTTGAGACAGAGACTTGCTCTTTTGCCCAGGCCAGACTGCAGTGGTGCTATCTCGGCTCACTGCAAGCTCCGCCTCCCGGGTTCATGCCATTCTCCTGCCTCAGCCTCCCGAGTAGCTGGGACTACAGGCGCCCACCACTGTGCCCGGCTAATTTTTTTTGTATTTTTAGTAAAGACGGGGTTTCACCATGTTAGCCAGGATGCATGGCTATACAATTTTGAAAGCATATATAAAGGTTTTAAGCCAGTCATGTTGGCTTCTAGAATCTTCTTGGGTAGTGTTTACAAAGTTTACAAAAAGTGAGGAATCTTTGCTATATACTAGGATAGATAGCCTCAACCCACTACTTAAGAACATGACTGTGTTCAAGAAACACACATTCATTTTTGGCCCCAATTTTTAAATTATCTGTCATTAGCTCAATTCAAATGCATTTTGAAGTGTTAAAACCCTAACAATGCTTGCTATGAGCCAAAAGAAATAAGATGAACTCCCAACTACATAGAAATCGATTATATTCACTTTCATTTGTTTCTAAATCACCAAAACTAGTCTCTCTATGCCTAAAGGTCTCCAGTATTTTCTAATACCGGCATCCACAAACTTTTCCCATGAAAAGTCAGAGAGAAAATATTTTAGGCTTTCCAGACTGTAAGGTCCTGTGGCAACTACTCTCCTTTGCCACTGTATTTCAAAAGAAGCCCTAGGAATACTTGAATAAATGAGCATAAATATGTTTCAATAAAACTTTATTTACAAAAAGAGGTGGTATGCCAAATTTGACTTGTGGGCCAGAGTTTGCCAATCTCAAACTATTTTGACTGTGGCTCATATAAAAAAAGTACTTTACTCTTGATCTAGCATATACTTACATGTATAGAATTTTAAAATTTAACAAAGAAAAAATTATCCTTCATATGAGCAACGTACTCCAATACTTTCTATTTCCTTCAATCCTATCTCTTTTAAATGCTAGTTGTAACCTACTGAATTGACTCTACAACACACTATGAGTTGTGACCCAAAACTTGCAAAACAGTGTTCCCATGGATTTCACTGTTTTATTCATTGTCTGAACCATAGGTCAGAAGTGACTTTATATTTGCATAACTAGCATTTGAATACTCATCTCTTAATTAATTAATCCATTCAATAGCCACTGGAAAGGTACCATTATAAATAACAGACAGATTGTGTGGTCACTATAGAAGGAAAGCAACTGCCAGTACATGTATATTACTCAGGGTTCTCTAAAGGGACAGAACTAATAGGATATATGTATATATGAAGGGGAGTTTATTAGGAGAATTGACTGACAGGATCACAAGGTGAAATCCCACAATAGGCCATCTGCAAGAGGAGCAAGGAAGCCAGTCTGAGTCCCAAAACCTCAAGAGTAGGGAAGCTGACAGTGCAGCCTTCAGTCTGTGGCCGAAGGCCTGAGAGCACCTGACAAATCACTGGTGTTAAGTCCAGGAGTCCAAAAGCTGAAGAACTTGGAGTTTGATGTTTGAGGGTAGGAAGCATCCAGCACAAAAGAAAGATGAAGTGCGGAACACTCAGCAAGTCTTCTCATTCCATTTTCTTCTGCCTGCTTTATTCCAGCCATGCTGGCAGCTGATTGGATGGTGCCCACCCAGACTGAGGGTGTGTCTGCTTCTTCCAGTCCACTGACTCAAATGTTAATCTCCTTTGGCAACACCCTCACAGACACACCCAGGAACAATACTTTGCATCCTTTAGTCCAATTAAGTTGACACTCAATATTAACCATCCCAAGTTCACCCCTTGTCAACTTGAACCCATACACATCTCCCAAAATCATACATAATCTTCAAATAACAACAATAAGGTCATAATTATGCCTAACATAATATAGCTATCCTTCACACAACCAGAAGCACACTAATCTTTAACCTAAAAGCTATCACATAAAGTTAATAACACTTAAATGCTGATCTGAAGTAAATAAATCTTATGTCATATGATAAAGGTATCAAGACTTGCATCTTTCAAGTCCTTGTTGGTGGCACTAACCTCTGCAGTCCCTCCAGGGATGCGATATTGTTTTTGATTTCCTATTTTTCTAGGTAGAGGCAGCTCTAATGGCTTCTATTTGGCCTTTCCCACCATAATAACTGTCACCCTACCAGTCAGGGAGCCAATGTGGGGGTAAGTATGTCTTAAGCTGCTAAGTATGTCTATGCCAATTATGCATTCTGGCACTGGGGAGATGACCACAGGATGAGTCTAGGCATCCATTGGGCCCACTGTAAGTCGGACCTGAGCTAAATTAATTACCTGACCTCCATAAGCCCTTACTTTAACTGGAGGACCACAGTGACATTCTGGGTCCCTCTGGAATCAATGTCAGCTCAGAGCCAGTGTCCAGTAGTCCACAAAAGGTCTGATCATTCTCCTTTCCCCACTGCACATCTATCCTGGTAAAAGGCCAGAGGTCTTCCTGGGGAAGGATGGGAGAAAGATGCATGCCAGAAAACTCAGCAAGTCTTTGCATTCCACTTTCTTCTGCCTGCTTTATTCTAGCCACGCTGGCAACTGATTTAGATGGTGCCCACCCAGATTGGGGGAGGATCTGCCTCTCCCAGTCCACCAACTCAAATGTAAATCTCCTTTGGCAACACCCTCACAGACACACCCAGGAACAATACTTTGCAGTTTTCAATCCAATCAAGTTGACACTCAATATTAACCATCACGACATGTTCCGAATCCAACTGAGTAAACAGTCCAGAAGTACTCTGAGTAAGTGCTCAAATATGCCACTTGGAATGTTTTGACTTTGTATCTTTTCCCAACTTAAACAGTTTCTCTGCCACTTTCCTCCTGCCTTGCTATCTTAGGATATGTTCGAGAAACATAGTGAGTTTCCTTGAAGTTTTCAGAGCTCAGAAACAATGAATGTGATACCTAATAATTGTTCCCAAATAAGGACTATCTTTAGCCTGAGGGGCTCTTTTACTTTTTGCTTGGCCTCTGAAGTTTGTTGATCAATCTATAAAATTGAAAGGAAAAGATGCAATGTGGGAATCCAAGGGCTCTTTATAACACAGCCTATAGGTTAAGTGAATGCCAGTTTGCAAGGCAACATCCAGAATTCAAGAAAGTTGGTTATTTGGCTCACATGCCCTCTGTATTATGACAAGAGTTCTCAGTGTCAGTTCCACAACAAGCTTCCCCCAAGTGTGGGAGCCTTTAGGGACCCTAAAGCTAAAGGAAGTCTTATACTATTCATGAACAATGGCTTTCAATATTTAGACAAGCTCTGCCTCCCAGGATGAGAAAATGGCTGAAGACAATAATCATTTCACATTTCAGAGTTGGAATTGAAGTGACATCATCATTCAACTCAAAATATGAACTGTGCTTCTCTTCAACTGAGGAGTTAAACTATTGAAGGACCAAAGGAGCTCATGAAATAGTATTTAGTCTTACACCATTTTCATCATAAATACGGTGATAGAAGCTATGTCTTAGTCCTTGAAATCAGCTTCTGATTAGCTGGGCCAGGTGGCAAAAGTCAACCATTCTTTACAGCTTAGAAGAATACTTTAGGAATTAACAGCTGTTCCATGAGCTTTTGACTACAGCAAAGCTGTTTGAGACAGTGAAACAATTTCACAGAACACTTGGCCACCGTTGTCTGCAAGGAATTTACCCTGGTTCTTAACTTATTCCCAAAATTTAGTTCTATAATCTGTCATTGGAAGCTTCTGAGGTGGAGAAAAAGGGAAAGGGCATTGGTAGTAGCAACTTTTTAATTTAGCTTTTCATATGAAAGGTCTTATGTTACATAGCAGATATAACATAATGGAATTTGTTATACCTTGGGGTACTATAATAAATCTGAATGACTATATCCCTCTCCAACCTGCCACAAGAGAAAAAAGCTTTTACATAAATGTATGAGTGATTAAATGATCCACATTTATCAACTGGCTGGATCTGGGCTTTAGTGTCTTTCTCCCTCTCTACCCAGCCCAGTGGATGGCAGTGGTCTGAGCAAGTATACTCAGATTCAAATTTTTCTTGACTGGGCTGTTCCAAGTTCCAGTCTGGGGTACAGAAAATTAATAAGTGTATTTGGTCCTCATGCTCAGCTACATCCTCCAACTGTCTAGCCTTCATAGAATTAAAGGTGTTATTTCCATCTCAAACTGCCAACATTGTGTTTTATTTCTCAATTGGTTTAGAACTTAGGCAGAGAAGAGGGGCACTATGATATTTATTAAGCCCCATAAAGACCCCCAACACTTTCCTAACTGGTCTTCCTGTTTCTAGTCACAGTGTCCTCTGATACTCCCTCCACAATGCTCCTAGAATAATCTTCCTAACATACATCTGAACTTGTCTCTTCATTAACCAAAATATTAAGGTGGCATCACCGATTTCTCTTATACTCAAAGAAGCATATTAAACTCTAAGTAAATGAACACCCTGTTATTATTTTAGGAATAAACTTGAATGTTTTTATTTATTTATTTTAAAAGGTAACATTTATAAAGTTTGGAACTATATTATTAGTAATCGTACTAATTTGTTAGGGTCACCATAACGAAGTACTGATAACTGAGTGGCTTAATCAACAGAAAATTATTTTCTCATAGCTCTGGAGGATAGAAATCTGAGATCAGTGTGTCCACAGGATTGGTTTCTTCTAGGGGCTTCTTTTTTTGGTTTGTTGGTAGAAGTCTTTTTCCTATGTTTTCACATGGTCTTCTGCGTTTGTGTCCTAATCTTCTCTTCTTATAAGGACACCAGGCCAACTAGATTAGGGCCCACACTAATGACCACATTTTACCTTAATCACTTCTTTGAAGGCTTGATCTAGAAATACAGTCACATTCTGAGTTACTGGGTATGAGGACTTCAACATATGAATGGGGGGCAGGGGAGGGAGGAAGATGGGGATGGGACACAATTCAGCACATAACAGTAACCAATGACTTATTTAAGGCAAGAAGCTCATAAACTGCAGCTCAGCAATATACTTCAAAATGAAGTTCAGATCTTTAATGTGACATAAAAGGACCCCCATGTTCAAGCCTATGTCAGCCTTTTCAGGGACATCTTTTACTTCTCCTAAGACTTCTCCTTCTTAGACTCCTTTTCAGCCTCATCAAACTACTTTCAAATTGTACCTTGTCATTTCATGCTACTGGGTGTTTATGTAGGCTGCTCTATGCCTAGAATGCCTCCCCCTTCCGTTTGTCTGCCTAACAAACTCCTATTTATCCTTTAGACCCAGCTCAAACTTCTCTTTTTAAAACCTTTCTCTGACTACCCTTTACCTTTTACAGTTGACCCTCTGTATTTGTGGATTCTGCATCCACAGATTCAATCAACCTCAGATAAAAAATATTTAGAAAAAATAACAATACAACAATTTTAAAACGTGAATAAACACAGTATAACAGCCATTTACATAGCATTTATATTTTATTAGGTATTGAAAGTAATCTCAAGATGACTTAAAGTACACAGGGAGATATACATGGGTTATATGCAAATACTATGCAATTTTACATAAGGGACCTGAGCATCGGTGGATTTTGGTACTCTCGAGGGTACCAAATCAATCAATCCCTCATGGATATCAAAGGATGACTATACATATGTTTTATAGAACCTACCACACCATATACACAGATACTCCTCAATTTACAATGGGGTTATGGCTTGACTCCATAGTAAGTAGAGGAGTATAAGTAGAGGCGTGTATTGCTTTCACACTATCATAAAGTTGAAAAATACTAATTTGAACCCTCATAAGTTGAGGATAGTCTATATTTTATTTTTCAGTATGTCTGTCTTCCACTATAAAGGGAGTTCTTTGAGGGCACTGAATGTATTTTATTTACATATTTAATGTCCCCAGTGCTCGCATGTGCCTGGCCACATAGTGGGCATTTAATAAACATTTGTTAGTAAGCAGATAAATAATTGGATTGTTAAAGAAAAGTAGACTTTTTAAAGGGTCACCCCTTAGCCTTATGAGACTGATGCTAAAAAGGACAACAAAAACAATTTTTATAAAGCATTTTTGGAACCTTTTCCAGTCAGAATGCTGGGCATACAGACCACTGATCTGATCTGCATTGGCATTCTATCAAGGGGTAGTGGTTAGCAAGTTTTTCTAAATTTAGAAATTCAGGTAATACAGTTAATAGGAAGGCTCTGGGAGTAATGGCGGAAAATACTAGGCAGAAGTCAAGTTCATATTTGCCAGATCATATGCACCAAGGACAAAGTCAAAGGAGGGGTAAAGAAAAGGAGTAAGATAGCTAGGGTCCAAGAATCAGGACCTCTGGAAAGACTACCTGGAAGTCTTAAGTGCTTGATGAAGTTGGTAATGGTATCACATTATTACAATCCTGGATTCCAATTTAACCTAACTTTTTTCCACTTTGCTGGTCTGGTTCCCCACCAAGATTCTTTATTTCGTAGTCATATACAAGTTGAGCATCCCTAATCCTAAAATTCTAAATCTAAAATGCTCCAAATTCCAAAAATTTTTTTCAGTGCTGACATGAGTCTAAAAGGAAATACTCATTGGAGTATTTTGGAGTTAGATTTTTGAATTAGGGATGCTCAACTGGTTATGTATATACAAATATTCCAAAATAAAAAAAAATCTACACTTCTGACCTCAAGCACTTCAGATAAGGGATACTTTAACCTGTATTATTTCTGTGCATGTTCTACGAAGGTAAGGATGATGTTTTATACATCTTTGGTGTGTACTGTGTCACACATAGCTCCAATTCAGATAAGCAAAGGAAATCATTATTGATTATGTTTCAAATTGAGAAGGAGCCTCCTATGACATGCAAAGGACAAAGGTAGATACAGAGAAACATAGGGAAAAAGCAAATCAATTAAGTAAGTGAAAATAACAATGATAGGGTTTCTTCCCACCACATCTACTCTGCCTTGAGATACAGTCAGGTGACAGAATTTTCTCTCCATAAGCTATTTCTTTGTATTCATTACAGAATTACAGGACAAAGACTGCCTTTATTCAGCCTCAGTCTCTGATAAATGGGTCAGCTCCATAGGCTAACATTAGTGACAGTCCTTGGTCCTGACAGCCTGACTTAATTAATCTGTTTAATTTATCGACCAAGCAGACAGCAAAAGAACATTCTCCATTAAATGGATTTTTATCATCTGAAGTTACAGAGCTAAATGCCTTTTTAAAATCTGAAATTTAGTTAGAGTATGACACGCTGTCTGTCTTAGAAACTACTTGCAAAGAGGAAAATGCAAAGATTAAAAATGGCTCTGTGGTGGCTTTAAGTAATGACTAAGAGGTCAGACTGTAAAATTGAACTCTATTCTGCCTGTCCACTTCACTGAAACTGCAACGCAAAGCAATATTACCTCCAAGTAGTTTTAGGTTCATGCCTGAAGTTACAGTCATTAAACTATATTACATATGTTGTGCCAAACAGGCAAGTAATAGGATATGGTTTTCTGAAGTCCATTATGTTCATTATAGAAAAGGTGGCTACATTTATACCAGTTAGAAAAAATTACTTTCTCACCCAGATCAAATAATTTATGTTTTCCCTAAATTACAGCTTCATGGCCAATTCTCTCATATCTGTCTGTGATAATCATAGCACCTACCATTAATTGGGATCCAGGGATTGTACTAAGTACTTTAGTATGTTTCACATTGGATACACAAAAATCCTGTCAGGTAAGTCTCATTATATTAAGTGCTTTCTGCAGATGAGGAGACTGTGAGACTCAGAGACATTATGTGATGGGCATGGGTGTGAACTAAGTCGGTAAGATTACAAAGCCTTTGCTCTTCCCACTGTACCTTGTTGTTCCACTCTGACCTTGCTTTAGCACACAATTTAGCACTCTATTAAAGGTGTTTCTGTGTCATTTTCAGGTTGTTTTATGTCCCTTTCAGCAAACTAAAAATCTTCATCGTCTCCTTTTACTCTTGGTCTTCCTGTACCCAGAAAATTCATAGGTAGATAAATGGCCATGAGTAGAGAGACCCATGGATATTTGAGTAGAACAGCTAGAACAATGAACTCTTTAGGGTTGATGTAGTATTCAAGGTGGTGAAAAAACATATTAGCAATATAGCATACACCCTAGTAGCCTCATCAGAAATAAATTTAAAAGCTATTTGAACAAAACCTCAATGGAAGAAGAGCTGAATAGGGTAGGTCAATCAAGCCATTATCTGTATAAATTTAGTACCATATTACTGTTTCAGAGTCTCAGCAATATGGGAAAGAGATTAATATCTGATCTTACTTGCAATCCCATTTTTATTTATTTCCAGCCAGCTGTCTAGCTAAAGAATGACTCTTCTTATTCAAAGGCTAAATGAGAGGTCATTGACTCTTGATGATATTTTCAGATCCTTTGGGGAAAAACTTGACTTCTGCTCTTGTCTTTATGTGTAATACCACTTCATTCATATTATCCTGATTTGAGTTTTTTGTTATAAATTGGTCTTTTTTGAAATGCAATCGTCTTTTATTTCAGACCAGAGACATGTTTCATACTAAACCAAGACCAAACAGATAAGCAAGTGACACAGATAGTGGTTTAAAATCTTTAAAAGTTTAAGTTTCAGTTGATCCATGAATTCTTTTGAAGAGGTAAATGCTCCTAAAACTTTGAGTAAATGCATATCAATTTTATTCTCCTTTAATTACTAGTTTTAATGAAAGAAGTTGGATTTTGTTTAGAATTTGTTTACAAGTTTGTTTGTTTTTAACTTTGGTGTGGTTTATGATTCTCTAAGAAAATTAACATTTGGGTCTGAATTAGGAAATTAGTGAAGTTCATACCAATAGCAGGTTTACATTTGAGGTCAAGCCCTTCTCTGATTTCTGAAAATCCTGTAAACTCTTTACTGTAGATAAAATGTTTAATTCCTATAAGTTACAATCATTTTTAAACTTCCTCTGAGCAGTCATCATGTTTAAAACTCTCTGCTAAATATTAGGGTACCAAGAATGAATAGTTTCTATCTTCAAGGAACAAAGGAATCTCAAATCTTGGACACTGTAGTATTTATCACTTAAATCAAAGACCATTTTGATTTATATTTTCATCATCATACCAACACATGGCCTTGTTATCATTATTATTAACTGTATTAAAATCTAGATTCTCCTCTTTCAGTCTTAGGACCCAAGTGAGGGAAGACTGAGTACTGGCGGACTGAAAAAAAATTGAGAATTTTGCTTCCTGCAATATCAAGGTGAGGGTATTCTAAATATAGTGTACCTGATTTTCCCCTAAAACTGCAGGATTCTAACAATTAGCTTTAAAAAGTGAAGATTTTTTTTAGTATGTATGAATCTATGATTCTATTGGCAGCAGGTACTATAGGGACAAAAAACAGGTTGGAGGGAAAGGAAGGCAATGACATTCCATATGGCAGCGCTGATTAATCTGAGTAGTAGGAGGACTTTCAGAGGTGCTACACAGGCAATAGTGTTGTACAAGTGAGCCATTCTCCACTTATTCTCAGTTCTTAAAATGTGACCTGAGGACTGCTGATAGACTACAAGAGTCTTCCATAGGCAATCCATCTTGGCCCTTAAATTTAATGTTTATAATATGAACACACAATACTACTTTCCAGCAAGAAAACATCCTAGCAACATTTAATAAACAGTTTTCACTTTATGGGAATCTCATTAAAGTGGTCCCAGTCTTTCCATGAATTCCAGGGATTGCATGTTCTTTTTAGAGGGTCAATTTTTGAAATAGTAAATACACTATGGGAGATGGTTTGTTGCATTTGCAAACTGAAAAATGTTTAACTGCTAACCTTCTGGGATCTGGTACATCTTTACAATGCTTCACCCTACAGCCCTTGGAGCATTAAGAAAGGACAAATAAATGTACACACAAAGAGAATAATGTCATTTCTCAACACTCTGCCACCTGCAGCTTTAACATCTTATGTCCTAAACCTATAAGCCTCAACCTGCCTGTCTTACCATTAAGATACTTAGCAGTCAAGTTGAAAGTAGGGGTTCTGGCCTCCAGAGTCCAATAGGTATTTGTTCTGTGACCCATAAGATAACCAATATTATTCTGTAAGTTTTGAGAAGTGCTAAAGTGAAGAAAGAGTGGCTTGTCACACATAAAAATTCTAATAAGTAATATGGCATTGTGGGAATGTCTTCAATTGCTTTGTAAACCATAAAAGGCAGCCAACTTCATTCAAACAGAGAAAGTAAAGTTTGAGGGCAAAGGTAACAAATTGGCAGAATTGTTTAGAAATAACCAGAATAGTTAAAAGCAGATTTATTAGGAAATCTCACTTTCTGATTAGAATAAATTAAATCACAGATTATGTCTTTATGCATATTACAGAAATCATTTCCTCTATAAATTTTATCTATGAATCAAAGCTATTAAAATGTTTTATTCTTGATAAGCTACAAAATGCATATATTAATTTAGTTTTTGAAGGTAAGTTTTGCAAAGGCCAATAAAAGCTACCAATCTCCATAAGCTGAATCAATCAGTGTATGAGTGTCCATTATCATTATGTATAAGACACTGGTACTAAGTATGGCAGGAGTGGGAGTAGTTAAAGAGGTATAAGAAATTGTTCCAGGATTAAGTATACATATGCTCTAAACATGCATGAATTCACAACAAATGTAGACCTTTAATGGCATTTTAATTATTCATGACCTTTCAAGGTCATGGGGAAAACAATTTCTTACCAATTTCATATCAAGCCATTCCCTTTTGGTTAGAAACTAATTTCTGTCATCCATTTTTCATGTGCACTTCTGCAGATTTTGTCCCGATTCATTTTCCTGTTGTTAATGTGAATATTGTCTTGCTGACATATCTGATACACAGTAGAGTTTTAGCATTTAGAAGGCTTTGGGCTTTAAGATAATAAATATTTGAATACAAGGTAACTGAAATTTTCTGTTTCAAATATTTCACAATCCTTAGAGAACTTTTCCATAAGAAAAAAGATTTCTCAAATTATTTGCTTCAGTCTTCTTGGAATACCACATACTGTTGTTTTGCTATTCCAAAATCGTGTGAATGATGATGTGGTGGAGGAACAGAAGCAGCAGCAATACTAACACTAATTACATTACCATGCTGAGTGCTTACTACATGGAAGGCACTTGATCAGATATTTAACATGTGTTACCTCATTTAACTCACACCACAAATTTATGTGGTAAGATGCTATACTGTCCTCATTATCAATAATTAGGTCTTAGGCCAGCAGCAGTTACTCATGCCTATAATCCCAGCACTTTGGGAGGCCAAAGCAGGAGGATCACTTGAGCCCAGGAGTTTGAGATCAGCATGGGCAACATGGTGAGACGTCCTCTGTGCTAAAAATAAAAATAAAAAATTAGCCAGGTGTGGTGGTGCATGCCTGCAGTTCCAGCTATTTGGAAGGCTGAGGCAGGAGGATCGCTTGGGTCCAGCAGGTCGAGGCTACAGTGTCATTGCACTCTAGCCTGGGCAACAGAGAGAGATACAGTAAAAAAAAAAAAAAAAACGGATCCAGATCCTTAGCACAGTTAAGGAACTTTTACTCAAGGTACCATAGTGGTAGGTGGCAGAGTTGAGATTTGTATTTAGACTGATTTCAAAACCTGTGCTGTTAATTGTATACTCAAGGATTCAGGCTCTCTATTTCTGTGAGACACTTTGCTAGGAAGAATCTGGACTGTTGTCCTTAGCCTTGGCTTCACCTTTGCTATACTGACCTAGCTTCCCCCAGTTTGAATAACCATTTTCCCACTGTATATTGGCCTTGGCTTCTGGCCCATTCTGGTCCAGATTGCCATTCCCTTACCCCATTCCTTCCTTTTAGATTCCATGTTCTTGATCCCTAGCTCATTTGAATTAGTAGTAGCCAACTCCAGCTGAGTCTGACTCAGTAGCTCCAAACTTTGCTGCCTCATCTATCGCCCTGGAATCCTGATTCCTGTCATATTCTCTGGACCCATGTCCAAACTTTAGTCTAAGAACCTTCATTTGTGAGTTAAGAAGATAGGTATTTACTATATAGTCCAGGGCAGAGGTCAGTCCTTTAGCTAGCTAGCCCAGAGCAAATAGATATTCTGGCATGAGAAACTCTGTAATTCTAGAATCATTTATAAAAGCTTGCCATAAAACACAGCTCATTCACAAAAGATTTTGGCTCTTCTAGAAAGATGTGATGACTTTCCACTGAGGAACCACATCAATAGAATGAACATTTTCACCATCTGATAATATAGTCTTCGGCAACCAAAAGTACTTGCCAGGAAGGGAAACACAATGTTCTCTTCTTCTGGTAAACCACGCCAATTTAAGGAAAAATTGGCCCAGGTCAGAAAATTAGTTTTGTGACTCCCTCATGTCTGAGTCCTCTTTTGTGACTTCTCCTAGCCCTTTGGCATTAATTCTCAGTTTATATCTCATGTGTCCCCTTTTAGATATTGCTTTACACATGTTCTCATACATTTTTCAAACATTCTATTTTTCAAACATTGTATTCTATTTCTACTATAGCATCTCCAAAGGCAAAAAAAAAAAAAAATTCTTTCTCTTGTAACCAGCTTCTACTCCAGTTCTGCATACAGTTGTTGCTCCACACATGCTGTTTACTGAATGTACTCCTACTGAAGAGTGTCCTTGGACTTTTATGATTCCAGATTTATACACAGGAAGTCAACATAAAAAGGCAGAACATTTCTCTGAATGCTTTCTCAAATAGCCTGTGTGGTATTATGTTGTGCTTTTTTGTGCATGTGTGGTTAAAACCTAGATGATGACTCATGGAACAATGTCACATTTCAGACTTAGAAATGATTATGAATAATTATCCCTGGGCTTTGGTTTGAAAGGTAAATTGAAAGTTTTGAATGAGTCTTTTCTTTCTCACCACTTAATGATACCTTTAAAAAAAAAATCAGGGTTTCTGGATGACCTAATACAGCTGTTTCTGAAAAGCTGAATGTAGTCAAGCATAAGACCTGAGTTAAGTAACTGCATTCCAAATACAAGTCACTAACATGAAAGATTTAAATAAACAAGTTTCTGACATCTTAAAGTCAATTAATCCATTTTAAAAGTTGTGCATAAAGACAGCTCCAACAACTTCTTTGTTTTGCCCAGACAACCCTTCCTAAAGCATCATTTCATCAGATCATTCTCATGCTCAAAAACATTCAGGAGCTTGTCACTATCTAAGACATGAATTCATATTCTTCTGCCTGGTTCTATACTTTTTTCACACACTCCAGTACCATCCTATACTGCTATACTCTTTTTTTTTTTTTTTTTTTTTGAGACGGAGTCTCGCTCTGTCGCCCAGGCTGGAGTGCAGTGGCGCGATCTCGGCTCACTGCAAGCTCCGCCTCCCGGGTTCACGCCATTCTCCTGCCTCAGCCTCCCGAGTAGCTGGGACTACAGGCGCCCGCTACCACGCCTGGCTAATGTTTTGTATTTTTAGTAGAGACGGGGTTTCACCGTGTTAGCCAGGATGGTCTCGATCTCCTGACCTCGTGATCCGCCCGCCTCGGCCTCCCAAAGTGCTGGGATTACAGTACTGGCTATACTCTTTCCACTACCCTGCAACACAAATCCTCTGGACAAACTAAGTCATGCTCTTCATTGCTCCCTCACAACACATGCATTGTGTAATGCTCCAAAGTTTACTCAGGTTTTTCATCCTGTAACCTCCTGCTCCACCATAAACCTCCCACATTCCCCTTCATCATTCCTTATCGGCTAAACTCAAGTCCCACTTTCCTCCATGATGCTTTTCTTTACACTTGCCCACCATAAAGACTCACCATCCTTACTAATATTAAAGATTGCCTAGGGCTTTGTATCCTTGTATCCTAGCCCAAAGTTGTCCATCTCTGATCACCTAAGCATGCTGCCACTGATTCCATTGGGTACCATTTCTATAACATATGATTACATCCTTATCGTTGATATTTCACAATATTATGTACATATTATTCTTCACACCAACCAAACGTTAAGCTTTTCAAGAGTGAATATAATGATCAATTCCCTTAATATTCTCCACAGTACCTAGCATTGTGCAGCTTGGCTAACAGTAGGCACTTTAATATTTGACTTAAATTACATTTAACTACTGTCTTTAGGAATGTATCTGTTAAATGCTTACAGGCAGACTTTAAACCAAAGGGGATTTTGATTTCCCACAAGTAAGTTGGTTGTAGCAGATGATGTTTGTACCCTGCTCATACCCCTTTTTCTGGGCCAATGCACCCATCATCCAGGTTTTCTGAGGGTTGGCTTCTAATGATTCACAGCTGCATCCTTCTCAGAAGCTGATAGGAGCTGCCTCACCTTCATAAGTCAGGAAGGTTATGTCCCTCATCCCAGAAGCAATTCATCAATAAATGGCAGATGCAGTAGCACAAAAGTCCATCCTCCTTACCACTGAGCAAGACAATCAGTGATGTAATTCGTGTTTTAATGGCCCCCACGGGATCAGGCTATGCTTCTCCTGATGCCATGTCCTTACTTAGCTTCTTATCTTGCCTTCTCCTGCTTCCTTTGCTTCATTACAAGTTTTTCTTCAGGTCACTCCCTTAATAAACCATTTACACAAGCATCCTAATCTCAGGCATAGCTTGTAGGAAACACTATTGTGAAAGTTGTTAGAATCAAAATGGAGTTGCTTGTGTTAAAAACCATGACAAATAGAACTGGAGGAGGCTATAAAGGGAGGATTCTCATGCAAAAACATCTGATAATGAGAACTATTACAAAAGACTGCAAAAACCAAAACCTCGGACAAAGACCTTACATACACAAAAAATACTTCTGTGAGGACATCTGCCCAGAAACTGCCTGTCCAACTTCAGACTGGTGCCACCTTTGTTATTGATCCTTGTAGCCAAAGATAATTATCTTAAAGACAATTATGTAATCCTCCTCATTCTGTCTTTTAAAACCTTTGCCTTCCTTTACACCTTCCTGAATATGCATATTGTTTACTATGGCCCACTTATTCCCATTACAATGCCTATTCCTAAATATGAAATCATTTTATTTTGAAGAGTCTCCCAGTTCATTATTTGGTTTTCTTTTTAGAGAGTCTCCCTTTCTGTTATTTAATGGTGTTGCTATGGTTTGGATGTGTTCCATTTTTCTCCACCAAAACTCAGGTTGAAATTTGATCCCCAATGTGGCAGTGTTGGAAAGTGGGGCCTAGTGGGAGGTGTTTGGGTCATGGGGGCAAATTCCTCATAAATACCTTGGTGCCATTCTTGGAGTATTAAGAGAATTTTCATTCTCAAAAGACTGGATTAATTCCCATGAGAGCAGGTTGTCATAAAGTGAGGTTCCTCCTCCTGTTTGGTTCCTTCTTTGCATGCATCAGAATCCTGTTTGACCTTCTCTGTCATGTTGTGATACAACATGAAAGCTCTCAACAGAAGCCAGCCTGCAGAACTGTGAACTAAATAAGTCTGTTTTCTTGTAAATTACCCAGTCTCAGGTATTCTGTTACAGCAACACAACAGACCAAGACAGTGTTAGAAATGAGTTCAAAATGAACTCACCTCAGACAAATCTTGACCTCTGGAATTGAATGCAGCAATGACTGAGTCCTTTGTACTCTCTATTTTCGTGAGTTCCTTTTCTGCCCTGGCGAATCTTCTCTCAGATTCTCAGACTCCCTCCCTTTGGTGAGTCCTTTTTTACTTTATTCCAGATCTGATTTAGTTAAAAGACCACTTTAAATAAAGAATCTTACATCCCTTCTGGGACCATAAGTCTTTTTTGACAAGCACTTTCTGATATAAAGACAAGGATCCTTCTGGTTTGAGAACTCTAGTTTATATTCTGTCTGTGAGACATTTATTTTCTGGTAAATTCACTTTTGTTTCTTTGTGCCTGTTTTAATATTTTGTTTGATGTATAAACCTGGCTAAAAATTTTTGTGAATATTCTGATTTTGGTGTCATTTTGGTTTGGTTACATGTGTCTGTAAATGATTTGGCTCTTTTTTACCTTATTTGTTTCTAAACATCTTCCAAGAGCAAAAATAACCATTCTAAATGGTGAGTGCAAGACAGCCAATTAAAAGCTAGTAGGGTAGTCGACGCCATCGAAAATACCAGTCCAAACTCCTGACATTCCCTGACAGTACTGATAAGATTTTCTCTGGTCTCAAGAAAAAAAAGAACAGGATTCTCAAAATTCTAAAGCATGCCAAGCCCTCTGGAATTCTAGACAACTATACATTCAAAATTTATAGTCTATTCTCATACACATTTTTCAACTGGTAGGCAAACCATATAAAAAACTCAGAACTTAAATGGCAATTATTCAAACTCTCTAAGCTTATTAAAAAAAACTACAACCAACTATAGAGTTAACATGGAGAGCCTTCTAAGTTCTTTGTCTCTCTATTTTTTCTACCCACTTTAAATCTGCTGACTTTTCTGCTAGTATTAAAATATACTCATTTCTTATGAGATTTCAGCCAAGATTTTTTAAAAAGAGTCTCAAAGGACTTTCAAATTAATGATACTACAAATTACAACAGCTCCATGGCAACAACCAACCTAGACAACTTTTAAAATGTGAACTTAGGTTTGCCTAACTAATAATTACAAAGGGCAATGAAATAGTTAATTAAAGGATTAATAGTCTTAAAACCTAGATAAATGTTTATGAAAGACTCAGATCAAATAGATCAAAATCTTCAGTTCAAAACCATAATATATCTCTGTCTGACATAAAAATTGCTTTCTGTGCCCAAAAGGGATGAAAAAGAGCTGAAAAGAAATAATAACATTTTCTAAAATGTTCCCTTCCCACGTTAACTAGTCAAACCAGACTAACAAAAAATAAATTTGTTACTAAAATTCAAGGTCATCTGGAAATTTTGTTTTCCTTATACAATTCAGCCAGTCCTAGTTAAAATGTCAACATTTAAATACTTAAACTCACTTAAAACAAATAAAAATAAAAAGAGGTTTTTTTAAAAAAAAAATCCAACTACCACATTAAAAATTCTTTATCCAAAATTTAGGTCTATAGCCTTCATTAGATTACCTACTGGGACAAATAAAATTTACCCATGTAAACTAGTCCCATTTTGTCAAAAACATAATTTAAAAGCAACTATCATTTTATAAACTGGTAAGTTTGTATTATCATGTTTTACTGTTTCATAATTAAAATTTTAAAATAAAACCTATAGGATCTTTTGTGTATATATACACACATGTCTAGGTATATTTACATGTAGGTACATGTATTGTATCTAGTTGGAAAAACCTGGCAGAGTTAACCAGAATTCCCTTTTAAAAATTCTGTTTAGATTGGCTTAGGTAAATGAGCACTCATAAAAATTGTTAAAATATAGTAATTAACCCAAATGCTTTTTAGTTCACATGACTTAAGTAAATCTTTGATAAATAATCAGTTTTACATTTGTTAATAAAATAAAAATTAAAATATATTCAAAATTGTCAACATATTATTTTTGGGTTTACTTTTTAGACAAGATTATACTTATCTCTACTAGATGATTTGAGGTAATAAAACTATAAATCCAACCTAAAAACATAATAATCTTTGTTTGTAAAACTCATTGATAAGACTAATTTAATATTGCTACTTTAGTAAAAACAGCTATCTTTTCTGTGTTATTGACAAAACGCTCATATATTTAAGGCTATTACTTAGGTAAACACCCAGATATTCACAGGCTATAAAAATGATTAACAATTTACAAATGAAGTTCATAAGGAAAAAAAGTGGTTAACAAGAAAATAACTCAAAATGACAACCAGCTTTGTCTAATATCTTAGTTTCCGTAAGTAATCCATATATATATATTATATAGTTCAAGCATGGTGGCTCACACCTGTAATACCAGCACTTTGGGAGGCTGAGGCAGGCAGATCACTTGAGCCTGGGAGTTTGAGACCAGCCTGGGCAACGTGGCCAGCCTGGGCAACATGTAGAGAAATCCCATCTCTACAAAAAATACAAAAATTGACTGGGTGTGGTGGCGGGAACCTGTACTTCTAGCTACTCAGGAGTCTGAGGTGGGAGCATCACCTGAGCCCAGGAGATGGAGGCTGACCTCAAAACAATTACTCAGTTAAATTCCCTGTGATTGTGCCACTGCACTCCAGCCTGGGTAACAGACTGAGACCCTGTCTCAAATAAATAAATAATAAAACAGTTAAATATAAATGGGATTAACATTTATAAATAAACTTTTCATATAATTGAAAAATCTAAAGTTATCTTAAATATTAAACACTCATTAATTATCTGGTTCATTTTCAAATAAGATAAAATACTAAAACATAAATTACTAACCATAAGTTTGTTCTTGAATACTTAAATTTTATTTAAAAAACTAAATAATTTACATCTATTAATATACATAAAATTATGTTAGGAGAAAACATGTTTTTAAAAATTATAAAATAGTTCTCATCTATAAAATACTGATATATGATAGACAGCTCAAAAGTTCTTCCTAGATTATCACTAAAAATTAAGGTTACTAAAAGTTAAAAATTCTAATTAATATGTATAATTTTATATACAAAGTGAACCACAAAAGATGTATTTCTAACAAAACCAATTATTGAAAGTGCATTGAAAATGGGTTATTTATTTAGAAAGTAATTTTGTCTAAATTCAGGTTATTTAAAGTTTGTTTTTAAATATAGGTTTAGAACAATAAAAACAAGATTTAAAGAAACCAAAGAGAGATTGTTTAAGTTATATATATATATATATATATATATATATATATATATATATACAGATAAAAATCTTTTTAAAAATTTGTATAAAAAACTTATATGCTAAATTTTTGTCCTAAAATAAGATGACTATTTTTTAAATATAGGACAAAACTAAAAGTTTAAACATATTGTAAATGTCTGTGACGGTCTTAACAGTTTTATAAAGGATTAATTTATTTTTAAAACTACTATTCAACATAGCGTTGGAAGTTCTGGCCAGGGCAATCAGGCAGGAGAAAGAAATAAAGGGTATTCAATTAGGAAAAGAGGAAGTCAAATGGTCCCTGTTTGCAGATGACATGATTGTATATTTAGAAAACCCCATCGCCTCAGCCCAAAATCTCCTTAAGCTGATAAGCAACTTCAGCAAAGTCTCAGGATACAAAATCAATGTGCAAAAATCACAAGCATTCTTATACACCAATAACAGACAAACAGAGAGCCAAATCATGAGTGAACTCCCATTCACAATTGCTTCAAAGAGAATAAAATACCTAGGAATCCAACTTACAAGGGATGTGAAGGACCTCTTCAAGGAGAACTACAAACCAATGCTCAATGAAATAAAAGAGGATACAAACAAATGGAAGAACATTCCATGCTCATGGATAGGAAGAATCAACATCGTGAAAATGGCAATACTGCCCAAGCTAATTTATAGATTCAATGCCATCCCCATCAAGCTACCAATGACTTTCTTCACAGAATTGGAAAAAACTACTTTAAAGTTCATATGAAACCAAAAAAGAACCCGCATTTCCAAGACAATCCTAAGCCAAAAGAATAAAGCTGGAGGCGTCAAGCTACCTGACTTCAAGCTATACTACAAGGCTACAGTAACCAAAACAGCATGGTACTGGTACCAAAACAGAGATATAGACGAGTGGAACAGAACAGACCCCTCAGAAATAATACCACACATCTACAACCATCTGATCTTTGACAAACCTGACAAAAACAAGAAATGGGGAAAGGATTCCCTATTTAACAAATGGTGCTGGGAAAACTGGCTAGCCATATGTAGAAAGCTGAAACTGGATCCCTTCCTTACACCTTATACAAAAATTAATTCAAGATGGATTAAAGACTTAAATGTTAGACCTAAAACCATAAAAACCCTAGAGAAAACCTAGGCATTACCATTCAGGACATAGGCATGGGCAAGGACTTCATGATTAAAACACCAAAAGCAATGGCAACAAAAGCCAAAATTAACAAATGGGATCTAATTAAACTAAAGAGCTTCTGCAAAGCAAAAGGAACTATCATCAGAGTGAACAGGCAACCTACAGAATGGGAGAAAATTTTTGCAATATACTCATCTGACAAAAGGCTAATATCCAGAATCTACAAAGAACTCAAACAAATTTACAAGAAAAAAACAACCCCATCAAAAAGTGGGCAAAGGATATGAACAGACACTTCTCAAAAGAAGACATTTATGCAGCCAACAGACATGTGAAAAAACGCTCATCATCACTGGCCATCAGAGAAATGCAAATCAAAAACACAATGAGATACCATCTCACACCAGTTAGAATGGCGACTATTAAAAAGTCAGGAAACAACAGGTGCTGGAGAGGTTGTGGAGAAATAGGAACACTTTTACACTGTTGGTGGGACTGTAAACTAGTTCAACCATTGTGGAAGACAGTGTGGTGAATCCTCAAGGATCCAGAACTACAAATACCATTTGACCCAGCCATCCCATTACTGGGTATATACCCAAAGGATTATAAATCATGCTTCTATAAAGACACATGCACACGTATGTTTACTGAGGCACCATTCACAATAGCAAAGACTTGGAACCAACCCGAATGTCCATCAATGATAGACTGGATTAAGAAAATGTGGCACATATACACCATGGATTACTATGCAGCCATAAAAAAGGATGAGTTCATGTCCTTTGTAGGGACATGGATGAAGCTGGAAACCAGCATTCTCAGCAAACTAGCACAAGGACAAAAAACCAAACACCCCATGTTCTCACTCATAGGTGGGAATTGAACAATGAAAACACCTGGACACAGGAAGGGGAACATCACACACCGGGGCCTGTCGTGGGGTGGGGAGAGGGGGGAGGGATAGCATTAGGAGATATGCCTAATGTAAATGATGAGTTAATGGGTGCGGCACACCAACATGGCACATGTATACATATGTAACAAACCTGTGTGTTGTGCACATGTACCCTAGAACTTAAAGGATAATTAAAAAAAAACTATCCTACAAACTATGATTATTATATTACTATTAATTTTACTTCATAGTTTCCTTTTTAAACTTTGTACCAGCTAGCTAGTTGTTACATTTCTACAAAAGTATAACTCCTAACAAAATGATATCGGCCCAATACTTTGAGATAATAACAAATATCTACTAAACAGACAAATTTGAACTTAATAATGGACTCTAGGTAGATTTAGCTCAAGAGCAACTCACCCCAGTCTCTCTTGTTGCTCAAATATGGCTAAAAGAGTTTTGACACTGACTCTTAGTCATCAATCACTTCCTTCACACTGGAGACCAGACCAGACTAGAGGAAATCAGGACAGATCCATCTTGGCATGGAGGGACAATGAAAACCTAACTATAGGATAATCAATGAGTAAGTCTTTCAGAAAAATATCTTCATCAAAAGGGAAAAATGTGAAAATTGTCATAATCAAAATGGAGTCATTTGTGCTAAAAACCATGACAAATAGAGTCAAGGAAGGCCATGAAGGGAGGGTTCTCAGGCATAAATCCCCAATAACAATAATTATCACAAAAGACTGCGAAAGCCACAACCTTACACAAAGACCATTTCAATTTTCCATGAGACAATCTGCCCAGAAGCTGCCTGTCCAACTTCACACATTGTGCCACCCTTGTTATTGATCCTTGTAGCCAAGATAATTATCTCAAAATATTTATGTAATCCTCATTTTTTCTTTAAAAATCTTTATCTTCTTTTACCTTCCTGAATAGTTTACTATGGCACTTGTATTCCCACTGCAATTTCTATTCCCAAATAAACATTTTTTCTTAGAGATCCTCTCTCTCTGTTATTTAGTTTGATACCACTGATGACATAAGTATTCCTGAAACAGATGAAAGGGAATGGTTATAACTGCTTCTAAGTAGCAGAATATTTTTGACAAACTGTTATGAGGAAATATCACATCAACAAAAACATTAACATTTTTTCAGGTAGCCAAAACAAACTTTGGGTTTGACTGGCTATCTGTAATACACATGATAAGTATGAGATGGAAGTGAGCTCAAAGAGGATTTCAGCCCAGTGGTTCTCAACTTCTACTCTCCATCTCAACACAGATAAGGGACACTCTGTGCTCCCAAAGCAACAGTAGCTTTAAAGTTTGAAGAGATTAGAAGATTATGTCAAAACTTTGTTGGAAGGGCTGAAAAAGTCTCAGAGTTTTTTCTGAGAAGTGATCCCCTACCCCTAGCTCTGTTCTAATTCAACTTCCTATTTTTTTACAAATAGGAAATGCAAAAGCCATAAAGGCAACTTCTCCAAAGTCGCAGAACTACTCTGTGGCAGAAGAGGAATCAGGACACATGTCTCCACACACTTGGTGCAGGATTCATCTAATGTAGCATTTCACAAAATATGCTATGTGGAATACTTGTCACTAGCTCTCTGAGACATTTCATTTGGAAAAAGTTTTAAATCAAGGTTGTCCAACTTGCGACCCGTGGACCACATGCAGCCCAAGATGGTTATGAATGAAGCTCATCACAAATTCATAAACTCTCTTAAAACATTATGAGATGTTTTTGTGTTTTTGTTTTCTGTTTTTGTTTGTTTGTTTTAGCTCATGATCTATTGTTCCTATTAGTGTCTTATATGTGTGGCCCAAGATAATCCTTCTTCTTCCAATGTGGTCCAGGGAAGCAAAAAAATTGGATAACCCTGTAAATACTGCCTACTATATTTCTTTCCTGGAAATTCACATGAAACATCAGTATATTAAAGGCTCTGAGAAAAATGCAGTAAAATATCAGTTTTCAAATATCATTTAATCATAGCTACTTCCTCTTTTTCCATGCAGCACCTATTACCCAACCTCCCTCAGAACTAATGACCCATGGTACTTACTTGGAAAAGGTTGACCTAATTGATTATCCTAGGTTGCTGCTTGGTACTACGAACATTGATCTGTACCACTTGGTGCAATTATTCTATTTTTAATGTTTAAAGAAGGACAGAAAAGTGTAGCACATTGGTTTAACTTCCAGAAAAGAAAGGAATTAAGAAGAAATAGGAAGGATTATAAAAGTTTGCCAATCACTTCATCTTAATCATTAAAAAAAAAACAGCAACACTTGGGCACTACAGAAACTTTGTAAAGACTAGATCATCAGAAGTTAAAAGCCTCAAGAACATTTATAGTGGGAATAAAAGCTATACAGAAATGTTGCTCAGTTCCACATGGTCAAAGCCAGATTATAGCTTAAGAAATCTAAACAGAGAAATTAAATCTCACACATTCTCTCAGATAGACCAAGATCAGAAGGAGCTCTAACTCATAAGTATGTTTATGAATTGTGTATGTTTGGAAGGAGCCAAGATGGCCGAATAGAAACAGCTCTGGTCTGCAGCTCCCAGCAAAACCAACACAGAAGGTAGGTAATTTCTACATTTCCAACTGAGGTACCCAGTTCATCTCAATGGGACTGGTTAGGCAGTGGGTGCAACTCATGGAGAGCAAGCAGAAGCAGGATGGGGTGTCACTTCACCCAGGAAGCGCAAGGAGCTGGGGTACCTCCCTCCCCCAGGCAAGGGAAACAGTGAGGGACTGTGCTGCCAGCCCTGAGTACTACGCTTTTCCCATGGATTTTTGCAATCTGCAGATCAGCAGAGTCCCTTGTGAGCATATACAACCAGGGCCCTGGGTTTCAAGCACAAAACTGGGTGGCTGTTTGAGCAGGCACCGAGGTAGCCACAGGAGTTTTTTCATACTCCAGTGGCACCTGGAACTCCAGCGAGACAGGAGAACCATCCACTCCCCTGGAAAGGGGGCTGAAGCCAGGGAGCCAAGCAGTGTTGCTCAGTGGGTCCCGCTCCCACAGAGCCCAGCAAGCTAAGAACCACTGGCTTGAAATTCTCACAGCCAGTGCAGAAGTCTGGAGTCGACCTGGGATGATTGAGTTTGGTAGGGTGAAGGGCATCCACCATTACTGAGACTTTAGTAAGTGGTTTTCCCCGGACAGTGCTAAGGAGACTGGGAGGTTTGGACTGGGCAGAATTCACCATAGCACAGCAAAGCAGCTGTGGCCAGACTGCTTCTCTAGATTCCTCCTCACTGGGCAGGGCATCTCTATAGGAAATGCAGCAGCCCCAGTCAGGTGCTTATAGATAAAACTCTCATCTCCCTGGGACAGAGCACCTAGGGGGAAGGCCGACTGCTGTGGCAGCTTCAGTGGATTTAATTGTTTCTGCCTGCCAGCACTGAAGACAGCAGCTGATCCTGACAAGGAGATTCTACCAGCACAGTGCACCAGCTCCGCTAAGGGACAGACTGCCTCCTCGAGTGTGTACCTGACCCCCGTGCCTCCTGACTGGGAGAGACCTCCCAACAGGGGTGGACAGACACCTCATACAGGAGAGCTCCAGCTGGCATCAGGCCAGTGCCCCTCTGGGAGGGAGCTTCCAGGGGAAGGAGCAGGCAGCAATCTTTGCTGTTCTACAGCCTCCACTGGTGATATCCAGGTGAAAAGGGTCTGGAATGGACCTCCAGCACTGCAATAGACCTACAGAAGAGGGGCCTGACTGTTAGAAGAAAAACAAACAGAAAGCAATGACAACAACAACGACATCAAAAGAAAAGACCCTCCCACAAATACCGCATCCAAAGGTCATCAGCCTCAAGATCAAATGTAGATAAATCCACGAAGATGAGGGAAAAACAGTGCAAAAATGCTGAAAATTCCAAAAGCGAGAATGCTGCTTCTCCTCCAAATGATTGCAACACCTCTCAAGCAAGAGCTCAAAACTGGAAGGAGAATGAGATTGACGAATTGACAGAAGTAGGCTTCAGATGGTGGGTAATAATAAACTCCTCTGAGCTAAAGGAGCATGTTCTAACCCAATGCAAGGAAGCTAAGAACCTTCATAAAAAGTGATAGGAACTACTAACTAGAATAACCAGTTTAGAGAGGAACATAAATGACCTGATGAAGCTGTAAAACACAGCACGAGAACTTCGTGAAGCATACACAGGTATCAATAGCTGAATCGATCAAGCAGAAGAAAAGATATCAGAGATTGAAGACCACCTTGCTGAAATAAGGCATGTAGACAAGATTAAAGAAAAAAAATGAAAAGGAATGAACAAAGCCTCCAACAAATATGGGACTATGTGAAAAAACCAAACCTGCGATTGACAGATGTACCTGAAATTAAGGGGGGGAATTGAAGCAAGTTGGAAAACATGCTTCAGGATATTATCCAGGAGACCTTCCCCAACCTAGCAAGACAGGCCAACATTCAAATTCAGGAAACACAGAGAACACCACCAAGATACTCATGAGAAGATCAAGCCCAAGACACATAATCATTAGATTCTCCAAGTTTGAAATGAAGGAAAAAATGTTAAGGGCAGCCAGAGAGAAAGGTCAGGTCACCCACAAAGGCAAGTCCATCAGACTAACAGTGGGTCTCTCAGCAGAAAACCTACAAGCCAGAAGAGAGTGGGGGACAATATTCAACATACTTAAATAACAGAATTTTCAACCCAGAATTTCACATCCAGCCAAACTAAGCTTCATAAGGGAAGGAGAAATAAAATCCTTTACAGACAAGCAAATGCTGAGGGATTTTGTCACCACCAGGCCTGCCTTTCAAGAGCTCCTGAAGGAAGCACTAAATATGGACAGGAAAAAACCAATAACAGCCACTGCAAAAACACACCAAAATATAAAGACCAATGACACTACGAAGAAACTGCATCAGCTAATGTGCAAAATAACCAGCTAGCATCATGATGACAGGATCAAATTCATACATAACAATATTAACCTTAAATGTAAATGGGCTAAAAGCCCCAATTAAAAGACACAGACTGGCAAATTATATAAAGAGTCAAGACCCATCAGTGTTCTGTATTCAGGAGACACATCTCACGTGCAAAGACACACATAGGCTCAAAATAAAGGGGTGGGGGAATATTTACCAAGCAAATGGAAAGCAAAAAGAAGCAGGGGTTGCAATCTCCGTCTCTGATAAAACAGACTTTAAACCAACAAAGATCAAAAAAGACAAAGAAGGGCATTCCATAATTGTAAAGGCATCAATGCAACAAAAAGAGCTAACTATCCTAAATATATATGCACTCAATACTGGAGCACCCAGATTCATAAAACAAGTTCTTAGAGACCTACAAAGAGACTTAGACTCTCACACAATAACAGTGGGAGACTTTAGGCTGGGCGTGGTGGCTCATGCCTGTAATCCCAGCACTTTGGGAGGCTGAGGTGGGCAGATCACCAGATGTCAGGAGTTCAAGACCAGCCTGACCAACATGGAAAAACACTATCTCTACTAAAAATACAAAAAAAAAATAAATAAATAATAACTGGGTGTGGTAGCATGTGCCGGTAATCCCAGCTACTCGGGAGGCTGAGGCAGGAAAATCGCTTGAACCCAGGAGGTGGAGGTTGCAGTGAGCCAAGATCACACCATTGCACTCCAGCCTGGGCAACAAGAGTGAAACTCTGTCTCAAAAAAAAAAAAAAAAGTGAGAGACTTTAACATCCCACTGTCAATATTAGATCAATGAGACAGATAATCAACAAGGATATTCAGTACTTGAACTCAGGTGTGGATCAAGTGGGCCTAGTAGACATCTACACAACTGTCCACCCCAAATTGACAGAATACACATTCTTCTCAGTGTTGCATGGCACTTATTGTAAAACTGACCACATTATTGGAAGTAAAACACTCCTCAGCAAATGCAAAAGAACTGAAATCATAACAAACAGTCTCTCAGACCACAGTGCAATCAAATTAGAACACAGGATTAAGAAACTCACCCAAAACCACACGACTACATGGAAATTGAACAACCTGCTCCTGAATGACTCTGAGGTAAATAACAAAATTAAGGCAGAAATCAAGAAGTAATTTGAAACCAATGAGAACAAAGAGACAATATAGCAGAATCTCTGGGACACAGCTAAAGCAGTTTTAAGAGGGAAATTTATAGCACTAAATACCCACATCAGAAACTTGAAAAGATCACAAATCAACACCATAACATCACAATTAAAAGAACTAGAGAAGCAAGAGCAAACAAATTCAAAAGCTAGCAGAAAACAAAAAATAACTAACATTAGAGCAGAAGTGAAGGGGACAGAGACACAAAAAGTATTCCAAAAAATCAACGAATCCAGGAGCTGCTTGTTAGAAAAAATTAACAAAATAGATACACTGCTAGCTAGACTAATAAAGAAGAAAAGAGAGAAGAATAAAGAGACACAATAAAAAATGATAAAGGACATATCACCACTGATCTCACAGAAATACAAAGTACCATCAGAGAATACTATAGAAAATCCAGAAGAAATGGATAAATTCCCAGACACATACACCCTCCCAAAACTAAACCAGGAAGAAGTCAAATCCCTGAATAGACCAATAACAAGTTCGGAAATTGAGGTAGTAATTAGTAGCCTACGAAACAAAAAAAGCCCAGGACCAGATAGGTTCACAGTTGAATTCTACCAGACGTACAAAGACGAACTAGTGCCATTTCTTCTAAAACTACTCCAAACAATTGAAAAAGAGGGACTCCTCCCTAACTCATTTTATGAGGCCAGCATCATCCTGATACCAAAACCTGGCAGAGACACAACAAAAAAAGAAAATTTCAGGCAAATGTCCATGATGAACATTGACGCAAATATCCTCAATAAAAAATACTGGCAAACTGAGTCCAGCAGCATATCAAAAAGCTTATCCACCACAATCAAGTCAACTTCATCCCTGGGATGCAAGGCTGGTTCAATATACGCAAATCAATAAACGTAATCCATCATATAAACAGAACCAATGACAAAAACACGTGATTATCTCAATAGATGCAGAAAAGGCCTTCAATAAAAATCCATTCAAATTCAAATCCCTTCATACTAAAAACTCTCAATAAACTAGGTATTGATGGAACATATCTCAAAATAATAAGAGCTATTTATGATAAATCCATAGCCAATATCATACTGAATGAACAAAATCTAGTAGCATTCCCTTTCAGGCACAAGAGGGCCGGGCACAGTGGCTCATGCTTGTAATCCCAGCACTTTGGGAGGCTGAGGCAGGTGGATCACCTGAGATCAGGAGTTCGAGATTAGCCTGGCCAAGATGATGAAAGCCCATCTCTAATAAAAATAAAAAATGAGCCAGGTGTGGTGGTGGGCACCTGTAATTCCAGCCACTCAGGAGGCAGAGGCAGGAGAATCACTTGAACCTAGGAGGCAGAGATTGCAGTGAGTCAAGATCACGCCACTGCACTCCAGCCTGGGCCACAGAGAGAGACTCTGCCTCAAAAAAAAAAAAAAAAAAAAGAAAGAAAGAAAGAAAGAAAGAAAGAAGAAAAGAAAAGAGAAAAGAGGCAGAAGACAAGGATGCCCTCTCTCACTACTCCTATTCAACATAGTATTGGAAGTTCTGGCCAGGACAATCAAGCAACAGAAAGAAATAAAGGGTATGCGAATAGGAAGAGGGGAAATCAAATTGTCTCTGTTTACTGATGACATGATTGTATATTTAGAAAACCCCATCGTCTCAGCCCCAAAACACCATAAGCTGATAAGCAACTTCAGCAAAGTCTCAGGATACAAAATCAATATGCAAAAATCACAAGCATTCCTACACACCAACAATAAACAAGTGGAGAGCCAAATCATGAATGAACTCCCATTCACAATTGTTACAAAGAGAATGAAATACATAGGCATACAGCTTACAAGGGAAATGAAGGACCTCATCAAGAACTACAAACTGCTGCTCAAGGAAATAAAGGAGGACACAAACAAATGGAAAAACATTCCATGCTCATGGATAGGAAAAATCAATATCGTGAAAATGACCATACTGCCCAAAGTAATTTATAGATTCAATGCTATTCCCATCAAACTACCACTGACTTTCTTCTCAGAATAAGAAAAACTACTTTAAATTTAATATGGAACAAAAAAAGAGCTTGTATAGCCAAGAAAATTCTAAGCAAAAAGAACAAAGCTGGAGGCATCACACTACCTGACTTCAAGCTATACTACAAGGCTACAGTAACCAAAACAGCAAGTAGTGGTACCAAAACAGACATCTAGACCAATGGAACAGAACAGAGACCTCAGAAATAACATGATACACTTACAACCAACTGGTCTTCAACAAACCTGACAAAAACAAGCAATGGTTAAATGACTGCCTATTTAATAAATGGTCCTGGGAAAACTGGTTAGCCATATGTAGAAAACTAAAACTGGACCCCTTCCTTACACCTTATACAAAAATTAACTCAAGATGGGTTAAGGACTTGAATGTAAAACCCAAAACCATAAAAACCCTAGAAGAAAACCTAGGCAATACCATTCAGGACATAGGTATGGGCAAAGACATCATAACTAAAACACCAAAAGCAATGGCAACAAAAGCCAAAATTGACAAATGGGATCTAATTAAACTAAAGAGCTTCTGCACAGCAAAAGAAACTAGCATCAGGGTGAACAAGCAACCTACAGAATGGGAGAAAATTTTTGCAATCTACCCATTGGACAAAGGTCTAATATCCAGAATCTATAAGAAACTTAAACAAGTTTACAAGAAAAAAACAAACAACCCCATCAAAAAGTGGGCAAAGGATATGAACAGACACTTCTCAAAAGAAGACATTTATGCAGCCAACAAACATATGAAGAAAGCTCATCATCAGTGATCATTAGAGAAATGCAAATCAAAACCACAGTGAGATACCATCTCACCCCAGTCAGAATGGTGATCATTAAAAATCAGGAAACAATAGATGCTGGTGAGGCTGTGGAAAAATAGGAATGCTTTTACACTGCTAGTGGGAGTGTAAATTAGTTCAACCATTGTGGAAGACAGTGTGGTGATTCCTCAAGGATCTAGAACCAGAAATACCACTCAACCCAGAAATCCCATTACTGGCTATGTACCCAAAGGAATATAAATCATTCTAGTATAAAGTCACATGTACACATGTGTTTATTGCAGCATTATTTACAATAGCAAAGACATGAAACCAACCCAAATGCCCATCAATGATAGACTGGATAAAGAAAATGTGGTACATATACACCATGGAATACTATGCACCCATAAAAAAGAATGAGATAATGTCCTTTGCAGGGACATGAATGAAACTGGAAGCCATAATCCCACAGGAACAGAAAACCAAACACCGCATGTTCTCACTCATAAGTGGCAGATGAACAATTAGAACACATGGACACAGGGAGGGGAACATCACATACTGGGGCCATTATTAGGGATAGGGGGTAAGAGGATGGAGAGCATTAGGACAAATACCTAATGCATGTGGGGCTTAAAACCTACATGATGGGTTGATATGTGCAGCAAATCACCATGGAACACGTATACCTATGTAGCAAACCTGCACACTTTGCACGTGTATCCCAGAACTTAAAGTAAAAAAATAAATAAATAAAAAATAAAGAATTGTGTATATTTGAAAAAGTTATTTTAATTCACTTGTATATAAATAATAATAGAATCAATAATATTCATAGCCAGCATATATAGGATACATTATTTCTGTTTAAACATAGCCCATAGGTCAATGTGGTTGTTTTCTTTTTTAATTTTTAATTTTTGTGGGTACATAGTAGGTATGTATATTTATGGGGTACATGAGATATTTTGATGTAGGCATACAATGTGTAATAATAACATCAGGGTAAATGGGGTGTCCATCACCTCAAGCATTTATCCTTTGTGTTTCAAACAATCCAATTATATTCTTTGTTACTTTAAAATGTATAATTATATTATTATCGACTATAGTCACCCTGTTATGCTATCAAATACTAGATATTATTCACTCTTTCTGGGTTTTTTTTTACCCATTAAACATCCCCATCTCCTCCACAGCCCCCCACTATCCTACCCAGCCTCTGGTAACCATCATTCTACTCTCTGTCTCCATGAGTTTAATTGTTTCAATTTTTAGCTCCCACAGATGAGTGAGAACATGCTGTGTTTGTCTTTCTGTGCCTGGCTTATTTCACTTAACGTAATGACCTCCAGTTCCATCTATGTTGTTGCAAATGACAGAATTACTTTATTTTTATGGCTGAATAGCACTCCATTGTGCACATGTAGAATGTGGTTGTTTCTTGATGTGGATAATAAACACTATCAAACAGAATGGATCATCCCATTAGCCCCTTTCAGCTGACCCTTTAATGTCACATCTTGATAAACAGTAACATAGATCCAATTTAATCACCATCACAAGCAGGCCAAGCATGACTGCAACTACAATGTTATGTCTGGCTGTAGAAGACGAGATCAAAGTCAGTGGAACTTAAGAAAGTTATTTTGTTTTGAAAACGTGGCTAAAATTTTACCCACAGAAGAACTTTTTCTAATGCACTGTTAACATTTTAGGTAAGGCTTCAACTGGGACAGGTGAGGGAGAGAAGAAAATAAACAGTTTTAATAATACCTTTGTATCAGTGGTGCCAGTATTAGTGGCATAAATTTCTATTACATCTAAGTGGGGGATATTGAACTTTTTATTTAATTTTGTTAGTATGCTTAGCTCTGTACAAAGTTTTGAGGAACTGGGAGTATTAGGAAAAATGTAACACATAGTCAAAAAAATTCAAATCTAAATGAAATGTCATTACAAAAATACATCAAGCAATTAGGAAGTAATGAATAAGACCAATGTAGGACATATAGTGAAGACATAAACTTGGCCACATAGGGCGGAGCCAAGTTGTAGAGACTTAAACACCAAAGTTAAATGTTTTTTTTTTTTCCTGATAGTATCAGTTTTTAAAATCCATTTAGTTAGCCTGGAGATATGTTTTACAAAGAAAATCACAATGCTCAAACATAGTTGTTATATAAAACAGGTAACACAGAGAATCACTGACCCTCTCTGTGTCTCCAATTTAGTGTTATTACACAGGTTTTTGAGAGTCAGTATTCAATCAAAGCCCAAAGTCATACTCTAATTCAATGCCTCAGTAATGAAAACAATAGATTTGTTAAAAAGTGATTCTTAGGGTTTAGGAAAAGTATATTTATAGAATGAAGGAGTAGGAGTAAGATAAAGCTAATGTGATCAATGATCAATCTAACAACATTTTTTTTCTGTTTTCAAAGAAGGCAAACATTGACAGGGATTGATTTTCGACTTAATTTCCCATTTTCAACAGCAAATACTAGAGCCTTGTCAGAATGAGACTGAAGACAGGTAAGTTTTCATGGAATTAAAAGATGAGAAAAGGACCAGAGGATAAATGTTTCAAAAGGAGTGAGGGGAAACACCCAAAGAAGCAGCTTGCTTTTTCTTGTTGGGTGAGGGAAGGGAGTTGCAGCAATAACCACCCTTGACTACACAGACTTAATTTAATGCCTGACTAGGCACAGTGACATAGTCGTGGTGCTCAAGAAGAGTACAGGTTGCATTACCCTCCATGTTGTAGATCCAAGAGCAAAATGGAAATCAATAATCAATAAGAAATTCTACCAACTCTTTGCATTCTTTATATGTTTATTCATCAACAAGTCTTTGTGAATGTTTATATCAGAGGCTATGAATGAGAATAGCAACTCTCAGTGACTGCAAGTGAATCATTTGTTTGTGTGTAAAATATTTATAACTGATTTCCTCTTGTCTTTCCCACACAGTTTTGGGACCATTTTTCTCTGAAGTTTTGTAGTGGGTGTTCAGGGAATGCAAATTGACTTTATCAAGCCAATAATAATGTAGACAAAGAGCCAAAGGACAAGCTAGATAATAGAATATTAAAACTGTCCCAGAGATAAATGACCAGAAAGGGTGCGGCGTGGACAAGGAGTCTGAATAGAATAGAAAAGGGACTGAGTAACATGGGAGTCCTCATTCAATCAAATCACAAAAATTTTACAGAAGTAAGTTTCAGCAATGTATTGAATAACAAGGAGGAGTGGCATCACAAATAAGCAGAAGAAAATAGAAAGTTTTTATACACCAAGATAGAATCAGAACACTTTTCAATACTTCAGTAATTACTTAGGAGTTGGGATTAGCATTAGGGAGTGGTCAGGCTGTGCCTTAAATGAACTATTTAGTTCCAGAGATAGTGACTTTGGTTTAGTTGTTGTCACCAAAAGATTAGTGGTTCCTTTGTTTGGGTTAGCAAACTGAGATTCCAATAAAAAGAGTTGTAGATTATGAATAAAGAAAACCAAATGGATTACCAAAACCAACCAACCAACCAACAAAACATAATGAATATATTTGTATAATATTAAAGAGTCTAAAGAACAAAGAGGAAAATATTTCAAAGAAAACATAGCAATGTTGATTCTTAACTTCATAGATTTCTTCTCCTTTTTACATTGATTTGGCTCTCCCAATAGTCACTTATCCTCAGTAGATAAGCCAAAACCCAGTGTGTGAAAACCTGACTTACAATCTTTTTTAGTAACAGAAGTCTTTATGCTCCAACTATTTAATAACTTCCCTGAATTGTCCTCAACCAATTCTTGCTACACTCTTGGCACAACTAGCCACTGCTCATGAGTCTCCTAGGGCAAACCTCTTCTGTGGACCTCTTACAGGTTTCTGGTAGAACCATATGCACACCAGCTGCTTCTAATTAACCCAGCCAGTCTGGCTCTGAGTGGATGATTCAGAAGGCTCGCTTTAAAAAAAATAACCAAATGACTTTACACGAGACAAATTCAGATTTAATACAGTTAAGCAATTTCATAAAATGATTATAATTTAAATATGAAAAGATTTCTTTGTGATCTCCCTGAAAATTAGTTTCAGCATTCAAAAATAAACAGCAATACCTTTGGCAACATAGTAAGACCCCGTTTCTACAAAAAAATTGTCAAAATTAGCCAGGCAGAGTGGTGCATGACTCTAGTCCCACCTACATGGGAGGCTGAGGTGGGAGGATCACTTGAGCCCAGGAGATTGAGGCTGCAATGAGCTGTGATCACATCACTGCACTCCAGTCTGGGCAGCAGAATGAGACTCTGTTTCAAAAACAAACAAACAAACAAACAACACTTACACTGTATATTAAAATGCAAGTGAGTGTATTTTAATGCAGATGACGATGAACAATTCATAGAAATGACAGAAAAAAATGTGCAGAAGTAGTCTTCTACTCATAAAGAATATCTGATGTATATTTTCTACACAAATTATCATTCTTATAATTTTCATTTTATATATTAAAATATCCTAAGTGTAAATTTATGAAATTCAAAAGAACAAAAACGGAGTAAGATGAAACTGTCAGGGGAGCCAAAATCAACTTTTTTTCAACTGATGTTGAGCCCATGTATATAAATAGATATACCTTTAAAGCAATGAAATCCAAAGCAGAACCAAATTAGCAAAACAGAAATTAGACTGAGGTAATAAGAAAATGCATTGTTTCTATGTTTTTAAAGGAAAGGGAAAACTGTCCTTTTTTCTGGTGAACCTCAAGAAGAAATTCTTCCCTAAGAATTAATTTCAAACTCAAATGTTCCAGTTTGAAGTTGCACTATAGTCAGAACACCTAAGGAACGGAAATTCTAACCTATTCCCGGGAAATAAGCAATTTGCTTCATGAAAATCTGTCTAAGGTAGAGAGAAGAAAGCTGTCCATTCTATACATCATATTCTCAAAAGAAATTATGCCACCTCCTCAGGAAATACTTCCATTTTTTTTCAATCTTCCTTCTCAGAAAGATACAGGCAAGAACAGAGCCTCAAGTTTGTAAGGAAAACCAATGTGAAAGCAGATAGAATGAAATCTCCCACAATGAACAACTGGAGTTTGAAATATCAGATATTAGCTACTTTTAATAATATTTCTGAAACATCACAATCACTGTGTGCCCCATAATTATATATGATTATTTATCAAAAAATAAAATAAAAATAAAGCAAAAACAAAAAAATTAAATGGCTGTAGCGAAAATACTTTACATTTATCCTCAAAACCTTTTTTGCCTGGCAGGAATACATATCTGTTGATTTTTACATTAGTATGACAAAAACATTTCTAAAGCAGTATGTATCCAAGAGTATAAAAGCTGAGGTTCACTTGCTAATGCATGATATAGAAATTTCAAGTAACCCTGAACAGAGTAGATGGATTCCTACATAGGCAGACAAAGGAAAAGAGATACTCTTGAAAAAAAAATTAAAAACTGCTTTGTTTCAACTGCATATCTAATTACAAGCCAACGGTATGCTTACACAAGGCTAATAGACTCCTGCGGGCTTCAGTTACATGTAAGCAGAATAGTAAGAAGAGATCGGAAAATGTGGAGAGATAAAAGTAAAGGTTTTTTAAATGTAGGAACAGTCTCAGAGTGATATTTTAATTAGATGATACATGAAGAAAGCTACCCGCAATGGCTTTTGATGAAAAGTTGGTAAAAACTATATGGACTCCCAACTAAGAGAAGCAGGACAAATCACAGTTGGAAAATCCTAATCAGGGTGTGTGAAAGAGATCAGTTATCAGAATAAATGCATAATATTTAAGAATCAGTAATAATGATAGCTGTAGCCAAAGTTCATTTTACTTAAAAATTTAGCACCAACATACACTAAGAGGCAATATAATGCTGAAACTCATAGGAGATTCTAGAGTTGGATTAACTATGTGTGACTCCCTGCCCTGCTACATGTTAGCTGTGTGACCATGGGCAAGTTACTTAACCTCCCTGTGCTTTAGTTTCTTTATCTGTAAAATGGAAATCATAATGATATTCTACCTCATACAGTGTTTGTAAGGATTAAATTATTTAATATGTCCAAAGGACTTAGAATAGAATCTGACAAATTATTAGCACTCAGTAAATGTTTGCTAGCTAGTTTTAAAATATTATATTTCCTTAAAATCTTTAAATTTAGTGATTTAAATAGTCCCATATTTGAAAAAAATCTTTGAAGAAATACTCTTGCAGAAAAAGGCTATTAATCAAACCAAATGGCATAATGAAATAAACACTCCTACCTATAGCTTTCACTACTTACAGACAAAATACCTAAGAAGAAACATAGTTATTGTTTAATAATTATCTTGAAAATTAGTTCAAAGTGCTACATAACTTTCCTGTGATAGTCATTACAAGTAACTATGCTAGTAAATAAAGCAATGAGAAGGCCCTAGAGATACAAAAACAGTTTCTGACACTTCCCATCCTCAAGAGATAAACATTCTAGATGTGAAAACAATACACACATGCATACACAATAATAGCTGCCCTGCCAAACTGGATATGAGCAGTGCAGAACTAATGTAACTTAAGTTACTATAGGAGTGTTGTCATTATCAGCAATGGAATTAGCTTTTATTAATTGCCATGTGACACTGTAACAGGACATAAAAGAATCTGTACATGTATTTTTCCTAATTTCCTCTTTATTATAGACCCATAAAATATTCTTAGGATCCATTTGACAGAAGGAGTTGAAATTCAGAGAGATTAAGTAAATTGACGATGGTCACCTAAATAATAAATGGAAGAGCTTAAATATGAACTCTTTCTGACTCTACACTGTAACATTATGGATGTCATATATATTAACAACATGGACAAAACTGATGGCTGAATTTTCCTGGGGAAAGTTATCTGTAGGGATGCATGATAAATGCATTAAAAACTTATAAAATTTTCTTGGGGACATAAGACTATAGCATCCATTATTTATTTTCCAGTGAAAACAATATTACACACATATATCTTGAATAAAAACACTGCTGCTGTCACCTAGTAAGATAGTGACAGGAGTGACACAACACCAAAATAATTAACAGATACCATTCTACATACCATAGTGATATATTTCCTCAACACTGATCTTTCTCTTTTTTCTTCCTCTTTTTTGAGGAAGGCAAAAAGAGTTGAGTTGTACCTACCTTCAGGTCTAAGATTCAGTAGCCATGAATTAGCTGAATAAAACATACCTCTGAATATGTCCTACTCAGTCTTTGCCCGTTCTGTGTCCCCTGATTACCCTGTCCTTTCACACTTGGTTACATCTGTTTACTGCCAAGAGTTGGATAAACCACTTTAACAGCCTGTAAATGTAGAGGATCTCCTCTATCATTCTGTTATCAGGAGACAGGCCTAGTTTGCTTCATGTAGTAAAAACAGCACAGGGAGCTAGAATAAGGAAGACCAGAGTTTGAATCCCAGCTCTACTCTTAACCAGCTGCATGACTATAGGCAGATTCCTTAACCTGTGTGAGGTTCAGTTTTTCCATCTCTAAATCAGTAATAACTATGTTTGCCTCACTGGGTTGTCCTAAGCATTTAACAGAACGCTATGTACAGAGTACCTGTCCATGCACTAAGTGTCAATAAGAACTGATTCACTCTTTCATCTTCTTTATGATTAGACCATGTGACAACAGGTACTTTTAATCATATAGAGCTGTATTTCAAGAACATGACTTCACCCATTGCATATCCAAAATGCTATACATTAAAACGTCGCGTCGTGTTATGATGCTGTTCTTATGAATCCATTGAATGGAAGAAACAATCACATTTTATAAATGGACAAAGGTTGAATCAGATTATTTCTTGGATAAAAACAGATTTACCAAGATGGCCGAATACGAACAGCTCTGGCTGCAGCTCTCAGTGAGACCAACACAGAAGGTGGGTGATTTCTGCATTTCCAACTAAAGTACCCAGTTCATTTCATTGGGACTGGTTAGACAGTGAGTGCAGCCCATGGAGAGCGAGCAGAAGCAGGGTGGGGTGTCACCTAAACTGGGATTTGCAAGGGGTGGTGGAACTCCCTCCCCTAGCCAAGGGAAGCCGTGGGTGACCCTGCAGTGAGGGATGCTGCTATCCAGCCCAGATACTATGCTTTTCCCATGGTCTTTGCAACCCACAGAACAGGAGATTCCCTTGGGTGCCTATACCACAAGAGCCCTGGGTTTCAAGCACAAAATTGGGCAGCCATTTGGGCAGACACTGAGCTAGCTGCAAGAGTTTTTTTTTCATACCCCAGTTGCACCTGGAACATCAGCAAGACAGAAACGTTCACTCCCCTGGAAAGGGGGCTGAAGCCAGGGAGCCAAGTGGTCTTGCTCAGCAGATCCCAACCCCACAGAGCCCAGCAAGGTAAGATCCACTGGCTTGAAATTCTCACTGCCAGCACAGCAGTCTGAAGTTGACTCTGGATGCTCAAGCTTGGTTGGGGGAGGGGCGTCTGCCATTACTGAGACTTGAGTAGGCCGTTCTCCCCTAACAGGGTAAACAAAGCCGCCAGGAAGTTCGGACTAGGCAGAGCTCACTGCAGTGCTGCAAAGCCGCTGTAGTCAGACTACCTCTCTAGATTCCTCCTCTCTGGGCAGGGCATCTCTGAAAGAAAGGCAACAGCCCCAGTCAGGGGCTTATAGATAAAACTCCCATCTCCCTGAGACAGAGCACCTGGGGGAGGGGGCGGCTGTGGGCACAGCTTCAGCAGACTTAAACATTCCTGCCTGCTGGCTCTGAAGAGAACAGCAGATCTCCCAGCACAACGCTCGAGCTCTGCTAAGGGACAGACTGCCTCCTCAAGTGGGTCCCTGACCCCTTGTCTCCAGATGGTGAGACACTTCCCAACAGGGGTCGACAGACACCTCATGCAGGAGAGTTCTAGTTGACATCTGGCAGGTGCCCCTCTGGGACAAAGCTTCCAGAGGAAGGAGGAGGCAGCAACCTTTGCTGTTCTGCAGCCTCCGCTGGTGATATCCAGGCAAACAGGGTCTGGAGTGGACCCCCAGCAAACTCCAGCAGACTTGCAGAAGAGGAGCCTAACTGTTAGAAGAAAACTAATAAACAGAAAGCAATACCATCAATATTAATAAAAAAGACAACCATGCAAAAAATCCATCCGAAGGTCACCAACAGCAAAGATGAAAGGTAGATAAATCCACGAAGAAGAGGAAAAGCCAGCACAAAAAGGCTGAAAATTCAAAAAACCAAAATGCCTCTTGTCCTCCAAAGGATCACAACTCCTTGCCAGCAAGGGAACAAAACTGGAGGAAAAATTAGTTTGACAAATTGACAGAAGTACGCTTCAGAAGGTGGGTAATAACAAACTCCTCTGAGGTAAAGGAGCATGTTCTAACCCAATGCAAGAAAGCTAAGAACCTTGAAAAAAGGTTAGAGGAATTGCTAACTAGAATAAACAGTTTAGAGAAGAACATAAATGACCCAGTGGAGCTGAAAAACACAGCACGAGAACTTCGTGAAGCATACACAAGTATCAATAGCCAAACTGATCAAGTGGAAAAAAGGTACCAGAGATTGAAGATCAACTTAATGAAATAAAGTTTGAAGACAAGATTAGAGGAAAAATAATGAAATGGAATGAACAAAGCCTCCAACAAATAAGGGACTATGTGAAAAGACCAAACCTACGTTTGATTGGTATACTTGAAAGTGACAGGGAGAATGCAACCAAGTTGGAAAACACACTTCAGGATATTATCCTGGAGAACTTCCCCAACCTAACAAGACAGGCCAATATTCAAATTCAGGAAATACAGAGAACACCACAAAGATACTCCTCGAGAAGAGCAACTCCAAGACACATAATTGTCAGATTCACCAAGGTCGAAATGAAGGAAAAAATGTTAAGAGCAGCCAGAGAGAAAGGTATGGTTACCCACAAAGGGAAGGCCATCAGACTAACAGTGGATCTCTCTGTGGAAATGCTACAAGCCAGAAGAGAGTGGGGGACAATATTTAATATTCTTAAAGAAAAGTATTTTCAACCACGAATTTCATATGAAGCCAAACTAAGCTTCATAAGGGAAGGAGAAATAAACTCCTTTACAGACAAGCAATTGCTGAGGGATTTTGTCACCACCAGGCCTGCCTTAGAAGAACTCCTGAAGGAACCACTAAATATGGAAAGGAAAAATCACTACCAGCCACTGCAAAACAAACCAAAATGTAAAGACCATCAGTACTATGAAGAAACTGCATCAACTATTGGGTGAAATAATCAGCTAGCATCATAATGACAGGATCAAATTCACACATAACAATATTAACCTTAAATGGAAACAGGCTAAATGCCCCAATTAAAAGTCAAAGACTGGCAAATTGGATAAAGAGTCAAGACCAATCGGTGTGCTGTACTCAGGAGACCCATCTCATGTGCAAAGACACACATAGGCTCAAAATAAAGGGATGGAGGAAGATTTACCAAGCAAATGGAAAGCAAAAAAAAAAAAAAAAAAAAAAAGCAGGGGTTGCAATTCTAGTCTCTGATAAAACAGACTTTCAACCAACAAAGATCAAAAAAGACAAAGAAAGGCATTCCATAATGGTAAAGGGATCAATGCAACAAGAAGAGCTAACCATCCTAAATATATATGCACCCAGTACAGGAGCAGCCAAATTCATAAAGCAAGTTCTTCAAGACCTACAAAGAGACTTAGACTCCCACACAATAATAGTGGGAGAATTTAACACCCCACTGTCAATATTAGACAGATCAATGAAACAAAATTAACAAGGATATTCAGGAATTGAACTCAGCTCTGGACCAAGCCGACCTAATAGACATCTACAGTACTCTCCACCCCAAATCAACAGAATATACATTCTTCTCAGCACCACATAGCACTTATTCTAAAATTGACCATATAATTAGAAGTAAAACACTCCTCGCAAATGCAAAAGAATGGAAATCATAACAAACAGTCTCTGAGACCACAGTGCAATCAAATTAGAACTCAGGATTAAAAAACTCACTCAACACCACACAACTAGTTGGAAACTGAACAACCTGCTCCTGAATGACTACCGGGTAAATAATGAAATAAAGGCAGAAATAAATAAGTTCTTTGAAACCAATGAGAACAAAGACACAATGTACCAGAATCTTTGGGACATAGCTAAAGTAGTGTTTAGAGGAAAATTCATAGCACTAAATTCCTACAGGAGAAAGCAGGAAAGATCTAAAATCGACACCCTAACATCACAAAAGAACTAGAGAAGCAAGAGCAAACAAATTCAAAAGCTAGCAGAAGACAAGAAATAACTAATAAAAAAACATAAAAACAAATTCTAAATAGTATCCTCAGAAATATTCCAAAGACATTTTCCTCATTAAACTAAAACTGGGTAATATATAAAAGGCTGTAAGAGATATGGAGGAGAGTTGAGGCTTCCTTATTTTCAGTCATCCCAGCTGTTTCAGTCAAGGACCATTTTAGGTTAGACAAAATCCATTCAACCCTCAAGCATGCATAAACATGTCAAAGAACTCAGACAAGATCAACAAAGCAGCCTCCTCAATTTGCAGTTGATTGCAGACAGATGAGTTTAGCCAAGACCATAAGAATGACCTACCTAAACTCTACTTTCATGAGCAATATTAAATGATCATTGTTTTAAGCCTTTGGGTTTCAGGTGGTTTGTTATGCAGGATTACTGGAGCAACTGATATCTGCAACTGATAATATATTTTGTAATAGGAAATTACTAAAACTAACGAATATGACCTCCACTTCACCAGTTATGTTTATTGAATGACTTTCATTTGACCAACTAAATTTAAAAACATTATGTGATCAGCTTAAATTATGATCAAATTATGGTGCATCTAACAATGATATATTCCAGAGCACTTGGAGAAATTCATGTTGTGTTATTGTTTTGTAGCCTTAAAATAATTCCAAGCACTTATATGATTTGCTAAATGAGTGACATGTTTTGCTGTGATAAGCCCTCTCCCCTCAAGAATGTTAGGCCATACCTTATCAGGCCCCATATCTGAGCTATTGACCTCAACTACTGGAATCCAAAATACATATAATCCTAAAAGTTTCACAGACAGTTTGAGAACTTAGGCCCTAGCAGGGCTGCACTGTTAGCGGCCTCTCAAAGAGGGAGAGCTCATGCTATCAGGGCCATACCTTATTTGCCTTTGAGCTAACCCCCAAAGCTTTGCCCACCAACACCAGAACAACCCTTTAGCATCTAGGAACCTCTGCTGTGTCAGGTCAGATCATCTCCCCTGAGAACCCCTGGTATAAGGCACACCTCAAACTTTAATTAGACTATACTTTCCACAGAGGCCTGCTTCCATCCTAACTGAGCAACTAGACTTTAATAATTTCGGAACTCACTATGTAGTTAATGTATTTCGTCTATAGGGTATATTCCCTATGAGATTTGTTTTCATTATCCTCCCCATTTAAGCATTGTGAACCAAAAGAAAAGAGAAACAAACTGTATGGCAATAAATAGTGTGATTTGAAAAAAAGAAATAACTAAGATCAAAGCAGAACTGAATGAGGTAGAGATATGAAAAACCCTTCAAAAAATAAATTAATCCAGGAGCTGGTTTTGTGAAAATATTAACAAAATAGACCACTAGCCAGACTAATAAAGAAGAAAAGAGAGAAGAATCAAATAGACACAATAAAAAAGTATAAAGGGGAGATCACCACTGATTCCACAGAAATATAAACTACCATCAGAAAATACTATAAACACCTCTGTGCAAATAAACTAGAAAATCTAGAAGAAATGGATAAATTCCTGGAAACATACACCCTCCCAAGACTAAACCAGGAAGAAGTCAAAACCCTGAATAGACCAATAACAAGTTCTGAAATTCAGGCAGTAATTAATAGCCTACCAACCAAAAAAGCCCAGGACCAGACTAATTCAGAGCCCAATTCTACCAGAGGTACAAAGAGGAGCTGGTACTATTCCTTGAAAGTATTCCAAACAATTGAAAAAGAGGGACTCCTCCTTAACTCATTTTATGAGGTCAGCATCATATTGTTACCAAAACCTGGCAGAGACACAACAAAACAAAACAAAATTTCAGGCCAATATCCCTGATGAACATCGATGCAAAAATCCTCAGTAAAATACTGGCAAACTGAATCCAGCAGCAGATCAAAAAGCTTATCCACCACAATCAAGTCAGCTTCATCCCTGGGATGCAAGGCTGATTCAACATATGCAAATCAATAAATGTAATCCATCACATAAACAGAAACAATGACAAAAACCACATGATTATCTCAATTGATGCAGAAAAGGCCTTTGATAAAATTCAAATCCCTTCCCGCTAAAAACTATCAATAAACTAGGTATTGATGGAACATATCTCAAAATAATAAGAGCTATTTATGACAAACCCACCGCCAATATCATACTGAATGGGCAAAAACTGGAAGCATTCCCTTTGAAAAATAGCACAAGGAAAGGATGACCTCTCTCACCACTCCTATTCAACATAGTATTGGAAGTTCTGGCTAGGGCAATCAGGCAAGAGAAAGAAATAAACGGTATGCAAATAGGAAGAGAGGAATTCAAATTATCCCTGTTTGCAGATGACATGATTGTATATTTAGAAAACACCATTGTCTCAGCCCAAAAAATCCTTAAGCTGACTAGCAACTTCAGCAAAGTCTCGTGGAGAAATAGGAACACTTTTATACTGTTGGTGGGACTGTAAACTAGTTCAACCATTGTGGAAGTCAGTGTGGCGATTCCTCAGGGATCTAGAACTGGAAATACCATTTGACCCAGCCATCCCATTACTGGGTATATACCCAAAGGACTATAAATCATGCTGCTATAAAGACACATGCACACGTATGTTTATTGCGGCATTATTCACAATAGCAAAGACTTGGAACCAACCCAAATGTCCAACGATGATAGACTGGATTAAGAAAATGTGGCACATATACACCATGGAATACTATGCAGCCATAAAAAATGATGAGTTCATGTCCTTTGTATGGACATGGATGAAATTGGAAAACATCATTCTCAGTAAACTATCACAAGAACAAAAAACCAAACACCGCATATTGTCACTCATAGGTGGGAACTGAACAATGAGAACACATGGACACAGGAAGGGGAATATCACACTGGGGACTGTTGTGGGGTGGGTTGAGGGGGAAGGGATAGCACTGGGAGATATACCTAATGCTAGATGACGAGTTAGTGGGTGCAGTGCACCAGCATGGCACATGTATACATATGTAACTAACCTGCACAATGTGCACATGTACCCTAAAACTTAAAGTATAATAAAAAAAAAATCAATGTGCAAAAATCACAAGCATCCCTATACACCAGTAATAGACAAACAGAGAGTGAAATCATGAATGAACTCCCATTCAAAATCGCTACAAAGAGAATAAAATACCTAGGAATACAAATTACAAGGAATGTGATGGAACTCTTCAAGGAGAACTGCAAACCACTGCTCAAGGAAATAAGAGAGGACACAAACAAATGGAAAAACATTCCATGCTCATGGATAGGAAAAATCAATATTGTGAAAATGGCCATACTGCCCAAAGTAATTTATAGATTCAGTGCTATCCCCATCAAGCTAACACTGACTTTCTGCACAAAATTTGAAAAAAACGACTTTAAATTTCACATGGAACCAAAAAAGATCCCATATAGACAAGACAATTCTAAGCAAAAAGAACAAAGCTGGAGGCATAACACTAACTGACTTCAAACTATACTACCAGGCTACATTAACAAAAACAGCATGGTACTGGTACTTGTACCAAAACAGATATATAGACCAAATGAAACAGAACTGAGTCCTCAGAAATAACACCACACATCTACAACCACCTGATCTTTGACAAACCTGACAAAAACAAGCAATGGGGAGAGGATTCCCTATTTATTAAATGGTGTTGGGAAAACTGGCTAGCCATATGCAGAAAACTGAAAGTGGATCCCTTCCTTACACCTTATACAAAAATCAACTCAAGATGGATTGAAGATTTAACTGTAAGACCTAAAACCATAAAAACCCTAGAAGAAAACCTAGGCAATACCATTCAGGACATAGGCATGGGCAAAGACTTCATGACTAAAATACCAAAAGCAATTGCAACAAAAGTCAAAATTGACAAATGGGATCTAATTAAACTAAAGAGCTTCTGCACAGCAAAAGAAACTAGCATCAGAGTGAACAGGCAACCTACAGAATGGGAGAAAATTTTTACAATCTATCCATCTGACAAAGGGCTAATATCCAGAATCTACAAGGAACTTAAATTTACAACAACAACAACAACAAAAAAACACCCCATCAGAAACTGGGCAAAGGATATGAACAAACACTTTTTAAAAGAAGACATATAAGTGTCCAACAAATATATGAAAAGAAGCTCATCATCACTGGTCATTAGAGAAATGCAAATCAAAGCCACAATGAGATACCATCTCACGCGAGATAGAATGGTGATCATTAAAAAGTCAGGAAACAACAGATGCTGGAGAGGGTGTGGAGAAATAGGAATGCTTTTACACTGTTGGTGGGAGTGCAAATTAGTTCAACCATTGTGGAAGACAGTGTGGTGATTCCTCAAGGATCTAGAACTAGAAATACCATTTGACCCAGCAATCCCATTACTGGGTATATAACCAAAGATTGTAAATCATTCTACTACAAAGACACATGCACATGTATTTTTGTTGTAACACTATTCACAATAGCACAGACTTGGAACCAACCCAAATGCTCATCAATGATAGACCGGATAAAGAAAATGTGGTACATATACACCATGGAATACTATTCACCCATGATAAAGAATGAGTTCATGTCCTTTGCAGAGACATGGATGAAGCTGGAAACTATCATTCTCAACAAACTAACACAGGAATAGAAAACCAAACACCACATTTTCTCACTCATAAGTGGGAGTTGAACAATGACAACATATGGGCACAGGGAAGGAAACATCACACATCAGGGCCTGTCAACAGGTGGGGGGCAAGGGGAGGGACAGCATTAGGAGAAATACCTAACGTAGATGACAGGTTGATGGGTTCAGCAAACCACCATGGCACACGTATACCTCTGTAACAAACCTGCATGTTCTGCGCATGTATCGCGGAACTTAAGGTATAATAAAAAATTAAAAAAAAAACAGATTTACAAGCAAATAGACAAAAATAATTTGTTGTAATCACTGTGATATTTCTGCTCAGTTCTAGATACTCAGTTTCTTTGCCAGAAATTTACAAGTTGTCATATTAATTGTTTTCAGAAGAGATATAATGCAATTGGTGAACAGAATACATAAGAATTGGAGACAAGTTAATTGGGAAACTTGGGACCTTGTTAAAATAAGTTTGTGTTGTAATTTCACTTTGATTTTTTACCAGAAAACTTTTGGACTGATACATTTTACTTATGATTATTTGTCATGGAAATAAATTAAGTAATTGCTTATAAAAAGAAACAGGCTAATAATGGAAACAAAGAAACATATGAGAGTATCACAGTGTCCAAAACTGAGATTAAATATTTTACAAACATTTGCCAGTTATCACATTAGGCATTTTTACATAAGATATCTTATTTAATCACAAAAATGAGTAAGGAGAATATTATTCCTATCTTACAAAGGAGAAAACTGAAATTCAGAGACGCTAAGATATTTGTCTATAGGCATTTAGTGAGTTTCTGGCAGTGCTACAGCTTAAACCCAGAGATTCAAACATTAAGCACAGTATTCTTTTTATTCTACCGCAACTGCTATGAAAATCAGAAATGTTGTACTGAGTTAGACCTATGAGTTAGACCAGCTCTCAATGCTGGTGCTGAGGTCACAATGTAGCATGGAGGCAAGGCTCAAAACCTGCTGCTTTAGGATGAGAATTAGCCCAGGGCTCAAGAGTCAGAAGGCAAAGCTGAATCAGCAGTTGAGACAAGATAATAAATTAAATCAAGCAAGCACACACAGGTCTAAAGGTACAAAGAACAAAGTGTGACAGGCTAGACCAAGCAAAATATGGGAACCAAAAAAGCCTAAATCCTAGAGAGTAAGGCAAATACACAGGAGTCTAGAAACTCACATAAACCAAATGGCTGGGCTCAGTACTCAGGAGAGCAGATACATGATACCAATAACAACGGATGTTTAAAACCAGTGAAACCCATTTCCTGGCCAGGTAACTTCTTATAAACTTTAACAACGATAAGAGACAGTTGTGGAAAGAGTCTAATAGGTATCTGTCTCTGATATTGATCTCAAATGACAGATTGAAAATTTTAAAGCACATTCCATTTTTCATATCTAATACCAGTCAAACTTTTCTTTATCTAGAGAACACAGGGTGGAAAACTGATCATATATTTAAGATTTCTATTGGTTGCATAAAGACCACTTTAGGAAAGATTTAAAAACACACGTTTATGGGAAATTTTGCAGGATTAAAAAAAAACCCTCATATTTATACTTAGAGATGAATAGGCAAAAAGCATTTCAAGATAATATGGACAAAATCAGCCCTCAACAAGAGGTGCTTGTTTCTAAAGGAATAATAGCCAAAAGCCTTCAGCTCATTGTATTGAGAACATAACATCACACAAACAGTGTAAATCACAAAGCATTTTTACCGCATAATGTTATCATATGGAAGCACATTTTGCTAAGGTAAATATAATCAATGGGTACACTTCATTTCTCCTTTAAGCACACATGTTATAGGGACAACGTGTACTAGGAGAGTGTTGGCTACCTCTCCAGGGATGTGCTGATCAGTGAATCTCAACAGAACTAGATCTACCCATTTCTTAGAGTCATTTCTTTGAAGTACAGTTGCTAAAATAAAAGTACCTTATCTTTTCATCCATATGATAATCAAAGAAACCTCCCATCCTCCCATGATATAAAAAAAATTGGTTAGGGTAGATAGGCCAACCTAACCAAATGCTTTTCCGGACAGTTTCTGATTCAGGATAGTTTGTCTTAACAATTGTTTGACATTACAATGAGTATATTAGGATGTAAACCCATCATAAGTCAAGGAGCTCCTTATGACTTAGGATGGGGTTACAGCTTCTACTGAATGTGTATTGCTTTCCCACCATCATAAAGTGAAAAAGTCATAAATTGAACCATCATAAGTTGGGAACTATCTGCTGTGTTGTAGTATTAAACACATTTTTGACTTTATATTTTCAATTTACGATTGGTTTATCTGGACGTAATCCTATTGTAAATTGAGAAGCATCTGTGTATGTTGGAACCACATTTTTTTGCCTTTGTTTAGGATACGGCACTCTAAATGCTATCTGCTCACCAAGGCCTTTCATTCCATGAAGGCTATTGGCTCTGTGCATGCTCCAACTGTCTTTTCCACATGCAAGCCAGCTTGGGCTCTTGAGTTAATACAGTAACAACAACAACAATAAACATGACAGATACTATTCATTGAACACTTACTATATGCCAGGCATTGTGCTATGTACTTTATCTCATAGAAATATAGGAAGTATCCCTGCCCCTCTATTGTACTCTGGATCCCATTCCCTCCTGTTTTCTCTTCTTTAATTTCTCCTTTTCTAGTGTATGTCTCTATTGCAATATAAACATCCACTATAACTTTCTATATTATAAAAAATAGATCCTTCCTTGATGACTCATCCAGGCCACCATTCAATTTTTCTATGCATCTTCATAACCAAGCTTCTCAAAGGAGTCAAATTCAATTGATGTTTCTATGTCCTGATTTTACACAGTTGATTACTCTCTTCTTGAAACACTCTTCTGTCTCAACTGTCATGAAAGGTAGATTTCCTTCCTACCTTCTTTCCATATCTATTCATTTTCTTTACTGATTCCTCACCCTCTATGGCCCCGAGATTGATCCTGGGCTCTCCTCCCTTCTCTTTCTAAATTATGTTTCTTGGTTATGTCATCCACTATCATAATCTTAAAAATCAGAATACCTACTTCTCCCAAGATTACATTCCTGGATCACAATTCTGTGATCTCCAGACACAGAAAAACTGACCTTTTTTTTTTTTTTTTTTTTTGAGACGGAGTCTCTCTCTGTCGCCCAGGCTGGAGTGCAGTGGCGCGATCTTGGCTCACTGCAAGCTCTGCCTCCCGGGTTCACTCCATTCTCCTGCCTCAGCCTCCCGAGTAGCTGGGACTATAGGCACCCGCCACTGTGCCCGGCTAATTTTTTGTATTTTTAGTAGAGACGGGGTTTCACCGTGGTCTCGATCTCCTGACCTCATGATCCTCCCGCCTCGGCCTCCCAAAGTGCTGGGATTACAGCTGTGAGCCACCGCGCACGGCCAAAACTGACTAACTATATACTGATATTCCACAGGCATCTCACACTCAACATGTCAAAAAACAAAACTTGTTATTCACTAAACACACGCCCGAATCTATTCCTCCTTCACTTTTCCCCATCTCAATGAATGGCACTACCACAGGACCAGTTGCTCAAGCTTGAAAAATAGGAGTCATCCTTGATCCTTCCTTGTATCTCTATATATATCATCTTTTTATTAATAGTACTAACAGCATTAGTTTCAGTAATAAGAAGAGATAGTCTTTCTTAAACATCAATTAAATGTCAGACACTGTGCTTATTATTTTATCTGTATTCATTTAATCTTCATACCAAGGCTTTGAGGTAGGCACTATTATTGTTCCCATTTTATAGATAAGAAAATTGAAGTACAGAAGGTAAAGTAACTTGCCTGAAGTCATACATCTACTAAATGGTAAAGCATGGGGTTGAATCCAGCTCCAGAGCCCATCCACTGAGCAACTACATTAGGCTGCCTTATTTCTGTTTCATTTCTAGTGTGTCTCTGCACTTAAATTTCTTGGATGGGCAGTGTTGGGGCTCAGAGAACAATGCCCCAAAATTAAGGCCTCAGGATCAGCCTCAGATACAAGTTTTTCTTTAACCTTCTGCTATCCTCCTTTCTCACAGTTCCATTCTCCCTCGAGGCTTGCCATAGAAACTAGAATCACCCTTCTTCAAGGCAGGTCATGGAAACCAGAACCCATGTTCCCCCAAGCCAGCCATAAAACCTAAAAATATTACTTTAACTTTCCCTCTGACTTTCTGTGGCAAAACCAGCCATAAAGAAATTATCTGGCCTACCTTGTTTGGCTGTAGCTCATAAGACCCTTCCATTCCAGAGAGGGTCCTGCCCCATGCCCAGAAGGAAGAACTGTGTGCTCAGAGAGGCCAAGAAGAATCTAGACAGACAGGACTTGCTGGGTTTCCCCACTCAACCTATTCATTAGATCATACACTTTTTGTCCAATCATGTTTCTACATAGCTGTCCATACTTTGTTGAACCTAAGCATAAAAATTAAGAGTTCCCCCTGTATCTTTTGGTCTTCATTCTAAAGGATCCCATGTACATACGTTAAATAAATGTATATGTCTTTTCTCCTATTATCTGCCTTTTGCAAGTTGATTTCTTAGTGAAACTTCAAAGCAGCTACCAAGTTACTTAGGGAAACAACCTTCAATGAAAATCTCCCTGTGATGCAATTAACCCTCTAAGATAGGCAATACTACACATATTGAAAGTTAAGTTGAGAAAGGTTAAGTAACTGTTTAGGGTCATAAAGCCATTAAGTGTTGAGCTTAGAACCCAAACCAACTCTTAATGATTCCAGAGCCCCCAAATTTAACCATTGGGCTATACCTCCTCTTTTCTGAGTTTTCTACACTGATTCAAACTGCCTATCATACATTTTTCCATCACGACATTTGACTATCAAATCATAACTAAGCATTTATTGTGCAAAGAAAACTTTGCCTCAGGATCATAAAGTCATTAGCAGTTATTCTCATTTTTTAAAGCCATGCTTCTTTTTAAGTCATTCTGAGAGAGATGAGGTCATTCTAGGAAGGAAGGAAGGACTAATCAAAGACTAAGGAGACTGATGAAAGCATTTTGTCTGAAGGGCTCACTGCGTGCCTTCCTCTATGTACAATTATTGGAGTATTGACTCACTATCAGTAGGGCAGAAACTCAGGAGTTCTTTCTCCAATAATAGAAATAGAAACCTTGCATATATCTAGTCACTTTGGGGTGGTTAATCTAAACTCCTTTTGTAAAATAACCCAGGATAAGGAGTACAGACTATAGTCATGAATTAGAATTACACTGTAGCCCACATAAAAATTAAATCCATGGCTCTGACCAAAGCAAGTTAGGGAAAAGTCACAAGTCATATAGTATCCTCAACAAAGTTATTTTTTTTCTAAGCAGGCCACATGTCAGAGCACTGAAGCATCAGAAGTAGAATTAGAAACAGAATATAAATTAAAGAGGTTCTAGGGAATTGGCTACAGGGACTGTAAAAATATTATCTTTAAACTTAAATTTTAACTAGCATGGAATGAAATATTTTAGAAGTCTTCCTAAACAGAATTTTTGCCCCAAAAATGTACATATGCTGTGATTGACTCTATGTATTTTATTAAATTATCAAAAACACGTATGATGTCAGCAGAGGAACAAAGGGAAAAGGCTAGGAACCAAAAAAAAAAAAAAAAATGAGGGGGGTGGAATGTGTCCCAGAATGAAACAGAAGGCTATAAAGCAGAGGGTGAAGAAAGCATTAAACAATTAGCTCTGGGAAAAGAAGGGTAAGTTTAAGATTATTCACAAAATTGTGTCCATGGACTTTATCTTATACTATGTCTTAAATCACAGAACTAAACAGTATCAACTTTCACTCTAACAGACACACATTACATGTATAAATGTATTCATATGCATTAAAAAACATAAAATTATTTTAAAGCAGCATGACTAGGCTCTCAAGCCATTTGTCTCTCATAAAATTTACAAATTATTTTATATCTTCAGAAGGTCATTGGCTTTCACTCAGTGTTTCCTGCCCTGTATCTCCTATGTCATCTACATACTCTTCACCAGAGTTTGTCCAGAGTTAGTTGGTTCTTTGAAGATGGAAGGGTACCACAGTCCAAGGAATTCAGGCACCCTCAAGAAGGTGAAAAAGACAAAGAAACTAATTCTCCCCTAGAGTTTCCAGAAAAGAATGCAGCCCTGCCCACATCTTGTTTTTTTCTCAGTGATACCCATTTTGGACTCCTGGTTTCCAGTGCTGTAAAATAATAAATGTGTGTTGTGTTAACCACCAAGATTGTTGTAATTTGTTACAGCAGCAATAGGAAACAAACATAATCCCCTTTCCCTATCCCAATTATTTGCTTTCTTAGATTTTTCTTTTTTCTCCACTATTGAACTCCTACATCTTCAACAGAGAATACTAGCAACTCCATCTCTCATCTTTGTTATACAAGCACAGGCTGCCAAGACCAAAGAATGTCTTCTTCACATACTGCTCCTTGCTCCGCACTTGCCATTTATTTGCAGCAATTCAAAGATCTGATGAAGTTAATTTGAGGCCTCAAGTGACATCTGTCCCTTTCATTTATACCATCTTCCTACTTTCCTATATTGCTGTCCTCCCCTATTATTGTCCTCTCTTCCTCCTGGGCTGCTTCAGAGGGCATAAGAACCAAAAAGAACTCATTAAGAACATTTCTTGGCTCTCACTTTCTTTGATGTAGAAATAAGGCAAGCGCATTCTTGTATAATGCAGACTGCCACACAAAGGAGCAGAATTTGACACAAAGAAATAGATGTTTCATCTAAATCCATGCCTCCATACAGGTCTACCAGTAGAAAGACAACTGAGGGAGGTTGACAATAGAATCATTGTCAAAAATTCTACTGTCTTTTAATAATCAAAGAAATGGTAGTGGGAATCTAAAGGTCTTCCTCTATGTTAGATTGCTTTGTACAATAAGGTGGCAGGTCTCGTTAAATCAGTCAAATATCCATTGAGTGGCTAAACTGCATGCCTGCAATTTTGCTCATCTCTAAGATGATAAAATATAAGTATGGTTATAGTCCCTTTCCCAAGGGAGTTTCAAATCCTGTTAGGGAAACAAAATCAATAAATACTAAATATTCAGAAACTAATTCAATGCAATAAATCATCAAGAGGCAAATCATATGGTTATTATTCACAGTGGGGATGTACGATACAGTTCAGAGAAAGGTCAGATTAGTAATGGCCAGAGTAAGTGGAGAAAACTTCTTAAATAGGTATCCAGGTAAGAAAGCCAGTTTTTCTTTGCCATTGACTTGATTCCTTCAGCACAAATACTATTTGTGAAGGAGGATAAAGATGTCTGCAGAGGTGCATTCCTGGGTCAGTGCTAGCCTATCTGAGTACAGCTCCTCTTTCCCTGTTACTGAGAACAGGGTCCTTACCCCTGGTACCCATGCTCAGAGAGATGGCTAGGATAACTGAATAAAAGAGATGGAACAAATTTAAAAAGGCAGCAGGGAAAAAAACAGAGTCTAAATAAAGAAAAACTAGAAAGACCAAGGAGGAAGGAAGTGACATCCACCGACCTTCAAAATGACAATTACAGACTCTTTGTCAAAGCTCATAGTTGAAAAGAGCTGTAAGAACTAAGCCTAATAACTCCCCAAATGCTGCTTTACTGGCATGAAGACACAGCTGCAGTTTCCTTTCTCTCTCCTGCTCTTGCCTACCAGGAGAGTCTTGGAAAACATTTTCTGGATAGCTGGCAGCAGAGGTCACTGGCATTGGGCCCTGTTCTTCAAACCAGCAATGTTATACCTAAGATAATAATAATGAAAAGAAGCTGAGTCTGATGCTATCCTAAGGAAAGGACTGAAAAAGTGACCACATTGTTGGTGGCAGCTGAAATTTACACAGATCTGGGAGGTATACAACTCTGTGGCACAAAAAACTCGGCATATAGCAGATATTTAACATAAGCTTGTTGGAATGAATGATCAAATGAGTGACTGTACATACAACACAAGCCCGAGAATATGAAGATTTTCTAGTACAATGTATCTAACAATATTCATAAACTTGCTTTCAATGAATGCTCAAAGCTGAGTCCCACAAAAAAAAATCTTTATGCTTCTGGTGTTTGTCTACCTTTTCAGCCCCATCTGATACCACTCTCCTATTTGTTCACCATGCTCCACTGATCTTCTCTGAAATCCTTAGGCATTCCTTGCTCTTTCCCTTCCCAAGGCAATTGTACATGCATACTGTTTCCTAAAGCAATCCCTTCTCCCCATCCCACCACTGCTGACTAGCTCCTACTCATCCTTGAGGTCCCTGTATAAATACCACTTCCTCAGAAAGGATTTTTCAATCTCCCATATGAGGCCAGCCATAAAAGTATGAATCAGTACGTCACTTACAACATTCACGTAATCAAGGAAAACAGTTGCTATTCTGAGAAGTAATCTAGTTCGCTAATAGAATATCACCAAGTGTCACTGTTATAGTTGAGTGAATAAGCTGAAGAGAACATGGGCCTTGCTCATTTTGCTAATTCTTAATTTTTGTGCCTAGCATAGTCCAGTGACATAAGAACAATAAAGTCAAACACAGTTGAAAACCAGTCATTCTCTCTTTGCTTTTACTCTACAGTCCAAAAATCAGGCCCCTCCTTCTCTACACATCCTTCCCTCCCTCCCGAGGCAGGACATTTCCCACCACCACACTACCCTCCTCTTCTATATTGTGGCCCCATTCAACACTCAGAAAAATGAATCTGCTGACAGAATGGACACATAACTCAAACCCCATAACACTTAAATAGTGACTATAATTTTGTTTCTATTCTTCAATCCCTTCCATAGGCAAATGATCCTATGGGCCACCTATTACCAGCTTTCATCTCCAAGTCCCCTCTCCACCTGTATGCCTCCACAAAACAGACTTTACTGGATGTAGTGAGATAAGTGCTGCTGCTCTTGTTAAGGCAGAAAAAAAAACAGAACAATCTTGTCTTCATTCTTCACTAAGACCCCATCAGGAAGTCCCTGGTAATACTCTCATTGTGGTCATAGTAGGAATGACAGCATGGTCTCCATAAACATCATGACACAGAGTGGCTCTCTTTTTGTTGCATTACAGGGAAGGTCTATGGGTCAGTTGCATTTTTTTCCAAACCCAAGCATAATCATGAGATGGTAATATAGCATTAGTAAGTCCCCATTTTATGTCATTGACAGAAATATAGACACTATCATATTGTAAGCACTAATAGTGTAGGACTCTGTATGCAGACCATCAGCAGGGTTTCCAGGGGTCTAGGATCACAGGCTGGAAACTACTGATAGTATATTTAGTAATTCTGTATTGCTTCTTCAGGGGGTGCTGTTTGATGAGCAGAATGTTTGTCGGTTGAAATGAAATTCAAAGCCCTGCGGTGCATTTCAAGTTTCTCAGCAGGCCATTTGCATTGCCCTTCCTGCCATCATAGTAAACTCTGCATTTTTCCTCCCCAAACTCATTAACCTATGGGAGACAAGAGACATTTCTTATTAGTACAATTGCAGAACTGACAGAAAAGAGGGCCAGAATAGCACCAAGAATATATCTGAGCACAGGGCTCAGGTTCCTGCCACAAACAGCGTTCAGTCTCTCAGTGATCAGATCCTTCACTGCCTGTCTGCTCTTCATTCAAAACTGTAACCAGAGACAGCAGACCTTCAATGAACTTCTAGACAAGGTCATCATTCTTCCCTTACCCAATACCCATTGTGGGACCCAGACACTGCTTCTTTTGAGTCACTTCTGATGATTCGCTAAGACCCCATACACTATGTCAGCAGACTTAGATGAAAGTCTATTATCCCTTATTTCTAAAATAACTGCATCAGATGTGTTCTCCATCCACACCTCCCAGACATCTCCCACACTTTGCTCCCTCAATCACCTGGTTCCTCCTTACTCTGCTTTGCAAAAATTTGTCCCTCTTTCAAAAACAGAAAAAAAAAGAGGGGGAAAAATCCTCTTTGGCTTGATTCTGCTGCCATTTTAGAGACCAATTACTTTTCTCCTTCCATTCAATAGCAAACATTAAAAAAGAAATTATCTCAATGCCTCCATCCTCTCAGCAGCACTTTCCCCTTAATCTCTTATCCTCTGGCTTCCGTAATCACCAAAGCACTGCAATTATTCCTTAATGGGTTACATGTGACCTGCTTTTTTTTCACTGTCTTTATTCTTGAACTCTGTAGTTTTACCTGATGTTGATCATCCCCTCTTTCCTGACTCTTCCTTGTTTTTTTGTTTGTTTTGGTCACTATGCAATTCAGGGTTTTTTTTCTGTTACTTTTCTAGGCAGTTATTATTTGTCTCTCTACTGATTCTTTTTCTCACACTTACAGGTAGGTACTATCTAAATTTCTGTCTCCAGTCCTCTGTTGTTTTTGTCTCTAGCATTTTCTCCCTGAGGAGTGGAAAGCTATAATAAAGCCAGAGTGGCAGATTCAAATGCTTGCAAGGCCCAGGCAGATAATGTAAATAAATGTAATATGTAAATATGTAAATGTAAATAAAGAAAAAATGGGTGGGTATAAGATACAATTAGGAATAGTGGATACTGGGTATAACTACACTCAACACAAATTTCTAAGGGAAGAACTGCTATGCAGCCTCAGACAAATCATGCCATGTGTATGTAAGTTGGCTAAATGTTGCCACCTCTTCCAATTTCTCATCAGAAACCCGAAGTCTGGATTTTTCTGTTAACTCTCCAAATTTTTTAATGTTAGCCACTGATTCAGTTTTTCAGAATGTTGTAGGCTGTATCAGTTAGGACAGGCTAGGTTATGCTGCATTGACACATGACCCTGAGATCTTAGCTTACAACAAGTTTTTTTTGTTACGCATATCATCTCCCATCATAGGTAAGTTGTGTCTCTGTTCCATATCATGTTCAAGCTGACAGAGCTACTTCTATCTAGAATATTGATGACCTCATGATAGAAGGAAAAGAAAATCTGGTGGATTATACACTTAAATTTTGCCTTAATGCTCATCTCAAAAATAATGCATATTATTTCTGCTCACATTTCTTTTCTTTTCTTTTATTATTATTATACTTTAAGTTTTAGGGTACATGTGCACAATGTGCAGGTTAGTTACATATGTATACATGTGACATGCTGGTGTGCTGCACCCATTAACTTGTCATTTAGCATTAGGTATGTCTCCTAAAGCTATCCCTCCCCCTTCCCCTCACCCCACAACAGTCCCCAGAGTGTGATGTTCCCCTTCCTGTGTCCATGTGCTCTCATTGTTCAATTCCCACCTATGAGTGAGAATATGCGGTGTTTGGTTTTTTGTTCTTGTGATAGTTTACTGAGAATGATGATTTCCAATTTCATCCATGTCCCTACAAAGGACATGAACTCATCATTTTTTATGGCTGCATAGTATTCCAAGGTGTATATATGCCACATTTTCTTAATCCAGTCTATCATTGTTGGACATTTGTGTTGGTTCCAAGTCTTTGCTATTGTGAATAGTGCTGCAATAAACATATGTGTGCATGTGTCTTTATAGCAGCATGATTTATAGTCCTTTGGGTATATACCCAGTAATGGGATGGCTGGGTCAAATGGTATTTCTAGTTCTAGATCCCTGAGGAATCGCCATAAAAACCCTAGAAGAAAACCTAGGCATTACCATTCAGGACATAGGCATGGGCAAGGACTTCACGTCTAAAACACCAAAAGCAATAGCAACAAAAGACAAAATTGACAAATGGGATCTAACTAAACTAAAGAGCTTCTGCACAGCAAAAGAAACTACCATCAGAGTGAACAGGCAACCTACAAAATGGGAGAAAATTTTCGCAACCTACTCATCTGACAAAGGGCTAATATCCAGAATCTACAATGAACTCAAACAAATTTACAAGAAAAAAAACAAACAACCCCATCAAAAAGTGGGTGAAGGACATGAACAGACACTTCTCAAAAGAAGACATTTATGCAGCCAAAAAACACATGAAAAAATGCTCACCATCACTGGCCATCAGAGAAATGCAAATCAAAACCACAGTGAGATACCATCTCACACCAGTTAGAATGGCAATCATTAAAAACTCAGGAAACAACAGGTGCTGGAGAGGATGTGGAGAAATAGGAACACTTTTACACTGTTGGTGGGACTGTAAACTAGTTCAACCCTTGTGGAAGTCAGTGTGGCAATTCCTCAGGGATCTAGAACTAGAAATACCATTTGACCCAGCTCACATTTCATTGACCAAAGTAAGCCATGTGGCTAAGGTTGATGTTAAGGGGAAGGCGGAGCAGAGAGAGGCATCAAGTGTTTGTGAACAGTAATATAACCCTACTGGCCAAACATAACTATCAGTGGTCCATTACCAGTTTGCAACTTCTCGTTTTCAGGTAAAAGTAAACAACTAAGACTCAAAAGATCTGATTTATCATCACCTCTCAGGAACTGTGTGAAGCCCTAGGCAATTTATATCATCTATTGGTCTTATCTGTAAAATGAGGGACCTCAAGTACACGACTTTTAAGATCCCTTTTCAGACTTAATGTGCTGAGTGTGTGAAAAGCTCTGTGAAGGTAGACCACTCTTGATGCTGAACCTCAGAACTGCTCTCACCCAAGTCCCAGTCCTACATTTTCCAAAGATTGCTTCGCATTTCTACTTAAATATCTAACTGCCAGCGTTCAACAACTAATCCAAACTACTCTTCCCTCCAACATTGATTTTCTTCTGGCCAATATCTCTGGAATCATCTTTACCTCTTTTCTCTCTCCAGTCCCCCATCTCCCGCAAGATTGTCTTCTTACTTTTTCTTATATCTATCCTCTCCTTTCAAGCCTGATAACTATCAAGATTAATCATGCTCCTTATCTACTTGCACTTGAATGGCTGACTTGGCTTGCTAACTTGGCTCTTGCGACTCCTATTCCTAATGTTTTCCAGTTGTCATGTTACCACCTACTGACCTCCATCCACCTAAACCCATAACCTCAATCCTGCTCAAAAGTCTTCAATAACTCCTCACTCCCTTCAGGGGAAAGTCTAAGGTCCTTTGCCTGCCATTCAAGTGGCCTTCCACAACTGACTGTATAAATCTAAGTCTCTTAATTTCCCTGATGTTTAGTGTCCCCATTTATGAAATGGGCATAATAATAGCTTACTCTACCTATGTCAGAGGGTTATGATAATATGAAAAAATGGTGATATAAAATATAAAGGAGGCAAGACAAACTATTGTTTAAGCAACCCACAGTTTCTACCACTGCAAATGCAAATAAATTAATGGAGTTTTATTTGGCCAAAATAAAGTTTCAGGAATGATTTTTCCTAATAAGTAAACATCTAATAATTTGCTTGCAGAGTGAGATGTTAAACTAAATAACCTGTCTTAAAGGTTCCTTTCAACTCTGAGATTTAATTGTTGCCTCATAACTACTGCTTACATTAGAAAACTAGAGTGAAAATAATTTGTGGAAATGACAGCAATGCCTAGCAGTTAATACCATGAGTTCTGGAATCGGCCAACATTGGTCCAAATCTTGACTTCCCCACTTATTGGCTGTATGAAGTTAGATAATTGAATTAACACATAAGTGCTGTTTTTATTTAAAAATGTTTTGTTCATAAAGAAAAAAATGGAACAAAATGAAAAGTCCATTTATATTACATAGTTGCTTTAAAAAAAAAGATACAGAGACCAATGTATTAACATAGAAAAAATCTCCAAGACATATTGTTATGTGAGAGGGAAAACGGATACTATATACTATAGTGGAATCCTATTTTTGTACATATATTTATTTATAGATGGATGGGTAAAGATCTGGAAGGATGCATGATGAAGAGTTAACCGTGATCGTCTGGGGGGTTGAGACTGATGGTGGGCTTGTGGAAAATAGAACATGGATTTTTAATTCTTATACATTGCTGTACTAATTAAAATTTTTACAAGTTTGCATTATTGTATATTGAGCATTTTCAAAGGAAAAAACTCTCCTAAGAGATGTTTTGTTCTCATTTGAAGCCAAGGTCTTACTACTTCCAAATAAAGATAAACCCTATTCCAAAGCATCACCAGAGCCCTGCAGGGGTAGACCTCAAACAGGCCTATCCCACTAAATGATGTTTCCTGCAAAGTGAGCTTCCCCTCACCTATTATTCCCGTAAATACTTAAGAATGTGAAAGAGTTGTGGTCATTTATTTGACCTTGGTGAGTAGGTAGATTTGTAGTCAGAGTCTGCAAAATAGTCGGGAAGTAACAGGAAAGGATTAAAATAAAATATAGTAAAAATGGCAAAAGGACCTTCTAGATCCTGACAAAATCCTTATTTCAAGCAAGTGGTGTCACCCACAGCTGCATACCCCCAAGGAAATTTGCAGAAACCTGAGCACCATGCTTTCACCAGGAAGCATGGTGCCCTATCTGCTGCTATTCATACCATCCCTCTAGTTTCTAATCCTTTGTCATAAAAGAAACATCACCTCAAACTGTATCTGTTGGCATCTTTCTGCCATCTTATCACTATCCTGTTTTGACAAATACACAGAAATACAAGCAGCCAACAGCATTTACAGAGGACTACCCCCGGACCAGGCACTATGCTAACCCCTTTACGTGGATTATCTCAGTAAATCCTCTCAATGGCCACATGCAGAAGGTAATATCATTTTACTACCAACTTCTTTGCTGTTCTCGATCCTCTCAGGTATACCATTCTCAGGAAACTATCCCCAACCTCAGCAGCAGCAGCCAACAAAACCCCAAATAAGCTGCTTCTTTTACTGCAGTGACCAGAGAACAATGTCTTCAAGAATGCTGTAAAGCCAGCCCCATGGCAAGTGTTGTACCACAAAGGAGGGGGAAGCCATTCCATGACTTTTTCAAAATTCTCTTCATTCCAGCTTTCTCAGTAAGGTAATCTGATTCATGAATTCCAGATTTAAACGGTTGCTTAGAAACTGACAGGTTTTCAGTCTACTGTATGGGGCAAAGAGAACCAACCTGCTGTCCCTACACAAGGAAGTAGTTTTTCCCGTTGACCTCTGTCAGAAGAGTGGCAGATGACCTAATAGCAGCCAGTGCAGAAGCCATCCCTTTCTGAACTGAGGAAACTCTTGAAACTGTTTCCAAATGCAATTGCATCAGGAACTAAGTCTGGCCTATATATACTCAGCTGTAAGTAGCTTTGATACAACAAAGGGCACCTGCTTCAGAGAAATAAGACACATTCAGATAGTTGTGTATCACCTTAAAGCTTAAACAGAATTCCCACCCAGAATGTCCTTCTTTCTCTTGTCCATCTAAACTGCAAACTTTTACAAGGCCCAGGTGTACTCTCAAAGGCTGAAAAATGTAATGAAATAGTTCTCAAACCTGGTGGCATATTAGAATCTCCTGGGGAGCTTTTAAAAGCTGCCAATGTTTAGTCCTCATCCCAGATCAATTGAACCAGAATCTCTGCAGAGTTGGGCCTGGCTATCACTATTTTTTAAAAACTCCCTGGTGATTCTCATATGCAGCCAGGGTTGAGAATGACTAGTGTGGCTATTAAGAGCAAAGGCCTCTAGGTTCAAAAAGATTTGAACTAGAGTCTCTGTTTCAACAGTTTCTAGCTGTGTGACTTCTAGTAAATTAACCTCTTGGAGTCTTGGCTTCATCTGGAAAATGAGTGTAATAGTACCTACCACATAGGGTTATTTTGAGGGTTGAAGGACATAATTCATGTTCTATGCCTAGCACATAGTAAGTATGCAGTAAATGTTAACTGTTGTGATTATTATTTATTATCAACAGCAATTATGGAAAACCTTTGATAACTACTCCCAGGCTAGGATTGCACAGTTTTCAGTGCTATAAGAACTTTAGAGATCATTTTATTCAGTGCAGAGAGGTGACATGACACACATTTCAGAAAAACAAACATTTACCAAGCCCAGGACAGTTTTAATTCTGATTCCAAGTCCAGTACTCTTTCCACTACACTCATTTCATTTCAATAAATGTACTGAACACTATGTGTCCAATTCTAAGGTAGGTTCTTGGGACAGAAAGATAAATTACTATCAAATTGCCCCTACCCTTGAAGGTCTCAGTCTGGTAGAGGAATCCAATGTGTAAGTGAATAATTACAGTGAATAATAAACCCATTTATACCTGAGGTTGCAATTTAATTTTTCAATCAGACCGTGGTGATGACCTTGAGCAGTAGGATATAAATAATTCCCACATGCTTAGCGTTCCAATAATGGAACACTAGGCATTAACATGTGCTTTTATACTCTCAGTGAGTCTAAGATTCTATGGGCTTATGAGAGGTAATGTGATTAACTCTGGGTGGGCTGATGACGATTGCACTGAATAGGCAATGACTGTATCTCAAAAGAGAAATAGGAATTTTACAGGTGGAGAGGGATGTATACACTGGACGTTTTAGGCAGAGAAAACAGCAGGAGAAAAAGGCACTATATTAGCATGCCTCTCAGCTCTATCTTCTTGCAACCTCTAGAACACTTGTCTGTGCCATTCATTTGTCAAATAATAATGTTTTGTCTCATGACACCTCTTCTATTATTGCCTTGAACTATTTATCTCCTGTGTTACCTAATTTTTCAGATCTTGTCACTCCAACTAGAATTTAAGTTTGAAAGAAGAAAACCCAATTTAATAGATCATCATGTCTCCCACAGTGCTTTGCACAAGGTCTTAAATAGAGTGGTTGCTTAATGAATACTTGACTTATTGTAAAGGGAGGAAAGCAGAATAATCTTGAACATATCCTAAATTTACCACTCATCATCAGAGCCTCCTGTGAAATAAAGTTTGTTCACTGTCTCCTCCTGATTATGTCAGGATCATCAAAAAGAGTCTTTGAGTTCCTTCTCTGTGTCCACAACAATAAAGACTATTGTGGTATACTAACGTTATCAGATGTCCCACATGGTATCAACTCTTTGCATATTTCAACACCATGTCCTGGGCATTTTCTTTAGCGCCTGGGAGTTTTTGGGCTTATTTGGGCAGACCAGGAGTGAGAGGGCCCTGCACCTAAAAGAAGGTGTTGGGCTGGGCATCTTGGTGGTGAAGTGTGGCTTGTGTTGACAATGCAGGATGCGGTGGGACAGCACAAACTTGATCTTGGAGTTGTGGAACTGTTTGATTGCTGGCACCTGCTGGCCAAGATCCCTTCTACCTTCACAATCTGGATCCAGTGGGCCCAACCACATTGCTGGGCACCCATTTCTCTGTAGTACTGGGTGACAGCACCCCCAGTGGCTGAGTCCAGGTATTCCTGGTACATGTTGTGGGTGCCACTGCATGAGTTGTGGTGCAGCCACAAGCTGAAGTTCTTCACCTGCAGGCAGAATTGCTCAAATACCTACCCACACAAGACAATTTCCCCCAAAGACTTCTTCATCTTCTTTAGCTGAGATACAAAGTACCAGAAGCGGGACTTGGCAATGACATGATTAAGTGCAAAGATTTGCATGTGGTAGAGGGGAAGCATGTAGCATTTGGGAGTGGGCAGGTAGTGCCCTGCCACCTTTTACTCTTGCAGCGTGCCAGAGGCCTTTGTGGCACTCTATCTGCACTCACTGCAGCCTACAAAAGGCCATGTCGTGTTTTTACTGATTAAATTATCAAGGATCTCAAAGATAAGTCTAGGTAATCCTTGCTAAAAACTGCTGATTGCAACAAGGCTGGACCAAACAGTCTGCATCCCCAAAGTTGTCTAACAAGCGTCAGGCACCCTGATGAAATCAGGAAGAATGGATAAACTATGGTGTCATGCTCTAGCAGCATCATAAAGTTATCTTCAGACTGATTGGCCTGGGGAAACAGCAACCTAATGCTTCAGCACGATGGAGAACAACATTTCTTACAAAAGATGGAGAGCTTGAACTGAATGAAAAGTCAGAATGAGCAAAGGGAATTTCTTCCACTTAGAAACACCTCAAATGTTGACTTTAAGAGTGGGAAAAATATGTTCCTGCCCAGACAAATCTTAGCTGTCATTGTGCACAATCGTAAGCTCTAAGTAGTGAGAAGCTGGCACCTATTCCAATAGAGCCTGGCAGAGAAGATCTTAATCAAAGGTGATCCTTATCTGACTGATTGTTCTGGATGTTTAGAAGGTGATTCATTGCCAAACTGAGCACAGACATGTGTGGATATGAAGGTGGTTGTATTCACCTACACAAGAAATATTTGAAAATTAATACATTGTTCACAGGGTGGAGGTTTATAGTTCAGGCAGAAGAGTTGGTCCAGACGAAATTTTAGAGTTAGGGTAGGAAAGGAAAAGAAGATATCCTAACAGACTTACCTCCTGCAAGGACAGCTTGTTATGAACTTAATGAATCCATCACCTCGATTATTCTTTCCTTTCTTCCTCCCCAACAGCAGGCAACTCTTCCTATCCTCCTTCTTTATCCCAAGTGTTTGTAAATAATTCAATACCTTCTTATAGACACATTGAGAAGAATTAATGAGAGAATGTATGTGAAATAAGCAAACAGAAAGCTTGCTACTGTAAGTTTCCCCTAGCAACCTAATATACTGTGTGTAAAGATCTTTCACTGGGTAACCATGTTTTACGTGGCAGAATTCAGATTGACCCAGGTAGAAATGGGAGAGTTAGAACAGTCAAGCAGAAACACTTAGGGATTGATATTCTAGAGGACAGTGACTGTAAAGTCAAACTTTTGCCTAGCTGCTTTAATAGAAAATAAATGAATAACCTCACAAATTATTAAAATACAACAGATAATGGGAATGGCTAAGTAACTTATGCTGAATAAACAAGATGGAATATCAAACATTAAAAATTAGAAAATTGTACTATGAACAAACATAGAAAAATACTGCTGTGTTAGTTGAAAAAGCAAAATACAAAACTGTGCATACAGCGGCTGAAATGATTTAAAATTGTGCGGGCCGTCACACCAATGAAAACAATTATGTGAAATGGTGATAGTCATATAAAATTTATTAAATATATTATTTCATAGAAGTATTAACTACAAAAAAAGCGTACAAATCAGTTCTATCCAGTTTTACAATGCATATTTTAACTTTTCTTTGAAAGTGGACTGATTTTCTTTCTTCTTTTTTTTTTATTTGTTTTGTTTTTTTTTTTTTTTGAAATGTAGTCTTGTTCTGTCACCCAGGCTGGAGTGCAGTGGCGCAATCTCAGCTCACTGCAACCTCTGCCTCCTAGGTTCAAGCAATTCTCCTGCCTCAGCTTCCTGAGTAGCTGAGATTACAGTCATGTGCTACCATGCCCGGCTAAATTTTGTATTTTTAGTAGAGACAGGGTTTCACCAAGTTGGCCAGGCTGGTCTCGAACTCCTGACCTCAGGTGATCCGCCTGCCTCAGCCTCCCAAAGTGCTGGGATTACAGGGGTGAACCACCGCGCCTGGCCTTGGACTGATTTTTGTGATGCTGTTTTCCTTAGGCTGATGTTAATGAGTCTGCATTCTCTGAGCCCTTATTAAGGGATGGTAGGAAGGGTAGATATGAGTGCAAAATAATTCAGGAGTGTTTTGGGTTGCAGGGCGAAGCTATTTTGAGAAAAAATATTTGTTGTAAAATCTACTGGGTGGAAAATTTACAGACATGTTTTTAAATGGTTATAGAGATACATTTTTTAATGCCCTATATAGGAGTGGGTGGAAATAAAAATGGAAACATGGAAGAGAAACTATAAAGAAAGGCTTGGATAGCTGTGTTCTGAGTACCAATTACATGAAACTGAATTCAGCTATTCCTAGAAATAAAAACATGAAACACAATTGTTCCTTTCTCATCTAAATCAAGCCTAAACTGCTACCAAACCATATACTATTACCATAACCAAACTGTGTCAAATAATGAATGCAAACTTAAGCTTGCACTTCTAGACTAGGAAAATATATATAACTCCAACCCTATTTACAAATACTCATGTCATCTATGAAGCTCTGGCAAGATGTTATGAGTACCACTTGCCCTTTTTCTCTTACATAAATACAAATAAAAAAGCAAAACAAACAAAAAAAAAACAACAACAACTAAATGCTCAAGTCGATAAGGAAGCAGACTATTAGGAAGGCATGCAACATTTATCTGAATAGTGGATATAATTTAAGAGACTAGCCACGGTCCTCTTAATGACAACTTGCATTTACTCAGCACCTTATTCAGCAATACTTTTACTCAGTCTAAGTAGCAATCAGAGCCCAAACCCCTGAAGAAAATTATTCTATCAAAACAACTCTAAATTTCACTCCTGCCACCAATACTTTCCTATTTCAGGGGCTGTTTGCTGATCATTTTGAAGGGATTTGACTGAATAATGCAATTAGAATAAAGCAACAATGCATTTTTCCACTTTAGGCACCCAAGTCCTTCAGGAAGACACACTCTGCTATCCTAATGAATTCGCATAGTCCTTCTCTAAAGCTAGATACACTATTGGTGTGGCTGGTTGTTCACTTGAAATCCTTAGTCACCTAGGAACAGATTAGCTGGTTGGTAGATTCCCTGGACATCTTGGCATTATTGCCCCTGCTCTTCCCTGACTAATATCCTCCCACTGGCCCTGGGTTTCTCAGATTGCCCCCACTACAGCAGCCAGCCCTCCACATCATGCTCTCCTTAAGCAACACCCCATGCTCTAGAATGTCCTCTGTCTCCTTTGCTCATCAAAGCTGACCTGGCCTCCCCTCTTTCAGAGGCCTGCTCTCTGCTGGGGGATAGTGCATTAACAGACTATTCAGATAAACCAGTGCTTCACAACTTTTTAAAGTGTGAAGATTTTTCTTAAATATCAAAAAAGTTGGTCTTTTAATATCTGTTGATGAAAATGTACTACATAATGACAGAAAGTTATCATATCATTAGTCATACCTCTAAGTGAATTTGTATTTTACTAATTAAATCAGCATCTACATAGATTAGATTGGAAATGAATTGTACATCTATACATGCTACTTCTTATTAATTCTATCTTTGAGATTTTATTTTGGTATGCACACAGTGTCACTGATCTCTTGCAACAATTTTTGGAATATCACAGGCCTGAAGATTAGAGGTTTGCAATCACTAACATAAACCAGCTATTTCTTTAGTTTTTTTTTTAAATACCTGGCATGATAGGGTATGCTATACATATATAATCTTATTTATAGCCTCATGAGGGTGATTTCATTATCATCTCCCACTGTACAAGAAATAGAGCTCAGAGAAGTTACTTCACTTGAGCACAGTTACACAGCTAGTTATTAGGCAAAGTTGAGATTCAAACCCAAGTCTAATTACAATGTCCCTGTACTTAATCCCCAAGCCATATTGCCTGTCACTAAGTATTCTTGTAGTAAATAAGCTTCAATTTACCATTTCCTTAATCAAGTTAAATAGCACATAAAGTCTTTCAGGTATGATGTGAATGGTGGTGGGGGTGGCTATAAGCCATTGGGGGAATTAATTGGAGGTAAATCCCTGAAATCACATTTGCATGCCAAACTACTTAGGTTCAAGAATACGATCAAGACACAGTACAGTGAAACTGCTCTTAAAAAATCACTTGGATAAGTTAAGTGATCTATTGCACTTCATGGTGACCACAGTTAATAATAATATATATTTCCAAATAGCTGAAAGAATAGATTTTTAACATCCTTGCCCTGAAAAAATGATAAGTTGGTGAGGTGATGGATATGTTAATTAGCTTGACTGAATCTTTCTTCAGTGTATAGATAGATCAAAACATCACATTGTACCCCATAAATATACACAATTATTGTCAATTAAAAATAATTTAAAAATCACTTGGAGATATACATGTTTAGGTGATGTTTTAAATAAGTCAAAATGGAAACATTTAGTTCTGTTTTAATAAACAGTGAGTTGCTCAAGAGAAAACCAGTTTCTAAGAAGAGTTGGTTAATTGAGTGGTAACAGGAGATCAATGGTTCTCGAAATGTGGTCTCTGGACCATCACCTGGGAATTTGTCAGGAATACAAATTCACTGCTCCTCCCCCTGCCAAGCTCCATAACCTCCTAAGTCAGAAGTTCTAGGGATGGGTCCCAGCAATCCAGGTTTTCACAAGGCCTCCAGGTAATTCTGATACACATTGATGCTCATTGGAGAACCATCAAACTAGACAGCTATTTACCAAAGTGGCAGAGCCGGGAGGAGGCAATGAGCATACTAACAATAAAGGCAAGATTCTGGTTGGAGGAAGGCTAATCCAGGCGCAGCAAGACTAGTATAATAAAATAAGTAATAGCACATAATACCATTAATTATTCATCAAACCAGGTCATATAGACCTGGGTTTGAGACTTAGCTTGCTAGCTGTGTAATCTTAGGCGAGTAACTTAACTTCTCCGAACCTCAGTTCTCTCATCTGTAAAATGAGGATAACAACAGTACCTCCTTCATAGAGTTGCCATGAGGATTAAATAAGTTGATCCATGTAAAATACTTAGAACATATATATAATAATAAATGTATGATAAAATTAAGTTATAATTAGTTGGATGTCATATTTCTTCAGTTGTAGACAGCTTAGTCTAGAGGCATGTGGACATGTTTTCATTATGTCCACAAAATAAGGCTTTAAGCCACCCCTCCAGAGCAATGAAAAAGGAATGGATAGGGACCTAGTGATATTAGGAGGGACAATTAAAGGTACCCATCTGAGGGACATTGTATTTATAAGCACCCAAGCAAGTGGCTTAAAGAGGTGGCCTCAAGGAACAGCAGTGAAAGAAGATGGAAATGGGCTTGAAACTTAGTAAGTGGGCAAAAAAATGAGCTTGTAAATTTTTTTTTGAGACGGAGTCTCTCTCTGTCACCCAGGCTGGAGTGCAGTGGCACGATCTCGGCTCACTGCAAGCTCCGCCTCCCGGGTTCACACCATTCTCCTGCCTCAGCCTCCCGAGTAGCTGGGACTACAGGCACCTGCCACCACGCCTGGCTAATTTTTTTTTTTTTTTTATTTTTAGTAGAGACAGGGTTTCACTGTGTTAGCCAGGATGGTCTCCATCTCCTGACCTTGTGATCCGCCCGCCTCGGCCTCCCAAAGTGCTGGGATTACAGGCATGAGCCACAGCAACTGGCCTATCAGCTTGTAAATGTAAACAGGACCATGCTTGTGATCCTTAGGGCACTTTAAATTGAACCAGCTGTTCTCTAGGTTGCTGATACCTATAATTATACTTAGACTGACTCTGGCGATGCAGGTGGAGCCCCCCTTAACCAAAAGACAGCCTCCTGAATGCCTTAGAGTCTTAGCTGATACATTATTCAGATACAGAATTTTGAGATTTCTTGAAATGCCATTTTCCACTTAGAAAACAGAGTCTGACTTTAAATATTTTAAATCTAAATCATCGACTCTGGAGTTGAACAGACCGAAATTCATATCCCAGATCTGCCTCTTACTAGGTCTGCGGCCTTGGGTGATTTACATAATCTCTAGCTCTCAGTTCCCTGGGCTCTAAAATGAAGACTCATTCAATCTATCTTGCTGGGTCATTTTTATGCCTAGAAGTAACAAGAGAAAGCGCTTAGCACAGTGGCTGGCCCATACTGAGCGTGCAATAAGTGTGGACCGCTTTCATTGTTTGCCTATCTCATAATGAAGATGTTGTTGAATCACTGTAACATTTTAATAGTTTTTTGGACAGAAAACATCACCGCCCTGATTCTATCTTTGTCTTAGCACAGCAATTTTAATTTTGGAGAAGGCTAACCAGCAATACTGAATTCTCTAACTTGAGGCTTTGTTGTCTGGCATAGCAATCTGAACTATGCAGGTATTTGAGAATGAATCTACCTCTTAAAGGCCTTAAAGGGTAATAGTGATTGGTATTATATGAAAAGGGGGCTTCCAAAAGGAAATAAGTTTATGAAATGCTAGATTAAACAAAGTTAAACAGATTCCTTTACTGTTAAACTGCTCAAAGCTTTTGGTATCCTAACATGCACAACACATTTCCTAGAGGGAATCATAGCATGAATCATTTCCCAATTTATTTGACCATAGAAGCCCTTTTCTGAAAACAAACAAAAAACACCTAGAGATTAGTATTGCCCAGAACACACTTTAAAAATACTGTTCTTATCATTCCAACCATTCTTTCAGTAGCACAGAGGGAAATCAAAAGAGGCAGCGCTCCCACAAATCAGATATCTCCCTTTGTCACGTAGATTAAATTGCCTCGTACCAAATCACAGAGAAGTACAAACTCTTCCAGACATACTGTAATTCTGTCATAGCAAACATTACTTTGCGGGGGGGGGGGGGGGGCTGAAGAGATCATTACAACTTAGGTAGCAGGATTTGCTAAATGGTACTTGGTCTTTTGGAGAGATAAAGGATTTTAAGTTATCTGTAGGGGAGAGAAGAAATGGGAAGAACAATGCCAGACGTGGTGGCTCACACCTATTAATCCCAGCACTTTGGGAGGCCGAGGCGGGCGGGATCACCTGAGGTCAGGAGTTCAAGACCAACTTGACCAAAATGGTGAAACCCCATCTTTACAAAAAATACAAAATTTAGCTGGGGGTGGTGGCAGGTGCCTGTACTCTCAGCTACTCAGGGGGCTGAGGTAGGAGAATCACTTGAACCTGGGAGGTGGAGGTTGCAGTGAGCTGAGATCATGCCATTGCACTCTAGCCTGGGCAACAAGAGCGAAACTCCATCTCAAAACAAACAAACAAACAAACAAAAAAAGAACCAAAAAACACTCTTTTCCCTTAGGCTTTTGCATTCCTGGCTTTACCCTAACCCAGGAATTTCTTTGTGAGGACTTCTTCCCCTTGTTGTCTCTTTTTGCATAGCAGTGCTAGCTTAGGACTGGCAAAGGAGTCACCAAAGCTGGGTTCAGATATCAACCATTTTTACTGAAAGAATGGGAGTACCATTTTCCCCATCACCGCACAATGCATAGATTAGGGGTGCAGGAACTTTCTTTACCCTTTGGGCCAGCCCATGAATGTTTGTTTTCCCTTCAGCCACTTGAGCCCTTCCAGAAAGGTCCAGAGTCTCTCTACCACCGCCAACCCTCCTGTTTTGTATTATTACCTACTTTTTCCTCATAGCGTCTCATATCCATTGTCTCCTTAGGGAGACAATGCCAAAGAACTTGCTCCTGAAGAGCTCCAAAAATATTTAACAATAATGATACCTGACAATACCTTTAGTTTGTATGTCTCTTTTGTTTACATCTTTCAACAGGTTTTAAAACACCCCATTTTTATGTTGCATTCTTACAATATCTCTGTGAAACAGCTAGGGCAGATGTAGTTACACCCTCATTTTATAGACAGAGAAAATAAAACAAAAAAGTGAAACAAGTTTCTCAAGGTTAGTCAGTTAATGTCAGGGATGAAATTAGAACCATAGTCCACAAATTCCCAGCCTAATTCCTTGCAAATGCCACAAGGACTAGCCTTGTTCTCATGGAAGTGAGATCTATAGCTGAGCTTAGCATAACAGAGAGAAGTAGGAATTCAAAGACCTTCCCTGGCATGGTTCTCATACGGAGTAGACTTTTTCATTAGTCTTTTGTTGGGGATATCTGCCTGGATTTTGAACCTACTGTAGGAACTTCAGATTGTCATCTGTTTCAATACTATTTGTCCATATAAGTCAGTGAGGATCCTGAAGATGACATCCTTGTGTCTGGAAAGTCAAGGATTTAACAGTTTCCTTACAGACAGGAGCAACTTGTTCACACAAATTATTCATGCAGACCAAGTCCCAGCAGTAGGAGTAGAAGTGTATCTGAGTCCCCAGTGTAACAAAAATAATTTTACGGCAAACTTATACATACCTCATCACCTAAGGAGGGAATTTACACTCCAGGAGGGATTCAAATAACAGAATATTTCCTCAAGGTGGGGTCCTAAAAAGCTACAGTTGCCCCCTTTTCTAACAACTTGATCCATCACTTTTTATTGCTAATGTTTATACATTATGAAAGGAAAAAAAGACACATAAAAATAGCTTGAGATTTTGAGGAATTGAGATTTGCAGATCAAGAAAATGAAGCTGAAGTTAAAAAAAAAAAAGGAAGGGAGAGAGGGATAGAAGTCTTGCTTCAAAGATTATTTTTCCTTCATGAAAACAAATGGTTTCTTCTCAGCTCCACTCTGCTGAAACTGAATCTTTCCTCAGAGTTGACTTGCTCCTAAATCTAGTGCTGAGATCAAATTAAACCTGCTTTTACCCAATTCCATCAGCTCAGAATATGTGCTATGCAGCTCTGATGTTAGCCAGTCTGAGAAGGCATAAAGGCACAAAGGAGCATATTTTCCCCTCTACCCACCATTCTCCAGGCCAGAATGCTGAACCATTTGACTCCAAAGATGGGAACTTGGCTTCCAAATCTTCTTCTGTAAACCACTTTATACTTTCCTATGAGGTAGGTTTATTTGGAAAGACTGGTGGGAAAATAAAGGCCATGTTTTTATCAAGCCCCAGAGCTATTCCACACTCAGCAACATTTGGAGGTTCATAAAAAATGGCCCCACAGCAAAGCCTAATAATTAATACACATATTGTATATGCTGAAAACCTGAATAAAGAGGAAGGGGAACATGGTTACAGAGAAACTACTCTAATGCAAGTAAAAGCATCTCACTTCAAGTCCCTTCACCTGTTTTAAGCTATAAGGGAAAGCATGCATTAACTGTTACTACTGGGAAAATCTTTTGTACTATCAACGCTTCCATCCACCTAATTCCCTCATGAAATACTACTTACAAATAGGCACATATTTATGGAAACATAAAATTTTGATATCAAGGACAGCATAAATCCCTCCACACGTATCAAAACATAGCTTGTTCTTTTGAAAACTGTTCTCCAACTAAGTTCACCTATTTCCATAATATCATGTACCAAAATCTGTATCCCCAAGGTGTAGGCATCTACATATTTACCATTATTATGAACTCCACCACCTATCTTCCTCCCTGAGGAGTCACTGTGGAATAGGAAATCAACAAAGTGAGTTAGTGGTAGATGTAGGGGCACTGCTTATCTAATTAACCACCAAACTGGTAGAAAAAAAAAATGAATCAGAAAGGGAGAGTTAGAGCAAAAAGAGAATACTGAAGTCTGCTCCCAAAAGCCACTATCTTGTCATCACAAGAAGTTTACTTCTTGATCCCTCCCTCCTCCGACCTCCAGCACCACTTAAATGCTTGCCATACTTGCAACATGTCTGTATCATAGTGCGTTATTCTCTGAAGATACCAGGCACTTCCATGTGACCTCCTGTACAGAGCTGCAAACTCCTGAAAAGTACAGAATGTTTCTGTATGCTTTCACATATCCCCTATGCTACATGAGAAGTGGGCAGTAAACACTTGGTAATATCATATTCCTCCTCTAATACTTTTTGAGCTTGTAAAGAAGTTAATACATTCATCCTTGGTAGAACTTTACCAGACACAGTTGGAATTCAGGTGAGTTAGTCAATGGCTGATGACCCATCAAGAATTTTACAGAGTCCCTGAAATATTTTTCAGTACTGAAACCAAGTAGCAGCTCCAAGACAAATCCCCATGTTGTTGATTAGTGGTAGCAGGAGGGGTGGCCAAGAACACCAAACTGTAAAACAGTAGATTTACCTCAGAGTTACGGTGGTACCATTAACCAGTAAGGTGCTCATGGTAAGTTACTGACACTGAGTTTCCACATCTTTATAATGGTGATGGTGCAGGAGGATAATTAATAGGTGTTGTTTCGAAAATCCAAATATAGGATATTACTTTACCTCTACTCCAATTCACTAGAAACCCACTGATCTAATATACGTTGTCACTAAGAGATTCTGGTTAGAAAAACTATAATTTCTATCATCCAACTGTGCCACCTACCCAAATAGCAGTCAGAGAACCTAAATAGCAATTAATTTGCTTCCATAAGTGAGGTCTTGCAAATACAACCCAATTATCATGAGAAAAACACATCATCAACAACAAACATTGCTTGTATACTTTGAGTAGACTACAAATAGGTACATGATTTCCACCTTGATCCACTTTCCTTTCTCTACAGAACACTTATTTATTCAATAATTATATCCTAAACATATATGGTGTTCCAGGTCCCATGCTATCCACTGGTGATATAATGGTGAAGAGGAATGACATGCACCCTGCCCTTGTTCTTCTTAACTTAGAATCTAGAGGCAGAAAAGCAGATTCTCAGCCTCTCAATGGGCTTATGGAGAAAATATACCACTTAGTTCACTCCCAACTTGAATTATGAACAAGAAAATCAAATTGAAATATGAAAACAATGGCAGTCTACTGCCTGAGCCACAAAAGAAGCCCATATATGACCTTAACTGCTGGACCAACAGAATTCTTGAGTGGCCATTCTTGTCGTGACCTCAGTTCCCCAGCTGGAAAATGTTAAGTGTAAAATATAACCTCCAATCATTCTGAATAAAGAACTGAAGTCTTAACACCAACATTTAATGGGACAATGAGCTTTCAAACTTTTAATAAATTTTGACCAAGAGAAATAATACAAGACAGCTTAGTAATAGTTACTTTCTGGTCTTGCTTCTTTTGGGTATTTATTTCTTTATCAATGGATGGAAATCCATTTTAAAAGCCCCTAATACTATAAATATCTTAAGAATTTTTTTTCCTTTCTCTTTGCAGGATTTTGGAGTTATCCTTTAAATAAATTCAAATAAAATGAAGATTCAGCAATCTGATTACTGTGACCAGGCCCAAAATCATCAGTTTTATTCTAATAACTGCAGGACTCTTTGCTGAACCTCCACAACTGTCAGCCACCCTTTGTTTATATGGCTACACTTATCCCCTTTTCAATCCCATGATCTACTTTATATGCATTTTTGCTTTGTCTCTTCTAGTACACAACTAAAAATGGCTATGAAAGTGCTCTGAAAGCCATAAATGCTATAACAATATTAGTGATATGTTCCCTTACTCTATATTTCTCAGAGTCTTCAATGCACATTGTGGCTTCCTTAGACAGGGCGGCATTTCCCAAACTTATTTGACCTCAGAATCCTCTTCCTCATGCCCCGATCTCCACCCAGAGTATATTGAGGGACTTGTGTTAAGTGGAATACACTTTGGGAAACCTTACTAGACAGTGAAGCGATCTGGGGTCTATCCTGCCCTTGCTACTAATTAGATATGTTACTTTGGGGAAAAATCACATAATATCGTTGTGCCCCAATCATTTTTATAAAAATGAGACACTTGAATCATCTTACTAGAGTAAGATCTGCTACTTATGAAGTAGCAGAGCATGTGAATAACTTTCTGTTAGGCTAGTCCCTTCCTCTTTCTGAACCTCAGTTTCCTCCCCTCTAAAAGAGGCAATAGTTCTAAAGTAAAGGTTTGAGTAAAATCTCAAAGATACTATGATAAGCTGTCTTCTAGGACCATAGGGGCCTTCCTAATTGTTCTCACTTGATAGACTATATGAAGCAACTCACCTTCTTAGCATCCACAGAACAATTTCTAGCAACAGCAGACCAATAACAGATCAAGTAGCCCCGAAAAGGCATAAAAAAATAAAAAATAAGAGTGGTCCAGGAGAAGAAAACCCAAAGTCAAATCAGTTAGGAACTGTTTAAAGTAGAGATAGGGTTCTTAACACTCAAATACATTAGTTCTATGGTCTCTTTTAGAGGGGAGGAAACTGAGGTTCAGTAAGAGGAAGGGAGTAGCCTAAGGTCACACAGAAAGTTATTCACATGTTCTGCTACTTCATACAAAATTATTCTGGAATATAATAAGAGACTTTCAATTCTCTCTCCATCACTGCATTTATGAACATTTATCTATACCCACTCTAGTTTAATGCTGGGAAACTAAGGGAGCACCTCATTTGACAAAGATCATCATTTCTCCTGGTGTTCTGATTCTGAGTAGAAATCAGAGCCACAGAGGGACACTCCTTGCCATGGGTATATGTGTGTGTTTGCACACAAACATAAGTGTATCTATATCTGTTGCTATTTTCCCTCTCATTGTTGGTTCAAATTCAGCTCACAAAGCCCAGCACTGGAGAGGAAGTTCTGTTCTGCTCATTTAGGAACGAAAATAATGCAAGGACATCTTTGCCCAGAACTCCTAAATTTAAAGATTCACAGCTGCTTGGGACTCCTCTGGCTCTCTGCTTATCCACTAGGCTGCTACTTCTTCCTTCATTGGTTGTTTCTCCCTGGGCCTTGAGGTAAACAGATGGGGGAGGGGTGGGGGTGGAGAGAGGAGGGAGAGGGAAGGGAAGGGCAGGGAAGGGAAGGGCAGGGCAAGGCAGGGCAGGCAAGGCAGAGGGAGAGAGAGAGAAGCTATTTCTTTCTCCTATACCAAAGCCTGATCAACCTTCTGGTTCAGTCTCATGACTAGCTGTGTAGCCTTTCTAAACCTCAGTTTCCCTGACTGTAAAATGGGAATGCTAGTAGTACCCATCTCATAGGGTTGTTATGAGGATGATATGAGTTAATATTTACAAAGTACTTAGAGCAGTGACTGGCACGTGGTCATTATGCAATAAATTGTGACCATGGGCTTCCTTCTGTACTTTCACACAGTGGTGCTGGAGTGGAAATCAGCACTGTCTTGTGGAGGATCACTTTTATATAGGAATCACAAGTTCCTAAAATGTGAATTACATTTCTAGAAATTTCTCCTAATAAACCACTGTGAAAAAGGTAACAGGAAGAGACAAAAGGAGATATACCAAAATGTTAACAGATGTTATCTCTGATATGAGGGGGAAAATTATAATAGGTGATTTTTATGGTTTCTTTATACTTTTCTGTACTGCTTGAAGGTTTTTTTTGAGTGAACACATATTACTTTTATAATAACAAAAAATAAAAAGCAGTTTTCTTTGTGAAAAAAAAAAATGTTTCACAAATCCATCCATTCCCCAAATTACCTGTCCCAGTAATTTTCTTGTAACCATTCACCATTCTGGGAGAAAATGGCAGAACCCACTCTATAAGGCTGGCTTCTGCTTATCGCAACAAAATTCTTGTAGTGGTTCTCGTCACCCTTCATGCTCTTTGGTCTCTCTTTAAAAAGGAGGGTGAGGGCGTGAAGAACAAAAAGACACCAAGTTGAAAAATGACTACATTGAGCCAATGGCACAGACCAAAGCATTCCAGAAAAACAGCCATGCAGATGAATACTCTATCACAAATAGAGACTCTCTCCCAGCATCCATCTTTTTCTTCCCCTCACCCAAACTGCTCCCTGGCTAAGTTAATATCCCAGCATCAGCATTAACTCTCCTAGCTTTGGTCAGGTTGTGTCACAACCCTAGATTTATTTAAACAAAAATTTTTTTGTATTTATTATTGAATTACAGCTTGATAAGGGAGACCAATGCATGCATGCAGCACCATAAAAATTCTGCAGAGTGCCAGCTTCCCCAGCCTGTTGTGTCCTTCAGACAGCAGTGACAAATCAAGCAGTCTGTGGACAGCTCCTCCTGGTGACATGAGTTACCTCACCAACTAGGGCTTATTACAAAACACAAACCATTGCACTGGGCTGGAACAGAAGGCAATTTTCAATTCATTTATAGCCCATGCCACTCACTTGTTTAACCTCAGCTCTTAAGGGGATGGCCTTGCAAATACAACCCCTCTTGGCCATATAAATTAGTAACTGTTAAAGATAAGCTCATAGCCAGTGAATTTTGGATATTTCAGCTCAGTTTGTTTTTAATTGAAACTAGAATTTCTTACTTCAAATTTACATGCAGTTCTTAAAAATGAGATTACCACAGTCATATGCCAAAGTCACATGGCAATTCATGAGGCATATTTCTCCCTTATGGTAACAATTTGGATATTTAGCAAATAATAGAAGAATGTAGCTTGAGTGGTTATATTTTCTCACATTTCATTCCAGAAGTCAACAGTCTAACTATCAATTGGTGATCCATTTTCAAATATATTCCACTGCAGGCAAGTAACAAATGCATATACTGTATAAGCTAGAGACTAACTTATCCCATTGACAGGGGATAACAATTTCTAAACACATCAAGCAGAGTCAGATTTATATTTCCACAGAAAACCAACTACCTCATGTTCTCATTTATAAGTGGGAACTAAATATTGGGTGCTCATGGGCATAAAGATGGCAAAATAGACACTGGAGACTACTTGAAGGAAGAGGGAGGGATGAGGGCAAGAGTTGAAAAACTAACTATTGGATACTATGCTCACTACAATGGTAATGGGATCATTTGTATTCCAAACTTCAGCATCATGCAATACGCCCCAAGTAACAAACCTGTACATGTACCCCCTGAATCTTAAAAGTTGAAATGATTTTTTAAAAAGATTTGTGGTTCCAATTTTAATAATTTTTACTTGCTACAGTGAGATTGGAAAAGGTGTCTAAAGAAAAGCTGAGAAGAAAGGCGGCTTTTATTGAGCCACTTAATATATGCTTCATGCATTTACATATATTATCTAATTTACTTCTCACAATAGCATAAAGAAACTATTATTATTATTTTCAGTTTAACAGAGGAGGGGATTAGAACTCAGAGGCATTCCCTATGCTGCCTAATGGGGCACAACACTAAGAATCAAGAGCCAGAAATCAAATACAGGCTTTTCTTACATTATAACCCCAGGATCTTTCCAAGATTGCAAGTAATTACAATGATGATAATGTTATTAATAAAAATTACTGGTTCATGTGCATGCCTTTTGCATCATTTAAGTAAGCCCTATTAAGATTGGAAGTCTCACCTGCCTAGGGAAAATCACAGGCTGAGTGAAAGCTCTTGGTAATCTTTACTTCAAAACCAAAATGATTCGATATATCAGAAACTTCAAATATTCAGAACCCAATGAACCAGTATTATTATCAAATAGCCGCTATTTGCCCCACAACCTGCTTTCAGGAGAAAGTAACTTCTTTCTCAGTACTTTGCATATAGTTGATGAGTACTTTGCATATAGTTGATTAATACTTTGCATATAATTGACGCTGAACCAATGATTCTAGTTAGTTGTTATGTATAGTACTAGTTCCAAAAACTCTCAGAGAAATGCTCTAGGCTTTACCTATATATTCTTCCCTAAAGGCAGGCCCACTTTAGAGAAGTTTGCTCAAGTTACTTGTCCAGTGTCTCTCTGAAATTCATAAATGCAGCTGAGGACTTTGTCTCCTAAGCCCAAGGCTGACAGCACATCTAGGTGGAGCAGATCATGCCTAACTGTTATGATGTCAGATCTGCTAAGCAGACTAATGCCAGAACTTTTCTTCCATGCAAAGTACCCCAAACTGCATACTGATGCCTAAATTTCTACATAGCCCTGAATTGGTGAAAGCCTTTAATCACTTCTCCATCCTTGTGTAAAACTCTTCTTTTTCCAAAATCATCCCCTGTGTTCCACCACACTCTCTCCCTCCTTGTCACAGCCATCTACTGATTTCTGGTCAGTTCCAAGATGCATTGAGGACCATTACACCTGGCTTATAGGCCTCCTTTCCACTCAGTCCTGACATAATCTTTCATGGCTTTAAAACCCACATGAATCAAACTTCTAACATCCTTGTCCAGTGATTCTGAACCTTGGCTCTGTGCATCTAAAACTCCTTTGGAACTTATTTAAAAATATATATATATCCCTTTTCTGAAACCTATTCAGAGCTCCTGAATCAGAATCTCCTAAGGCAAGATCTCATGCTGCAATTTTGAAAGCTCTCTAGTTGATTTTAATGTATGCCCAAGTTTAAGAACAACTGTGCTAGCCTCACAGGTTCTTGAGCTACATGACTCAGTGGGCTTCCCCTTACTGTACCCAGTCATTCCCACATGTAAGTGTACCACAGAATCATCAGGAATTGTTCAATCTTTTAAATCTGAAATGTAAATCTCCTCTTCTCTGACAATAATCTCCCAGCATTCTAGCTCCCTCACTCCCTTACCTCCCCCATCATCTGTTCTTCATTCTTGACATCTGTAGACTCACTGACTCATCATTTCAACTATGCCTTGGCTGATACCCCCAAACTCCTACATTCTCTTGTCTGGGGCTACAAAGTAAAGACTTAGCCCATTACCTCCAGAGGTACGGAGTATCAAGGGCGAGCCAGAAATGTAAACACATAATCACAGTACTGCATGGGAAGCGTCACCTCTCAAAGAAGTCTTCCCTATAAGATAGCACCTTCTGTCATTCTCCAGCTTCTCAATCTATTTTCCTTCATGTTACTTTTAACAACCTGACATTTTATTCCATATCCATTTATCTATTAGTTTCCTGTCTATCTCCATACTAGAAAGTAAAATCCAAGAGGGGCAGAACTTTGTTTTGTTCACTGCTCTGTTCCCAGTGCTGAAAACGTTGCCTGGCACAAAGTGGGTACTCAAACTATTGTTAAGTGAATGAAAAGAATAAATAAGTGCTATTACTGAGATACACAAAAAAGTACAAAGGAAGGAGAAGGACCTATCCAACATAGGGATACGAGAGAGAGAGAGAGAGAGAGAGAGAGAGAGAGAGAGAGAGAGAGAGAGAGAGAGAGAGAGAGAATATGAATGAGAATGAGAATGAGAGAGGGAATTCTTACTCATCCTGCGAGGCAACATAGGGTACATAACCTTCATGGTCTGGGTTAAGTTCCCCTCTGGGTTTCCTTAGCACCTCAAATCTTATATTTTTATGGCATTTCATTTGTCTGTTTGTCTCGTTCCCCTAGCTTATTTGATACCTATGAGAGTAGCTACTGTATTTTTAATCTATTAATATATCCAAAATGCCTAGCATAGTGGCAGTCACAAAATAATGTGCAATAAGTGTTTGTTGCCTGAAAATAATAAACAAGTGATTATCTTTATAAAGAGTACTAGTCCAGAAGGGGTTAAGTTGTTAAGCTATTAGCAGCCCTGCATTCTACATTGCCCAGCTATATGACCTTGGGCAGGTTGCTTAGTCTCTCAGAGCCTGAGTTTCCACCTTCCTCGCAGAGGTTCTACAGGAATTCAATGAGATAATATATGTACATATAATACATGCACAATATTTGGCTTAGCACCTGGCATATGATAGGTTTTAACTATATGATAATTTCTATATTAGAAGCCATGTACAGCAGTGGGAATGAAGCAGTTTGGAACAGATACAGATTGAGGAAGGAAGAGAGGATATGAGATCACTGGGTAGCTTACTGAGGTACCTCTGAGAGTGGCCAAAATCCGGGGATGCCAATAATGTTGGTCCCACCTCAATCTTTGCACCACACTTACCAGTGCCTGAGCTGAGAGGCTCTGAGGATTACAAACAGGCAAAGGCATATAATGACTGTCAAAAGGGAAAAGCAAAAAGAAAAACAGCTTAGGGTTGGCACTGACCTTGAACCAGGTCATCTGATTGTGGATAAAAGAACTAAAAGTATTTCTTTAAGAACCTGACACATCAAGTACAGTATTAATGGGCTGCTTCTGAAGAGCAGATGTCAAAGTGAATGCCCTCTATTCCTGGTGGGTTTGAAGTGAACAAATTGTAGTGCATTCTGATGAGGAGCTAAGCCAGTCAGGGCCTCATATCAAATGCTTGAGAATCCCAAGTGACAAATCACACTAAGCAACATGGAAGCATGCACGACATTTGCTTCTGCAAACTAAGCAAACCTCTCTCAGAGATAGCATCAAGCCAGTTTCTGAATAGTTTGCTTTGCCACAGTCGCTTCTTAGATTCATCTTTCCTTTTGAAAGAGATAAGAGGTCAGTGCTATATAGCAGCTGCAACAAGGTAGAACTGCTGAGCTATAGGAAGGGACACCTTATAAAGTCAATGGCATTTAAAATGCTAGCAGTGGGGGTTGATAAGGGGAAAAAAGGAGTTAGGACTGCAAAACTGAAGGCAGATGCAAGGTCAGAAAACTGAGGGCAGAAGGAAGACTCTGAATAAGGAGGGAGAAGATAGACAGTGCCCAACTATCTTACAATACTTGAAATAACCTTCCCACACCAGAGAAAACACCAACATAGGCTAAATTAACATGGGGGTGTTATACCTGGAAATTATAATTGAAGCAAAAATGGCCTGCCTTAGGACTTGTTTTTATATTACTTGATGGCTATTATCTGATTATTTTCAAGTCTAAAATACTTAACACTTCAAAAAAGAGAGGCCAGGCACGGCATGGCAACTCAAGCCTATAATCCCAGCACTTTGGGAGGCCAAGGCACAAGGATTGCTTGAGTCCAGGAGTTTGAGACCAGTCTGGGCAAAATAGAGAAATCCCGTGTCTCTACCAAATTTTTTTTTTAATTACCCAGGTGTGGTAGTGCACGCCTGTGGTCCCAGCTACTTGGGAGGCTGAGGTGGGAGGATCACTTGAGCCCGGGAGGTTGAGGTTGCAGTGAGCTGTGATTGCACCACTGACTCCAGCCTGGGCAACAGAGTCAGACTGTTTCAAAAAAACAAAAGAAAGAGCGATAATCCTTGAAGTCCAGAGCACCTCCTCCACCTCTAGCATAGTGCTGGACATAAAAAAGATGCTTGATAAATAAGCTGATTTGTCAACATAAACATTGAGTTTCCTTTTTTTGTCCTCTTCCTCTTTCTTACAACTTCTTCTCCTGCCTCTGCTCTGGTTACCGCTTAGCCCTTCTGGGGGTCTTCAGGGATAAGAGGTTTCTGAGCACAGTTACAGATGTTTAGAGATTTTTCAGTAGATAAAGATGTCAAAGAAGATATAAAAAGACACACTAGATAACTCTACAGTAAAGAAAAAGACTTAATACCCCAGCATACATACTTAAAGAGATAGTATTCAAAGGACAGATCTCAGTGGAGGAGATCAGAAAATACATGAAGGGTTATGTGTGGATAATCCTAGAGTCTACCTTCTACTCAGAAGCTTCCACCAGCATTAACTATATATTGAACATGTTTACAATCTTTATATTCATTTTATCATCATCACATCTCTGCAAGGTAAGCATTATTATTCCCATCATACAAATGAGGAGACTAGCAATAGCCTCTGTCCTGTCTCTTGTTACTTTATATTCACAGTGTCTTAGGAGAGAAGAAACAATAAGAAAAATGAACTGGCCTGAATATCAGATATTACCTACCTCAGAATGCAAACTGTAGAAGAAAACTCTGCCCCACCTCCTCTTAATTTCAAACACATCTCTCCAGAGACAAACTCAGCCAATAAATGTGGAATAACCCCATTATAACACAACCCACTGCTGCATGAAGCTAAGAGTAGCACAATTGAAAACACTTCCTTTGAAATACAATCAATATAAGATTATGCAGTAAAGTTATCCCAAGAAATACATGTGCATCTTGCCACCCAATTTCAGCATGAAATTCCATTGTAAATCAAACCTAACTTATAGTGACTAAAACAGGGATTATATTAGGCAAGGTTCCTAGGAATTATTGGCAGCTGGGGGAGGGAGTAACTCAGTAAATAGAGCAGGGTTAGAACTTGGGTGTTCAGGCAATATTAAAGTATCAACCAGAGTTTGGCTGTTACAGGGTTAACTCCTTCAAAATCTTTCCAAAACTGGCCAGATCTTGTTGGAACGGTTCAAATACAACTGTCCATCCTTGCCAAGAAAGGTTCCCATTAAATGCAAGAGGATAAAATTTGCTGGTTGTAGCATGTTTTCTTCTGAGCAGATTAAGAGCTGTTCAATAGAAGTATAATAGAATGTGTAAATCTAGTATGACTTGGGAGCAGTGTACCTGACATTGAAGATACAGAGCTGTCAAAGTGGAGATAACCTGTACACTGAGCAGTGGAAATTCCGGTAGAAATAATGCATCTGCTGACAATATTTGAGCAATAAAAACAGATTTAAGCCAAAATAAAATACCAAATACCTCATACAAACAGCCACCAGCAGCCACCGTTTCAGCATAAGTTAGAAATTCAATAGAGATCATTGCCAATTAAAAAGGCAGCTGTATTGAGATAAATAAAAATGAATTCTAAAATTGGTCTTGTGGTGGGAAACAGGTAAGCAGAATACCTTCTTGTTCCCTTGGGCTAAGACAAGAGTCGGTTGGTGTTGATTCTGGTTTATAGAGATAAACCTGGGCAACTGGGATGGTTTCTACATCTAGAAACTGGTCACTTTCAGCGATCTGTTTGCAGAGGAAACACCTCTCACTAACTTTCAAGAAAATGTCTAACATGTCATCCTAAAGTTCTGGAGAACCAGAGGGATACTTGTCAAGTCTACCACCTCTAAATTTCTCCTCCTATCAGATTACATAAAGTACCTACCTGCCCACCCACTCACATCTACATTCAAATGAGAACTCACATAGAGAAACATTTTCTACTGCTTCTATGTTAACATTCTTTGATTTCCTCCACAATCCAATTCTTTGGGTGGCTTTTAAAAATTCCCTTAAAGAAGTATTTGCACTTGCACCAAACTGTGGAGGAACTTTTAATGCCCAAATCCCAGCATTAAATTTTCCTAAAGAAAGCCCAGAAAAGCTACTACTAACTACTCCTAGAACACTCTTTACCGCATATTCTCCTGTGAGGTCAAGAACTCTCTTCTGTAAATCCACAGACTCTAACACCACTATGGGAGAGCATCTATACAACATTTATATTTGCAACTCAAATAGGGTTGCTATAAACCATGGAATCTATCTCCAACCCTTTGCCTCAGCAACAGTTAGCCTGTATATTTATGCACACTGAGACACAGACATGAGGAAATCTGAGAACGATCACATCTAAATCATTGCTGATATTTCCAGGGGGCAACATTCTCCTTTCTAGTTGAATAAGGTGCTCAGCAAAGAAAATGCTGAGCTGATGAATATTTACAAGAATAAAAGCCTAAAGAAAAGGATTAACTTGATGGTTCAGGTTATCAATATTATAATGGTAACAACTGAAAAAATGGCTGTAGACAGAACAAAAGTTTGACTACTGTATAAATACTAAAATAATAAATGTCCCCTAAACCTAACTTCTCAGGAAGGGATATAAAACTAAGTGAATATTAGCATGAATATTTAAGTCAACACAGGTGCTATTTAAAGCTTCCATCCCTGAACCTTTATAACATTACCTGCAATGTCCAGAGTATCTGACACCAGATCATTCTCTTTTCTACAGAAGATAGTCTCCTACTGATGCCCTCTACTTGACTTTTTGTATTCTGGAAGGGGATGATGATAAATAACACCAGACACTATGGTGGTATGGTGGACTACCAGTTGCCCCTTAAAATTTGTTCTCTCCTCCTTCCTTTTAGTAATAGAAGCCCCTCCCAAGTTCTGTGTCTTCATTCATCCGAGCTGCCATAACAAAATACCACAGACAGGGTAATGTATACACAGTCGAAATTTATTGCTCACAGTTCTGAAGGCTGAGAAATCCAAGATCAAGGTGCCAGCAGATTCAGTGTCTGGTGAGGGCTTGCTCTCCGCTTCAGAGATGGAGCCTTCTTGCTGTATCCTCACATGGCAGAAGGGGCAAGGGTGCTCCCTTGAACCTCTTTTATAAGGGCACTAATCCCACTTGTGAGGTTGGAGCCCTCATGACTTAATCAATTCTCAAATGCCCCCACTTCTTAATACTATCTTATTTGGTATTAGGTTCCAACATGTGAATTTCGGGGGAAAACCAACATTTGGACCACAGCATTCTGGCTAGACACACGCCTGCCTATTTAGAGACTACATTTGCCAGCTTTTCTTGCAGCTAGGTGTGACTATGTGACTAGCCAAAAGGATATAAGCAGAATTGATGTGAGCATCTTCTGCTTCACATTCTTAGAAATGAAAATACTTGACCTCCATAACCTCTCTTTCTTCTTTCCTTCCCATGGGCTGGAATGCAGATGCAACAGTGATCCAGTTTTAACTATGCAGATGAGGGGCATTCCTAAATCATGGTGGAGTCATAAGATGGAAGGCATCTGGGCCCCTAAATGATCTCATAGATCAGAGCTACTCTATACAGACTGTGAAATCAAAGAGAAAGAAATTTCTATATTATTTAAACCACTATATTTTGGGGTCTCCAAGTTACAGTAACTTAGCCAATACACTAGCTAATATCAGTCAACTGTTTAAAAACATCTGCTTCAAAGTCAGATGGACAGGTTTTGAATCTTAGCTTCCATATCACTAGCTGCAGGCCTTCAGGAGAGTTTCTTAAGTACCGTGAACCCCAATTTCCTCATCTGTAAAGTGGAGCTAAAAATATACTAGGGATATTATAAAGATAGTGCATGCAAAACACTGTAATACAATGTCTGTCTCACATTAAGTGTTTAATAATGTTACCTGTAGCTCTATAAGGTGTGGCTCAATGAGGTTTAAAAAAATGAAAAAAGTCAATTAAAGCAGTAAATAGGAGTCTCTCTGACTAACAAAAAAAAAAATAAAACTAAGTAAAGTAGAAAGCTTTGCTTTGAGGTTTCCTACTATACCATTTTTGGGAAACTTCTCAAGGGACTCCATTTCATTTTGACACATTGCAAATGATATAGAAGTTCTGTTAATTTGAATTCTGATAGAATAAGAAACTCTAAAAGTAAGAATGAGTCTGTTCATACCAAATAGGCTTCCTTAGAATACACAAATAATAATAAGTCAGTGAAGCACTGACCTATTTGGATGGCAAATTATTAGCACAGGTAAATAGTTTCCAAAATACCTGGAAGATAAAAATGTACCAAAGAAGTAACCCAACAGAGGTCTGCTTCTCCAAAGGTCAAGCCCTTGTCAGAATATAAAATTCATGGCAGATGGAGAAAAATAGGAACATGTTGTCAGCTTGGATCGAATTGGCTATATTATTATTTTTTATTTTTGCCAATTTCCAATGCTCTATAGAAATAGAGAGGGAGAACATCAAGTCTTAGAAATGAAATGGTGTTACAAGTAATCCTGCAACAAAAATACACAACCACTGCCTAGTGAGACCTGTTGGAACGTGGCAGCCCACAGAGCCTAAATAATACTACAAGAATACCATGGCTGAAACTGACACCCCCTTCCTAGCCATTCTGGCAACTAGCTTACTCAGTCCTTGCATATGGGGCCATATTTCTGTGACAGAGAGATATCAGAGTAACAAACTCTAGCTTGATCTGTGTCCTGTGATTACAGAGACACCAGTGTTACCCCGGATTTGTAAAAGTGGCTTTTACTTTTCAGAGGCTATCAGTGGCTGAATAAACAGATATGGCTTAGGTATCCCCAGAAATAACATAAGGTAAGCAATTCTGCAATGTGTAAGTACTGTTTTTCTTAGGATTTGTTTGATATTCATATTTTGGTGTTTTTTTAATCCACCTATATATCCCTACCTGAATTTGTTTCTTGGCCTGTGGACTATAGTTTACATCTAATTAATCTGTACTAATTAGAGGGAGAAGAACACCTTTATGCTCATTTTGAAATGAAAAAATCATTTTTATCAATTTCATTTAGTCTTCTTTCACATTGAAGATATAGGAGTTACTGAGACATCAGGGGCCAAATATTTTCTTCCAGGGGTTTCCTTAATAACCATCTAACTCTTCTCTCTCTGAACCAACTTTAGTTATTTTTTTTTCTGGTACTATACTTCCCCACCCCCACTTTGTACCTCCCATGTTGCAGACCACATTTTTCTGCCTTCACATCATTGCTCACATTTTTAACTCACCACTCATTAAGCCAAACAAATGGTTGGGTTAGAAGCAAGAGTTATGGAATAAGACAAATGTGACCTGGTCCCTAATTTTTCCTGTATTATCTTGGACAAGCTATGTAACTTCCTTGTGCCTAGTTCCTTCCTTTTTAAAATGGAGATGATAATAACAGTACATACTTCATTGGGTTGAGAGTATTAAGTGAGACATTATGTATACAGCACCAAGCACTATGTCAGGCTTCATTATTCTAGACATTCCATTCTTTGTAAATATTCTGAAAAAGCAGGATGCCCTAGGCACTATTCAAACCCCTAATCCCCATTAGTGGTAGAATGCTATGTTTCATCTTGTGTACCTCTTTTCTATCTGTTCTTTCTTCCTAGGTCTTATTCCTGCTAGACCCAATTACATCTGATAGTGCCCCTCAGTGGTGAGGAGACTGTTTGTACCTGGAAGACGATGCAAACATCAGCCTGCTCAGTGTGGAGATGCTGCACTTAGTGCTTCCAAGCACATGAACCCAGACCATCAGATGGTTCCTAGAAGGGAAGCTGAAAGCTAGGAACACTTAAAGCCTCCCTATAATTTTCTTCCTCATCTTCAAATTCTGTCAAAAAACACATTTCTATCTATTATATCTTCCTAATAACAAGTTATGAGCTATATGCCTAAGCCCAGTTCTGCCACTAGTACTTTAGATGCATCAGTTGGGTGGTTTCATCCTTTAAAAAGGGAGAAGAAGTCAATGGAAATTAGAAGATAAGTGGTTTGAGAGAGGGCATAAAGGAAGAGAAGGGTTATGTTAGGATGGGTTACAATTATCATCTCTAGGGACACTCCCTGGCATCCATCTGTCCCCTGAGCTGCCTGCCTGCTTCACAGGGACAAATTTTTCTCTCCTGAGAAGACATTTGGGCAATTTGAAACTTGGTTTGAAGGCATCTGGTCACTTGAGTTCATGGATAAGGAAGTGATTTTTAGGAAAGGTAGCCCCAGTCTACCTGCTTAGTAAGTAAAAATCCAAGGTAGCCCCAGTCTACCTGCTTAGTAAGTAAAAATCCATTTTAATTGGCTGGTAAAAATTATATATATATCTCAAATAATAATCTATATATCTCAAATTTTATATATATAAATAATAATAAATAATAATTGAAAGCAGAGTCTCAAAGAGATATCTGTACACCCATATTCATAGCACTACTGTTCACAATAACATATATATTTATATATATATATATATATTATTTGAGACGGAGTCTCACTCTGTCATCCAGGCTGGAATGCAGTGGCAGGATCACAGCTCACTGCAGCCTTGACATCCCAGACTCAAGCGATCCTCCTGCCTCAACCTCCCTAGTAGCTGGGACTACAGGTGTGTGCAAAGTTTTATATTTTAAAAAAGAAAAAATTAAATATTTAGGAAGTATATTGGAGATAATTCTTATGAATCAGAGATCTGCTCGATGGGAAGCCAATATGAATTCATTCATTTACTTACTCTTTACTTTTCTCTCTTTTCATTGCATAGAAATTCTTTTCTGAATTAAAGATCTCCGAGGGGCTAACACCTAGAATGTGTAAAGAACTCATCTAACTCAACAACAAAAATCAAACAACTTGATTATAAAATGGGCAAACAACTTAAATAAACATATCTCCAAAGAAGATATACAAATGGCCAAAATGCACATGAAAAGATGCTTAATATTACTAATCATTAGGGAAATGCTAGTGATATAATACCTCATACCCATTAGGATAGTTACTATCAAAAATAAAAAAAAAACAAGTGTTGGCAACAATATGTACAACCTTGTGCATTGTTGGTAAGAATGTAAAATGGTACAGCTGCTATAGAAAATAGTATGGTGGTTTCTCAAAATATTAAAAGTAGAATTACCATATGATGCAGCAACTCCACTTCTTGGTATAGCTCCAAAAGAATTGAAAGCAGACCAGTAAGTTGGGAGGCCAAGGTACACGGATCACTTGAGGCCACGAGTTTGAGGCCAGCCTGGCCAACATGGTGAAACGCCGTCTCTACTAAAAATACAAAAAAAAAATTAGCTGGGCATGGTGGCGGGAGCCTGTAATCCCAGCTACTCAGGAGGCTGAGGCACAAGAATTGCTTGAACCGGGGAGGCCGAGGTTGCAGTGAGGTGAGATTACACTACTGCATTCCAGCCTGGGTGACAGAGGGAGACTCTGTCTCAAAATAATAATAATAATAATAATAATAATAATAATAATAATAATAATAATAATTGAAAGCAGAGTCTCAAAGAGATATTTGTACACCCATATTCATAGCAGTACTGTTCACAATAACCAAGGAGTGGAAGCAACCCAAGTGTTCATCCACAGATGAATGAATGAACAAAATGTGGTATATAAATGCAACGAAATATTACTTAGCTTTAAAAAGGAAGAAATTTGGACACCTGGTACAATATTGATAAACCTTGATGGTGTTAAGTGAAATAAGTTAGTCACAAAAGGATAAATATTGTATGATCCCACTTATATGACGTACCTAGAGTAGTCATATTTATAGAAACAGTAGAATGGTAGCTACCAGTGGGTAGGGGGAGGGTGGATAGTGACTTATTGCTTAGTGGATATAGAGTTTCAGTTTAGCAAGATTAAAAGAGTTCTGGAGATGGATGGCGGTGATGGTTGTACAACAGTGTGAATGTACTTACTGCCAATGAACTGTATCCTTAAAAACAGTTAAGATGGTACATTTTATGTTATGTGTATTTTACCATAATCTTTAAAATGTCAAGGTCATAAAAAAATAAGAAAAGTCTGAGAAGTCAGCACAGCAAGAGGATCCTACATAGACACGATGGTTAAATGAAATGTATTATCCTGGATGTAATCCTGGAACAGAAAAAGAGCGTTAGGTAAAAACTAAGGAAATCTAAATGATATGCAGAATTTGCTCAATGATAATGCATAAATATTGGTTCATTAATATATTCTACAAATATACCATATTATGTAAGATATTAACAACAGGAAAAAGTGGGTGTAGGGTATATGGGAACTCTGTACTATCTTAATCGTTCTATAAATCTAAAACTATTGTAAAACAAAGTTTATTTTTTTAAGTACCATTTGCCCTGGTTTTCAGGAAGTGACCTATTTAAAACAAACTCCAATTACAGCTCTATAGCTAACATTCCAATTGTTATTCGTCCTGCTCACTTAGTACCTCTGAGGAGCTTTCATGTGCTTCACTGATCACTTCTTTAATCTAATTAATCCTGAGTTCATCCATGTGAGGCCATGGCAAGCAGCATTACAGAATTATCCTCTTTTTTAGACAAGGAGACTGAGGCACAGAAAGCTTAAGTGTTGGTCCAAGGTCAAACATCTAACTTAGTGTCAAAGCCAAGAGAGCAACATTGTCTTCATTTTCCAGCTTAGCATCCAAAGGCATTTTTTCCCTAATGAGACTTTCATGATGCGCAAGTACAATTGGATGTCTTCAAGACTTCAGTAATGTGGCCCAAGCTTAGCTATATCTCTGTAAATAGTGAAGATGCAATTGCTCCTTCTATGCACTACTGCAAGGATCCTCCAAATTTGTGCCCTGATATTTTGCCTACCCCCAACATTCTTTGTTCCCCAGTTATTATGTTCCTATATATCATAATTGCTCACAAAATGTGTCCATCAAATGAATAAGGGAATATGTATATGTAAGAATAAATAAATTAGTAAGTTGTCAAGGGAAAGGGACATCAATGGACTCCACTGGGAATGACTCTTGCTCCCAAGTCCACATGACAGCCAGACAAATGGTAGAATACCTCTTCTCTCAGGATCCCAATCCTCCCTCATATACCCATTACTGTGATCAACCAAATTATTTTCTAAGCATTATCTCTCCCCACTTCTTGCCTTCCCACCCCACTTACCCTCTCCCTCTCTTTTTTTTTTCATAAACCCTTTTACTTATGGCATGTCTTGGAAAACGTGGCTTAACTAACTATATGAGCTGTTTAAACATGTTATGTTTTTGCTATTACACATGCCAGGATTCCCTTGTATGGCCTTCAAAACACAAGTGCTTCTTCGAATGCAGTGCTTTGCTAATTGTAAATTGAATTTTTTCCCCATTAACACATTATAATTGCAGAGATGGTTCATCTTCATTTTTCAATTGACATTAAATACTTGACCTTTGTTTCCTTGCTATTCATCTCACCAGAGAGTTCATAATCTATTAAAGCCAACATTTAAAAGCAGCAGATGCAATACATATTTTAACAAATCTCCCTCAACAAAACCCTTCAGAAATGCAACTAATCACCCCATTTGTTTTATTAAATTTGGATTTTAAATGGCCGATTTTTCAAAATGTAGGCACATCTATAGTCTGCGAACCATAACAGACTGTATTTCCCTATTACTATTTTTATGTTCCCTTTGATTCAAACATTTTAAAATTCCAAAACGCAACTCCCCTGTGTGTTTTAATGGCCACTGATTATTTGATCATCTACAGCTATAAGCTCTTTTTCTATTCTAAAACACCATCCACCCTGATTGTAGACAGCTTGTAAGATAACTGAAGTAAACAAGTATCTGGGTAGTATTAATACCCAGCTGTTGGAACGTAGCTTTAAGATGGTAAGGTATTTTGAAATTATAATTTGCACATCTTCACAATTGAGCACTAACTTTTATGCTTAATTTAGAATGAATGCCCAGGCAGAGGTCTTCTTCCTCCAGGGCACCTAGAAGACTGCTGACACTCGGTGCACATTAAAAGTCATTTCACTAGCAATGCAGTGATGGAGTAGGAAGACTGGCAGTTTCATGGTGGGAGTGTGTGAAACTTGTAGCGTGACTGGTAAAAGAACGTAATAGAGCATAATAAATGAGAGGGTTGATGTGCCATATTTTGTCAGAAGAGAAAGCTGATTACTACACCACACATCTTAGTAATTTACAGATATTTTCCCCATTTCCCATTCAAATTACATAATTTCATGTGCCTTCTATTCTGCACAATGCACTTACCTATTATTTGCAAATGAAGTAAATACCCAGTCACATATCAATGAATATGTAAATTTTGCAGCCTCGATCCCACCACTCTTCTGCTTCCTATCAAAGTGGCGCATTTCAGATTTTGCCCTCCTTGAGGATAGAGATCACGTCTCTGGTATATCATTTGTGCTGCACTGGCACTCTGCAGGAGGCACAAACATGCATTCAGATAATATGGTTTGGATTCTAGGGAGAAGCTAAATCCACATTCTATCATTCAGACATAGATCTAGGCACTGGTATCATTTATAAATAGGAGTATCAGCCCTTTAATTGCTGTCTCAGTGACCCAAGTACTACTACTTAGTCATGCACAAAACTTTCTTCCACTATAAATCCCTACTACAATTGCCAGTAGCTACATAAGGCACTCAAAACTCAGGGACTCTTAAAGAATATATCTCATGTTATTTCCTTTGCCTGCAATGGCCTTCTCCACTTCGCTGCCTACTATTGACACAATAGAGCAGAGTTCAAGTCTCATATCCTAGTTAGATGTCTCTTGGATATGTTCCCGTTACCCTGGAAAGTGTTCCTTGTATTGGAATAATCTCCCACTTCATTGTGAACTTCAGAGTTGAATTATCATTCACCTCTGAATGTCGTGTCTGGCACAGAGCGTGGCATAATGCATCACTAAACAAACGTGAAATAAACTACCATTTAAAGAGAAAAAATATGCCTCACTTCTACCCATTCCGTTAATTCAGGCCAAAGCGCCTGAATATGTTTGTTCACTCTGTCTCTTTCTCTCCTTCCATGTTGAAAGATTTGGCACTACGGGTAGTTATACAAAGCCCATGCCTTCCCCTAAGATTGCACAGGGATGATCAAATGGATTCTTCCAGTTCCAAGTGACAGAAAACAGAACCCTTAAGTGGCTTAAGCAAAACGATAAGTTATTGGATCACATAATGAAAAATTCCAGTTAAATAGGTCTGATTGGATGGCTAAAGATCTCATCCCTCATTCTTTCAATTTAACCTCTGCTCTCATCCATTTCAGATTTGTCTTTCATGGTCACATGATGGCTGTAGCAACTCCAGAAGTTATATTTACATAACTCCAAGTTTATTGACAACAGCACGAACTTCTTTCCCAGGTGTGTCCACTGAAGTTTCATTGTATCTCTTTTGCTCTAACTGGGTAATGTGCCCACCCTTAAATTAATCATTGAAGCCTATGGAAATGTAAGGCTCTAATTGGCTTAGGCCTACCTCATATGCCTATGGTAAGCACGTGGGCTGGGTGTGGGGAGGGGTGATCTACAAAGGAAATAAAAGTGTGGTTTCAAAAAGAAAGGTGAATAGATTCTGGGTAGCAAAATAATCAATGTTCAGTTAATACATACAAATAAAATTACCAACAATTTCAATAAAAAGCATGATTCCAAACTAAAATAACTGAATGGAACTACACTATAACAATATTATTATATAGATATAGAAGGGGAGAGGTACACACATTAAGTTGTTTTCTTGATTTCATAGATCCAAATATGTTTTACTTTTCAAAGACTAAAAAGTTGTACTTTAGCCAGGTGTGGTGACTCATGCCTGTAATCCCAGCACTTTGGGAAGCTGAGGCAGAAGGACTACTTGAGCCCAAGAGTTCAAGATTAGCCTGGGCAACACAGTGAGACCCTGTCTCTACAAAAATTTAAAAGTCAACCAGGTGTGGTGACACATACCTGTAGCCCCAGCTACTTGGGAGGCTGAGGTGGGAGGATCACTGGAGCCCAGGAAGTTGAGGCTGCAGTGAGCTGTGTGTGTGCCACTGAACTCCAGCCTGGGCAACAGAGCAAGACCTTGTCTCAAAAAAAAAGAAAAAGAAAAAATTGTACTTCCTGTGGTACCCTGAAGTATTTTTACAATGTCTTCATAATGGATGTGTGAAAGGCAGGGTTAAGTCTCCCTAACTCAAAAACTCTAATAAGAAATGATCTATTAACTTACCCAATAACACAAGTGGAATGAACTTGGCTTAAATATCAAAATACACAGAAGATTTCCCATTTGTCTATGGTCTAGAGGGTATGATTTTATATGACTTTAGACAATTTAATATATACATAGGATTTTATAGACAAACTAACAATTATACATCTCTGTGCTTTAAACATGTGGAAATTGTAGCAAAGATGGATCATACAAACTGGTCTAACACTCAGATTACCTTTAACAAGGCAATATTGATCTCTATCCAATAAACAACCAAATAACCGATAGCTTTATTTATTGAATTTTGGTACTAACTTTTATATAAAGGCTTTAGGTCTGAGCCAAATAAATTTCCATTGTTAAAACCACTGTATCAATGAATATATCTGAGTGGTTTAACAAAACATCACTTGTTAAAAGATAGGGTGGAAATACGTAAAGCACATAGGGAAAACAAATTGTGATACTGCCTTAACTTAGTAAATTGTATTTTTGCCACATTGAAATAATCATGCATATAAATGTGAATGTACAAATGCAATAGGAGGGCTACTAATTGCAACAATTAATATTATCCTTATTCTTCAGTAATAATCTGGCTCATAATGCCTCCAAAACAGCAGTTAAAACCTCATCCTGAAAGAAAGGCTAAAGTCCATAGGAATACCCGTGCATAAAATGAAACTTGAAACTGTATTTTAGCCCATCCCTCTTATATTATATATGGGAAACTGAGGTCCAGACCATCTAATAGACTCTTCTAGGGTCACACAAAGTATAACTCCTAGGTCAGTAGTCTTCAAAATGGGGATATATGTACCCTGTGGTTATAAAAGGACATCCATAGAGTATAGAAAGAAAATATTTAGTGTCCATAACATTTTTGTGTTTTATTATGTACATAATATGTATGCAGAGGTTTGTGCACTCAAAAGTTTTTTTCTGATCATTATGCCCAATCAAAATCTACTGTCTTAAAATCATAACTCAGCCATGGACCAGACTTTCCCTCACCACCCTTCTGGCCCTTTCTCTAATCCAGCAATTTGTGCTACTGAGCACAAGCAGCCCTGCCAATCAGCTGAATACATATTCTCTCTCTCTCAGCTGGGGACTGGAAATCAAAATTATTTCACCTGAGATTGTTAAATTTTTATTTCCTTATGTGCCTGCTTCAAAATATCATCATTCTCTCTTGAAGCACACAGATTAAAAAGAAGAAAAAAACCCAACTATTATGGTAACACTGCTTGTTCTGCTGCTGATCGTCAGAGAAAATAAGAACTTTTAATACAATATAAGCAAAAAATACCTCTCACACCTTATCTAATACAAAATACAAAATCACCTTTGAGGATTTTTTTGAAAAAGATACACAGTCAGTATCTGACAGGCTAATTGAGTTATCAGCCTCAAAGGCTGACGAAGAGTAAATCAATTATCACATATACTTTATTCTGCAGCCTATAAAACAATAAATAACACTGGGGCCACCCCCTACTGGGCTTCTGCCCAACATCCCTGGTGCTGATACTCTGCTGGAGGGGAGATATGGCTGGTAAAATAGAAGGTATGTGGGAGTAAAGCTATGCTGATTACAACTTAGGTTTAAAAGTTAAATTTAGGAGATCCGACAGCCCAGAGTTCCTTCAGGTTGCAGCATTTTTGATATGAAAAAACCTAAAGACAGAGTAGAAAGAAGCAGGGATCATGGGGATATTGTATTTTCTCCCTAGGTTTTAAAAAGAAGCTCAAAATACACATGATCCTTTTCAGAACATTTTCCTTGGAATTTATGGGAAATAGACCATCTTTGAATGAGTTATCTGGGCATTTTAGAAGTATTCACTCCCTTGGATGGTCATCAAAATAAGTGAATCTCCACTGGGGCCTATTGGAAGGTGGAAGGTGGGAGGAAGGAGAAGATCAGGAAAAATAACTAATGGGTACTAGGCTTCATACTTGGGTGATGAAATAATCTGTACAAGAAACCCCCATGACACAAGTTTACCTATGCAACAAACCTGCACATATACACCTGAACTTAACATAAAAGTTAAAAAATAAGTGAGTCTCTTCAACGAATTCCTCTCTATAACAGAATGCAGTCCAGCATAATAGTTAAGGCACAGGTTTTGGAGTCAGACTCTCGCTTTAAATCATGGCTCTGACACTTACTAGTTGTATTACTTTAGACAAATTAGTTAAGTTCTCTAAATCTCAGTTTCCGTATCCATAAAATGGAGATCATAATAGAATCTAACTAATATAGTTGCCTTGATATTTAAATTATATTATAGATGTTGCCTGACAAAGAGCAAATACTTAATAAATTGTAGTTGCTATGATGATGATGGGGGTGGTGGTTGTGGTGGTGGTGATGAACATTACATCAAGCTTCCTGGGGATTTATGTTGCAAACTAGAACATAGGATGACTTACATCTCTCATTCTTTTGAGTTATTCTTACTTAGCACTTATCATTCACTGAATATAATATGTAGCAACCTGTACACAGAATCATACCATGCTATGGAAATGTTTGTTGTGCTATTATTAACTTTCTAAAACATGGCTTGGAATGTGGAAAAAAGGGCTAAGATTATTCTGGGAGCAGGCAGCAATGGAGAAAACAGGGGCCCCGTGAATTCAAAGGTCACTAATTAAACCTAGGCTGGAGGAGGAGGTGATCAAAGCCTAATTCACCTTTTTTGCTTCAAGGTAGATAGGCCTAGGACAAAAAAAAATCCTAGATGTCATGACAATCAGGTAATACATTTATGTGACTTACTAAAAAGAAAGGAAAAAACTGGGCATTAATGACACAGCATGTGTCCAAACCTTTCTGTGAAAGTGGTAACACTAGAGAAATACCAGCTGAAAACATGATTGGCTTCACCAAGTTAACAGCTGAGGCAGTTCTCAGATTCAAATAGAAACCAAGCCATGATGCTTAGGTTTAGTGACAGCCCTTTAAGAAGGCTTAAGAAAAACCCCGCATCTGGGAAAGATTATGCAAACTAGGTACTGAGCATTGTGCCCATACATCATAATGCAGACTCACAGTTGTGAATACACAACTGGACAACATAAATGTGATTCCAACCAATCTCTAAGGGAACTATTATATCAAGGCAAGTGCCAGTTGAACACGTTTGAAGCCTACAAAACTTCTAATTTTAAGACAAATAGCCTGTTGCAGGCCACAGGAATATAAACCTACATGATATATATTTCATAATTACTGCTACTTTGTCAGAGAAGACTTTTCTACATGTAACAAAAACCTAAAATTTACTATATTCTTTTACATTCATTAAATGTGTATGATCTTTTCTGTAGAGGTTAGGTAATGTTAGTAATTTCCCAACAAATTAATTACCCAACATGGCTCTTCCTTGTCTTATTAAGTGACCTTAGAAAACTGGTCCCTGCCATTCTTTTAGCCCATACATATATATTTACTGGATTGAGCACAACAATGTTACAACATCAATGGCCAGTGTCATCTTCAACAAAAGGCAAGGAATATAAAGCCCTCTGAACCAATCAGGTCAACTATTTGAGGTACACAATGTACAAGACGCTATGTTGAGAGATCTAAAGACATCCTAGACTGTGATTAAAATAAAATGAGATAGGTGATAAGGGGCCCATAGAAAACTAGTCCTGGAAGGAATGTTAGGGAATATCTAGTTCAATCCCCTAATTTTTTTAACCTGCTCATTTTATGGATGAATAAACTAAGGCTCAGAGAAGAAAAACCACTTGCCAATGTCACACAATTGGTGAGTGGCAGTACCAGGGCAAAGATTTGGGTGTCTTGATTCTCATGTTACTACTTTTTCTACTATACCACAGTATGCTCAGCAACTCTGGTAGGAAAGAAGAATGAATTCCTCGGGAAAGCTAGACCCTGAGGATCGATGGGAATGCAACAGGTAACAATGAATAAAGAGGCAAGCATAGCAAGGAGAAGGAAGAGCAGAAGCAAAGGTACATTACTAGGAAAGCATGCACTATCTCTGAAGATCTGAAAACAATCCAGTTTAGCTAGAAACTTGCAGCTTCTCAACAAGAGTGCTATTGTCATTTTGATCGGGCAAGTCTAAAATGGTAAGGGTCTGTTTTGCTCAACACAAGATGCTTGACATCCCTTGCTCCAGATCACTAAATACCCATATTATTCTTCACCTGTTTTGGCAACCCAAAACACCTCAACGGAATTCCAAATGCCACCAGTCCCAATTTAGAACCACTGAGCATAAGTATCAGATGTCCAGGGATATAAACAGTGTTTGAGAAGGCTGAAAGAATAGTTTGGGTCCCAATCATGAAAACCCTTAAAGAAGTTTAAACCTTTTTCAGTATACTATAGGGAATCACTGAATGTTTCCAGGTGATTACTATAGGGGAGAGGCATCATTTGATATGTTCTTCAGGAAAGATTCTGGTAGCAATGTAGAAAATAATTAGGGTGGGGGAAAGGGTTGAGGCAGGAAGACTAGTTAGGCAACTCTAATAATCACACATGCTTTTCTCAATTAGATAGGAGGAAAGCATTCAAGAGATATATTGTACAACCAGGTATGTATACTTTATAACAATATATTGTATCTTGAAAATCACTGAGTGGATTTTAAGTGTTCTCACCACAAAAAATAATATGTGAGGTGATGCATGTATTAATTAGCTAAATTGAGACATTCCATGATGTATACCTATTTCAAAACATCATGTTGTACGTGTTACTTTTAATTGACATATAAAATTGTTTAATTGACATGTAAAATACAATTTTATGTCAATTAAAAATAAAGAATTTTAAAATTAAAAAATACATACTTTAAGTTTTCTTTTGCCAACTGTCCCACTGTGTCTACCTAGGCTTTGACATTCACTTTAGCTTCTGATTCCTGTCCTTTATTTTGAACCCTGGAATATAAAGTTTTGCCTCTTAGTTTCAATTATATTTTACCTTCTTGCCACTTATTCTACTAACCAGCCTTAGCTGACAGGCCCATTGCTGGCGTTCACACCTGTGAGCAGGGACTTTGCACCATTTGAAAACATCTTGCTACCATGTTGTTTTGAATGGTGTTTGTAATTTGTACTATGGGTACCATTATGCTTACAAAATGGTTTTCAAATAAAAATTCCTTATTTCAAACTTTTTGCCGGTGTTATCTGAAGTTTCACTCATTCCCAAGTGCATTCAGCTTAGCTAAAAAGAAACCCAAAAGGTGTTAAGTACGCTCATTGCAAGCAGATGTTTGGTATTTTCATAGGACACAAAAATACTAGTTTACTGAATGGCAGACTGTTAAAAACCTCAGCATTCATGAGATTGTGTCAGCATTTTCATTAGAAACCCCTGTTTTCCTAGGCACATGTGTCTTCAGTTTTGGAGATATGTTGGAAAAATCAGTTTGGTTATTTCTAAATTAAAGCAGAGACATCAGAAAATATCCCTTTTAGTCAAAGTCATTATGCCAAGATGCAATGTAAAATAAATTGCAATGAGAACATGAATCAACTTCCAGGGGCACTCCAACCACAAAAAGAAGTTTGGAGTCCTCTCATGCTTTGAATTGGGAAAGAGCCTGCCAGTCAGTGACAAATCAGCACCTGATATTGCACCTGATGGATGGCCCCCAGAAACTCACTGGTTCTAATTTCCTGAAATGTACTAGGTTTTCAGGAAAAAAGTGGAGAATGTGTCTTACACTATGGAAACTTCTACATGAACCCTGTGGAGGAAAAGCAAACAGGGTACACCTGACAAGCAAATATTCTCCATCCAAATATCTGCCAAGGTCACTGATTTGACATCCAGCCACATCAGTTCCAAGTCACACCTTAAGCACTGGCCAGCCACCCTGCAAATGTGTAAACTGGGACAGCTAAATGCCATCTGAGAGACTGTTGATTGTTCAGTGCACTACTAAAAAACAAAGCAAAAATAGAAACGAACCTTGGCCTAACAATAACGGCTTATTTGCATCATCTTTTCATGTGTACTTTTGAGGTTGGTAGTTAATAGCACAGTAGTTATCATCACAGAGTCTGAAACCAGATTCCTTATCTTTGAATCTTGGCTACACCATTTACTAGCTGGGAAGCTTTGGGCACATTGTGTCTCTGTGCCTCCACAAGAATAGTACCTTCCTTAGGTTTCTAAGAATAAGTCAGTCAATATGTGCAAATTACTTAGAACAGTGTCTAGGACATAATAAGTATCCAATGATGTTAATCATGATGATGGTGTCATACTATGGGAAAAGTGTACAGAAATCAATGAAGATAGAACCTGCAAGGAAAATTTCTATATCTGATATAAATAGGAAGGAAAGGAAGAAGAGAGGGAGGGAGGAAGGAGGGAAGGAGGGAAGAAAGGCAGGCAGGCAGGCAGGCAGGCAGGCAGGCAGGCAGGCCAGCCAGGAATTATTCCAATGGGAAGTCATAGGATTTTTATCTTTTCCCTTAAATCTTTTAAGCTTTGAAGTGATGGCTTTGAATCCTTGATATTTTAGAAGAGGTCCTCTATGACAGGCTTTCTATATCTCAGTAAGGCAAATTGAGCCAATTGTTTCCCCAACCCCTTTCCTCTTAATAAAATGTTGACTTATTTGTGGTTACTACTACATATACTTGATAAAGTGCTATATTGGTTTGATTTCCAGTTAGGTAGCCAATAACTGCTGAGCCACAAGATCCCTCTGACTGTGCCAATGCAGACAGTCAGTCTTCACTCTGTACTTTTCCCAGCTAATATCTAAAAACAAGGCCTGGATGAAAATCAGGACCTGAATGGCCTCATTAGATCACTAGATATTTGGAAAACACTTTGATAGAGTTTTGAAATAATTCATCAAGATGATATCCCATGCTCAATGGGCAGCATTTTTCAGGGGGTATCCCTGACTGTCATTCAGAAACAGAGGACAAATATTTTAGGGAAGTATGAGGAATGAAGTCCTCCAGGATCAATACCACTGATGCAGGTACTTTCAATTTTCAGTTCTACTCAAGACACTGCAGTCATTTTACTTTGACTACAGCTGAAAAGGTCCACAAAACAAAGTATGGTCTCTAATTCTCACTAGTGCAAGTAAATGGTCACTCCCAAAATGTATTTCATGAGAGAGTCATAGGGTTCTCCCACAAAGACCAGAGATAAATCTAAAATACAAGTTATTTTTAAAATGCTGGGGCATTGTGTGTGTCTTTAAGGGTTAATCACCCTTATTAACCATTCACAATGGCTCTATAAAGGAGAGTAGGAGGCAGCAGCCTTTATTTATATGTGTTTACCACTATAAACTTGAATCCATACCAAGAAAAGCACAAAGTGGAACATTTTAGAAATACTAACATATTAATTCTTATTTAGACAAAAGCTCAGCAGGATATTTCTTTTAAAATTCAGACCAATATAGAAGATTCAAACGTTTTTTGGATAAATTGGAAAATCTAGAAGAAATGGACAAATCCCTAGATACATACAACCTACCAAGATTGAACCAGGAAGAAACCCAAAACATCAACACACCAATAACAAGTAACAAGATTGAATCCATAATAAAAAGTCTCCCAGTAAAAAACAAAACAAAACAAAAAAAGCTCAGGACCTGATGGCTTCACTGCTAAATTCTATCAAACATTTAAAGAACTAATACCAATTCTACTCAAACTATTACAAAAAATACAGGAAGAGGGAATACTTCCAAATTCATTCTATGAGACCATTATTACCCTGATACCAAAACCAGACAAAAACATATAAAAAAACTACAGACCAATATCTCTGATGAACATTTATGCAAAAATCCTCAACAGAATACTATCAAACTGAATTCAACAATACATTAGAAAAATTAATCATCCTGACCAAGTGGGATTTATCCCTGGGATGCAAGGATGGTTCAACATATGCAAATGAATGAATGTGATACAACATATCGACAGAATGAAGGATAAAAACCTAGTGATCATTTCAATTGATGATGTAAAAGCATTTGATAAAATTAAACATTGCTTCATGATAAAAACCCCCAAAAAAATGGGGATAGAAGGAACATACCTCAACATAATAAAAGTTATATATGACAGACCCACAGCTAGTATCATACTGAATGAGAAAAAGCTGAAAGCCTTTCCTCTAAGATCTGGAACATGACAAGGATGCCCACTATCACCACTGTTATTCAACATAGTACTGGAAGTCCATGATAGAGCAATCAGACAAGAGGAAGATATAAAGGGCATCCAAATTGGAAAGGAAGAAGTCAAATTATCCTTGTTTGCAGATGATATCATCTTACATTTGGAAAAACCTAAAGACTCCACAAGAAAATTATTAGAACTTATAAACAAATTAAGTAAAATTTCAGGATACAAAATCAATATACAAAAATCAGTAGCATTTCTGTATGCCAACAGTGAACAATGTGAAAAAGAAATAAAAATGTAGTCCCATTTACAATAACCACACATAAAATTAAATACCTAGAAATTAACCAAAGAAGTAAAAAATCTCTATAATGAAAATTATAAAACACTAATGAAAGAAATTGCAGAAGACACCAAAAAATGAAAAAAAATTCCATGTTCATAGATTGGAAAAATCAGTAGTGTCAAAATGTCCATACAGCCCAAAGCAATCTACAGATTCAATGCCATCCCTATCAAAATACCAATGACATTCTTCACAGAAATAGAAAAAAAAATCCTAAAATTTATATGGAACCAGAGAAGACCCATAATAGCCAAAGCTATTCTAAGCAAAAAGAACAAAACTGGAGGAATCATATTACCTGACTTCAAATTATACTACAGAGCAATAGTAACCAAAACAGCATGATACTGGCATAAACATACATACATAGACCAATGGAACAGAAGAGAGAACCCAGTGATATGGTTTGACTGTGTCCCCACTCAAATCTCATCTTGAATTGTAGTTCTCATAATCCCCACGTGTCATGGGAGGAGGGACCCAGGGGGAGGTAATTGAATCATGGGGGCAGTTACCCCCATGCTGCTTTTCTTATGATAGTGAGTGAGTTCTCCTGAGATATGATGGTTTTATAAGTGGCTTTTCCCTCTTTGCTTGGCACTTCTCCTTCCTGCTGCCATGTGAAGAAGAGCATGTTTGCTTCCTCTTCTACCATGTTTGTAAGTTGCCTGAGGCCTCCTCTTTTATAAATTACCCAATCTGGGACATGTCTTTATTAGCAATGCAAGAACAGATTAATACAGTAATTTGGTATTGCAGAGAGTGGGGTGCTGCTGTAAAGATACCCTCAAATGTGGAAGCGACTTTAGAACTGGGTAACAGGCAGAGGTTGGAACAATTTGAAGAGCTAAGAAGAAGACAGAAAAATGTGGGAAAGTTTGAACTTCCTAGAGACTTGGAGGTCTCAGAAAACAGATGTGGGAAAGTTTGGAACTTCCTAGAGACTTGTTGAATGGTTTCGAACAAAATGTTGATAGTGATATGGACATTGAAGTCCAGGCTGAGGTGGTCTCACATGGAGATGAGGAACTTATTGGGAACTGGAGCAAAAGTAGCCCTTGCTATGCTTTAGTAAAGAGACTGGTGGCTTTTTGCCCCTGCCCTAGAGATCTGTGGAACTTTGAACTTGAGAGAGATGATTTAGGGTATCTGGTGGAAGAAATCTCTAAGCAGAAAAGCATTCAAAAGGTGACAGAGAATAGTTTGGAAGATCTGCAGGCCTGATAATGCAGGAGAAAAGAAAACCCAATTTTCTGGGGAGAAATTCAAGCCAGATGCAGAAATTTGCATAAGTAACAAGAAGCCAAATGCTAATTGCCAAAACAATGGGGAAGATGCCTCCAGGGCATGTTAGAGGTCTTCATGGCAGCTGCTCCCATCACAGGCCCAGAGGCCTAGGAGGAAAAAATGGTTTCCTGGGCTAGGCCCAGGGCCTTGCTGCTTTGTGTAGTCTCAGGACTTGGTGTCCTGCATCCCACCAAGACTAAAAGGGGCCAATGCAGAGCTCAGGCTGTTGCTTCAGAGGGTGCAAGTCTCAAACCTTCTTGACCAGAAATCAGGAAGGGTTTGGGAACCTCTGGCTAAATTTCAGAGGATGTATGGAAATGCCTAGATGGCCAGACAGAAGTTTTCTTCAGGGGTGGAGCCCCCATAGAGAACCTCTGCTAGGGAAGTGCAGAAGGGAAATGTGGGGTCAGAGCTGCCACAGAGTTCCCACTGGGGTACTGCCTAGTGGAGCTGTGAGAAGAGGGCCACTGTCCTCCAGGCACCAGAATGGTAGATCCACTGACAGCTTGCACCGTAGGTCTGGAAAAGCCACAGACACTCAATGCCAGCCCATGAAGGCAGCCAGGAGAGGGGCTGTACCCTGCAAAGCCACAGGAGCTGTCCAAGGCCATGGGAGCCCACCTCTTGCATCATCATGACATGAAGGTGAGACATGGAATCAAAGGAGATCATTTTGGAGCTTTAGGATTTGACCTCCCTGGCCAGGTGTGATGGCTCATGCCTGTAATCCTAGCACTTTGGGAGGCCGAGGCAGGTGGATCACCTGAGGTCAGGAGTTTGAGACCAGCCTGGCCAACACAGCAAAACCCTGTCACCACTAAAAATACAAAAAATTGGCCAGGCGTGGTGGTGGGCACCTGTAATCCCAGCTACTTGGGAGGCTCAGGCAGGACAATTGCTTGAACCCAGGAGGCAGAGGTTGCAGTGAGCTGAGATTGCACCATTGCACTCCAGCCTGGGTGACAGAGTGAGACTCTGTCTCAAAAAAAGAAGAAGAAGAAGAGGAGGAGGAGGAAGAAGAAGAAGAAGAAGAAGAAGAAGAAGAAGAAGAAGAAGAAGAAGAAGAAGAAGAAGGAGAAGGAGAAGGAGAAGGAGAAGGAGAAGGAGAAGGAGAAGGAGAAGGAGAAGGAGAAGGAGAAGGAGAAGGAGAAGAAGGAGAAGGAGAAGAAGGAGAAGGAGGAGAAAGAGAAGGAGATGATTTGACTGCCCTGCTGGATTTTGGACTTGCATGGGGCCTATAGCCCCTTTCATTTTGGCCAAAATTTCTCCCATTTGGAATGGGTATATTTATCTAACGCCTGTACCCCCATTGTATCTACGAAGTAATTAACTTTGCCTTTGATTTTACAGGCTCATAGGTGGAAGGGACTTGCCTTGTGTCAGATGAGACTTTGGACATGGACTTTTGGGTTAATCCTGGAATGAGTTAAGACTTTGGGGGACTGTTGGGCAGGCATGATTGTGTTTTGAAATGAAAGGACATGAGATTTGGGAGGGGCCGGAGGAGAATGATATGGTTTGGCTCTGTCCCCACCCAAATCTCACCTTGAATTTTATCTCCCATAATCCCCATGTGTCATGGGAGGGACCTGGGGGGAGGTAATTAAATCATGGGGGCTGTTACCCCCATGCTGCTGTTCTTGTGATAGTGAATGAGTTCTTCTGAGACTGATGGTTTTGTAAGGGGCATTTCCCTCTTTGCTTTGCACTTCTCCTTCCTGCCACCATGTGAAGAAGGATATGTTTGCTTCCCCTTCCACCATGACTGTAAGTTTCCTGAGGCCTCCCCAGCCCTGTGGAAATGTGAGTCAATCAAATCTCTTTCTTTTATAAATTACCTAGTCTCAGGTATGTCTTTATTAGCAGTGTGAGAACAGACTAATACACCCAGAAACAAATCCACACACCTACAGCAAACTCATTTTTGACAAAGATGCCAAGAACACATACTGGGGAAAAGGCAATCTCTTCGATAAATTCTGCTGGGAAAACTGGATATCCATATGGAGAAGAATGAAAGTAGACCCCATCTCTCACTGTATACAAAAATCAAATCAAAATGGATTAAAGACTTAAATCTAAGCCTTCAAACGATGAAACTACTACAAGAAAACTTAGGGAAAACTCTCCAGGACATTGGTATGGGCAAAAATTTCTGGAGTAATACCCCACAAGCATAGGCAACCAAATCAAATAGGGACAAATGGGATCACATTGCAGTAAAAAGCTTCAGCACAACAAAGGATACAATCAACAAAGATACGACCCGCATCATGAGAGAAAATATTTTCAAACTATCCATCTGACAAGCAATTAATAACCAGAAAATAGAAGGAGTTCAAACTATGCTATAGGAAAAAAATCTAAAAATCCAATCAAAAGATGGGTAAAATATTTGAATAGACATTTCTCAAAAGAAGACGTACAAATGGCAAGTAGGGACATAAAAATGTGCTCAACATTACTGATAATCAGAGAAATGCAAATCAAAACTGCAATGAGATATCACCTCACCCCAGTTAAAATGGCTTATACCCAAAAGACAGGCAATAACAAATGCTGGTGAAGATGTGGAGAAAAGGGAACCCTTCTGCACTGTTAGTGGGAATGTAAATTAGTACAACCATTATGGAGAACAGTTTGAAGATTCCTCAAAAAACTAAAAATTGAGCTACCATATGATCCAGCAATCCCACTGCTGGGTATATACCTACATGAAATGAAATAAGTATATCCAAGAAGTATCTACACCTCCATGTTTGTTGCAGCACTGTTTACAATAGCTAATATTTGGAAGGGATCTGTATCCATCAACAGATGAATGGATAAAGAATATATGGCACATATACACAATGGAATATAAAAAGAATGAGATTCCATCATTTGCAACAACATGGATGGAACCGGAGATCATTATGTTAAATGAAATAAGCAGGCACAGAAAGACAAACTTAGCAGGTTCTCACTTATTTGTGGGATCTAAAAATCAAAACCATTGTCCTCATGGACATAGAAAGGTGGTTACCAGAAGCAAGGAAGTGTTGTGGGGGATAGGAGGGAGGTGGAGATGGTTAATGGGCACAAAAAAAGTTAGAAAGATTGAGTAAGACCTGCTATTTGATAGCACAACAGTATTACTATAGTCAATAACAATAACTGTACATTTTAAAATAAAGAGTGTAACTGAATTGTTTGTTACTCAATGGAAAAATGCTTGGCAGGATGGATACCCCATTTTCCATGAGTTGAGTATTTCACACTGCATGCCTGTATCACAACATCTCATGTATTCCATAAATATATACATCTACTATGTATCCACAAAAATTGAAAAATGAGAAATTCTACCTTTTTTCTCCTGCTATTGGCTTGACTTAGTGAAAGCCTCTGGTTTTCACAGGTAAGAAAATATTTGTGCTACTAAGAAGAGAAATAACAACAACAATAATAATGAGAGAATTTTTAATATACCATATGTCCCAAATGCTGCTCCTAGACATATTGTATACATTTTCTTGTTTAATCCTCACAAAAGCCCTGAAAAAGCAGGTATTATCCTAATTCCATAGGCAATGAAACAGAGTCTAAAGCAATAAATCACTTAACCCAAATTGTCCAAGTAGTAGATTTGAATCAGGTCTAACTTCAACCCCCATGATACTGGTTGCCATCAGAACAAGTATGTAAGGCCTTAGAATTAAATAAATGCTTAAGTAGTTTGTCAGTGGTTGCTCTGCTAGCAAGTAGCAGATGCAAGATTTACACTCAGATCTCAGAACTCCAAGACCTGTATTCATTCTGTAAGATCTCAAGTCCAGTTCTAGGCAGAATGTTTACAATTTGATGCCTTTGATTACATTGTTGATCTAAATTCATATATAAGTGTGGGCCGTCTTAGGACTCAATCTTTGCTATTAAGAGTAGAAGACAAAGGTAGAAGTTTCTTTCTTTCAACATGTGTTCTGTGTGTACACACGTGTGTATGTGGTATGTATGTCTCAGCAGGAGGCTGGGGGTGAATATAGATTATATCTACTGTTCTAACTTTGATTTCAAAAATCGCCAAAATTCATAGAATATTGGAGGGAGCCTGGTCTGACATTTGGAGTCCAGAAGAGGGAGTAACATAGCTCATTTGTGCAACAAAACATTTGGAATTGGGTCACGGCATTCTTAGGAAGAAAAGGAAAAAGTAAAGTAGATCATCAGATCATCAGGGAGAGGATTACACTTACTGCTTAATGGAAAGGCAAGCATATGCAAAAATAAATTTCTGTACCAATTTTCCAAGTTTCTGCTTAAAAAACTTACCATGCATTTACACACTTTTAACAAAGTGCTAACACAGTAGCAAATGCCATAGCTCAAAACGCAAATGGCTTTTCCACTACAATTCCCTTTTCAGTCACTCATAACTGTATCAACCGTCCTACATCTTAGCTAAAATATTCTCGGTTTGTCCTCAAGCCAAACACTGACGGTTTTCTCTTTTCCAAAAGAAGTTTGAGAAAAGCCCCCTTTAGCTATGTCTGAGTCACCACCAGAGAAGGGGGAGGGTAATCCTTATTATAATCAAATGGGGAGATGAAGAGAATGCAAAGAGAAGTGTTAGAGCTTCTATGTTCAAAAGAAAAAAATTATATGATCTTTAAAACTCAACATGATAAGATGATACACTTTCCTATGTGTGAAAAATTGGCCAAGAATAAGTTATTAACATTTAAGAGTAGCTTGCTGAACTAGCAGATACCCTGTTCCCTGAATGGGAGCTACTAGAAAAAGAAGGCAAAAGGCCTTCAGGGAAAAGAATGTCACAAGAGAGTAGAACAAGCATTCAATTAATTCTCTTTTCCCAAAGGATGTGATTTTTGACTCAGCCCCAAGGGTCCCAATCTATTCTGGCTGGATGTAGTCCTGTTGGGTTTAACTGTCCCCAGGTCTTCATATTCTTTACCGTCCAGGCACATTTTATCTAGTTCTATTAATTCAACTCCATGTAAGGACAGAAACATCTGTATTGTCAGTCCTTGATGGCAAGTCCCAATCATGTCATGTGTAATTTGATTCAAATAACCTTTTTTTCAGCATGTTCACTGTGGGTATCTGAGGATGTAAGCATGTGGAAGGGACTGTACACAAACAAATGTTTTATTTTAGACATTGGAGAACAACTCTAGATAAAAATCTTCTTTTCTTAATGGTATTTATTGTTTTATTCTGCTTTCTGGTTATAAAGGCAATCCATTTTCATTAAAGAAAATATGGGAAATATGGAAAAACATAAAATAATAAAATGAAAATCACCAATATTCCTAGTACCCAGAGATGATTTTGGTAAACATATTTCCATTCTTCTTTCTATAAGCACTTTTTCCCAAGAAAAGAGAACATTATATGCATACTACTTTAAAATCTTTTTCTCATGTCACCAGACATCTTCCTTTTGTCTATATGTAGTAATTTCTAGGTGAATTCACCCAATCTTATGGCTTTAAATACCATCTATGTGATTATGTCTCCAATTTACATATCCACCCAGAATGTCTCCCTTGAATCCAGACTCATACATTTAAAGCCTATACAACAATTCTCTTAGACGTTTAATAGGCAACTCAAACCAAACATACTCCAAACAGAGCTCTGATGTTTGTCACATCCCAAATCTCCTCCTGCAGCTTTCCCCATTTCACTAACACATAAATGCCATCCTTGTAGGCATTCAGCCCCAAAACTTTGATTCCTTTTGTTCTCTCATATCCCACATTCAGTCTGTCAGAAAATCTTAAGAGCTCTACTCTGATTATTACCATCTAGAACCATCATCTTCTTTCACTAGCATTACTGCAGTAGCCTCCTAACTGTTCTCTCTGCTTCTTCTCTTGTCCTCTTTAGTCTATTGCAATCATTGCAATGTGAATGCTCTTGTTAAAACATAAGTCAGAGCTTCACTCTCTCTCTCTCTCTTTCTCTTGGATAGAAGACCAAGATTTTTACCAGGACCTACCCAGTTACCCGATTACCTCTCTGACCTCATCTTTTCTTCTTGTTTACATTCATTCCCCTCTGAATACACTGGCCTCATTGCTTCTCCTCTAATACCCCAGGCATGCTCTCGTCTCAGGGCCTTTGCACTTGATGCTTCCACTGCTTGAAATATTCTTCCCCCAAATATCCACATGGCTAGTTCCTTCACTTCCTTCATGTGAGTCCTCCTCAGTGAAGTCTTCCCTGGCCCCTTTAACTAAAACTTTATCCATACACTTCAATCTCCTTCCTTCACTTTTTTCTTTTGATCATTCCCACTCTGTACAGGTTTTATATATTCTACATATTTATCTTGGTAATGGTCTGTTTCTTCCACTAAAATGTAAGTGACATGAGGGCAGAATTTTTTTTCCAAGCTTTTAAACTTTTATGTGCCCAATACCTAGAACAGTGTCTGATATGAGTGCTCAGTAAATATTAGTACAATGAACAAAAAAAGACTTACTCCATCTTCCATAAAATTTTCAACTGGGCATTTGCTGGGACTAGGCCCAACTCCCTATGGCTATTAAAATGACTCCATACACTTCAAGATGAGTCTAAAAGACAACTACTTTATGAGAAGATCTCTCTGTTGTGTTGCATGATATTCAGGGCTTGATTTGGAGGCAAGTTAAATAAAAGTTATCTTGAACAAGGAACAAGTTGGGTGAAAAGCCCTAGAAAGCATCTTTGTCACCTGACACCTCACATTACATTCCTTCGAAACAACACATTTCCTTGTACATCCCAATACAAACACACACAAGTAAATCTGTTAGATGCTGTTTCAATAATAAAAATCTACAATCATTTGTAATTAACTAGATGCCAAATGCCAGTGGATGAATATTAGGGAAGAGTGCTATATTACTCTAGATATACCAAAAAAAATCACACAAGCAGGAGGTAAGATTTAGTTTGAACAACAACCTGTCACTTTCACATGACTCTTGCATAGTATAGGTTAATTCCGCTTTACATAACATGTGTGTTTCCCTCAAAGTCCCCAGAGATGGATTATCCATTTTTGTAAACTGATTAAAACATACAAGTGAAATTGTCACTTAAAGCAAATCTTTGGTATATTATCTAGGTTGTAAATTTGGGTTTTGTTACATTGCATTTACTTAAATCAAGTTCTACCTGCTCTGGGTTTAATACAAAGTAATCCCAGTAAATTCTAGTCTAGTAATCTGGCCTTATAATAGTCCTACTGGGGCAGTTTTGGGGGGACTTAGGGGGACCAATATTATTTTTCAGACCGTGCCTTTTTCAAACATTTGAAAACAAAAATCTAAAAGGACTCTAAATTGAAGTTCTGACACAACTTTCACTTGAGAATTTTAACTACAATTCTGTTATTTGTGTCATTCATGGATCATAGAATGGACACTGAACTTGGGGGCAGAGCATCTAGGTTCACATTTCTCAAAAACTTTAACTTCTTAATTTTAGGTTCAGGGGTACATGTGCATGTTTGTTATATAGGTAAACTCAGGACTCGTGGATTTGGTGTACAGATTATCTCGTCACTCAGGTACTAAGCATAGTACCTGACGAGTTTGGGGATTTTTTTTTGTTTTTATGATAGGTTCACATTTTGACTCTGTCATTTACTTCCCACCTCTTGGAGCCTCAGTGTCCTAGCCTACAAAATGGTGATAATAGCCCTTGCCTGTATCATAGGGTTGCCACAAGATCAGTGAAAAAAGCAACCTCTGGGAAAGCAGTCCATAACTTTCCCTTGTAATTCCAGATAGAAGAGATTATTGTGATACTCTCTGCCCAGAATATTGCATCTATTACAAGATACCGTGAGTATGATATTGTTGATCATTTCAGAGATTTGGTTAGATTTGGAATAAACACATAAATTGTGGGAAGGAAAAATCAAACATTAGGTGAGCTTTTAAGCAATGATACTTTAAATGATTTGTTGAGACTATAGATTGTGTCCTGGTTTCCTAACCCTTGTGATCACTCAGGCTGTAAAGCATAGTATGCTCAATGCTTGTTTAAACCTCAACATTTCTGCAGCTTGGTCTGGCCTTCAGGTGCTCAAGGGAAACAAGCATGTTATATTACCAATTAGCTAATGAAACTCATATTTGACACTCTACCCCTTTTTATTTGAAAGTAATCTGCCTTTGCATTTCTTATCCAATTCAGTCTACTGGTTAACATTTACAATTCCTATAAAATGCCATTGCACACGAGTATTTTATTAAAAACACATTATAAGTGCTAAACTGTTTCCATACAGAAAGATTTAACTTCTACAATAATATAACCAGATATAATCATAAATATCATATTGTCATATCCATTGGCCTACCAATTTCATCGTAATGGGAGTAATCATCTGTGATACTGCCCTTCATGAATTCTCCAGCCCTCTTAGCTCATTAATGAGCGTTCCTAGCCTGGCAGAGAAATTGCCACAACTGCCTCTAATCCCTATCTCCAATTTTATAAATGGTCTCTCTCCAGTCAGTTCATTATTTAATCAATGTTAATTTTAAAGCACTATGAACTTCTCATGAGATGGGCACAAATGCTAACAAGGTTTTTGATTACCAATTTTAAAAAATATATTTCAATACCCAGTAGCCACATTTTCATTTAACAGCAATGGTGCCAATCATATTTAAATTGTAAAAACCACCTCCTTGATCCACACTCAAAATGAAATTTGGGGGAAAAATGTGAGAGAGATGGACATTTTAAAAATCGCTATGATCATTCTCTTTATTTGGTTAATTAACTGGCTCCTTGGAAACATTGGAAGACTGTTCTGTTGCAAAAAGTTTCATTAGCAGAGTGAATCTGACAGGCAATTGGCAAAAAGGACAGAAATTTTGTCTCTGCCCTGCTGCTGACTTTCTTTTGGACCTTGAGCAAGTCATTTAACTTTCCATTTATCCACTGCTACCAAATGACATCCACAACGTACTTTGAAGTAACTCAATTTCTTTATTTATTAAGCCAAAATAAAATACAATTTGTGGAAACAAATAGTCTAAAACCTGAACGCTAATAAAAACAAAAAGAAAAGGTAATGTTAAGTCATAGAATTGAAAAAGAATTGGCTAGATTTGCTAAGGGGTAAAATTCCCTAGAAAATATGCTGCATATATATGCATATGAAATATTTCAATATCCTGCAGCTGCATATGTTTTATTCTCAAGTGCCTCTGATCCAGCAAAGAAAAATTAAACTATAACCTGATTCACACATTAGAGCCATTTATAGTGGTTTCAAAACACAGTACATACAGTCGTATTGTTTATGTTCCTAATGGAGACTTTAGGTCAAGGAATGCAGAGTCTTCAGGAAAACTTACCCTTCAAACTACTGCCCTTAAATTAACAAAAAGCAAGTTCACTGGACAATAAATTCAAATCAATTTTTCTGGCCTTCTGATTTTTAGTACATAAGTTATTCAGGAATCCTGAGGTGTGAGGACCAAAGAAAAATACTCGGATGTTTTAGATAGTGTTTACACTGATTCCATTACCTTAGAGTACCTCAAACCCAGCTCTGTCTGAGGTCCCATACTTGGTTTGGTGATCAGAAGAAAGTAACAGCTTTCTCTGGATATGGCTGATAAGGATCTATAATGTGCTCTTCTTCCTCTCCCCAAATATATATATAACTGTGAAGAGATTATGATACAAATCCTCGTGTAGATTGTTTCTTCTGATCTTTCATTGAGTTATGTTGAAATGTCTCAGAGGATAGGATTTAAGTCATTAAGTACTTGTTGAGCATCTTCTTAGAGCTCAGCTATGTGCTAGGACTGGAGAATGGGGGCTCTCCAAAAAAAAAAAAAAGATATTGTGGGGCCTCCTTTTTAGAAACTTACACTCAAGTAGACAAGCCCAGTATAGCCTAAGAATTATTGATAAGGACTCTGGCCAGGAAGGGAACTTGAATGATAGAGTAAAAGCATCTAGGATGAATGTATCTAGGCTAGAAGAGTTTGGGTGGGAAATCATTTTATGTATACAGGGCACATGAGCAAAGTTATAACCATAATCCATGTGAAAAGACCATGACCTGGTCAAGGGGTCTGTGCAGGAGAAACACAATTCTGAAGGGCTAGAACACAAGCATTCCCCCCACAAAAAAAGATCCCCTGTTTCACAATGGAATACAGAACCATGTTCAACCAAGAACTAAAGAGAAGTATTTGGTAGCAAAGCTGCAGATAACGAAGGTGATCATGAGCCTACACCAAGAAAACGCACCCACACCTGCTTTGAGGGAGAAAACTCAATTAAGTTACATTTACTTGCTCCATAGTATACCTAACAAAGGCCCATAGTATACCTAGAAAGAACTATACTTAGCTAAATGCTAAATATTTTCTCAGACAGTAACAATCACCACTAAACCATGTGACATGACTCAAATAGATGATTGCCATCATGAGTGATTACATACTGAGAAGGTAACATGAGCAAAGCTTGTACTAGGAAACTAAATTATAGCCATAATTTCAAAGAAGGATAGTGGGGCCCTTGTCACAATAAGTGAACCCTATTTATTATGAACTCCAAGAAATTATAATCAAATATATATTTTGTAATTTTTCAAAATCCAAGAAATGATAATTGAATATACATTTTATAATTTTTCAAAATCAATTAGAGCCTCTCTCTCTCTCACACACACACACACACACACTCTCACGCCAACATTACCACCACCACCAAAACAACATTATTTTAAATGGTAAGCAACTCCAGTGCCTTTAAAGTTAGTTTATAACCTCCCTCTGAATTACCTTCAGCCTCTTTCTGCACAAAACCATAGCAAGAATTGCCCCCATCCCATAGAAATTTTCCAGGAAGCCCTAGAAGCTTCAACCCCTGTTTTTCCTTGATCAAGCTAACTTACATTATTCAGGATAGGAAGTATAAGGAAGAATGGTTATTTGGAAACTGGTAACTTTCTTATGTATTACTCAGAAAGAGAGAGATGGGGGTGATTGCTGTTTTGTTAAATACTAACAGGAACAACAATAGAAAAATTTATTGAGTTTTACTAGGTTCAGGCACTGTGCTAAACCCTTCCCATGGATTACCTCATTTACTTCTCATATTTTCCAGAAAGGTTAAATAACGAGATTTGAACACAGATCATAACTCCTGGGGTCAGTTCACAAGCATCCATAAGATTATAATATATCTTATGCTCCTTGTGGAAAATGTAAAATAAGTATGCATTCATATTAACCCTGGCATACAAAAGGTCCCTCCAATGCTATGACATAATGTGGTCTCTGAATTTTGTTTCTGTTCATAAACAGTGGTTTTCCCTGATCCATCTACTTGTTCTAGCCCAAGTCCATTTTGGACTAATAGTGAGGATTTTGATTTCGCTGCCTGGAGTTAGAGTCATAGAACAGAGCAAAAACAACTGGTTCAATAATGAAGTCTGCCATGTGGACTTCTTTGGTACTGGGTACTGTAATACTTTGGAATATGTTCTTCAGACAAATCTTCCATGACCTCATTCTAACCCCTATTCCCTACTAGGCCAGGTTCACTATTATTCATTTCCTTAGCACTTAGTCCCACTTATAATTATATGATTACAGTATTTAATATTTGTTTTTTCTGAACTAGATTTTAAACTCCCTGAGGGCAGGAACCATATGTTTTTCTCACTGTGGAATTTCCAGCACCTAGCACAGCACCTATCATATAGTTTGTGCCCAATAAATATTTGCTGAACAAATACATCTCTGAGTTATGATATACATGCAAATTTCACCCTCAGAGCTCTGTCTTACTGTTAAAGTGATTAATCTGCCATTTGTAGAGGAATTCTATATTCTTCCCATTTTCATCAGTGGTCAGAAATGAAGAGAAAATTTATAAATATTGGTTTTACGGGCTCATAATCTTGTAGCTTGTGTTCAAATAAATTAACTGATTGTAGAGTTGGAATAGACCTAAAATACCATCTAGTTTACTTTCTTCCTCTTATATATGAAGAAAGTGAATCTGGCGACTTATCAAAGGTCATGCAACCAGCTGGTGATGAAAGCAGCTATGAATTTTTAACTATTTGGGTTTTTTTTTAATTTGGGTTTTTAAAAACTGTGATAAGCACAGGGAGAAGTGTGTTTCCAAAAAAGAAGAAAGCCAAACCAAATTAAACCAATACCACAACAATAGCAAGTTGTCACAAGATTACAGTGCCAGATGGAGTTTTCATGTGAAGTTCAAGAGATTAATTAGCAACTATATCCATCTGAAGTTACTTTAGGGGCTTTGGAACTCTTAAATTTGTAAGTCTATTTTTAGGCAAGTGCACGCCCAAGTCAGGCTCTCTCATCTTTGTTCTGAACTAACCTCCTCTCCAGTCTCTTTCATTGAATGCCCGGGAATAGTCTCTCAGAATGGGCTCCACTCTGCTAAAACATCTGCTTGTTGTTTCTATTCCTGCCAGCAATACTGCACAGTCTTTGGCAATCTCCTGAAAACTCTTCTGAATCTGACTTGTGGGAGTTTTTGGAGCTCCTCAAATGGAAACTCATCCAAAATGTGGTGGTGTTCAATTTGGCTTCTGTTTTTTCACAGGATCCCAAAATGGGAACACACAGAAGACTTCAAGGGAATCAGTGATTCAGGCTGACCTCATCCCCCTCCAACTGCCCTTTGGCTTCATTGCAAATAAAAGGCTGAATGGTGACCATTAATAACATCTATCCCACTAAGTTTTATCTCAATGACATCATGGCTATTAAAAGAACTACCATCTCAAATAGTACAAAGCCTGGACTATCAATAAGTCATTCATCATCTAGACAACATGAATGTGGCATATGTCTGGAATCTGCAAAGCACTCCATTTAGAATAGCACTTGCACTAGCGAGCAAGCCTCAGAAAAGTATAAATATCATCCAGTTCTCAGAAGAATCAATTCTTCCAAAATACTCTCAAAAATTATATCTTCCATTGCCTTTTTCCTAGTCAGTCAGCCATTTTGCCTATCAGGCTAACACTAAACTTTCCTAAACCTATGAGAAATGAAATGGTTGTATGTCCCAAGGCCCAACTTAATCAAACATGAAAGTAGCCATCAAACATGAAACCATTTTGTTTACAGTAACGCATTTATACATTATCCATTTCTCAATTGTCTTAATCTATTACATATATTCACCCATTGAAATAAATAGGCTCATCAAAGGCAGGAACTACTTGGTACCAGACATGGCATAATTTCTTACCTAATTTATAATTTCAGTCATGACAATTTCACCCAAAAGCTCAAAGGAACATATATTCCACCCTTTCTAAGCTAAGAATATTCTTCTCCAGACTTGTTTTATGGTCAACTCTAACTCTAAATTACATGAGTTCATCTTCATCCTATAAGTAGGTCATGGAAAAATTGACATTGCATGTAAATGAAAGATAATTACATGTATAATTAAACTACAAGTTCAAACTTTATTTCCATATCTGACATGCAATTTTGAAATATATTGACTCTATTCACCATCTTCTCATTAATTTTCAAATTTAGATACATGGACTATAAACTGAAACCCTCAGTGCCCCCAAGGTGCTTGGCATAGTATGTGTCAAGACCCTGTAGGGAAGCAGATGGGCTAGGCATGCAGGGGCTAAACTTCAAGCCAGAGTCAGGTTGAGGAAGAGACACTACCAGGTGCAGCCAGATATTCAAGGACCTCAGTACTTATATCTCTGCTGGTGACCTGGTCTTTGGCCCTATCCTATTTTCCCTAAGTTCTTAAATAAATTATGCCTTCTCATACATTTCCTAACTTTATTCTCCTGGAATCCTAACATTGGTATCTAGTTTCTCTATATCTTCTACCCACACACTCTAAATAAAATCCTTACTGTTATATTTCCCTGGGACTCCATAATTGCTCCCTCTGATTGATGAATTTATTTTGGTGTTGTTTCCATTTATCAGATTGTTCTTGATTTCCTCAATTTGCCTTCTCCTTCTAAAATTGAAGGGCCCTATATAAGAACTGAGATCTTTCTAACTTTCCAGTGCTCAGCAGATCTGAATGATCTCCCCAAATCTATTAATTATCAATCACTGCTGAATAAGCCACTCCACAACTTAGTTGCTTCAAAGAACAATGATTTACTTTATTCACAAATCTGCAATTTTTGGCAAGTCTTGGCAGAAACAGCTTTTCTCTGCTCTCTGAATTCTAAGCTGGGGTGGCTCAACTAAAGATTATAGGATCTACTCTGAAGATGGTTCATTCACATTGAATATAATTAGGTTCTGGAATCCCACCCAGGGCTGTGGGCAAGAGGCCATTGTTGTTCCCCATATAGGCCTTCCCATGGGAAGTTTGGCTTTTTCACAGCATGTTGGCTAGGGTGTAAGAGCAAGCTTCCTAAAAGAAGAAGTGGAAGCTTCCATATTCTTGAAACCTAGGTTCAGAAACTGGCAGTGTCACTTTCACTGTATTCTATTTGGTCAACTAGATTCAAGTGGAAGGGACATAAGCCCATACCTGTCAGTGGTTGGAAATGTCAAAAAATTGTAGGCCAAATTTTAGAATTGTCACACAAATATAGCACTACCAAATTATTATCATTTTTTTCTTTCAGTTTCAAGAAATGTATTTGGAACAGGATTAAATCCAAGGCTCTCTGAATTCTAATCATCATAATGTTTTTCATATCTTATTTCACACAGATTTTCTTCAAAGATTGAATCCTTACCCTATGCATTCCAAAGCTTAGTTAGCATGGTCCTTTACAAATGTAAATTTCCTCCCTAACATGTACCTCTTTGTCCTATAAAACTTTCCATGTAATGAAACACCTTTTGATTCTGTACCTTCCTGCTCTCCTCTATTCTATACATGACCGCACAGTTACCAATTGTAAATGAACCATCTTCCACATGCAGAGACTTATTCCAGATGTATGTTGGCTAAATTTACACAAAATTATAAAGAATCATTTCAATGAAAGAACACTGGGCATGAGGAGGGGGTGTACAGGAGACCCATGTCTCTATGTGTGTGACCTTCAGTAAACCACTGAACTTTTCTCAGGGCCTGCTGAAGTTTGCACTCAATGATAATTAAAGTCCTTTCAAAAGAATTTGGTAAAAATAAATACAACACATCGTTCACATCCAAAAGCATTGTACAGTATGTTTGAGGAGAGAGAACATGAACAACAAAAAAAGAGTCATGTAAGTACACTCATCCTCTTTCCACAGGGCCTTTCCATATGCCATTCCCATGCCTCCAATGCTCTTTGCAGGCTCTACCCCATAGCCTGGTTAACGACTACTCAAACTTTAGACCACAGCTTAATTATTACTTCCTCAGGAGGCATTTCCTGTCCCCCTTCCCTAAGTCAGTTTTCTTAGTCTATATGGCCCCTTTGTCATCCACTCTCCTCGAACCATATTCTTTTACTTCCAGGAAGCAATTGATTGTTTCTTTGATCAGTGGTTGTCTGCTTCATTTAAGTGTGACCTCCGTAAGAGTAGGGCCTGTATCTTCCTGAGGCACCATTGTATTCCCAGAAGCAAATATGTTCTGGTTGGCAGACACTGTCTCAGTAATTGTTGAAGGAAAGAGGAAAGCAAGCAAGGGAAGGGAGGAGGGAAGGAGGAAGGGAAAAGGCATAGGCAATGAAACAGACAGAGAATGTTACAGGAATACACATAAAGGAAGATTGCTTTGAGCTGAAGTTTCAAGAAAGTCTCCATGGAGCAGATGAGATTTGAGTTGGACCTTGAAAGAAAAGATTCATATCTGGGTGGAGTGAGGAATGGAGACAAGTAGAGGGAAAACATGACAGAAAAGGAGAAAAAAGACATGAGAAAAGAAGGAAAGTTTCAGTAAAGGATAAGTACACTAGTCTGGCTAGTGTCAGTTTGTTGTAAAGACTAACCAGAGATATCCCTGAAGGGGTAAATTGAAGCCAGATCATTTGAGCTTTGCATGCCTGGATAAAATGTTAGATCTAAGGACTGGAAAACTGTATTTCTGAGCTAAGGATTGATATAGGTCTTCCAAATTCTGTGAACCACTATGGCCTACAGAATAACTTAATCCTGGGGCTATCACTTTTTCTCCAATTGAATGAATTATTTCTATCAAGGCACGAAAGCCACATCTGACTTAAGCCCAGAAATGACCCCCTTTCTCACTCTGTCCTTCCCCTGAAAATAAACAGGAATGGGGCTTTCATTCCCAAAAACGAACAGGATGGAAAACTTGAAGCATTAAATTATACCTTTTAGTTTTTAGTCCTGCTATGAATGAAGATGGGATTATGTTCAATTTTAAAGAACAATATTCAGAAAAAAAGTTCTGACTCATCCCATACAACTACAAATTGTAAGAGACAGAGACGTAGAAAATCACAATTTAGCCTCTCTCTTGTCCAGTGTCACTCAGATCACTATTCTAAAGATGAGAAAAAATTAATATTATTTTAAAAATCACATTTGCAGAGGTCAATCCTTCACCATAGTATTTTTGCTACATTTGGAAATTCATGCTTTAAGTTTTGTGGCGTTCTGATTTAGATTCTTAGGTTATCAGATGAATTTTATACAAGTAGCCAAAAGTTACACCAGTGCTCTCCTAGAAGTAACCATGCATTATCTGAGATAATTATGGGATAATATGTATTCTGTGATACAGAGGAAAAACCAGGACCTTGGAGTCAGACTAGCTATGATTTGTGGCCATGGATTTGATTTATTTCAGGCTCAGTTCCTCCATCTCTAAAAGTAAGCTATTACTATATAAGTTGTTAAGAGAATGAACTAAAAGAATGTATGTAATGTGTCCGGCACAGTTCCTAGCATTCAATAAATATTATTGTTTTGTTTTCTTACCATTGTAAAATATAAAACACAGCCTTTCATTTACAAACTTGGAAGTCGATACATTACTCCTTTTACAATATCTTAAATGATTTACGCAATGAATCAGCATGAATGAAGGAAAAAGTTTTACAAACATTTATATTGAGCATCTATTACATGCTAGACACCATGCTAGGTGTAAAATATCCATTTACTTCCTAGAATCATTCTAGTTGTCCTTGAGAATACATTAAAATTCTTAATAAATACCTGTTCTCTAATATATATTTCAAACAGTTTGATCACACCTTCACTATTAAACAGCTGAGTCATTTAGCCCAATCTTATTTCTCTGCATTTCCCAAGTGCCACTAAAGAATTGCCTTATTTGGGATTTCCTTTAAAATAAAATTTTGCTTAATCTGAAAATGCTAAAATTATCATTAATGTACTAACGCTCTCATTGCAATATTTTACAAACCTCGAACAGCTGTGACTTTTGTTAAACGCTTTATTCTTTCCATTAATATTTGTACCTGATTAAACTTCAATACAGGTGCACATGGCTTGGTAATCACACTTTTATATTTTGAATGCAGATTACTGACACAGGAATTTGCATAAATTTGTTATGCACTGCTGCAAAAATGAATGCTCAAGCAACTTTTATTTTTATCTAATCAAATCACTGCTTAATGAAAAACTACTGACTGCTTGCAGAGGTACACTGAGCTACACTCTGGGGATTGGCACATTTACAATTCAGCAGGGGCTCCCTGCAGGCATGTGACTCCAGTACAACTATAGTACTGGTGAAAACTCAGCCCTACAAAACCAATCTGATCTACCCTATTAAAGGGGAGAGAGCTAGAGATGGATCTTTCTTTTTAAAAAACCTCTTCACAGCATAAAGCACGTAAAGGAAAATCAGAGGGGGTCTGTAGCAGCAGCATCAATAGTCACAGTTAAAAGCATACTTGCAACCCACAGGGAGGCTTAACAATCACACTATCCCAAAGTACACCAGCTTTGGTAAAATGGAATGACAGACTAGAGGGAAGAAAAACTTTTTTTTTTCTATTTGTCACATTCTTTCTGATCCATCCAGCTATTGCTATGCCACTTTCTATGGGAGGGGGTGGGGATCTAGTCATTCTATGCTTCTCTATGAGCTGTTTATCATTGCCCCATCAAGGGTGATAAGTGACTATAAATAATAGTAACACCACTCCACATATATACACTGATTTACACTTTTTAAATTGATTCCACATATATTGTCTTATTTATTTATATATAACTGATAACTTGCCTACTTTCAAGGAGATTTTTAAATTAATTATAATAAAATCTAGATAAAGAAATCAAAAGTAAAGTTTTAAAAGACACAGAGAGAATGAGAAATTTGAAAAAGAGAGACCTCTATAATATATTTATATTCACTGCTCTAACAGTATAGAGTAGGTGCTTAATAAACATTCACTGAATTAATAAATTGTGCTATGAAGTGTCTGGCACACGTTAGCCTCTCTATAAATATTTGTTGAGTGAATAAGTGACTAAACAAATGAATAAATAGCATATACTGTTTAATCTCACAGCTAGCCTGAATAATAAGTACATTCATGGTTGAAAACACAAAAAGATAAGTTACTTGATGAAAGTCACACAGGAGAATTAACCTACTATGTTTTGAGAAGCCTAGTACAGTGCTGCCTGTATTGCCAAATCCTTCCAGCAGAAATTTGCAAAAATAAATGAAATAAAGTTTGAGAACATTTCTTTGCTATCCAGAATATTGAAAAAAAGTCTAAAGAAAATATTTTCATAAATATTTAAATGCATTCAAAATCCACAGTTCATAATATTCTTCCCTCCTGAAGTGCGGTTATCCTTATTATTTTCTCCCCCCAAAATGATCAAATTTGTTCAAAATACATTCAGTCCACATTTTTTCCATCCATATTTACCAGTGTCTGACCCTTTCCTACCTCCTGACACCATCTCCACCCAGCCACCCATCCCTTTGTGTACAGCAAACACTTTCACTCATTCAGCATCCTGCATTCTGGTTATCAATATAGAACACCCCCTAACCCAGGAACCACGCACTTTCCCTTTGGTTAGGTGAGGTTGTTTTCTGCTTGAAAATAGGCATTAATGAGACCAAAGCTGTCTGCTTGCTTCCTGCTTAGGCTTGGATTTCTTCACTTAGCTCTCCAGTCTAGCCTGTATCTCTGAACCTGTCACCCATCTTAAAAATATGTGGTCTAAAGGGACAGCAAACAAGACGGTGCCATTGATTCAGTGTAAGTTATCCAACCACTGAAAGTTATCTAACACTTTCTACTGAAAGGAAGTCTGCAAAGTAATCTGTATATGAAAGACTATGCATACTGTGTTTGCACAAGATTTTTTTCTGCCCACTATTTTCAAGCCCAATGAAGCAAGCAGCAGGATCCTTTTGCACCTCAGGCTAAAGAAAAGCTCAGAGGCTATTAAATTTCCAGAAGGCTCAGGAAGTACCAAATGACCATAGGAACTCTCCTGCAGTCCTAAAATTTTACACTGTGTGACCAGAGAGCATTTGAAGTTTTTTGAATTAATAATTTTTACATTTTTGCAGTGGTAATTATTACTATATAAGCCAAGGTGTTTACTTTCCCTCCATTACTCTACTGTGGTTTTCAATCACAGGGAGGTAAATTCTGAGCTTGAAAAAAGTGGTCTTTAAAAGGCTCTCCAAACCAATTTCAATTACCTTTGTAGAGGGATAATAAAAATGCAAAAAAAAAAATAGTTTGAAACCAAAATCAAAAAGGCAGAAAAAAGGTCTGAAGCAAATAAGTGGCCTCAAAGAGGGAACATAAGTGCAATAATAACTTTGAAATATATATTACTGTATATTTAAGAACATTGAAAAGAAGCACTCGGAGTAAAGAGAGTAAACACACACACACACAACTCATTGCATTTTAAGGCCAATTAAATCCTCTAATGAAGCATACCAGCTACTGCTTAACTTCTTGAGCTGGTCTCAAGCAGAATTCTAAGTCGGCAGTAGTTTGTCAGTCTATATTTCTACAAAACATATAAGCAGAATAACAGGTATATAAACTGATGCCAAGCAGGTCAGCTGTATTCAGAAGAGACACTAGAATTGGTGTTGAAATGCATTAAACCTGAAGTCACGATTTGTTTTGAAATTCAACTCATGTTACTTCCATATTCTCTACTTGTCTTTGAAATCTAAAAGTGAATCCTCCTGCCAGATTCTGTGGCCATATCAAATGGAGTTTTTCCTTCTTTCTGGAAAGGCTCTATCACCATGGGTCAAAGGGCTTCCCTTGGGGGTAAGAAAGAGTTAAGTATTAACAATTTGGGGTTAAAATGTCAGCTGCACCTTCTGAAGTGGTGAGCACTTAACCTGAATCCATGCCTTTGGAATATGTACAGTCAACCAAAATATCCAAGAACTGAATGACTTCATTTACTATTAAAAAAATCAACTGTGAGTGCTTTCTATGGACTTGGCACTGTACAGACACCATGTGACACATTTTCTCAGTGTCATTAAACAAACATTTACTGAGTGCCTACTATGAGCTAGCCCTGTATTATTGTGAAATTCCAAATAAATCAAAGACTGAGAGCCTCACCCTTGAGCCATTTACAATTGGCCAGAGAAACATAATTCAGTTGTATGTGTACAAACACACTCAACCTTTAGTGCAGTGAAAATATTGTCCCAGCCTTGCCCTTTCTTTCCTTTAGGCTGCTAAAACTTCCCAAAGTTACTCACTTTCAGAATATACCCCAACATATAAGGTCAGTGAAAGCCCTGAGGAAACAGGAGTAAGTCCTTCCAAATGCTTATAAAGCAAGTAAAATGTTTTTGAAAAAGTAGTTGACCCTTCTTTTGTCTCATTGAATAACGTGAATATAACTCATCACTGCCAAGATTATGCTGGCAATAAACAGATTTTGTGGTTTTCAGGCTTGGGAGTTTTGCTTCAGTTTTTAATGACAAAACGGTCACTAAATTGCTTTTTCTCCTCATGTACCCTGAATATTACTCTGTGCTTATAATTTAGTTCAGAGATCTGTATTTAGTCATAGAAAGAATGGAAACACTCTGCACAAAATGAGAAAATTATCTCTTACTGTTTCTTACAAATTCACTCAGTAGATCAAGATAGCTGTGCAAAGTGCCATGAATTACAGGTTTACAGGAATCTCACTATTTACTGCAATATTATTTCATTATAGAAAAGTGACTTTTTTCTTGCACTGAATGTCAAAATTGATGCTCCTAACTAACTGCAGTACTTGGAGGTTACTTTCATAACTGAATAACTTATCATTTCATGGATGTTAAGTCATTTCACTGATCCTCAGTGCTGAAACAACAACAACAACAAACTTCTTCTTGATTTTGCTTCTTTGCTCTCTGGTTGACATGTTTTTAAGTTTATTACCATCAAAATGTGAAATGTTTATAAATATTACAAACAAAAATTTATAGATGTTATTACAAATTAATGTGGAGGCTAGAGACAATAGGTTCACTTCATATCTCACTACACATTTTCCTTTAGATAAAATAGTTAAATTGTTAACCAAAAGACATAGTCTTTTGTTTAAAAAAATTTACGATACCATTAATCCAAATACAAATATTCATCACCCTGGGCAAAAAATGTGTTTTACAAAATTCAAGTCTAAATTGAGTTTTTGTAAATTGCATCATTTCCCCATTGATTTATATTACAGTATTAGAGATTATTTATTTCAATTTCTGGACCGGTTGGCAGTAGTTTATAGCACTTGGGCTTATTTTTCTCACCTCCTTTATTTTCTGTCAATTACAGATTTATAAACAGATGCTTAAATGTACTAGAGAAACTCCAATTTAAAGAACTATCATGGAGAATTATTTCTAACAAAGTGAAGACGACTTTAATAATGTGATTAGTTGCACCACAACTATTATGTTTGGTAAGTATGAATCTTATTACAATGGCTCTCTTAAAGAGAGGTACCCCACTGGAAAGACAGATGCATGTGAGATAGGTATATGCCTCCATGCAGTAAAACTAGAAAGTCCACTTTAAGACACATTGATATCAAAACAATAGAAGTGATTTCTTAATGTAGACTGGAGTTCTAGATAATTATGAACAACGGCATTTAACTGGACACTGCAGTTTAATAACCCTAGAGTCACCACTGTAGATATCTACATTAACACAAGGTTTCAAAGGGAAGCAGATGGCTAGAAAACCCTTACTGAGATTCTTTAACAATTTCCAAAGGTAGAACAGCAAGTAGCTTTTATGTATAAATGAAGTTCATCATATGGTAAAGCATGATTGAATATTTTATATAAAAAAAATCAAATTATTATAGTTAGATTGAATAAAGCCAAGGCCAATCAAACGTAGAGTTGAGTTTCCCCGATAAATAACGGACTAGGTTTAGAGCAATAATTATAAACTAAGCTATGAAAAAAAGAAAAGAAAAACAAAAAGGAAAGGTAGATAGAATAAATGGGTTTTCATAATATCACAGACTTCATTTTCTCAAATATGAATCCCAATTCCATTAAAGCTCAGGTTATTACTTTGAAAACGTACATAGAGGAGATAAATCTAACAGTTTTCTGGGCATATTAAAAATAATGTAAAATGGACACTAATATAACAGACAACAATTTTGTGTTCTAATAATTGATATCCCAAAAAGATTAAAATCATAATGCAACTCCAGTTGATATTTTATGTTAAATAAGCAATGACTTTTAAAATCAGTGTCCTCACCAGCAAATCAAATACATTGTCTACCCAATGACATTCCTACCTGACAAGTGACCAAACCACTCAAGTTCTGATGACCTGAAACCATGTACTAGAACTCTGCAAAAAGGATGTTCATGTCACTGTTGCAAGCAATTACAGATAGGCAACAGATAATGTAAGTAGTGACTGGTCTTATTGATCGAGGGAGGAAAAAAATGTAGGTGCCTAAAATAGACTGTTTACTATCTACTTCCTGCTGATAGTTTCTAGTAAAATACTACTTTTACCCACTTCCTAAGACACCTCCATCAAACAGGTGAAACAGGATAGTACAATGTTCCTCACCATCCCCATCTAGCAGTGTTTCACCATTAGTCATGACAGTAGTCAGGTGACAGGTGTTTTGCATTACATGACCTAATTAGATATATAATGCTCTAAAACAACAGGTGGACCTCAATCTGAGAAAATCCAATAAATAAATATCCAAATATACAAGATGGAAAAATTAGGGGTATAGTATCATGATAAAATGATTATTAAATATATGACTATGGATTGCAGGAGGTAAGACAAAAGACATGAAAATTGGTAGAAGTAGTGCTGTAGTTTAAATTTTGATCCACAGAGCAAAACTTCACACGATTCTTTCTTACTTGCCTTTCTCTCCTACAAAGAGGGACTCAACCCTGTTCTCTCCATAACAGTTTCAGCCTCACTGGGGAGCAATCCATATGGTCAAGAGCTCCTTCAAATAGAAGATATGTCAGCATCTTTAAGAGTGAAATCAGTGGTTCTCAAACTTTAGAATCACTTGGGGAGATTTTTTAAATCCTGATGCCCAGACCACACTCCTTACGCAGTTATTATAAATCAAAACCAATGGGGGTGGCCCCAGGTACCAGTATGTCATAAAACGATCTAGATGATTACAATGTGAAGCCAAGTTTGAGAACCACTGGGTTAGACCTTAGGAAAATACAGCCTGTTTTTTTAAAAATAAATAAAATCCACATTTTCCTTTCAGAAACACATCTGCCATGCAAAGCAAACTAACAAATAAGAGAACCAACATTTCTTGGGGCTTTTCAATGAATGTTTCTAGGCTTACCACCTGATATGCCAACTACTGCTACTGAAATCAACAAACCAAAAGGTCTGCTTCCCAAAGACATGCTTCACAGAGGTCTGGTGCTACATAAGTGCCAGGTTGGAGGTTCATATAATGACTCCTACTCACTGGTTCTCCTCCCTTGGTTATATCATTGCTCCCTCTTAGAACCCATTTGAAATAGAATGGCCAAAAGCTCCTTATCAACCAAACTACATCATTCTCGGTATCAGACAAATGGAACTGTCACTCTTTCTTGTTTGTTTTAAGAGACAGGGTCTTGCTCTGTCACCCAGGATGGAATGCAGTGGTGCAATAATAGCTCGCTGCAGCCTCAAACTCCAGGGCTGAAGCGGTCCTCTGTTCTCAGCCTCCTAAGTAGCTAGGACTACAGGCATGTGCCACCACATCTGGCTAATTTTTTAATTTTTTGTAGAGGTAGGGTCTCACCACGTTGACCAGGCTGGTCTTGAACTCCTGGCCTCAAGCAATCCTCCCACCTCAGCCTCCCAAAGCACTGGGATTACAGGCATCAGCCACCACATCTGGCCTGGAACTGTCTTGATGTTAAAGCCAGATACCTAATTCTAGGTGTTAAATTCATGTGTTAGTTTATACTATACCCACCCACTTAGCTACACTGCTTTCTATTCACTCCTTTTCCTCTGTCTACCTACTCATACTTTTCTCTCTGAGGTCAATAACAGCAGCTCTGAGCAAGGGTTGACCATAACATTTCAGTTTACCTGTGTTGTCTCAGCATAATTATATTTTTTCAATATTTTCTCATGAAATCTTTCAAAAATACACAAATGGTGAAAATGATTTTACAGCGACCACCACCTAAAATCTGCCATTAGCATATTACTGCACTTTATCACACATCTGTTCATTAATCCTCTCTCTACCCATCTATTAGCTTATCCTATTTTTAGAAGCATTTCAAAGGAAGTCCAGGATAATTATTAATGGGCATCCTCTTTTACACTCAAAAGTATCCTGGTTTGGACAATAAATTCTACAATGACCCTATTCTGAAACAAATGTGGTGTGTGAATATGGTATAGCTGTGTAGCTATGGTGGTGCCAGGCACTGTGGAAGCATTAGATAAATATATGTGTGAGTTTCAATATTCAACTTCAATTTGAATGAAAGAAACAAAATTACAATGACTGAATGCTGACTGATATTTTACTGCAAAAGAAAACTAGAAGATCAGAACAAGCATAACTAGTCCACGGGAATTACCAAATAGTGCTTTATGTGACAGTCAGACTTGTGCTGAGCCTTGAAGGATGAGTAAAATTTGAATTGTTAGGCAGGCAGTGAGAGAGTATTTAGAGTGGAAAGGAAGAATAGCATGAGCAATGATAGCTGTAGAAGAGCAAAAATGAGGCTGGAAGAAGAACAAGAAAAAGAGCAAAGCCAAAAGATTCATGAACACATAGGCTCTGCTTGGTGTCTATGAATAATAAAATACTTCTCACCTTTACTAGTGAGAGTTGATAGTCATCTCACTGACTGAAAGGCCAAGTCACTGACAGGTCTTGAATGTTTACCTTGCCAGGCATTACCAGCAGAGCAACATGGGCAGTAACTGTCATCTATTCATCCCTTCTACCATGATTCTAGTTCTCAAATTGCCTACTTTCTATGCTGGAAGAAATGCTAAGACAGATTCAGTCCTCATGCCAGAATATCTTAATAAGCTGTAATGATTCTTCATTATTTAAAGCAGAGCTTGCCATCCTCCTTTTTTTCAGATTTATTGGAGGCTAATCAATTGGGCTGTGAATTGTATCAGACAGAACCTATACGCATGAATAACTTCTTATTTCAGCAGTATCAAAATCAATAGTCATTGAGTCGTCTACAAAGCAGTTCTGCATTCCAATTTACAATATATTGTGGCACACCTCAAGTAAATCCTGTACATACATATTGCTTGTACCATTCTGTTCTTATTGTTGTTAGAATGCTCTTTTGCTGGAATGCAAGTGTGATTTTTTTTTCCTGTGGTTCCACACTTCCCAATCAAAGCAGATTAAGACACATACTTTAGTTTTCCATGGCCTTGAGCTGACTTGAACTGAGATGGGCTCATGCCCAAATGGGAAGTAAATAAAATGGTTCTGGATGACGTTGATTCAACTTAAAGAATTCTTGTTCTTTTGAGAACTTTTATGATCTCTGCTATGCCTGTACCATTGCTTAGATCTTGACTGCCTAGCTGTACTGATCCAACTTTTGCATGTATCTCTGAGTTCAGCTGAGACTTTAATTCTGGTTCTAACCTTTTATCCTCACCTCCATCAATGATCACCATTCACTATTTTTGGCTTACTGAAAAGTTCATGTTCTATGCCTACAGTAAAAATATTTTCAGGCCAGGATTGCTAACATTGCAATCACTACAACCACAAGCATGATTATTATACCATTCCTCCAAGGAACTTTAGGCTCTTGGCAAAAATTTGGTCAGAATCTGAAGTTAATTTCTTGTTCTTCAGCAGAGGTTAAGCTCCCTTGGAGGACAAGAGGCTACTTTTTAAAATTGCTTTAAGAAGTCATGTTTGCTTTTGGTAGTGTTGTGTTCTTATAAGATAGAAAGCAGCACCAGGAAATGCAGATAGAAGCATAGAACTGTAAAATGACTTCATGGTGGATATACTGTTTTGGTCTTATATCTCTAAAACACTCAATGATTAACTAAAGAGTGAAAATCACAGGAGAGAAAAGAAGTTCTGGGAGTAGCTGACAATAAAAGTGATCAGTTTGTGATGTTTAAAACAGTGAAACATAATTTGGAATGGGCATTCAAGTCAGTCAGAAATGTTTATTGAGCATCTATCATGCGCTACAAGGAGTCAAAAAGACTTATGAGATATGAGCACTGCCTTGCCAATAGCCTATATAATCTTCTGAGGAAGAGAATAGTAATACATTTGAAACAACAACAAACAATGGAAAATGTCATTACTATAAATCTGTATTCATAATAGTAAGTGTCATAGTTCAAAGGAGATCAGTGAAGGTTGATCTAGCCAAGAAAGGCTTCATGGACCAGAGAGGTTTGGATTGAGTGTTGCAGGGTTTAGATTAGTGTGGAAGAGAAGTTAGGGCATTCCACTTAAGGAAAACAACATGTGAGGAGGGGAGAAAGAACTCAGTGTGCTTCTAGAATAATGAAGGAGACAGATGACTACAGTAAATGGTGTGTGATGGGAAACATTGGTATGAGAGCTTAGATAGATAGGGTGGGCCATAATATGGAGGGTTTTAGATGCCAGGCTAAGAAGGTTTGACTTAGTGCAGAGAGCACAAATCACTGCAGATGTTAAGGATGAGATCTTGACACAATGATAACTAACATCGTGTATCACAGCTTGTGTATCACAGCATTGTGTATCATTGTGCATCATAGTTTGACACAATGATAGTGTCTGAGAAAAATGCTACAGTTACCAGTTATGCAAACTTCTATCCTGAACAACATACTCCCACCCACTGCCTGCCAATTTAATCATGTTCAAAATCAAAGACAAAGCAATTCACATTATTGCACTGAGTTATTCTTCTAAAGAGAGCCTACTGTGGGATGCGCTTGACACTAATGATATGCTCTTTTTCCCCATTAAAGAAGTAGACAACACTAATATTTAATATATTTTAGTTTTGTGTGGCTACTGTGTCTCTAATTTCTCTCTTTCCATTAGGGTAATAGTGGTTCCCTTTGTCACAATGGTTATTGTTCATATAACTGCCATGCACAGACTTCTATAGCAACTGCCATTCATGGACATCAGACAATGAGGTAGGTTCATCAGGAACAGTCAGAGGATATGTGACATCAGCACATATCATTTCACTTTTCAGCAAACCAAGAGGACCACCATTTTTATCACCTATTTGCTTCAAGAACTGATCAAGGTTCTAACATAAACATAAGCTGTTAATCAAAATACCATTTTCTTATTTTCTGGAATTTCCATTGAGAGCCACCTTATATTTATTTTTGAATTTTTTATTTCTAATTTTGTCATATTTATGTCAGCTGAAGCCCCCATTCTTTTGTTATCCCTTTCTTCCTAAAGATTTTATTTCTCTTCCATGCAATTTCCATGCTACTACATATAAATGGTAATCAAAAGCAATACATTCTTAATTTTGTCTTGTATACTTTAAAATTAAAATGAATGGTTTCATATTTACAGTAAGAATACAGTTTCATATTTAGGATAAGCATATAATTTACCATTCAAACAGAATTCTACAATTGACACTATTAATAATTACACCAGGATAAAAGCATAAAGTGGGCCTGTTTGAGGCCCACTAGGATGTATGATCAACCTTCTGATACTGTACATATCCTCCTTTTTATGAAGTAATTTTTAAATTTTTAAATTTTATTTTAAATTAATATACAGTAAAATTGACTTTTTGTTATATAGTTCTATGAATTTTAATATATGTATAGATTTATGTAACCAATACCAGAATCAGGATACAGAACAGTTCCATCACCCCAAAACACTACCTCATGCCATCCCTTTGTAGTCACACTCTCCCTCTACTCCTAAACCCTAGCAACCACTCTGTCACTGTAGTTTTATCTTCTTCAGAATGTCATATAAACAAAATGATACAATATGCAGCCTTTTGAGACTGGCTTCTTTCATTTAGCATACTGTCTTTATGATTCATCCAAGTTGATGGATGAATCAAAAGTTCATTTTTTATTGCTGAATAGTGTCCCACTATGTAGATACACCACAATATGTTTTATCCATTCATCTGTTGATGCAAATTTGAGTTGTTTCCAATTGGGGGTTATTAGAAACAAAGCTTCTATACACATTCATATGCAGGTTTGTGTGTACAAGTTTTCATTTCTTTTGGATAAATGCCCAAAAGCGCAATTGCTCAGTTGTACGGAAGTAGTATGTTTAGTTTTATAAGAAACTGCCAAACTGTTTTTCCAGAGTAGCTGTACCATTTTACATTCCTACTGAAAATGTATGCAAATTTCAGCTACTCTGCATTCTGCCTAGCACTGATAATTGTATTCTTAAAATTATTATTTTTGCCATTTTGATAGGCATGTAGTGACATCCCATCATGGCTTTAATTTGTATTTCCCTATTGGCTAATAATGTTGAGCATCTTTTCATGTACTTTATTTATTTGCCAACTATAAGTCTACTTTGGTGAAGTGGTTGTTTAAATCTTTTACCCATTTTTAAATTAGGCTGTTGTTTTCCTTATTCCTGAGTTTTGAGAATTCTTTATATATTTTGGATTCAAGTCCTTTATTAGATATGTGATTTGCCAATATTTCTCCCAGTCTGTGGCTTGCCTTTTCATCCTCTTCACAGTGTCCTTCCCAGAAAAGAAGTTTATAATTTTTATGATGAACTCTTTTCTTAATCCTAGGTCATGAAAATGAATTCCTATGTGTTTTTCTAGAAGTTTTATAGTATTGTATTTTCTATTTTTTATCAAGAAATGTTGCTGAACTCTTTTTAGTTTTAACAGTTTGCATGATTATTATTATTACTATTATTATTATTATTATTATTATTATTTTGAGACAGAGTCTCGCTGTCACTCAGGCTGGAATGCAGTGGTATGATCTCTGCTCACTGCAACCTCCACCTCACCAGTTTAAGCAACTCCCCTGCCTCAGCCTCCTGAGTAGCTGGGATTACAGGTGCATGCCACTACCCCGGTTTTTTGTTTTTGTTGTTGCTGCTGTTGTTGTTTTCATATATTTTTAGTAGAGATGGGGTTTCACCATGTTGGCCAGGCTGGTCTAGAACTCCTAACCTCAGGCAATCCGCCCACCTCGGCCTCGCAAAGTGCTGGGATTACAGGTGTGTGCCACTGCGCCCGGTCCTGAATATTATTTTTAAATTTATATCAAGACAATCATTCTTTCACAATAAGTTTTGGGTTGTTTACTTTCCAATACGCATAACTTTCATTTTTCTATTCTTATTTCCTGTTGCTTAGAGGTAGTGATAGCAGGCAAGATTACTTTGTCTCAAATGGTTTTTGGTCAATAACATTTATCTAATTTTAAAAGTTTTTTGTATAGTTTTCTAGGAGTTTGCTAGGAGTTTTTAAAATCAAATTATATTGAATTATATTAAGTGCTTTTTTAATCTGTTGAGGTGGTTATATTACTTTTTTCTTTAAGGTTATCAAAGACATTAAATAATTTTTTAAAAAGTTAAACCATTCTTAAATATTTTTGGTATAAATTCAGATCAGCATGAGGCAGTATTTCATTAATAAAACTTATTAATGGATTTAACCTGCTGATATTGTATTTATGACATTTAGCTGCCATGTATGTGAGGTAATCTGTAATTTATTTTTCTCAAAGTGTATCTATCTTGTTTGGGTAAAAAGATTATATTAGACTCTGAAAATTAGTTCAGGGGAATTTTCCCTCTTTTTTAATTCTCTGAAGAAGTTATATAAAATGGAGATTATCTGTTCTTTGAAAATTTGATAAACTAATTTGTGAAATCCTCTAGGCCTGGTGATTTTTTTGTATGTAGATTTTTGACTATTGATACAATTTCTTTAATGTAGGTACTAGATTTATCCAGGTTAATTATTCTTCCTTGAGGCACTTTTAATATATTTTATTTTTGCATGACAGTATCCATTTGTTCAATTCTATGATTTATTTATTGTACAAAGTTTTTCAAGATATTGTTACTGTGTTTTTAAATTTGACTGTATCTACAGTAGCATCTCCCTTTTCATTCTTAATACTGATGACTTGTCAAGTCTTTTTGTAAAATCAGTGTTACAATAAGTTTATTTTGGTATGCTTGTCTACTAATAATTTCAAAGACCAAATGCTGGTTTTGTTGATTCTCTATCATTTCTTTGTTTTCTATTTCATTCATTTCTACTTCTATTTCCTTCCCTTTTTTAATCAACTATCTTGTTCCTTTTCTAACTACTTAAAGTGGACACAGCTTCTGTTAGTTCTCCTTCTCTTACACATTCTACACTGAAAATTCAACTCTGACATTGGCAGCATCCCACAAGTTTTGCTATGCTGTGTCATCATTATTCAATTCTAAATATTTTCTAATTTCCCACATAAAATTTTCTTAACCAATGAATTACATCAAAGTATTTTTAATTTCAAAATTAACAAGGACTTTTTGCTATTTTTAAACTGATGCATACCTTCTTTGCAGTGTGGTCAGAGAAAGAGGTGTTTATAGAGGCTTTGGGGTATTTTTGAGATTTGTCACCTAGTACACAGTCAATTTTTAGAAATATTTCACATGTAACTCAAAAGAAAAAGTATTTTCTCTAATTATTTCTTTAATTATTTTTACTCTAATATTTTCTGTAATTATTGGGCCCAGAGTTCTATTTATGTCCATTAAATCAAGTCTGTTTAACATAAGCACTGATTTTTTTCTCCTTGCATATTGATTACTGAAAGTTATGTTAAAATCTTCAAACAGGCCAGGCGCCTTTAAAGGCCCACACCTTTAATCCTAGCACTTTGGGAGGCCGAGGCAGGTGGATAAACTGAGGTCAGGAGTTCGAGACCAAACTGGCTAACATGGTGAAAACCTGTCTCTACTAAAAATACAAAAATTAGCTGGGCATGGTTGTGCCCACCTGTAATCCCATCTACTCAGGAGGCTGAGAAAGGAGAATCACTTGAACCTGGGAGGTGGAGGCTGCAGTGAGTAGAGACTGCGCCACTGCATTCCAGCCTGCATGACAGGAGTGAGACTCCATCCCAAAAAAAAAGTCTGTTACACCTTATACAAAAATTAATTCAAGATGGATTAAAGACTTAAATGTTAGACCTAAAACCATAAAAACCCTAGAAGAAAACCTAGGCATTACCATTCAGGACATAGGCATGGGCAAGGACTTCATGTCTAAAACACCAAAAGCAATGGCAACAAAAGCCAAAATTGACAAATGGGATCTAATTAAACTAAAGAGCTTCTGCACAGCAAAAGAAACTACCATCAGAGTGAACAGACAACCTACAAAATGGGAGAAAATTTTCGCAACCTACTCATCTGACAAAGGGCTAATATCTAGAATCTACAATGAACTCAAACAAATTTACAAGAAAAAACAACCCCATCAAAAATTGGGCAAAGGATATGAACAGACACTTCTCAAAAGAAGACATTTATGCAGCCAAAAGACACATGAAAAAATGCTCATCATCACTGGCCATCAGAGAAATGCAAATCAAAACCACAATGAGATACCATCTCACACCAGTTAGAATGGTGATCATTAAAAAGTCAGGAAAAAACAGGTGCTGGAGAGGATGTGGAGAAATAGGAACACTTTTACACTGTTGGTGGGACTGTAAACTAGTTCAACCATTGTGGAAGTCAGTGTGGCGATTCCTCAGGGATCTAGAACTAGAAATTCCATTTGACCCAGCCATCCCATTACTGGGTATATACCCAAAGGACTATAAATCATGCTGCTATAAAGACACATGCACACGTATGTTTATTGCGACACTATTCACAATAGCAAAGACTTGGAACCAACCCAAATGTCCAACGATGATAGACTGGATTAAGAAAATGTGGCACATATACACCATGGAATACTATGCAGCCATAAAAAATGATGAGTTCATGTCCTTTGTAGGGACATGGATGAAATTGGAAATCGTCATTCTCAGTAAACTATCACAAGGACAAAAAACCAAACACCACATGTTCTCACTCATAGATGGGAATTGAACAATGAGAACACATGGACACAGGAAGGGGAACATCACACTCTGGGGACTGTTCTGGGGTGGGGGGGAGGGGAGGGATAGCATTAGGAGATACACCTAATGCTAAATGACGAGTTAATGGGTGCAGCACACCAGCATGGCACATGTATACATATGTAACTAACCTGCACATTGTGCACATGTACCCTAAAACTTAAAGTATAATAAAATTATTTTAATAAATTACTTCAGTTTAATTTTTAAAAAGTCTTCAAATATGAGTGTGAATATTTCAACGTTTCCTAGTATTTCTTTCAAATATTGCTTTATATATTTGAGACTAACTTGTTTAAAATATATATCTTCATAGTGAGTTTTGTCTTTTATCATTAAGTAGTGACCTTCCATGTCCCTAATAAGGCTTTTTGCTTTAAATATTTTTTCCTTATATCATCATTGTAATGCTGGCTTTCTTTCGGTTGATATTTCTCATCCATCTCTTTTATTCATTTATTTTCAATTATTCTGTGTTGTTTTACATTTCTCCCTGGTCAAGAGCATACAGTTAATCTTAAAAATTTAATATGAACACCGTGAAATACTATGCAACCATAAAAAAGAACGAGACCATGTCCTTTGCAGGAACATGATGGAGCTGGAGGCCATTATCCTTAGCAAACTAGCACAGGAACAGAAAACCAAATACCACATGTTCTCACTTGTAAGTGGGAGCTAAATGATGAGAACACATGGACACATGGTGGGGAAAAACATACACTGGGGTCTACTTGAAGGTGCAGAGTGTGAGGAGGGATAAGATAAAAAAAAAAACTATTGGGTACTATGCTTAGCAGCTGAGTGACAAAATAATCTGTACAACATGCCCTCATGACATGACTTTACCTATATAACAAACCTGTATATGTACCCATGAAACTAAAATACAAAGTTAAAAATATGTAAAATCCATTCTTAGCTTGCAGGCTGTACAAAAAAAAAAAAAAAAAAAAAAAAGGCAGCAGGCCCTATTTGGGCTGTGGGCTATCATTTGCTCACCCCTTGGTTAGAATATTGCTCCCATGTTAAAATTCCAACTATTCATGTGAAATCTCAACAACCCTCCAACCAATAGTTGGGACGATGATCAAGCCCTACTAGCCTTCTAAAGCTTTATAATTTTGTTAAAAAATTTTTGATATGAGCTTCTATACCTTTGGCATATGAATTTAATTGTTTTACATTTTGAACTTAATTTTATACTTGAATTTATTTCTACCATTGTATGTCTTACTTATCACTCTTTTTATTTTCTTCTTTTTTTCTCCTTCCTGCTTCATATTGAGTGAAGTTTTTACAATTTCCTTCTGTCCTCTTCTACTGATTTGGATATACAGATTCTATTTAAATAATTTTGTTGATTACTCCTAAATTTTTAACATGCATACTTGACTTAAAGTCTAAAGGTGATCAACATCTCTACTCCTCCTCCTAGACTATAATACAAGAGCCTTAGAGAAAATGTAATTCTGATTATACTTACCTATTACAGTTTTCAAGTGTCTTGATCCATTTTGTATTTTATATTAGTTTGCTAGGGCTGCTGTAACAATGTACCACAAACTGAGTGGCTTAAACAACAGAAATGTATTGTCTCACAGTTCTGAAGGCTAGAAGTCTAAGATTAAGAAAACAGGCCCGTGCTCTCTCTGCAGACTTTAGGAAAAGATCTATATCTAGGCCCTGCCCCTAGCATCTAATTGTTCCTGTTGCAGGTATGTGGCAGCTTATCTCCAATCTTCACATGACATCCTCCATGTGTGAATGTCTCTGTGTCCAAAGTTCCCCTTTTTATAAGGACGTCAGTCATGTTGTATTAGGTGCGCACCCTATCCAAGATGAGATTACCTCATCTTAACTCATTATGTCTGCAACAAACATATTTCCAAATGTAAGGTCAAATACACAGGTACTGGGGCTTAGGACTTCCACATATGAATTTGAGGGGACATAATTCAAACCATATCATACTTGTAACCTGTAAGTGGTTCATCAACATTATTTAGATGTACCTCTTATTTAGATATACCTCTATTTACCAATTTCACTGTTCACCATTGCTTCATGCATCTGGCTTCTTTCTGGATTCAATTTTCTTTCTACTAGCACATATATTTTTAGTAGTTCTTTCACCAAGTGTCTATGAGTAGTAAATTATTTCAGTGTTCAGTGACATTTACATTTATTTTGCTCACACTCTTTTATGATATTCAGTACAGAAGTTCTAGATTGTTATTTTCCTCAGCTCTTGAAGATAATATTCCTTTCTCTTTTGGTCTCATTCTTTTTCTTTTTCTTTATTTTTATAGATTTAGGGGCTACAAGTGCAATTTTGTTACATGGATATACTATGTAGTGGTGAAGTCAGGGCTGTTAATGTAGCCATCACCCAAAGAGTGAACATTCTACCCATTAAGTAATTTCTCATCCCTCACTACCTTCCCACCCTTCTAAGTCTCCAATATCTATTATTCCACTTGCTATGCCCATGTATACACATTATTTAGCTCACACTTATAAGTGAGAACATGCAGTATTTTACTTTCTGAGTTATTTCACTTAAGATAATGGCCTCCTGTTCCATCCATGTTGCTGCAAAAAAAAAAAATCCAAAAACAAAATTCATTCTGCTGCAAAATGATTTATTTTTATGGCTGAATAGTATTCCATGGTGCATATGTACCAAATTTTCTTTATCCAATCATCCATTGATGGACACTTAGGTTGATTTCATATCTTTGCTGTTGTGAATAGTACTGCAATCAACATATGAGTACAAACATCTTTTTATACAAATGATTTATTTTCCTTTGGGTAGATACCTAGTAGTGGGATTGCTGGATCAAATGGCAGTTCAATTTTTAGTTCTTAAAGAAATCTACATACCGTTTTCCATAAAGGTTGTATTAATTTACATTCTCACCAGTGGTGTATAAGCATTCCCTGTTCTCCGCAATCTTTCCAGGATCCGTTATTTTTTACTTTTTAATAATATCCATTTTGACTAGTATAAAATGGTATCTCATTGTAGTTTTAATTGGCATTTTCTGATTATTAGTGATGATGATTATTTTTTTCATATGCTTGTTGGCCATTTGAATGTTTTTAAAATGTCTGTTCACATCCTTTGCCCACTTTTTAATGGGGCTGTTTTTGTTGTTGTTATTGAGACATTTGAGTTCCTTGTAAATGCTTGATATTAGTCCTTTGTCAGATGCTTTCTCCCATTTTGCAAGTTATCTGTTCATTCTGTGATTATTTCTTGTTCTGTGCAGAAACGTTTTAATTTAATTACATCTCATTTGTCTATTTTTATTTTTATTGGGTTTACTTTTGAGGTCTTAGTCATGAATTATTTTTGCCAAAGCCAATGTCCAGAAGAGTTTTTCCTAGGTTTTATTCTAGGATTTTTTTTTTTAATTTTCAGGTCTTACATTTAAGTTTTTAATCCATTTTGAGTTGGTTTCTGTATATGATGAGAGATAGAAAATCCATATAAAGACAAAAAAGAGCCCTAATAGCCAAAACAGTCCTGAGCAAAAACAACAAGGGTAGAAACATCACATTACTTGACTTCAAATTATACTATGAGGCTATCGCAGCCAAAACAGCATGGTAATGGTATAAAAATCTCCTTAAGCTGATAAGCAACTTCAGCAAAGTCTCAGGATACAAAATCAATGTGCAAAAATCATAAGCATTCCTATACACCAATAATAGACAAACAGAGAGCCAAATCATGAGCAAACTCCCATTCACAATTGCTACAGAGAGAATAAAGTACCTAGGAATACAACTTACAAGAGATGTGAAGAACCTCTTTAAGGATAACTAAAAACCACAACTCAAGGAAATAAGAGAGGACACTTACAAATGGAAAAACATTCCATGCCCATGGATAGGAAGAATCAATATTGTGAAAATGGCCATACTGCCCAAAGTAATTTATAGATTCAATGCTATCCCCATCAAGCTAACACTGACTTTCTTCACAGAATTAGAAAAAAAATTACTTTAAATTTCACATGGAACTAAAAAAGAGCCCATATAGCCAAGACAATCCTAAGCAAAAAGAACAAAGCTAGAGGCATCACGCTACCTGACTTCAATCTATACTACAAGGCTACAGTAACCAAAACAGCATGTTACTGGTACCAAAACAGATATATAGACCAATGGAACAGAACAGAGGCCTCAGAAATGGTGCCACATACCCTCTGATCTTTGACAAACCTGACAAAAACAAGAAATGGGGGAAAGGATTCCTTATTTTATAAATGGTGTTGGGAAAACTGGCTAGCCATATGTAAAAAACTGAAACCAGATCCCTTCCTGACACCTTTTACAAAAATTCACTCAAGATGGATTAAAGACTTAAACCTAAGACCTAAAACCATAGAAACCCTAGAAGAAAACCTAGGCAATACCATTCAGGACATAGGCATGGACAAAGACTTCACGATTAAAACACCAAAGGCAATGGCAACAAAACCCAAAATTGACAAATGGAATCTAATTAAACTAAAGAGCTTCTTCACATCAAAAGAAACTATCATCAGAGTGAACAGGCAACCTAGAGAATAGGAGAAAATTTTTGAAATCTATCCACCTGACAAAGGGCTAATATCCAGAATCTACAAGTAACTTAAATACATTTACAAGAAAAAAACATACAACCCCATCAAAAAGTGGGCAAAGGATATGAACAGACACTTCCAAAAAGAAGACATTTATGCAGCCAACAAACATATGAAAAATAGCTCATCATCACTGGTCATTAGAGAAATGCAAATCAAAACCACAATGAGATACCATCTCACACCAGTTAGAATGGCAATCTTTAAAAAGTCAGGAAACAACAAATGTTGGAGAGGATGTGGAGAAATAGGAATGCTTTTACACTGTTGGTGGGAGTGTAAATTAGTTCACCAGTTGTGGAAGACAGTGTGGTGATTCCTCAAGGATCTAGAACCAGAAATACCATTTGGCCCAGCAATCCCACTACTGAGTATATACCCAAAGGATTATAAAACGTTCAACTATAAAGACACATGTACACGTATGGTTATTGTGGCACTATTCACAATAGCAAAAACTTGAAACCTACCCAACTGTCCATCAATGATAGACTGGATAAAGGAAATGTGGCACATATACACCATGGAATACTATGCAGCCATAAAAAGGATGAGTTCATGTCCTTTGCATGCACATGGATAAAGCTGGAAACCATCATTCCCAGCAAGCTAACACAAGAACAGAAAACCAAACACCACATGTTCTCACTCATAAGTGGTAGCTGAACAATGAGAACACATGGACATAGGGAGAGAAACATCACACACCAGGGCCTGTCGGGGTTGGGGAGCTAGGGGAGGGATAGCATTAGGAGAAATACCTAATGTAGTTGACGAGTTGATGGGTGCAGCAAACCACCATGGCACGTGTATACCTATGTAGCAAACCTGCACATTCTGTACATGTATCCCAGAACTTTAAGTATAATTTAAAAAATAGACACATAGATCAATGGAATAGACTAGAGAACCCAGAAATGAAGCCACATACTTACAGCCAACTGGTCTTCAACAAAGTCAACAAAAACATACAGTGGGAAAAAGACACCCTATTCAATAAATGGTGTTGGGAAAATTGCATTGCCATATGAACAAGAATGGCCTCAATTATTTTTGTTGTGAAGTCTATAGTTGCTCTATTTGCTGCTCCTTTATAGATGATCTGCCTTTTTGGTGGTTTTTAACATTATCCATTTTTCTTTGGGGCTCTCCAGTTTCATTACACATGTGGATTCCTTTTGTTTACGTAATATGCTTGATGTTTGCTGAGTTTCTTAAATCTGCATTGGGTTTTCTATCAGTGTTGAAGAATTATTAGCCATTATCTCTTTGAATATTGCTCCTCCACCATGCTAATTTTTTTATTATACTTTAAGTTTTAGGGTACATGTGCACAATGTGCATGTTTGTTACATATGTATACATGTGCCATGTTGGTGTGCTGCACCCATTAACTCATCATTTAACATTAGGTATATCTCCTAATGCTATCCTAGCACCCCTTTTAGATATATGTTGAATCTTTTCATTTGCGTGTCTCTTAACCTCTCATATTTTGCCATCCCTTCATCCCTCTGTCGCATTGTGAGTGACTGCCTCAGACTATTTATCAGTTTACTAATCTCTGTAGCTCCATATTATCCAATAATTAGCCCACAAATCAAATCATACTTTTCCTTTCTAAAACTTTTATTTTCTTCTGTTGTAAATCTTTTGTTCTCAAAGCCTGTTGTTCAATTCTTAGGATTTTGACTTCTTTTCAGTCACTATGATGAACATTAATTTTCAATTATCTCCTGTATCTCTATTCTGCTATGTCTAATTCTTAGGGATATAATTCTATTGTTTGTTGTGTCTACTGACTTTCATCAGGGTGAACTGTTTAGTCACATGTTGGTAACATTTTATTGTGAATTTGTCTTATAAAGGGTTACTTTTTCTGCAACAATACCTTGTAGCCTGTACTGTATGTTCCTCAAAAGCTCTTTTGACTGCTTCTGCCAGGAAACTCAGGGGAGACACTAGCTCAGAACCAATTTTTTGCTACCTTCTAAGTTTGGGGATCATAGAAAATGAAACTCCAAACACAAACGAATTGTAAGCCTATAGTTACAAATCTCTGTAGGAGATTTTTTTTTCCATCCAAATCTCAGGCAAAGAGCCAAATTCCTTGTCATTTCTCTGTGGGTAGGATTTTTTTGTTGTTGTTCACCCTTTTATTAAAGGTTAGAAATTCAAGGGTACCAGCTCTCCTTAGGGATCTGTAATTCCAAAACCTCACTTTACAAACACCTGAGACCTCACCTCCTTTGTTACATGGTCATGAAAACCCACATTCCTAATTTACACAGTCTGACTGTACTGCACCCCACCCCTGGCAGTTACAGTCTTTTTTTCTGGCAAGTTGGAATTTTTTGTGTCATCCTGAGGTGTTACATTTTATCAGAATTTCCAAGGGTTAGTAACAGGACGTTACATGTATCTGCAATATTTCTGAAAACTGACCATATTTATATTTTATCATCCACAGTTTTGGAAATTAATCATTTTAAAAATATTTTCTACAATCAGTGGTGATACTTCACCCTTCAACTTTGTTCTTATGCTCCATTGCAAGACTCAATCTAGCAGTTTTGATTAACACACATTTAAATTTTCAAAATAGATCATGGGTACCAATTCAAACACAATGGAGACTGGCTCTGTCAAAATGGATGTCAGCTGCAAATAACTGAAATGCCTACACCAGTTCATACTGGGTGAATAGCAATCTGATAAGGGGATGACCATCCTACCATAGCATGGCAAAGAAGGAATCTATGTTCTTGAAGGCTTCCCTATTTCTTACCTTCTCCTTCATTATTATTACCATTACAATTAAACTTAATTATATTTTTGTAATCAAAATAATGCTACTGGCAACAATATATTTCATTAGAATGCATGCTCTGCATTATATTATCATATATGCTCCTTGCTATACCATCCATTCGTCAGATTCTGCTGGTTTCCATGCATGTCCTGTGTATGTCCACTTAGGATTTAATCTTTGCAGACAACTCGTACATCACATGGTGCTACATGCAGGCTTTTACTGTAAAACAATGCATGGAGAAAATATTTGATCTGCTTTCTTACAGAGTTTCCAAACATATACTATGGAAAAGCAATATGAGAGACAAAGTAGAAACCACCTCCTCTAGTTCTTTCAAGTTGAGGCTCACTTAACATTTTGAACACATGGACAGAGTTATCACCTTAAGTGAGGAAACAGCTAACACAAAATAAAGCTGACTTCCACAATATAAGAGCACTACAAGTAAAGGAATTGAAGCAAAGCCAAAACATAGACCCTGTCTCCCTCTCAATATCCTCACTGTAAACTAGGTGTTCCACAAACTACTCCTACTGGCCAAATCCAGCCCATCCCATGTTTCTATATATGACCCATGAGCTAAAAACATTTTTGACATTTTTTAATGACCTAGAAATTTTTTAAAGAATATTTCATGACAAATGAAAATAATATAAAATTCAAATTTTTGTTTATAAATAAAATTTTATTGATACACAGCTAGCTCATTCATTTATATATCATTCATGGCTGCTTTCATGCTACAATGGCAGAGTTGAGTAATTGCAATAGAGACTGTATGGCCTATGACCCTGAAGTATTTACTATTTGCCTCTTTACAGATAGTGTTTTATTACCTCTGCTATGAACAATCACCCTCTTTTACCACGATTAGAAGTAGATAGGACTAAAAATGGGCAGGGCACTAAACAAGGCACCTATGAGCAATGCAAGGAAATGCCGTTGCCAGAAATCCAGTCAAGAATAGCTATTAGAGCAAGATACTGTGCTTTGGATATTGTCCAGAAAGAACAAAAGGGCAAGCAGGAATGAAAGTACACTCCAATTCCTATACAATAGCGCTTATCAAAATACATGGCTGAATTTCAAACCTATCTGTGTGAAAATCCAGACTTTGACAATTGCAGCATTATTATGGTCAATAATATATTGAGAATGAGTTTTTGAGTCTTAAAGAAAGGTATTTGTTAAATTACACAGTTCTATGTTTATATCTTTGTATAGGTATTCTATTCAATTATATTTGTATGCATTTTTTTAAATTTTTATTTTAAGTTCTGGGTTTCATGTGCAGGACGTGCAGGTTTGTTACATCAGTAAACGTATGTCATGGTGGTTTGCTGTACCTATTAACTCATCACCTAGGTATTAAACCCCGCATCCCTTGGTTATTTATCCTGATGCTCTCTCTCCCTCTGCCCTGCCAAGAGGCCCCAATGTGTGTTGTTCCCCTCCCTGTGTCCATGTGTTCTCATTCTTCAGTTCCCACTTATAAGTGAGAACATGTGGTGTCTGGTTTTCTGTTTCTGAGTTGGTTTGCTAAGGATAATGGCTTCCAGCTCCATCTGTGTCCCTGCAAAGAACATGATCTCACTCCCTCCTATAGCTGCATAGCACTCCATGGTGTATATGCACCATGCCTTCTTCATCCAGTCTATCATTGATGGGCATCTGGGCTGATTCCATGTCTTTGCTATTGTGAATAGTGCTGCAATGAACATACGCATGCATGTATCTTTGTAATAGAATGATTTATATTCCTTTGGGTATATGTCCAGTAATGGGATTGCTCAGTCAAATAGTATTCCTGGTTCTAGATCTTTGAGGAATTGCCACACTGTCTCCCACAGTGGTTAAGCTAACTTACATTCCCACTAACAGTGTAAAAGCGTTCCTATTTCTCTGCAACCTCACCAGCATCTGTTGTTTCTTGACTTTTTAATAATTGCCATCCTGACTGGTATGAGATGGTATCTCATCGTGGTTTTGATTTGCTCTTCTCTAATGATCAGTTATGTTGAGACTTTTTTCATATGCTGGCCACATGAATGTCTTCTTTTGAGTAGTGCCTGTTCATGCCCTTTGTCCATTTTAAGCTCTTCTCAGTTCATCAGGCAGTTGGACTGACAGTGTTTTAAAATGGAACAGCTTGAAGGTTAGGTACAAACAGGTACAGCAAGCAAAGAAAGTAGATATTTAGAAGAAGAAAATACCAGTCCTGCTACATGAACCATAAAGGGGTATAGTTCAAGGTACAGCAAAGCTGTTCTCACTGCTGCTAAACTCAAAGTTCCAGGATGTCTACAAAACATCTTCATTGCCCTTCATCATTTGATACAGACAGATCAGTCTTTAACTACCATGAACTTGTTTTTCAAGGGTATGTGCCCAGCTAGTAGCAATTGCTGGAGGTGCTTATTATTTCTACGACCTGATTTCTCATTTTATGAAGGTGCATGTCTTTTCATTTGCCTTAAAATTGTTTTGAGCTAAAATATGTGTCCATCTGTCCTAATATATTAGAATTTAATAAATATGTTTATGTATACCTTATGTTTAATTTCTTATTTTATAGGTTTTAATGATATTCCTTCAGTATTTATTTGTCCAGACTGAAAAGCCCCAATATTTTTGTTCATCTTGGATCTCTCTGAATTACATTGGAAAATTTGCGATGCCATTGTATCACTGACACTAATAAAACCCAACAATGTCGATTTGCTTCTGATTCTGGATTTTGTGACAGATATGCCTATGGTAATTTTATCTGGACATTCTTCAACTCTGATGCATTGTTTTAAGATATGGCAACCAAAAATAAGCATAGCATAATGGAATGTAGAAATAGAATACTGTTAGAATGGACTCAGATTGAGATCTTTTGATGTAGTACAGGATACTCTGGATATCAGCTTACCATTAGCTGTTCATTCCCCTAACAACATATTTATTCTCCACAGTTCTTGTATACCTTAATTATATCCAGTATGACTATCTGCAGAAAGCACACAGAAATATCCAATGACCTTTGTGACCACCATCACTCCCAGCAAGAAATCTGATCTTCCCTGAGGCAAATCAGGGACATTATGCGGTGTCTACATGGCTTTCAGCAAAAGCTACAACATGGTATCCACATTCAAAGATCTCTGGGTTGAGGTTCTTGCTAATAATAAAAATTCTCCTATGGCCTTCCCACCTCTCTGCACATATATGCTACAACAAATTGCAACAGGATGAAACGGTGAAGCTACAAGTTGCAACAGGGTGAAGCGGTCATTGTGGAAGGTAATGGAGTTGCTTTTAAACATTCATTCAGTCTTTCAGCTGGATAGGTTTGACCTCAACCCTAGCTCCAGCAATGCACCCAATACCCAGATTGGTATGAGACAATCAGAGTAATGCTATTCCCTTGCTACATTAATTGGTTTAAGGGCACATAAAACAGAGAAAGCACAGTGCTTTTGTTCAATGGCTAAAAAAGAGATATCCATTCTTTCTCCAATATGTGACTATGAAAGCAAGTAGCCCCAATTAATGTTGGCCAGCCAGGGGACAAAGCTGATGCTAGCAAAAAGGCAGAGTCAAGATAATGAAAGAGAAATATGTTGAGGCTCTGATGAAACTACATAAAGACTATTTCAGAACTTTTGTATAGCATGAACCAATACATTTATATGCATAAGCCAGTTTGAATTTTTTTCTATTCCTTGTGATCAAGAGCATCTTAACTTACAGGTTCACATATAATTAGATACAAAATGTAAATCACTTGTGACAAATGATAAACTATTTTCACATTGGCTTATTTCACAGTAGTTTTGTCTTTGTTTCTAATGAACTGTCACTGACTTAGTTTTAAAATTTCTCTGCTCTTGCTCACCTTTTGGTAAACAGGTATCTTTAAACTTTCTTATTCACAAGGGAGTCTCTCTATTTAAAGCAGGAGTCAGAAACTACAACCCACTATGTGTTTTTGTAAACAAACTTTGTTTGGAACATAGCTAAGCTTATTCGTTTACTTATTGTCAACGGCTACTTTCACACAGTAATGGAAGTTAAATAGTTGTCACAGAGACTGTATGGCCTACAAAACTGAAGATATGTACTATCTGGCCCTTAACAGAAAAATGTTTGCTGACTCTTAACTTAAAAGAATCCTGCAGTAAATCATTTTTCAAAAATTGAGGCTGCATATACCATGGGTACTGTATTAGTCCGTTTTCACACTGCTATAAAGAACTACCTGAGATTGCATAATTTATAAACAAAAGAGGTTTAATTGACTCACAGTTCCACATGGCTGGAGAGGCCTCAGGAAACTTACAATCACGGTGGAAGGTGAAGGGGAAACAAGCCACGTCTTACATGGCTGCAGGAGAGAGAGAGTACACAGGGGAAACTGCCACTTTTAAAACCAGCAGATCTTGTGAGAACTCCCTCACTATCATGAGAACAACATGGGGGGAAATCCATCCTCATGATCCCATCACTTCCCACCAGGTCCCTCCCTTGACACATGGGGAAGACAAGTCGACATATGGGTGGGGACACAGAGCCAAACCATATCAGGTACTAAGAAAAATGCTCATCATCACTGGCCATCAGAGAAATGTAAATCAAAACCACAATGAGATACTATCTCACACCAGTTAGAATGGCGGTCATTAAAAAGTCAGGAAACAACAGGTGCTGGAGAGGATGTGGAGAAATAGGAACACTTTTACACTGTTGGTGGGACTGTAAACTAGTTCAACCATTGTGGAAGTCAGTGTGGCGATTCCTCAGGGATCTAGAACTAGAAATTCCATTTGACCCAGCCATCCCATTATTGGGTATATACCCAAAGGATTATAAATCATGCTGCTATAAAGACACATGCACACATATGTTTATTGTGGCACTATTCACAATAACAAAGACTTGGAACCAACCCAAATGTCCAACAATGATAGACTGGATTAAGAAAATGTGGCACATATACACCATGGAATACTATGCAGCCATAACAATGATGAGTTCACGTCCTTTGTAGGGACATGGATGAAGCTGGAAACCATCATTCGCAGCAAACTATCGCAATGACAAAAAACCAAACACCACATGTTCTCACTCATAGGTGGGAATTGAACAATGAGAACACATGGACACAGGAAGGGGAACATCACACACCGGGGACTGTTGTGGGGTGGGGGGGGGAGATAGCATTAGGAGAGATACCTAACGCTAAATGACGAGTTAATGGGTGCAGCACACCAACATGGCACATGTATACATATGTAACAAACCTGCACGTTGTACACATGTACCCTAAAACTTAAAGTATAATAATTAAAAAAAAGAATGTGTTTGTTGATTGAGTGTCTGCCCCCCCTCCTCAGGCAACTCAGCTCAATTCAGTTTTGAAAACTTACAAATAAATAGGCCTACCTTCCCATTTTTGTATGAACCCTTGGATAAAGACCATAAAAGAAGGAATCAAAATGTTCTTTTTTTTTTTTTTTTTTAACTTTTAAGTTCAGGGGTACATGTGCAGGTTTGTTACATAGATAAACTTCTGTCATGGGGGTTCTGTCAATGAAGTAATACAGGGTTTGCTATACAGATTATTTCATCACTCAGGTATTAAACCTAGTACCCATTATTTATTTTTCCTGATCCTCTCCCTCCTTTCAACCTCCACCCTCTGATAGGCCCCAATGTGTCTTGTTCCCCTCTATGTGTCCATGTGTTCTCATAATTTAGCTCCCAATCATAAGTGAAAACATGCAATATTTGGTTTTCTGTTCTTGCATTAGTTTGCTAAGGATAATGGCCTTCAGCTGCATCCATGCCCCTGCAAAGGAAATGATCTTGTTTTTTATGGCTGCATAGTATTCCATGGCATATGTACCACATTTTCTTTATCCAGTCTATCATTCGTCAGCATTTAGGTTGATTCCATGTCTTTGCTATTGTGAATAGTGATGAAATGAACATACATGTGCGTGTGTCTTTATAACAGAATGATTTCTATTCCTTCAGGTATATACCCAGTAATGGGATTGCTGGGTCTAATGGTATTTCTGTTTTAGGTCTTTGAGGAAGTGTCACACTGTCACATACAATGGTTGAACTAATTTACATTCCCACCAATAGTGTATAAGTGTTCCTTTTTTGCCACAAACTTGCCAGCATCTGTTATTTTTTGACTTTTTAATAATAACCATTTTGGCTGGTGTGAGATGGTATCTCATTGTGGTTTTAATTTGCATTTCTCTAATAATCAGTGATGTTGGGCTTTTTTTCATATGCTTGTTGGGTGGATGTATGTCTTCTTTTGAGAAGTGTCTGCTAATGTTCTTTGCCTATTTTTTAACGGGATTGTTTGTGTTTTGCTTGTTGATTTAAGCCCCTTATAGATTCTAGATATTAGGCCTTAGTCAGATGCATAGTTTTCAAATATTTTCATTCCATAGATTATCTGTTTACTCTGTTGATAGTTTCTTCTGCTGTGCAGAAGCTCTTTAGTTTAATTAGATCCAATTTGTCAATTTTTGCTTTTGTTGCAATTGCTTTTGGTGTCTTCAATCATGAAATCCTTGTCCGTATCTATGTTCTGAATGGTATTACCTATTTTGTCTTCCAGGTTTTTTAGTTCTGGATTTTACATTTAAGTCTTTAATCCATCTTAGTTAATCTTTGTATGTGGTGTAAGGAAGGGATCTAGTTTTAATCTTCTGCATATCGTTAGTCATTTATCCCAGCAACATTTATTGAATAGGAAATCTTTTCCCCATTGCTTGTTTGTGTTAAGTTTGTCGAAGATCAGATAGTTGTGTGTGGTCTTATTTCTGGGTTCTCTATTCTCTTCCATTGGACTATGTGTCTGTTTTTATACTAGTACCATGATGTTTTGTTAGTGTAGCCTTGTAGTATAGTTTGAAGTCGGCTAGTGTGATGCTTCTAGCTTTGCTCTTTTTTCTTAGGATTACCTTGGCTATTCAGGCTGTTTTTTGATTCCATATGAATTTTAAAATAGTTTTCACTAGTTCGGTAAAGAATGTCAGTGGTTGTTTAATAGGCATAGCATTGAATCTATAAATTGCTTTGGGTAGTATGGCCATTTTAACAATATTGATTCTTCCTATCAATAGGCATGGAATGTTTTTCCATTTGTTTGTATCATCTCTGATTTCTTTGAGTAGTGGGTTATAGTTCTCCTTGTAGAGCTCTTTCACCTCCCTAGTTAGCTGTATTCCTGGGCATTTTATTTTATTATTTTTTTTTTTTAGCAATTGTGAATAGAAGCTCATTCCTGATTTGGTTCGTGGCTTGGCTGTTGTTGGTGTATAGGAATATTAGTGATTTTTGCACAATGATTTTGTATCCTGAGACTTTGTGAAGTTGTTTATCAGCTTAAGAAGAGTTTGGGCTAAGACAAACTATCAGAAGACAAGAAATAATCAAAGTCAGAGCTCAACTGAAGGAGATAGAGACACAAAAACCGTTCAAAAGATCAACTAATCCAGGATCTGGTTTTTTTTTTTTTTTTTGAAAAAATAGAAAATAAAATAGACTACTAGCTAGAGTAATGAAGAAAAAAGAGAAGATTCAAAAAAACACAATCAGAAATGACAAGGGGATATTATTACAGACCCCCACAGAAATACCAACAACCATCAGAGAATAGTATGAACATCTCTATGCACACAAACAAGAAAACTGGGTATAAATGGATAAATTCCCATATACATATACCCTCCCAAGACTGAACCAGGAAAAGATTGATTTACTGAACAGACCAATAATGAGCTCCAAAACTTAATTAGTAGTAAATAGCCTACCAATGAGAAAAAGCCCAGGACCAGATAGATTCACAGCTGAATTCTACCAGATGTGCAAAGAAGAGCTGGTACCATTCTTACTGAAAATATTCCCAAAAAATGAGGAAAAGGGACTCCTACCCAACTCATTGCATGATGTCAGCATCATTCTGTTACCAAAACCTTGCAGAGATACTACAACAAAAGAAAACTTCAGGCCAACATTCTTGATGAATATCAATGCAAAAATTCTCAACAAAATGCTGGCAAATTGAATCCAGCAGCACATCAAAAAGCTTATTCACTATGATCAAGTAGGCTTTATCTCTGGGATGCAAGCTTTGTTCAACATATGCAAATCAACAAATGTCAGTCATCACATAAAGAGAGCTAAAGACAAAAACCACACGATTATCTCAGTAGATGCAGCAAAGACTTTCAGAAAATTCAACATCTATTCATGTTAAAAACTTTCAATAAACTAGGCATTAAAGGAAGGTATTAGTCCATTCTCACACTGCTATGAAGAAATACGCAAGACAGAATACTTTATAAAGAAAAGAGGTTGAATTGATTCACAGTTCTGCATGGCTAGGGAGACCTCAAGAAACTTACAATCACAGCAAAAGGCACCACTTAACAGGGTGGCAGGAGATGGAATGAGAGCCGAAGGAAGAGGGAAGCCCATTATAAAACCATCAGATCTCCTGAGAACTCACTCATTACCATGAGAACAGCATAGGGGAAACTGCCCCCATGATTCAATTTTTTCCACCTGGTCCCACCCTTGACAGGTGGGAATTATTACAATTCAAAGTGAGATTTGTGTGGGGACACAGAGCCAAACCACATCAAGGAACATAACTCAAAATAATGAGAGCCATGTATATAACAAATCCACAGCCAACATCATACTGAATGGGCAAAAGCTGGAAGCATTCCCCTTGAAAACTGGCATGAAACCAGGATGCCCTCTCTCACCACTCGTATTCAACATAGTATTGGAAGTTCTGGCCAGGGCAGTCAGGCAAGAGAAAGAAATAAAGAGCACCCAAATAGAAAGAGAGGAAGTCAAACTATCCCTATTTGCAGATGTCATGATCCTATATCTAAAAAAACCCCATAGTCTCAAAATTTTCTTAAGCAGACTCATTCACTAAACTTGTATATATCCCTATTATTCACCTATATCAAAAATTCTCCTCTCCTTCTGGAAACATGGAAGACTTATTTCTCGGCTTCTCTCTGCCCCCTTAAATTTAGGCAAAGCCAGGTAATTAATTCTGACCAATGGCCCATGAGGGGAAGTGAACATATGTCATTTCAGAGATGAGGCTGAAACTATCAGATCAAAGCAGTCTAAGCCCCTGAGTCACTATATGGAAACGGGTTCCCTGGAAAGCAACCTGGACTCTCAGAAGAAGTAAACTTCTATTGGGTTAAACCACTGAAATGTGAGTGTTGATTATTACTGCAGCCTACCCTAGCCTCACACAACTTAACTGAAGTAATTTATTACACATATAATTCTACATATATATATATATACACATAAAAAGATGTGATGTTATACATGAAGAATAGGTTTAAAAAACTTGAATTCAACCAAACCCCATCTTGATTGTGGTTGCATGCCTCTGAGTATAGAAATAAGAGTCTGAATTTCAAAAACAAGTTCTCTGTCCTGAGTGAAAACAAGAGTAAGGTGGAAGGGATTACATTTTAAACAATTTCAAGTAATGTGCTTTGAGCTCATATTCGTGGTCTGTGTAGGGGGCTTGTTAGGGAAGCTGATCACAAATTGCTTTGTATTTCTCTCATTTCTGCAGGGGAGGAGGAAGTGGAGAAATATTGACAGAAGTAGGTAATAGAATCACTGAAATGGAAGTGGCCTTGGAGGGTCACCAAGTCCATTATTCTTTACCCAGGCCAGGTTAGAGCCATCCTAAACCTGAAAGTTAAAGAATATTGGTGAAAGATTTCCCAGCTTTCGTCACTGACTAATTAAAGATATCCCAGGGCCCATGCAGTACATAATTTGCTCTCCAATAGTAACACCAGGGACAATTCTGTAGGAAAGTAGGACATTTGTCTCCTAAAACACCAGCATTGAAAGCTTACAGAACTGATGCAAACACACCTAATTTGCCATTAAAATACTGTTATAAAGCTTTTGCCTATGGACCTGTTTTTATTATCAATCTGAAAAAAAGTTCCTCCCAATAAAATTCCTTGAAATAACTCTCACCAAAATGCCTCCTGTTTCAGTCAAAATCTACCTCTTCTTGTCTATTCTCAGTGCATATGAAAACAGCTGTCAAAGGGGATTTGTAGAGATGCCCCTGGGTCAGGGGCTGCTACAAAGGCTAGTAAAGTTTTGCCAACAAGATTCACACAGCTTGCTATGAACACTAATAACCAGGGGATGGTGCAGTCTTACTGCTCTTAGTGATGCAAGAGGATATTAATGTTTTAAATGTTCGTTCAGTGAGAAAAAAAATTACTGGTCTACTCCCTACTCCATACAATGTTAAATCTATATTGTGATATTTTCTCTCAAATGTATATTTATTTAAGGGCTAGGGATTTACAAGGACCTTAGGAATAGGTCCTTATATATATTGTACATATATAGAGGATCAGGGAGTAATTTTCCCATTTTTGTCCTTGTAAACATATAGGTCTAAAGCACATGCCAAGCAGCAGAAATGAATCATCTGCAGAGGACCACAAGCTGTCGTTTAAACCCTAGTCTTATCTTTTCACTTCACTCTTTTCATTATGTCTCCTTTCTGGCCTTGGAGGCAAAAATACATTAACCATCAATTTATTCCCTGTGGCAAACCTTTGCCCCTCAGCCTTATCAATCCATTAAGTAAACCCCATTAAATTGGTCCTCACTTTGCAAAAATGGCAGACTGCTCCAGGGAAAAGGGAGAGTTATAATACTGCTGGGAACAATCAAACAGTTAATGACAACTCATGGAGAAGAGGGGAACTTCCTAGGTTATTCTCTTTTCACTTGTGGCCACACTATCTGGTCTTATAAGCCAGTATTACAGCAGCTGATCATTTATAACTTCAAAAACAGTTTTTCTCAAAATTCCAGCTATTTCTGTGGTAAGACTACAGTTCATGGACCAAGCAGGGGTATACTGTAAATAAACTTACTAGGCATTCAAAGCTGGCAAGTCCTCCCTCACTGATTTGCCAATCCCATAGCTTTCTCTAATAGCCCTGGTATGTTCCTTCATTGCCTCAGAAACTATTTTGCACAGTGAAGTACTGAAGTGAAAATTTGTATTCCAGAGATTTATATGACTACATTTATTCTAGAGATTTTAATACAAATACATTCATATTTACTCTCTCTCTCTTCCAGTGTCTCCTCCCCCACTTCATAAATCCCTATTAGACATGGTTGGAATACAGAATATTTACCAAAAAATCTTTTTTTTTTCCAATGAGCCAGGTCATTGCCCTCAGTTCTACCTATTCATTTTCCTCTTATTTCCATTTTTGCTTTTCTCATGCCACTAGCCTCTATCTCATCTCTTAGCACACAGATAAATCCTTTGAACTGACCTCATTTTGCCATATTTGTCTTTCATTATTTTCCTATACATACATGCATTAATGATTTTAGCTCTTCTTATATTGGTGGGAGGAGCAGGTAGGTGTTACTTAGACTGTATTCCTTAGATTTCATCAAGTATCTTGGGGTTGGGTTTCTCCCCCTTATTAAATGATACTGAACTGCTTCTTCCCAACCCCTGTACACATGCACACAAAGAGAACTTTAAAGGTAAAGTGTCACATAAAGGTAAAACACAAGATCAATAGCTTTAATGGGTGTGTGTATATCTCAGAACATGCATACAGTCATGTATTCACAGAGTGTACTTACACAAACCTAGATTATAGCCTACTACAGATAGGTCATATGGTACAGCCTATTGCTCCTAGGCTACACATGTATACAGCATGTTACTGTACTGAATATTGTAGGCAATTGTAACACAAAGGTCAGTATTTGTGTATCTAAACAGACCTGAACATAGGAAAGGTACAGTGGACAATAACACGCAGAGAGCTGTTGTCTCCTATGATAACAATGCCTTCTGGCATATCTCCTGAAGGACCCACCTGAGGCTGTTTTACAGTTGACTTTTTTTTATAGGTAGAAGGAGCACACTCTAAAACAATGATAAAGAGTATAGTAAATACATAAACCAGTAACATAGACATTTATAATCACTATCAAGCATTAAGTACTGTACATAATTGTATGTGCTATACTTTTATATGACTGGCGATGCAGTAGGTTTGTTTACACCAGCATTATCACAAGCAGGTGAGGAATGCATTGTGCTATTATGGCTATGACTTTTCTAGATGATAGGAGTTTTTCAGATCCATTATAATTTTATGAGACCATCATCCTATATGTAATTCATCATTGACCCATGTTACGCAGCAAATGAGTATATGTACATCTGTACATAAAATGTATTGAAGTGAAATTCATATAACAAACATTTTAAAGTGAACAATTCAGTGGCATTCAGTACGTTCACAAGGCTAGTCCCAGAACATCTCAGTCTAGTCCCACAACATTTTCACTAATCCCTAAGCAAAACCCCATAGCCATTAAGCATTTTCTTTATCATCTCTGCCTCACCTTAGCCCTTGAAACTACTAATCTGCTTTCTGTCTCTATGGATTTGCTTATTCTGGATTTTCATATAAGTGGATTACACAATATGTAGCCTTCTACATCTGCATCTGACTTCTTTAATATAACATGTTTTCAGGGTTTGTCCACATTGTACGTTACCTTTTACGGCTAAATAATATTCCATTGTATGTATGTACCATAATTTGTTTACCCATTTATCCACTGATAAACTTTTGGCCCATTTGCACCTTTTGGCAATTTTAAGTAGTGCTGCTACAAACATGGCTGTACATGTATTTGTTGGAGTCTCTGTTTTCAGTTCTTTCACATATATATCTAAGAGCAGATTTGCTGGGTCATATGGCAATTCTCTGTTTAACCTTTTGAGAAACTGCCAAACTGCTTTCCACAGTAACTGAACCAATTAACATCCCCACCAGCAATGCAGGAGTGTTCTAATTTCCCCACAACTTTGCTGTTTGTTTCTTTTTTTTATTATTATAGCTATACAAATAGATGTGAAATGGTACCTCACTGCTTTTTTTAATTTCCATTTCCATGATTAATGATGTTGAGCATCTTTTTACAGGATTGTTTGCAATTTACGTATCTTCTTTGAAACAATGACCATTGCTGTTTTTTAAAGCTGTGTCCCTTATCTTTTCATTGTTGAGTTGTAAGAGTTCTTTATATATTCTGGATACTAATATCTGATTAGCAATATAATTTATAAATATTTTTCCCATTCTGTACATTATCTTTTCACTTTCTTGATCACGGTTATACATAAAAGTGTTTTGTTTTGATGATGTTAACAAATATTTTAACTAAACTCGAATTCAATATTACACATGCCAAAAAGAGAAGAGTCATGAATGATAGAGGAGACACAGAGATAGGAATATGGGGAGTAGGGGAAAGGCAATACACACAGAAGAGGGATGGGTAAGAAGAGAATGGCGGAGAAGACAAAGTGCAAGTGACAGAAAAAGGGACAGGAGAGAGGTAACATATAGAAAGTACTCGTCAGTATGACCATTCAAGCGAGGTGTGAAAAAAGAGAGAAGTTGAGCTGGTTCAAAGGTGTTAGGCTACTTTTCCCCATTCTCTGCTTTTTACTTATAGAAATTACTTTTGAAGCCTCAGCACCTCTTGGTACAGTCATCTGTGAAACATCAGTTAGTGGGTTTGCCATTATCCAGGCTTTTTATTCTTAAAATTTCAGAGTGTCTTCTCTGAATGGGACAGGCTCAACAGCCCACTATGGAAAAAAAAAAACCACTGTCTGAGCTGCTACAGCAGTGTTTAGAGTGACAGGTAGCTTACCTATGGTCAAAGAGCCAAAGTGTACCTGTGGTTTAAATTCAACTTATTTGAATCCAGAGATACATTCTTAAGCACTGCGCTATATAGATCTTCCTTATAACATGTTAAATTCATTGCATACATTTAATCTGAAAGGGCAGATTATCCAAAACCAATCATCTATCTTACAAATTTTTAATTTTCAGTAGCAGATATTCCTTCTCAATTAAATTTGGCAGGCTAGTATTAAAATTAGTTTGTATTCCCCAAGCACCTACCAATCAGAAAAGCAGCCCAGGAGTGTTCTAGAAGCCAGAGAGAAACTAACTTGGATTTGAAAGATCTGCCCTAGATAGAGTTGATAATTGAGGCTGATTATAACAACTTTAAGGTCAATGTTCCCCAATTCCCTGCTCAGATGATAACAATCCCTTAATTCCTGTGTTCTATAATATTTTCCTTGCTTCCTATATCATTCCACCTCTCAGTCACACCACAGTTCAACTGGATGTGTTATGCAGGGAACAAATTGATGCAATATCTAGTAAATAAATGTATTTGCCACCCACAGATCAAACTTTGATGTGTCCTGCTCTAATTAAAAATCAGATAAGTATAAATTAGTTTAATTTATATTTCTGTGTTGCCTTCAATTCATTTATTCCCCTGTAGGGTAGTGACACTTGACAGATAAAAAGGTCTCCCCATTACAGAGAGAAAGGCTGGAAAGCAATGTCATCAAAAAAGGGCCTAGCGCAAATATTAGAAAGCAGGTGGCTCTGCTGTCCTGCATTAATAAATAGAAGGCATGAGGAGATAAAAATAAGGTGAGCCAGTTTCAAGGTGAAAAGGACTACAAGACCAAGGTTACCCAAAGACAGTCAGATAGAAAGCAAAAGACTAAAGAAAGGTAAGAACAACTGTGTGATGATATGAATGCCAACAGATAAAAAGGAATGGAAATGTTAAACTGGATGAGATTGGGAGTTCATGGATGAGGAAGCCAAAATTGAAAGAAGCTGTAACTTCACCAAAGTCAGAGAGCAAGCAGGGATATTTGCAGAGCTGCAAGTGGCAAAAACATTAATCCAGACCATTCCTCATGGGTTGTTATTCTTAACTGCTGTCTTAGAATGACAAGACCTGCCACACTCCTCTCCTTTCAGGGATGAGGGAGTAAAGCTTCCCAGTAAATGTTTGCCCAAATAGTGGGGAGGGTGACAAGTGATTATAAAGAAGCAAAACAATATTGTTAACATTTGCACTACTGTGGGATGAATTTCAAACAAAAGAAAATACAGCCTTGAAACAATTCAATTACAGCAAGCCTATGATAAATCTACTCAAAGTTAAGTTATGAGTCACAGAAATGACATATTTACTTTGAAAGAACACCCCCATACAATGTTTGCAGCCTCTGGTTTAGTCACTCCACATTGTAATTCCTCTAAACATCATTCAAAACACTTAAGATATATCATTAGCTCACTAGAAACCCATTTTTTGAAGGAGCACTACTATAATCAGTTAATAGCTATAAACACCTTCATTAGTGATAAGATTTTCAAAAGAAAGCAGTATTTGGTGTACAATAAAATTATCATCCCAGTAACACTTAAATTGGTTATTAAAAGGTATTGAAAATTTAGAGCCAGGCTCTTTCAATCAATTAAAAGAAGAAGGCAAGGAAACACCTTCAGCCTGTACCTTAATTAGACATTCTATACACTTGTTTAGATAACGCCTACTGTTGGAACTCTTTCATACTAGGTTTTCTGGCCAAATAGACTTGAAAGGGTGGTGAATATTAAAAACTATCCCATCAGGGCCTAATGCATTTAATTAGTTGATCATAAGTGTGAAGTACCCTTTCCCTTTTGATAGATTACCCAAAAGAGTAGGCTAAAAACCTCGATTTGCTGACTAATTGAATTTTGATATATTCTCCAGAGCTGTTTTTCCCCCGACTAATTGAATTTACAAGCAGTTAAATCTGACAGATTCGGTGATATCTGCCAAAGTCCCTTTATACTTTGTTAAATTATGAAAATGTAGCCAGTGTGTCATGCCCTAGGGAAAGAGGGTACATTTGAGGACTCATTCCCAACAGTACAAAGTGGTAAGGGAATCTGATTTGTCATAATATATGTTAAAATATCCAGTAGTAGATTTGATATTTTGTCATTGGATATATTAATTTTCCATTAATGGAAGACAAAATATTCTAAAAGGGTACATGTACAGGTTTGTTAATAATGTCATATCTGCACCAATATATATGAATCTGCATACAAGCAAAGGCAGGTGTACTTTCTGCTGTTAGCTGAAATAGAGGTAGTTCAATTCCCACATAGATTCCATTTCTAGCTAAGCTAAAAAGTACGGCCCCTCATAATCTGCCTAAGCTTCCAGCAGGGCATGTGCATTTCCTTCACCAAAAAACCAAGGCTTATTGCAGAAAAATAAAGGCAAGCCTTGTTAATTATGACCTAGAGAATGTGAAATTCCTAGTAAGTCAACTTCAGCTGGCTTGAAATTTGGAAATGAATTTGCTGAGTAAATTAACAATCAAACACAATTGGAGGAGAGATGTTTGAAGACTTAAGGGAACAAATGATTTTTCAAGCACTTGGGAAGCATTATTTACATACAGCTAATTACTATGTGAAAAGAGCTGTGGTACCTGGAAAGAGGACTGGATTTGAGGCAAAAGACTTACTTAGCAGTAGTCTTCTACAATTACTTCTATAACCGGAACCTTAGTTTCTTTATCTGTAAAACTGAGATAATATTTACCTCACCACATTGTGGAAGGCTTCAACGAGGTGATATACATGAGTCTGTAATCTGCGAGGAGCTAAATGAATATTGGGTATTTTTATTATGTGCATAAAATAATGAACATATGAATAAAACACTTGTAGGAACATTTTACCCTCTATTTTTACAGATAAGACAAATGGGGCATAGAGTAGTCAAGTGACTTGTCCATGGGCACACAGCCAGTTAATGGCAGAGTTGGGGCAAAAATCTAGGGCTCTGCAACATCATTGTCAGGGTCCCTATCTCTTAATCATAGCTATTCCCCCAAAGGACCACTATACTTTCTTGACTTTGTTCTTATAGCTTGAATTACTTTAAAAGATGCCTATTAACAAATAGGTACTTATCTTCAAGTATTAATATTTTATAGAATTTTACACTTGAATGTTTAATAAACATCTGTTGAGCACCTACTTAATGCAAGTCACTGTACTAGGTGCTAGAAACGAAAAACAAAACTTGGTCCCCGCCTTTAAAGAACTATTAATCCTAGTGACTCCAAGCACCCATTGCCTTTATTCTGGCCTTAGGCTGTCAAAGGTCCTTCACCATCATGTTCTACAGAGGCTTGAACTTTCCCTAACCAACCATACTCAAAAAGATTTCCCTCTCGCCTCCAGTTTAGCTGGGGCTATCGGGTCTCAGGAAACCTGACTAAAACGTTTCATTTTTGATACATGGTACATAAATTCTGAGCTCAGCCTCAAATTATCTCTGGGGTTCCATTTCGTGCAGTTGGAGAATCCTGAAGGGTGATGTTATCATGAAGTGTCAGGTAGCAATAGTGACAGTGTAGGTGGGTGGGTGGGCAGAAATAACCTTAAGTTTATTCAGCTGATGAGATGTTCATATCCTGGAAATAGAAAAGCTAGTTGCTCACCAAAGCATATTTACTACAGCTTTCCTCCCTCATGGGCCCTGATTTCCAGATTGAGAAGCCACCTCCTGATGAAAATCTGAGAGGCAAGGAGAATTCAGGTATTAGGAAAAATGAGAAGCAGGCACAGAGTAAGTTGGAAGAGCAAACTTTGCAGGCACCCACAGTTGCACGTTATTAGATTCCATGCTCCACAACCTAACTAGCTGTATGAGCTTGGGCAAGTCACTTAGCCTTTCTGAGTCTCCATCTCCTCATGTGTAAAATGATAACAAATGGTACCTGTATCAAATGGTTGTTGTGCCAGTTAAATGGCATAATGAATGTAAGATGGCTGACTCATGGTATGCATTCAGTAATTGTTAGTTCTATTCCCTTTATTGCCAGGTCACCTCCCAGCATACCTTCTCCTCCCCCTCCAATGCTTCTGTGGAGAAAAGTACAAAATGTGGGACCTCCCCACCTTCCCATCTTCCCAATAGAAAAGTAAGGAAGCTCAGATGCCTGGAGCCCCCTGGGTTTCATAAATCCTTGTGTCTTTCAAGAATCATTTTCTTCAAACCTCAGGCTATCTCATCAGAGTCTAATAGAGGAGTCAGATGATTAACCATTAGATGAATAATTTGCTATGTGAACTGTAGATTGAAAAAGAAGGGAGTAGGAACGGGAATTAAGTTGTTATTTCATTAAGTTGTAATTAGCGACTAAAGGTTTCAACATACCTAATAAATCTATTAGAGTATATTGAGTTTAAATAATTTCATTTCATTAAATTATCTGTATATTTATATCTCTCTGTAGATATAACTGTATAATCTTGGCCCAAAGTCTCTACTCCTGAATTTTTCATAGAGACTACGTTCTTTAAGAAGATATTCTGAGTATAATTCAGGGCCTGACTGCACTCTGGATTTCCTTAGAACACAGTCCATTATAGCAGATAATTCAACAAAGAGGCCATGTCCAATATATTCAAGGGATTTACTTCACTGAGAGTAAGGGAGAATCTCCACCTATTATTATTTATTCATTCGTAACACTGTCCCACTAAACTCACCCCAAGTACTGTGGAGGCTCTGAATTAGTTCACCACTACCACAACCCTCCTGCCCCCAGGCTCATCTAGCGTTTCTGCCACTCAGTCCCTGTGTTCCAGCCACACTGGCCACTTTTGTGCTGCTTGATTATGCCAAGCTCCTTTTCACTTCAAGACCATCATAAGTTATATTCCTTCTGCCAGGGACACTTTTCACCTATTCTTAGAGGTCCAATCCCTGACATTAGGAAAATATAACAGAGAAAACACGCAGTCTGATGAGGGAGAATTATAAAGAAACTATTTAAACCAAATGCCACCATGCCACATAAGTCTCTTCTAGCACTAGCATCCTTATCCCCAAATTAGGAGTAGTCTACCTCTTCTGGAAAAAAATCTGATTTCACTAGTAAGTCCCCAGATTTCTGGGATAATTTGGATTAAAGTCTGTTCTAATATGAAACTAGATTGGGTTCAGAAACCTGAAGTCACTCTGAGCTCTCCACCAAATGGGCCAAGCTTATTTTCTTCTCATGAGATTGACATCCTAGCAGGCAGTGTAATGTTGAAGGTTTGGAATCTGACATCCCTTGGTTTGAATTTTCACTCTAATACTTAATAGCTGTGTGTCTTTGGGCAAATGACTTAACATCTCTCGGCCTCTGTGTTTTCACTTATGAATGTAGATGATAACTCCACACAGAGTAGTTTGTGAGGATTAAGTGATATAGTTCATTTCAGTGCTCAGTGCAAGGCCTGGTATTAGTAAGTGCTAAATATCAGTTATCTGTTACTATTTTCATTACTGCAACTAACTTCACCTAGGCCACAGCTTGGGCTCATCCATTTATAGAACATTTATGAACAGGCTTTTTACTAGGTGCTGGTGATACAGAGGAGAATAAGACATGACCCTGTCCTTAGCTGACAGTCTGATGAAGGAAACAGTCATATAAATAGCTAACTATATTTACTAGTTGCATAAAAAATTATTTTACCAAGTAAAATGGAACACATTCTGTGATAGTGGAAACACACAAAGAGCTGTGAGCACAGGACCAAGCATAAGGTTGTACTGGTCATAAAGGAGACCTAGTGAGAAAGAGTAGAAGATCAAGAATGCCCAGTCCTTTATAGTTGATCAACTACACAAACCCGTGTCCTATGGATGGCAGATTAATTGGTCTGCCTTCATGTTTGAAGGACGGCACTGGATATCCTAACTTAAACTAGTCTTAAGAGAGCAAAAATAAGCCAGCAGAGTTGACTCCTTAGGTCATTCCTAGGCTAGACCAGCATCCTTAGAGCTAGAAAATAATTGAGCCAATTCTTTGGACACAGCTCGGGACCAGGGATGGTATAGGAGAACTATGATCACCAGGACATTTCCCTCCAAAGCTTCTGGATTTGGAGCCATGCTTGTCCATATGCTTCTCTATTAAATACCTATGAATTTCATTGATCTTTTCTAAAATACTTCTCCATCATACCAAATTCAGGCCTGTCAACTTCCCTTCATAATTTATAATTTATGAGTTCAAGCAAAACTGAGCTCTTAATTTCCTTGCTTCAATTCCAAGGCTTTGCTTTTTCTCCTATACAGATAAACTCTTGTGATCAATTTCTGATGATAAATCAGGGATCACACAAATCTCAGCAGAAGGGGGTCAATATTATGACAGAAGACTCTATACACACACACACATACACCACCACCACCTCCCTGTTCACTTCTTCACCTGACCACAGAAGCAAGATGGTGCACTAGCACATTCTACAAAGCATTATGGCAACTTTAAGGAGGAATGAAACACCCAAATCTCCATATATTCTTTTCAAGAAATTAATGTGTAGGAGGACTTTATCCCTTATTTACAAAATACTGTTGGACAGCCTTAATCAGTCAGTCTGAAGCAATCAGAGTGGGCATGAAGAAAATCAAACAGAGAGGGATTTTGTTTTATTCTTTTTTTATGTTTTTTGTTGTAAAAACTATAAGTGCTTTCCTTTCCTTCTTCCTGGCATGTCCTTGTGATTAAGGAAATCCATATTCAATGAGTATTCTAAGAGTCTTGACCTGAAGCAAACAGATGTTTCTATTCTTTAAGGGCAGTCAGTCAACATTATTTACTGTTCACCTTCTGTTTGCAACGGCTCTTCCTGACATCATGAAGACAATTCAATTTATATAATGTGACAAAACAAACATACATGAAGTGACTTAAGACCACTTACAAAAAACATGAAAACAAAAGCAAATGTCTCTATGAACTGTATCTAGAGGTGCTAAGAGCACATAGGGAGGGAGTGATGCATTAGGTGAAGTTAATTGGGACTGGATTCCTGGACGTGCATTTTGTACCAGGTGTTAAAGGAAGGGTAGAGCATAATTTATAGACAGAATAAGATGAGAGTAAATAGGGATAAGGAGTACATTCAAATTTTGCAGACCAACTGTTATATTTGCAGCCTGAATGTTTTCAAAAAAAATTTTTATCAGCATTACTATCCCAGCAAAGGCCATTCTGACATTAGTTGTATATTAATGTAACACTGCATACTTACCATAAAATTTCATATATTTGTAAAAGACTTAAAACCCATATTACTCACCCAAAAGTCATTACCAACTGGGACTATTTGTGGCTGTATAAATAACCTGTACTAAGAAAATCAACCCTCTGCATTTACCAAGATAATGTGAACTATTTATGCTAGACAGTAAGTACTTAGACAAATCTAGAAGCACATTCATTTAGCCAATGGACCTTCATGGCTCCGTTGGAAGATTTAGCATCCATCATGAATACATATCACTAAATATTTTTTAACATGCATAGTTTACTTGATGGACTCTGATGGTTTTTCTAGAGACATCAGTAGCTGGTAAACACAGAGCTCTTAGAGCATTCCTGAAAGTAGTTTATGAGGAGAAAAGGGATCCAAAACAGATTACAATCTGTGTCACTAGAAAATTTGGGGTACGGGATACTCAAGTGCTTTATGAACTATGGGGGTGAAGTACTTGCCTCTGAATTCAAACCACCCGAGCTTGAATTCTGGCTTTGCCACTTACTAGCTCTGTGACTTTGAGGAAAGTCACTCGACCTTTCTGTACCTCAGTTTCCTCAACTGTAAAATGGGGATAATATTGGTACCTACTTTGCAACATTTGTGTGAAAATTAAATAAATGTATTGTAGAGCATTCAACACAGTGCCTTCCACACACTAAGCCTTCATTCCTACAATGCAAGAGAATTTTGAGGTGAAAATTGCTGCTGTGGGAAGTGATAAGATGAACACAATAAAATGTGAAGTTATAAATCCAACTTTCTCAAACATCTAAGAAGTTTGAGTTTTTACTCAGTCCCTCTATTACAGCTAAACCTACCAAGAGGTTCATGTTCATTAACAAATTGTAACTGCCAGCAGCTATCTACACTAGGGGAATCCTCAAACTTCAAAGAATTGTTTTTTACAAATACATAATGCCAAGAATTGGTGATATTTGGCTTATTCACAAATAAGAGCAGACTGACAAGCTTTAGTTATGACAAATAAAAAGATACACATAACGGCCCTGGGCAGTATTAAGTGTTTAAGAGAGGCTGTAGCTCTTATGACTATGGTATTATAGTAAACCTGTCAACTGCCCATATCCATTCCCTTGTTCAAGGGAAAGCCCTTGAAAGCCATCTTTTATAATCTTTTATACCAAATGACCCCACCCTCTGTAGTCACCAATGCCACAAACAAGCGTAATTCTTAACCCTCAGGAAGCCATTGCAAAAGTGGCCAGAAACTCTGAAGACAACAATCTGGACAGAATTCACTCTGCCTTTTAGAAATGTGAACAGGGTAATAATGTGAAAACAAGGCAATGAACAAAGAGGACCTTGAGAAGTGAGACTGAAAAGATCAATCAAGAAATGCCATGCCGTAAAACTAGAGTCATGAGGAAATTATGGTCAAGAGAAAAATAAGGAGAAAATACAAGAGTAAGAAGAAAAGGGGATACAGAGAAAAGCTATACCAAGTACAAAATTAGAAAGCCAGTTTTCAGGAGGAGAGAAAGAAAGTAGGTCCTCTGAAAATCACCTATCCCGATATTCAGGTCTCTGAAGCTGCCCTGGATTCTGAATAGTATTCTAGCTTCAATCTCTATGTAGCCCAATTCTTTAACTGTTTTTGTTTTTCTAGCAGCTCAACTCTATTATATTTTCTGCTGATGTCAGAAAGTACTTCTTACTACCCCTGTGTCGTTAAGAAAGTAAATTTGCTTATCTGTACATTAGATTGTTTAATTGAAAAATGTCAATAATATTGGTATATCAGTATACATTATCCTCTTGTCATGAGTACTGTCTGAATATAAAGCCACCCAATCAGGGACTGCGTTTTCCTTTCACCCTTACAGCCAGATGTGGCCACATGACTAGTTCTCATCAATGGCTTCTGAGCAAAAGTCATATATACAACTTCCTCAACAATTTCTTAAAATATAGTTATTTACTCTGAACTCTTGCCCATCCCTCTTCCCACAATCTGGAATGAAAACATGCACACAAGGACCATGTCCTAGAGTAGGGGCTGGCAAACTTGTTCTATAAAGGGCCAGATGGTAAGGTCTCTGTCAAAAGCTACTCAGTTCTGGTGTTGTAGTGCTAAAGTAGACATAGATAATATATAAATGAATGGGGCTGGTTGTGTTCCAATTCGACTTTATTTACAAAAGCAGGCAGCAGGCCAGATTTGATCTGCCAGCCATAATCTATCAATCTGTGGTCTAAATCAGGGGTCCTCAAGCCCCAGGCCGTGAACCAGTACCAGTCAGTGGCCTGTTAGGACCTAAGCCACACAGTAGGAGGTGAGTGGCGGGCAAGCGAGCGAAGCTTCATCTGCATTTACAGCTGCTTCCCATTGCTGGTATTACTGCCTGAACTCCGCCTCCTGTCAGATCAGGGGCGGGATTAGATTCTCATAGGAGTGCGAGCCCTATTGTGAACTGTGCATGCATGTGAGGGATCTAGGTTGTGGGCTCCTTAGGAGAATCTAATACCTGATGATGTGTTACTATCTCCATCACCCCCAGATGGGACCATGTAGTTGCAGGAAAACAAGCTCAGGGCTCCCACTGATTCTACATTATGGTGAGTTGTTCAATTATTTCATTACATATTATAATGAAATAATAATAGAAATAAAGTACATGATAAATGTAATGCACTTGAATCATGCCTACACCATCCCCCCACCAAGTCCACAGAAAAATTGTCTTCCACAAAACCAGTCCCTGGTAAAAAAGGTTGGGGACCGCTGGTCTAGATGATGGCAGAACAACAATGGAAGGTATCTGGAGCTTTGAACTACTGCATGGAGCACAACTTCCCTACCAGCCTATACCAGCTATAATGTAATGAGAGAGAGAAGAGAGCAAGGCAGGGAAGGGGATGAGGAGGGAGAGGGACTACAGAGTGAGAATAAGAGAGAGATTGTCATCTCACTTAAGTCATTCTATTTTGTAGTCTCTTATAGAAGTATAGCCCTCACCCTAACTAATATACCTCTCTTCCTGAGAGCTGGTTTTCAAGCTTTTTCCAGATCCCAATGGACAAATATACTTGTTCTACATTATCCATTACTAAAGGCACCTTGAATAAGCCATAGAAATCAAAATAATCTAATTAAAAACAGGTGTCTCAGAGAAAAGGCCTACCAGAAATCTTAGACAGATATCATGAAAGCCGGCATTAAATTTGTACTTGTTCCAATATCCTTGCTTTCCGAAGGCATTTTCCTGACCCTCCCAACCATTATGATTGAAATGATCGAAGAAATAAGGGAGTTGATAACTATTTTTCATGCCAATCGAGGTAACACTATGACAATATACTATGAACCGGAGGCAGGGTAGCCTGGTGACAAACTTTGAGTTTGAGTAAGAATGAGACTAAGAATAGTTCAACAGAGCCATTAAGGAGCTACAACTTACATCTCTGTACAGGAGGACATTTCTGTGGTAGCCAGCTTCTAAAATGGCTCTCAATGTTTCCTGCCTCCTGACAGTCACATCCTTATATAAACCTTTTCTCTTTTCTTTGGGTGTTGGGCTGTTGCCTTTGAGTACAGTTGGACCTAGTGACTTGTTTCTAAGGAGCAGTATATGACGAAACTGATGAGATGTCACTTCTTAGATTCATTTACAAAATACTGATTTCTGTCTTGCTGGAATTTTCTTTCTCCCTCACTTTCCCACTTCGATGAACCCAGCTGCCATGTTGTCAGCTGCCCTATGGAAAGGGCCCCATGGCAAATAATTGAGGCTAGCCTCTAGCCAACAGCCGTCAAGGAACTGGTGCCCACAGTCCAACAACCCACAAGAAACTGAATCCTGCCAACCATCATGCAAGTGAGCTTAGAATTGATCATTCCCCAGTTAAACTTTGAGATGACTATAGCCCTGGTCAATCCCTAGATTGCAACCAATGAGAAACACTGAAGCAGACGACTAAGTTAAACCATGACCAGGTGTCTGACTCATGGAAATCTGTGGAATAACAAATACATATTGTTTAAAACACTAATTTTGGGGGTAATTTCTTATGCAGCCACAGATAGCTAATATAATTTCTGTCTATTCATTGCAGCTGGTTTGGGTCATAGACATCTTTTTTATGTTCTCATGACAGCCCAGAGTTCAATCATCCTAGCTGTTAATCACACTCTACTGGAAACTGCCTGGTTAACCTGGCTGCATCTCACCCTAGACTATAAGCTCCAAAGAGCAGAAACTGTATGTATCTTGTCCACTGCTGCATTCCCAGCCCTAACATAGTGACACTGGACAATATTGGCTGAATGGATGAGTGGGTGGGTGGGTGGATGCCACAGAGGTAATTGAAACCATGTGTTTTGTGAAATGTTGCTTAGGAGGTCTTGTACAAAAATAGCAAAACTGCCTTCTTATTTTACTGTTTCCTTCCTCAAACTGCAATAAATCTCAGTTCAGTGAACCACTTGAAGTCACAAGTTCAGTTCAACAGACCATGAAGAATAAAAACTGTGAAACAGAACTGAAGGAGGCTTAAAGTCAAGAGCAGTGTGTTCTCCAGAAAGCACCTCTTTTGTCTTTCAAAGGGTGACATATACCAAAATCCTATTTGTCCTGAATTCAGGAAACATTCAGACCATTTTACACAGTTGCTTAGGCAAATTATCCCGGCTCATGCAAGGGCAGCTTACTTATATTGTATATGTTTTTACTAGGTTGAATTTTTAACAGGGCTGAAAATTGAATTCTGTCTTAAATGTGTTAGGGGAGCTCATTATTAAAAAGCAACATATCATGTGCTCTCTAATAAAATGAATAATTTAGTTACAAAGTCTATAAACTGAGATTGCCACACCTATAATTTTTACTGTTTTATAAATCCAGATATTCACATATCAAGTTTACTTAAAGCAGAGAAATCTGTGATTCCCCCAGGACAGGGAAGCTGAAAAATCAACTAGACGGTGTGCCAAATCTATCCTTTGACCCTCCCTGCTGCAACCACTGCAAAAGTCAGATTCACTTCAAAACCAGCTCTGCCCTTTGACAAATAAATAACAGGAGCTCTAGGAGGGCTAGCTTCTGGTACTGCTTGCCTACATACCTCACTTAGTCAGGAACTCTTATGTGATGAAGTTACTGCATAGAACTTCATTTCCTGTAGAATCCCATTTTATTTACCTCTGAACTCTAACCTCTCCAATACTGGCTGGTCAACTATTCAAATCCCTGTGTTTCCTACTATGTGAACTCCACCCCCAAACCCTGCCAAATTTCATACTTTCCCTGTCTTAGATGGATAATTGGGATGTAGTTTCTGCCTTTGGCTAACAGTATTTGTAAATATCTGTCCCGCAAACTAGTGCCAATGAAGTAATAGCTCAGTGTTTTTCAAACTTTAATATGCACACAAATAACTGTATGCACACTTGCATTCAGCAGGTGTGAGAAGTGTACTGAGAGCCTGCATTTCTAATAAGCTCCTAAGTGATGCCAATGCTGCTGATACTTTGAGTACTAAGGGTGCAGTAACAAAACAATACCTTACACACAGAACACCTGGGTTCCTGAACAAGTTAGTTCCATTAGCTGTTTAACCTTGTGTAATTTGCTTTACCCCTCTCTTTTAAAAACAGGTGATAGCTTCTTCACAGTCTTCCCAATTAAATGCATGGGCTTGAAATGTAGTTCTACTGTTAATTAGCCCTGTAACTCTGGGCAATTTACTTACACTCCCCACTCCTCAGTGGATAAAAGCAGTACCTACTTTGCTGGGCGCAGTGGCTCATGCCTGTAATCCCAGCACTTTGGGAGGCTGAGAAGGGCGGATCACTTGAGGTCAGGAGTTCGAGACCATGCTGGCCAACATGGTGAAACCCCGTCTCTACTAAAAATACAAAAATTAGCCGGGTGTGGTGGCGGGCGCCTGTAATCCCAGCTACTCAGGAGGCTGAAGCAGGAGAATCATTTGAACCCGGGAGACAGTGGTTGCAGTAATCTGAGATCAGGCCATTGTACTCCAGCTTGGGTGACAGAGTGAGACGCCATCTCAAAACGAAACAAAACGAAAACCGCAGTACCTACTTCACAGGGCTGTTGTGAGGATTAAATGAGTTAATACTGTACAGATAAGGTACTGAGAACAGTGCCTGAAACACAGTAATCCCTAATATTATATTATATCTGGATGCCTGTTCTTCAAATACCTCAGCTCAATATTAGTCCCGTATTCTGAAAAGTGGATTTCATCTGACCTGCTATATCTACCTGGCCCACCTGGCTACTACTCATGTTATGGTTCTGATGCTAGGCCACCCATTAGATTCATCACAAGTTCACTCATCCCAAAGTTTCTCACTTTTTCATCTCAAAGTCTTCCCTTAGTCATATGCACATTCATTTCATATAAACCATTAGCCATACATAAACATATTCCTGTTATGGTAGAAGATTCTAGCTCTTCTACTAATGTCACTCATAGGAATGTCATGTGCTCTCGTGCTCGCTCTCTCTCTCTCTCTCTCTCTTTCTCTCTCTCTCCTGCTGCCCCACAAAAGGCAAAGGAATCTGGACTTTAGAGAGAAATTATATTCTGCTTTGCATCCTAGTTGATTTAACTGAAAAGAATAGAAGACTTTCTTCCCTCAGAAGTCCAGAAAGACTCATGCCTTTTCACAATTAGCACTAAAGATTAGGTGATAGTCACACAAGCTAGGTCCCTGCCATGGCAAAGGAATCATCTCACTGAAAATTTTCTAGCCCAAGTATTACCACCTAATGTATTTATTGGGAGTGAAGGTAGTGTGTAATGGCAGAAGTAGCAGACCAAGACACATCAATGGATTGTTGAGTGACAGTGAGAGCCCAGCTGAGGCTGGACATTATCAGTTTGTAATGGGACCAACTCATATTGTGGGATCAGTGCTGCAGAGCCCTACTCATTAAAGCAGTTTACTGATGAAGCTTTCAAGATTTTTAATATGGTCACTGCGTGGCAGAATCATTTCAGGGTAGCTGGCCCAGTCCTTGCTGATAGAGACAATTAGTTTGGGGAAAAGCAGGATCTATCCAAATTCTAGCCACTTTCTCAAGTTTTACTCTTACACTCCCCCTTTCCCCCTCAGTTGATCAACCTTACCTCTAACTTAGTTTACAAAATGGAAGTCACCTTGACTGTCACCCAAACCTATCTTGCGTGTATCCTCAACTTTTTTTCCTTCCCTACTTTTAGAATCAAAGAACTGTCTCTATTTTTTTAGCCCGCCCTCCTGGGCTCTGGACCCCATTCCCCTTCACCTTCTAAAGGTCTTTACTGCATTAATTACCCCTCTCATTTCTAGATAGTCAAAATCTCTCTCCCATCTACAAAGAGTTCTATAGGTTACGAACAGAAGTGACATCAACTAGAATAAATGGTACAGAACAATAGAGAATGGCAAAATACTTATATTTCAGGTCAGAACATTTAACCAGTCTTAGCAGCACTAGATAACAGGACTAGTGAATGGTCAGGCTATTGTCCACGTGTCCTGTTTATACTACCAGCTAGGGTGGGGGATATAGTTCTAAGTCCATAGTTGTTAATTACAGTCTGAAGAAACCAAATGCCTGGTATGAATTCTGCTCCCAAATAAGGAGGAGGGTGGGCAGATGTATTTCACCAACTTCCTACTGACAAATTCTGAGGAACAATGAAAAGGCTTGCAAGAATCACAGGTCCTGGCAAGTCTGTGTGCAGATATGTTCACGATATGCATGGCTTGGCTACATATAGCTCATAAAATCACAGCGAGAAGTGCCATGTTTTCCACAGAGCTGCATATGAGGTTCCCCCCAAATGCAAATATATTTGCTATCCCCAACAGGGTGAGAACAGTTGGGGATATTAAAAATGAAAGGCAATTTTAGTTTTGGCAAGATTGGCTAGACAGTTCTTTCAGAGTCATTATGAGCTATTACGGTCTGCATTATGGAATCAATCCACAGAAGCCAAGCTTTGGCCACTTAATTGGGACATATGGAGGCTGCTCTAATATTGGGGGAGCTGAATTACAAAGGCAGAGCTAAATCCAGAAATGATTCCCATATTTCAGTCCTAAAAACTGGATGGCTGAATGTTTTATGGCTTAGTTAACATTTTCAAAACATAAAATTTTCCCCAATAAAAGGATGACTGGGGTCCATTCCTGCTACAAGGTTCTTCTTATAACCAAAGTGAATTCTCTGAAAATAGGAAATTTAAATCTATGATTAAAGAACAGCTCAAACATCTGTGTGCTTTAGTCCAGCCAAGTTATCACCGTGTGGCAGTCCGTTTCTGCAAATGCTCCTCAATGAAGGTGACCCATCATGCAGCAAACCCCTGAGTACTGGCCAGTGCTTGACAAGTGCCTTTAAAATAAGAGTTAGCTAACTTTAAAATGTAATGTCCTATGTGCATTTAAGATCCTCTACAGATAACCTAAATACAAACCTATTGGTCCCTCAAGTGGATCCTTGAAAAACAAAGCTGATATGGATAGACAGGGTAGAGGGTTCTAAGGAGGAGTGACAGAATGAAGAAAGGTAAAGATAGAAGAATGGGATGAAGGGTCCAGCCAATCTTGCCAATCTTTGAATGGTCCAGTTTTTTCCTAACACATGTACAATGGTATGAACATGATGCATGCTTGACAGGGGATGATGACGAAAAAGAGATGAAAACACTGTATGTTTATACACAATTTTCAAAAAGTTTTAGGGTATACCTGTGCATGTACACCCTACATTTTTCTTTCATGGGCTCGAAAGAGTCCAGCAAAGTCTGCTTCTACTGTTAAAAATATAATCACACCAGTTAGAATGGCGATCATTAAAAAGTCAGAAAACAACAGGTGCTGGAGAGGATGTGGAGAAATAGGAACACTTTTACACTGTTGGTGGGACTGTAAACTAGTTCAACCATTGTGGAAGTTGGTGTGGCAATTCCTCAGAGATCTAGAACTAGAAATACCATTTGACCCAGCCATCCCATTACTGGGTATATACCCAAAGGATTATAAATCATGCTGCTATAAAGACACATGCACACGTATGTTTATAGCGGCACTATTCACAATAGCAAAGACTTGGAACCAAGCCAAGTGTCCAACGATGATAGATTGGATTAAGAAAATGTGGCACATATACACCATGGAATACTGTGCAGCCATAAAAAATGATGAGTTCATGTCCTTTGTAGGGACATGGAGGAAGCTGGAAACCATCATTCTCAGCAAACTATTGCAAGGACAGAAACCCGCATATTCTCACTCATAGGTGGGAATTGAACACTGAGAACACATGGACACAGGAAGGGGAACATCACACACCAGGGCCTGTCGTGGGGTGGGGGGAAGGGGGAGGGATAGCATTAGGAGATATACCTAATGCTAAATGACGAGTTAATGGGTGCAGCACACCAACATGGCACATGTATACATATGTGACAAACCTGCATGTTGTGCACATGTACCCTAAAACTTTAATAATAATAAATATATATATATATAATCCTCTTACAGTACATTGTCCTAAACTCTATAGCAGTGCAAAATAAGGTGTATTGTAATTTTTGTGTGTAGCTTTTTGATAGAAAAAGTGCATATATCCAGATATGGACTACATTTGATATATGGCTGTCTTTGTAGTACCTAGACTATTTTTGCTGAATGGATTAGTGAATAAACTATGATGTCATTTGTCCCATCTATATAAAAGGGAAACTGAGGCACCAGTAATTTAAAAGACTTCTCCTAAGGCAAGAAATGAGATATTATTAATTGTTCTTCAGGATAGTGATGTGCTAACCAGTAACACACAAGCAAGAGAGCAAGATTCCACTTCTAACTTGCAGAGTGACTCTGGTCTGGCTGTTTTACCTAACTAGGCATTGTTTTCCTTTTCTGTAAAATAGAGCCATCTGGTGCTTGAGAAGACCTGACTGTTCAGGTCCTTGTTCTGTCTGGATGAATACTTATGGCTCCTCACTCTATCGTTACCATACAGATATAGGTGACTCAAAACAGACTACCACTGAAAAAACAAAAAGTCAGATGCCAAGATCCAGTCTTATCTATTTTGGAACAGAATTCAGGGTCTCAGAACATAGCAGTAGCGTCCTTGTTTCAACTCTCGCTGGCAAAACTAATTCCTTTCTAGAGACTCAGTACAGTTGCTTACAGCTCATTTTGGTTTCAAGAGAAAATGCTTCTGGTGTTCCTCTGTCTATAAAGCTAAACAAAATGCATGAACTACTTTATTATATGAAGGTCCCTGCTGTCTTATTAAGGTCAAAACTTAATGGAGAGAAATGTCATTAAAATTTGTAAATTTACCCAGAGGTGGTATTCATTTGTCTTGTCTGTCATTTAATAACAAACTAGAAAGATTCCAACAAATAAATAGACCAAGGCCCTTGGAGTTTAACCAAAACAGCCATATGTCCTGAGGTATAAATGAGTCTGTTTTCACAACTGAGGTGACAGTGAGCATCCAACATGGTAGACCTTTAAAGAAATCCCAGAGCCTGGTAAGTATGAAAGTGGTAGAGGATGACAGAGAAGAAAAACTAACAGAGACAGGATGAGGGGAAGAAGGCTTCAGGGAGAAGCTAGGCCCTGACGTGACAAGAGGCAGCATCTGCTTTAAGCAATGTGATACACATGGTAACCATTGCAGAGCTCCTAAAATGGTTGATTCCATTCTTTAGCCTTATTAATTAAAAGCCTGCAAATATCTGGAACCTCTACTGATTGCAGATCTTACAATCTACCGATGATCTTGGTTGGGGAAATATTCAAAAGAGCCAAAATCATTCTTACACTTTGCTCTCTAGACTTTTAAATTGCTCTACCCCTGGACATTAACCAATTACAAATGACCAGGGGCCATTTATTGTCACAGCACCACTCTCCTAAGCAAAGGGTATGGAAAGCAGGCTGGATGCCTTTGTATCAGTGCTTGGCTCTACTTCAAGACATATTTCCTAATTCCATTTATCGGGGATAGAGAGCTGTGAACAAATGTTGCACTTCGCCAAACAAGAAATAAAGGTCTTACCCTTGGGGAGTTTCTTATCTAAATGAAAACAAAAGGAGCCCTAGGAATTGATAAACACCTCATCTGGCTGTTTTCACTAAAGATGCCAGAACCAACTGAGGATTTCTGAGAAGAATGAACAAGAAAAGGAAATTTTAAAGGATAGGCAAGAGGAAGAGAAGATAGGAGAGTACGATTTTATTAAAACTCCTCGTTGTAGTCTTCAAGTTGCCTCTTAAGGAGGACAGATTGGCCAGGTGAAAGAAAGGAGATACAAGACTTACAAATTACCTATGCATTACCACTTGAGGCTTTTGCAGTAGCTTGGCAAGCGTGGGATAAGAATAGAGCTAGTAAGTTGGCTGTCATATGCATTGTCCTGTTTGAAGTATAGTCATGCCATCTCTGATGTCACCATTGGCTTTCTGCCAGGGAAACTAAGGCATATTTTTGGAACATTTCAATATGAACATCTTCAGCAAGGCCCTTGGCGATATTGGCATAATTTATTAACAGATCACATTTGAGAAAGCATTTCACAAGGAAGAAAAGGAAGAAATAGTTAAATACAATTCCAAATAAACATTTATTGCATTAGGTTTGCTATCCATTTTTCCCTCAAGGCAATTATTCTTGAATAAATGAGTTACTGAATAAACAAAGCCCTTATTATAAGTCAATTCTTCCTATAGACTTTTTTCATGAAAGCAAATTATTGTGTTGCTCATAATCCATTATCTATGTAGAAATTTGAAAACCATATATTTTATCAGGCAAATTTATTCTCCAGAGTTGGAGCCAAGCATACCAACCAATTGCGCCACACAAATGCAAATTTATTCTCATAAATAAATGTACCAAATGACATACAGATAACACAGGGGAACAGTGAGCCAAGTCATGGACAGGTGGAATAGATTTGCCTTATTAATGTAGTTCTTTTCACCTATATTTTAAATACCTTTGAGGTCATTACCATCTATGTGTATTCTACTAATGAGCTTTAGCCTCCACTGAAGTTCTATCACTTAGCATTGATTAGAAACTGACTGCTTAATTTCCCAACCATTAATGAGGCACACTTTCTCTCATTAAGTTGAATCTTCCTTTTGTTAGTGATACTAATCCATTGATGACTCTTTAGCATATCCTGGTGAAGGCTGCTTGCCCGTAAAACCAAAATATGGCACAGAAACTCAACGGAAGCTATACCAGCAGTGCTGTGGCCCTTGGATGTAACTGACAAGTAACTGACACTAATAACCTCCCAGAGAATTCCTTTTGTCTACATCTTTTCACACACATTTTATGTGTGTGTACACTGACCTAGGGGCAGCTCTTGTCAAAGAACTAACACTGGACAGCTTGCCCTTTCCAACTACCAGAAAGTGACCTTCTGGGCTGTACACTGTTCTGTTATCCTGCTGGCTCTACCTGCACTAGCCCTCTCAAAGTGGCCCAGAGGACCCTGAAAATTAGGTAAGCATGTGCCTCATTTGGTTGCAGGACCCAGTTAATGCACCCCACGTCATGGTTTAAAATATCACAAGGTCTAGTCAGTCATTTTGTTCCATAGGTCACAATTGAACTTGTAATCCTGCTTGGTAGCAATGAAAATGTGTTACATAAGTAACAAGAAAGATCAGATGAAAGAATATATATAACACCACCAAGGTCTTACATAAAAATCTACCAACACATATTTAGCGTGTACTTATACGTTGGTTTTTGGATTTGCAGACTCAGCACTCATAAAGGCATTTCCTTCTCTCAGGGTCTCTGGACCAACTTTGAAGGTCAGATGGTACTAGGCGCACATTGGGCTTAGACTTCATGGCCTAAGGATTGCTTCCCATAGATATGGCTAATTGGGAAACAACAGTTGTAATGCATTATCTTACTTTGTTATTTTGCTCTGAACTAGAACTTTTAAAATTTAAAAAGCTGTTTTAAAGAATTCCATTAATTGGAAATCATTTTAAATATTAAAAAAGTTAAAATAGTTAATAAAATATTCAATAATTTTAAAAGATTAATATTTAAAAATATAAGAGCCAGGTATTGCTCTCATTAATCCTCAACTGTTACCAATCAGTGCTGAATATAATTCTAGTTTTTCCTCCAAAAGTGACTTGGGTTAAACAAGAGAGGTGAAAATCTTAGTAGGAAGAGGTTATATGAAAAATATTAAATCATTCCATGGCAGCCCCACTGTAAAAAGGCAGTCCAGCAGCAGGAAGAATCACATTCATTTCCTCATTCATTCAACAAACATACACTTATCCCCTACCATGTGCCAGGTACTGCATTAAGCGTTGGGGGTGTAGGATCAGTAGAGAGGCATGATTTCTGCCCTCATAGAACCCAGAGTCTAGTGGGGAGATAGCCATTAAACAAATAAACATTGTGATAAGTGATCTGAAGGAAAAAAAAGCAGGATACTCCATGTCCCTCTTGAAATTCATAATACATGTTAACATATCAAAGGCCCTGATAAGTCCTACTGTAAAAAAAATCCCTTTAACTTTATTGAACACAAAAACTGGGTACACCTAATTTTGGGGGTGGTTAGTGACAACCTCTCTGAGAAAACAGCATTTAAGCAAAGAAACAAAGGACGAGTAGGAATAGAAAGACGGGTGACAGAATATTTCAGACAGAGGGAATTAGAATATGCCTCGAGCAGGAATTAGTCTGAAACACTAGAAGAACTGACAGTTTGGCTACAGCAGCAGGAGCCTGGCGGGGAGAGATGGGCATGGTTCAGGTCATGCATAGTTGTGTAGGTGATGGTACAGTGTTCAAATCCTGAATGTGATGGTAAGTCTTCAAAGGTTTGCCGCAAAATAGTAGTGTGGCACAGTTTTGGTTTTTTGTTGTTTCTTTGTTATTTAGAACGAACCTGGCTGCAGCATAGATAGGAGTTTACAAGAAGATAAGAATGGAAGCAGGAAAATGAGTATGAGGTGACTGTAATAGTCTAGCTGAGGGATGATGGTGGCTTGGACTTGGTAGATAAGCAACATAGATCCAGTTCTCCAGGACACATATATAAACTTATAAGTTGTTTTAAGATTAGGTAGTATGGGTTATTTAAGGACAAGATAAGGCCAGGGCAAAGACAGAAATTTTTGAAATTTGATCCAATTTCCAAAGTTAATAAGCATGGGTTCCATAAGAAACTCATAGGATAGCATGTCCCAAATGGTGTTCCATCTCTCCAGATGGCCCTTGGGGAATGATATAGTTTGGATATTTGTCCCCACCAAATCTCATGTTGAAATTTGATCTCCAGTGTCAAAGGTGGGGCCTGGTGGGAGGTGTTTAGATCATGAGGGCAGATTCCTCGTAAATGGCTTGGTGCCATCCTTGAGGTAATCAGTGAGTTCTCACTCTATTAGTTCCCACAAGAACTGATTGTTAAAAAAGAGCCTGGCACCTCCCCCCACTCCTTTCTCCTCTCTGGCTGTGTGATGTGCACGTGCCAACTCCCATTCACCTTCTGCCATGACTGGAAGCTGCCTGATGTCCTCACCAGAAGCAGATGTTGGCACCATGCTTCCTGAACGCCCTCCAGAACCCTGAGCCAAATAAACTTCTTTTTCTTTATAAATTACCCAGCCTCAGTTATTCCTTTATAGCCATACAAATGGACTAAGACAGGAGAAAAAATGCCTCCATGCTCCAATACACTTGGAAAAGCTGCACACTCCAAGTCCTTGGTAAATCCTATAGTAGAGAAACACCTTCAACTTTTTCTACCCACTGCTCTAGAGCTTTTTTTGACCATAGAATCTTCTGTTTCGTGTAGCACCTATTGTACGGTTGTTGCAAGCACTGAAGGAAGTCTTACATGTCAAGTGCTCAGCACAGGATCTGGCATGGAGTAAACATTGAGTATTAGTTGTAGCTGTTGTTAGAATTGGTATTTACATTGCTTCCATAAACAAGTCATAACATCTAGGAACAGATGTGGGAAGCATAAATTGCTCTAACAACTCCTTGAGAACGTTGGTTTAAACGGTGGGAGAGTTCAGGCCCAACTGCTCAATTCTGTCTTGCCTGATAAGCAACTCTGGGAGTGTATTTATGTTCACCAACAGGGCTTTATTCTCAAGATGAATAGAGAAAACCTCAGAGATAAAGTGTTGGGGAAAACTTTGAAGACAAATCTACGCTTTTTATGCAATGAAACTTTCTTCAGGGGCTGACCAGGAAACTTAGCTAGCTGGACCCTATCTATTCAGTGATTCTACCCTTCCCAGGAAACTCTAAGCCATGAGTTTTTGAAGCTCAGGGCAAACAAACAATTTCTAAAATATTCAGCCAAATTTCTAGTCCCTCTTAGATCAATAGATTTTTTTAATAGGATGCCCTTCTTCTGGAATTATTGGTGCCAAAACAAAAAGTATCTTCTCTTAGCTTTCAAGTTATGCGCTACTTACCAAGCGTGAAAAATAAGGCCAGTATTTGTATGTACACTCGGTTACATCTGGTTCCTCTGTGTAAATAGCCTTTCATAAAATGATATGAATATTTCATAACACCTTAAGCACTAAAGAAAACTACAGATGACTGCTAGTTATGGAAAAGTGGAAAAGTGAAATAAGAGAAATAATAAAACCTACTGTCTGGTGGTACCCTTTAAACTTAAATACACAAAATGTTCTCTCTGACCAGAAAAGCAGAACTAAAGACCCCTCTTTGGGACTACTCTCACATTCTGATTTTGTTTACGGTAACTAAGGAAATGTTGATCTAAAGAATATGACAACAACAAAACAACTGCCATCTATTGAGCATTATGTCATATAGCAAGGCCTATGTGGATGTTCTTTTTTTTTAAGTTTTTATTATTTATTTATTTATTTATTTATTATTTATTTATTTTGAGACAGAGTCTCACTCTGTTGCCCAGGCTGGAGTGCAGTGGCGCAATCTTAGCTCACTGCAAGCTCCACCTCTCGAGTTCCCGCCATTCTCCTGCCTCAGCCTCCCGAGTAGCTGGTACTACAAGCGCCCACCACCACGCCTGGCTAATTTTTTTTTATTACACTTGAAGTTCTAGGGTACATGTGCACAACGTGCAGGTTTGTTACATATGTATACATGTGCCATGTTGGTGTGCTGCACCCACTAGCTCGTCATTTACATTAGGTATATCTCCTAATGCTTTCCCTTCCCCCTTCCCCCACCCCAGGTTATTCTTTCTACATGTTTTCTCTAGTTCTTACAGTGACTCTTGCCCAGTAGATAACTTCACTGTAGAGAAGAAGTACTGATGATTCAGCAATGTGCTCAGGGTTTCATAGGTAGTCACCTATTGCATATATCAGATTTAAATCTAAGTAGGTACAGCTCCAGAGCAAGGCCCCCTCAATTACCTCTTTCTTAGTTATCTAACTTGGCCGAACAGGTACCCACATTACACAGAAATAATGCATGTATATTGAGCAGGTGCAAATAGATAAAAGCATATCTTACAGCAAGAAGAGAACAAATTTTCACAATTAAGTTGAAATGGAACAGGAACAATTTCCTACTGCTCAATTAGTCATGGAAGTCTTGAAAGAAGAGGATAGGGGTAATGCCTGAGTGGACTTTCAAGGTTACTGTTTCTGTCAGTTAAGAGAATCAAAAGGTAATAATCTTTTACCTCTTGCATGCATCTGGCAAACAAGTGAGTGTTTAATTTATATTTATTGAACAAATAAACCTAGAAGCTTGAATTTCACATAGCAACTATTAACTCTACGTATAATCTACCCACTCCCTTCCTGTCTCTGTCTCAATTTGCCTTCCTTCTGCTCCCTCATTCTGCTCACTTTAAAATGGATTTAAATATTTTTGAGCAAAGAATGCTGACCCTTGAGTTGAAGAGGAAAACAGAAGCTATCTTGGCTGACAAAACTGATAATCCATAACTCCAAACACAGTGCTGCCACAGCTTTTTGGGCAAATCAGAGTGTGGAAGTTAGATTGTCAAACGAACCCTGAATACAATCCTCCTATAAGCAATCCAAGATGCACTTTATTCCAGCAAAACCAAATAATTTTTGGTGAGTGTCTCTGCCATGCCTACACACCCACTTCTGATGCTTCATAAATGAACAATGTCACAACAATTGTACTGCCAATCATCTTCTCCTGCAGGTTTTCAACAAGAAGCCTAAAGCATTTGCTGCTTTATTCCCATAAGGTCAAGCCACAGCGCAAGCTCTTCAGATGACCCTAAAGATCAGGGCAAGGCACAAGCCCCACTCTGACATTTTATAATCAAGGCCTCCAACTAGCTTAGTGGAAGGGTTTATTTGTACTGTATGGTGTCCCTGCAGGAGGAGATTGGAACCAGTAAGGAGATGTACATTAGGGGTTTTAGAAAATTGATGTTGGTTCCCTGCACCTCTGCATCAATTTAGCATATGAGCTAGAGCCAACTTACTAGTTTCTCCTTGGGTTTCTGGCTCCTCATCTGTGACGCTGGAATGAGAGTGGTGACTGGTTGCATGACCTCTAGCCATTAGGTAAATGGAAAATGCTACACACAATCAATGCTAAATAGTAACAAAATCCAAGAAAAAAATCAGGTCATTCCCATTGAGAAATCATCACACTTTGAACCACAGATCAGTGGATACCTGAAAATAAAACTCATATTTCAGACCAAATGTATTTCCCCCTTTTCTGGTCCATCTCTAGGGTACTTTATGTCTTCCTGTCAGCCTATTAGGAGCACTAATCGTGCTTCTTATAGTAAACAATCGATTGAGTTTGAAAGGATGAGAGATAATAAAATGATAAAATGTACCCTGGGTGTGACTCTTACTTGGATCAATTTAGCTTTTAGTATATAAGCAGGCAATCATTTATAGAAAGTCCAGCTCCAGGTCTAGGGAAGGAAAAGTAGGTGAGGTGGAGGGTCTATTAATAGAACTCCATATAGTCCTGCCCAGAACTATTCACATACCCCCACCTCAATCTCCATGAGAAGGAAAGCCAGACTCTTCTATTCCTGGGCTCATAATTTTCACATCTTTAATCTAAAGCTACTGCTGAGTTGACATGAATAGATGCAGCCAGGTGGCCAAGAAGATAGCTGCTTACAGCAATTGATCAGATTGTTGCATGATCATTCAGTTCAATCAGCAACACAAAAAGCCATAATATTGGATCATGAAACAGTCGGTGGAATCATTTCACCTACCTGAATGACTAAATTATATCTATTATGCACTCTCACCATGTCAGTGCATATGGTTTTCAAACAAAATATTTCACAGAAGCATATCAAACAAAAGTGAAGCTGCTGTGGTTGAAGTGGAGTGGGTGAGCCCAAAGTCCCCGTCATTCTGCTTCTTTCTCTGACCTCTGTATTAGCCCCAGAAGTGCCTCCAATGAACCCCTAGGAATGCACAGAAGACAATTTGAGAACAATTTGGATGAAGCCCAAACCCCTCATTATTTTTTTCATGAGAATGCTAAGGCTCAGAAAGTACTTAACCACAGTGCTATAGATAGAGTGATATTCCCAGGACTAGAATCAAGGTGTACAGAATCTTCATCCAGCACTTGATCCATATGGATTCTTTACATGTGGCTGAAGTAGATCAGGTCTCTGTTCTATGGGTACAACTATGCCAGGCAGGGAGAAAAGTGAGGAAGATTGTGCAGTAGGGCAGTATACAGCAAGTGTACATCCCAAGAAGTGAAGTGTATATCAGGTGAAAGCTAGGTATACAGCAGAGCATTTCTTTTCCATAGATCCGGTCCCTTCTTACCAGAGCATGGTTAGCTCCTTTCAGAAGCAATGTCAGGCCAAACGATTCTATACAGTGCTTGGCAATTAGCAGTTATAAGAGCAAGAAGCAGTCACATTCGAATTTGGTTCAAATTCCAAACATAGCCTTAAAAAAATAAAACCCTTTTTAATATCTGAGGAGATAGGACAATCTTTACATATATGTTTATAGAAAAATCTCATTTAACTAGAATTGCAACAATCAGAATGCTCATACAACCGGATTACTTCTTCTCCCCTAGCTGTTTTGAATAATTATTAACATTTATGATAATAACTTCAAGACACTGTAACTTCCAGCTTCTTCTAGCTTCTTCCAAACCTCTAAATATGTTCATATACTCATTCATTCAATGAATATTTATTGAGTAGCTATTATTTATTAGGCCCTGACTCAGGCACTAAGGAATCTAAGCTATTCTTGGGAGTCCACTGACAGTCTTCCCAGAATGAAACTTCAGCTGAAACACGAATGTGAGAATCACAGAGGTGGAGGTGAAGACATTAGACAAAATGATCTCCAAGAGATTTCAAAAGCTAATATTCCATTATTCTCTGATTCTATTCTGTTGATTGGCTGTATATGTATGATATAATGAGACTATTTTGATTTTTAAATTTGGGATGAATATTTTCCTTTAGTTAACAAAGCAGTCACCTATGTTAGTCACCAGCCATATAGTCTACCAACTAGCACAGTTTTAGGATCTATTGTAATTTTTTGAAATTTCTGTCCTAATTGTGCCTTCATATCCAATTTGTTTGCAAGCCAAAGAAACCCTCTATTACCTTACAGTTATAACATGATTTTCACAGAAAATATATTACCACACTGACCTACTTAGTAAGATATGGGTGCAAATGTATGTTGGTTATTTTGTTGTTGTTGGCTATCTTAAAGAAGCAAATCACACTCAAAGGTTAGGTCCAAACTGGAGTTACCCAGATTATGCCATGGGTTCTGAAGGGAGTTCTCAAATAATAGATGCAAAAACATTTGAGTAATGACAACAAAATTGAAATAACTATATTTCAGTTTTGGCCTCCCAGATGATGAAGGTGAAAGAGACAATCCTCACTTAGATATTTATGGGTGGTCATTCTAGCCATTCAACAAATTAACTTCATTACTTCCAAACTCATTCTTCCCCAGGAGGGACATGTGTTCAACACATAATTAAGAATGAAAATGAAGAGTCCAAGATGAAAGGCAAATCAGCAAAAGAGTCCATGCCAGCCTTGGTGTATCACAGAAGTGGAATTTTAAGCCCAAGGGTGGAAACTTAGAATTTGAAGGAACCTCAAGATATCATCTGGCTGAAGCCTTTGCCTTAGGTAAGTAAGTCTCTAACCTACACAGGACATGATTCTATTAGTTTAAAAGAAAATTTCTTCAAATGTCAACCTAAATCTCAAATCATCTATTTCTCTTGAATATAGAAGACAACTCTTCTTCATCAAAAATACCTCATTTGTTTCAGGTTATCCTTAGACTTCTTTATTCCAAGGAAAAATAATTGCAGTACTTTTAAACTTTCGTCCTAGAGCTTATTTTCTTTCTCTTTCTCACGTTGTTCAGAGTGGCTATGATTTGCATTCTTCCCACAGCAGAGTCCAAGGTCACCAAAGAGTAATAACACATTTACCTATTGACCCTCAGGGGAACTTGTACTTCTCCAATAAAATTACTAATGTGTTATGAACTTCGTTTTAATAACATGCTGACATAAAATATGCAATTAAAATTTTAAATTAAGTTTTTCTGTATTTGATGTTATAAATTAAGTGAATTATTTGGTATGAGAATATACATTTCAGTGTATTAAATTTATTGAGAGTATTATATGTGAGGGGGAAAGACCCTGATCAATCAAAGAAAGAGATCAATTTAAAAGCTTTCATATGAAGCAAGACAGAAGTTAGTAAAATTGAATTGGATACATCTGAATGATTTGCTTTAAAAGTATATTTTTTGCTCTGACAGAACTCGCTGTGCTCTAATTTCAGATACCCAAGGATAAAAAGATAAGAACTGTCCCAGTGTTAATAAAAATGGTTAATTTTCTTCAGACACAATACAGTTGTTGTGTTAAATTGGTTTCAAAGTTTGAAATACTATATAGATAAATTAGATAAGTTGTAAAATAAAATAATGGGCATGGATTCCAAGTTATGAATCCAAGTTAATATTCCAAGTTAAGAATCTTTCATATAGGGCAGGGAAGAAATTGGAAAGAATTTAAAGAGGAAGTAGACTGCCCTCATTTCATTCTAAATCAAGAAGATAATGTTTGGAAACACAAGAAGGTCAGAAGGTAAACAGAAGGATGGTACAGGCCTCCTGAAAGTAGAACTATCCAATGATTCATTTTATAGAAATTTTAGTGTTTTTTTTTAATAACTTCATGTCTTTGGGGGTAGTTCCCCTATAATCTGCAGGGCCCAGAGCAAAATGAAAATTCGGGCTCTATGTTTAAAAATTATTAAGAATTTCAGGATGGCAACAGAAAAGCATTAATCCAAGTACAAATTCCTTTTAAGTGTGGGGCTTAGTGCAGCTGCACAAATTGTATGCTTATAAAGTTATCCCTGATTGAGGATCATATGTCCCTTTGAAAATTTTATGAAAGCTATCGATACATGCATACACTCACACATGCCCACACATACAATTTTGCATACAGTTTCAGGGGGGTTGTGGACTCATTTAAGCCTTGTCCAGGGATTCCAAATTAAGAACCACTGGATTAGATTGATTCCAGGAGGCAGAGCTAAGACCCATTAATAGGAGTTCACAAAAGAACAGATTTTAGTTTCCTAACAATTAAAGGCATTCCAAAGTAAAGAGTCTGCTTTACTAGGCACTTTGTTTTGCAAGTGTAACTGTCAGCTGGACCATCACTTGCATGGTGTGCTCTCAATGGGATTCCTACACTGGGAAAAGGCTGGATTGAAAAACCTGTCTGGTCCCTTAACACATTAAGATTTTGTGAGTGTAACTATAAGGAACTATGAAATTTTCTACCCCATAGCGCCTCTTTGCCCACCCCATTTTCTGATGGCTTGAATATACTTAATTTCAGCTGTCCTGATTTATTTCATTTTCCTTGACAATGTAAAGGTTGAGCTTCCTGAATGCCAGGTTTATGTAAATTAACCTGAACCTATGGGTTTATAGAAAATCAACATGTTAATTTTATGCAAAGTGATGCAAAAGATCATTCCCCTGCTTTCTCAGAGGGAAAAAAATCTGATTACTTTCTCAAACGGACATTCAAAGCAGCATAAATAATCAAGAATGTGAAAATGGCAGACAAAGCTCTTACCAAGAGCAGCAAAAAGGGCACCAAATCCAAAGTGGTAGATCCAAGAAGCCTGATGATACAAGTGATTTCTAATAAAATCCATGAAAAGTCAGAGAATATGACAATCCCCATCATAAAATTCAAGGAATAAAAGTGCAAAGATAAAAATCCTAAAACAACATTAGGAAAGAGGAAGGTAAGATTACCCAGGAAACGGAACTGTTTATTCTCTTCCTTGTTCTTGTATGCAAGAGAGTTAAGCCGCACAGCCTGGGCCTCAAAATGCTGTGGTCAGTGTTCATACCTTCTAAGAGGAAATGGAAAGGCCCCTTGCAGACTGAAAAACAACTGCAAAAACAAAGGTCATTCTGGCCACAAATTGTTAAGGCCCCTAAGGGTGTTTTTATCTAACATCCTGGTCATGACATTCACCAGAAGTGATGTGTTTCCTGTTTATTTTTTTAATCAGCAGGATGAGTAGGTGAGCCACATTTTAGTGTCATTCATGGGCTCCAGTCCATATCTTGAAGGAACAACTAGAAAAGGAAGGGACAAAAGTACACAACGGGTAGTGGATTTTAAACAATTGTGTGCTAAGGGCCCCTTCACTGTACAGTTTACATTTTTATGACATTAAAGATCTAATCAGGATGTAAGGTAAGTTTCTTTAGTTCAAAATCAGATTTTATACATCTCCGCACAAATTGATCAGCTCTTTAAGAAAATTGAATTCTTTTTTTATTATTAAACTTTAAGTTCTGACATACATGTGCAGAACATGCAGGTTTGTTACATAGGTATACACGTGCCATGGTGGTTTGCTGCACCCATCGACCTGTCATCTACATTAGGTGTTTCACCTAATGTTATCCCTCCTCTCGCCCCTCATCCCCCAACAGGCCCCATGGGTGATGTTCCCCTCCCTGTGTCCATGTTTTCTCCTTGTTCTCCTTGTGTCCATGTGTTCTCACTCATAAGTGGGAATTGAACAATTGAACTAATTCTAAGTAAACTGAAATTAGTAGCAACAGCTTTGGCCAAGTTGTAGTTAGGTGAAGCACAGAGGATGTGCGAATGACACTTAGGGACTGAATAAAATGGAAAGAGGTAAAAGAAGTCTAGGATCTACTATCAAAGCAGAAATTAGAGTGACTGAGGAAGAGCTCAAAGAGCTGGGAGACTCGACTTTGAACAAAAGTAAAAAGGAAGGATGAGATGCAGTGGCTCTATAAAAAGGCTAACTTAGACGTAGCCAATAGAAGCATGCTGATAAAAATCAGGCCTTCCTACTCCCCTGACAAATGGGGTTCTACTTCCTTTATATTGTCATTCTACTGCATATGCTGTGTAAAGGAAAACACTACCACAAATATTTACTCTACATAGGTTTAAAAACTGTTCACCACCATTCTCCCTCTGGTATTGTTTTGTCTAATATTTTGTTGCACAGGCATAAGTTTAAATATGGGATCCCACGGTCTAGATTGCAGGAAGGTACTTTGGCTGTTCATTTACACAGCATTTTCTTAAGGCTTTTTGTAATTCCATGCTGTATAGATGATATTTTCTCTTAATAAAAAGAAAGCAATTTTGGGGGGAGGAGCCAAGATGGCCGAATAGGAACAGCTCTGGTCTACAGCTGTCAGCGTGAGCAACGCAGAAGATGGTGATTTCTGCATTTCCATCTGAGGTACCGGGTTCATCTCACTAGGGAGTGCCAGACAGTGGGCGCAGGTCAGTGGGTGCGCGCACCATGCGCGAGCCGAAGCAGGGTGAGGCATTGCCTCACTGGGGAAGCGCAAGGGGTCAGGGAGTTCCCTTTCCGAGTCAAAGAAAGGGGTGACGGAGGGCACCTGGAAAATCGGGTCACTCCCACCCGAATACCGCGCTTTTCCGACGAGCTTAAAAAACGGCGCACCACGAGATTAAATCCCACAACTGGCATGGAGGGTCCTACCCCACGGAGTCTCGCTGACTGCTGGCACAGCAGTCTGAGATCAAACTGCAAGGCGGCAGCGAGGCTGGGGGAGGGGCGCCCGCCATTGCCTAGGCTTGATTAGGTAAACAAAGCAGCCATGAAGCTCGAACTGGGCAGAGCCCACCACAGCACAAGGAGGCCTGCCTGCCTCTGTAGGCTCCACCTCTGGGGGCAGGGCACAGACAAACAAAAAGACAGCAGTAACCTCTGCAGACTTAAATGTCCCTGTCTGACAGCTTTGAAGAGAGCAGTGGTTCTCCCAGCACGCAGCTGGAGATCTGAGAACCGGCAGACTGCCTCCTCAAGTGGGTCCCTGACCCCTGAACCCTGAGCACCCTAACTGGGAGGCACCCCCCAGCAGGGGCACAGTGACACCTCACACGGCAGGGTATTCCAACAGACCTGCAGCTGAGGGTCCGGTCTGTTAGAAGGAAAACTAACAAACAGAAAGGACATCCACACCAAAAACCCATCTGTACATCACCATCATCAAAGATCAAAAGTATATAAAACCACAAAGATGGGGAAAAAACAGAACAGGAAAACTGGGAACTCTAAAAAGCAGAGCACCTCTCCTCCTCCAAAGGAACGCAATTCCTCACCAGCAACGGAACAAAGCTGGACAGAGAATGACTTTGACGAGCTGAGAGAAGAAGGCTTCAGATGATCAAATTTCTCCGAGCTATGGGAGGACATTCAAACCAAAGGCAAAGAAGTTGAAAACTTTGAAAAAAATTTTGAATATATAACTAGAATAACCAATACAGAGAAGTGCTTAAAGGAGCTGATGGAGCTGAAAACCAAGGCTCGAGAACTACGTGAAGAATGCAGAAGCCTCAAGAGCCGATGTGATCAACTGGAAGAAAGGGTATCAGCGATGGAAGATAAAATGAATGAAATGAAGAGAGAAGAGAAGTTTAGAGAAAAAAGAATAAAAAGAAATGAGCAAAGCCTCCAAGAAATATGGGACTATGTGAAAAGACCAAATCTACGTCTGATTGGTGTATCTGAAAGTGACGGGGAGAATGGAACCAAGTTGGAAAACACTCTGCAGGATATTATCCAGGAGAACTTCCCCAATCTAGCAAGGCAGGCCAATGTTCAGATTCAGGAAATACAGAAAACGCTACAAAGATACTCCTCGAGAAGATAAACTCCAAGACACATAATTGTCAGATTCACCAAAGTTGAAATGAAGGAAAAAATGTTAAGGGCAGCCAGAGAGAAAGGTCGGGTTGCCCACAAAGGGAAGCCCATCAGACTAACAGTGGATCTCTCAGCAGAAACTCTATAAGCCAGAAGAGAGTGGGGGCCAATATTCAACATTCTTAAAGAAAAGAATTTTCAACCCAGAATTTCATATCCAGCCAAACTAAGCTTCATAAGTGAAGGAGAAATAAAATCCTTTACAGACAAGCAAAGGCTGAGAGATTTTGTCACCACCAGCCCTGCCCTAAAAGAGCTCCTGAAGGAAGCACTAAACATGGAAAGGAACAACTGGTACCAGCCACTGCAAAATCATGCCAAAATGTAAAGATCATCCAGACTAGGAAGAAACTGCATCAACTAACGAGCAAAATAACCAGCTAACATCATAATGACAGGATCAAATTCACACATAACAATATTAACTTTAAATGTAAATGGACTAAATGCTCCAATTAAAAGACACAGACTGGCAAATTGGATAAAGAGTCAAGACCCATCAGTGTGCTGAATTCAGGAAACCCATCTCACGTGCAGAGACACACATAGACTCAAAATAAAAGGATGGAGGAAGATCTACCAAGCAAATGGAAAACAAAAAAAGGCAGGGGTTGCAATCCTAGTCTCTGATAAAACAGACTTTAAACCAACAGAGATCGAAAGAGACAAAGAAGGCCATTACATAATGGTAAAGGGATCAATTCAACAAGAAGAGCTAACTATCCTACATATATATGCACCCAATACAGGAGCACCAAGATTCATAAAGCAAGTCCTGAGTGACCTACAAAGAGACTTAGACTCCCACACAATAATAATGGGAGACTTTAACACCCCACTGTCAACATTAGACAGATCAAAGAGACAGAAAGTCAACAAGGATACCCAGGAATTGAACTCAGCTCTGCACCAAGTGGACCTAATAGACATCTACAGAACTCTCCACCCCAAATAAACAGAATATACATTTTTTTCAGCACCACACCACACCTATACCAAAATTGACCACATACTTGGAAGTAAAGCTCTCCTCAGCAAATGTAAAAGAACAGAAATTATAACAAACTATCTCTCAGACCACAGTGCAATCAAACTAGAACTCAGGATTAAGAATCTCAATCAAAACCGCTCAACTACATGGAAACTGAACAACCTGCTCCTGAATGACCACTGGGTACATAACGAAATGAAGGCAGAAATAAAGATGTTCTTTGAAACCAATGAGAACAAAGACACAACATACCAGAATCTCTGGGACGCATTTAAAGCAGTGTGTAGAGGGAAATTTATAGCACTAAATGCCCACAAGAGAAAGCAGGAAAGATCCAAAATTGACACCCTAACATCACAATTAAAAGAACTAGAAAAGCAAGAGCAAACACATTCAAAAGCTAGCAGAAGGCAAGAAATAACTAAGAACAGAGCAGAACTGAAGGAAATAGAGACACAAAAAACCCTTCAAAAAATTAATGAATCCAGGAGCTGGTTTTTTGAAAGGATCAACAAAATTGATAGACCGCTAGCAAGACTAATAAAGAAGAAAAGAGAGAAGAATCAAATAGACGCAATAAAAAATTATAAAGGGGATATCACCACCGATCCCACAGAAATACAAACTACCATCAGAGAATACTACAAACACCTCTACGCAAATAAACTAGAAAATCTATGAAGAAATGGATAAATTCCTTGACACATACACTCTCCCAAAACTAAACCAGGAAGAAGTTGAATCTCTGAATAGACCAATAACAGGATCTGAAATTGTGGCAATAATCAATAGCTTACCAACCAAAAAGAGTCCAGGACCAGATGGATTCACAGCCGAATTCTACCAGAGGTACAAGGAGGAACTGGTACCATTCCTTCTGAAACTATTCCAATCAATAGAAAAAGAGGGAATCCTCCCTAACTCATTTTATGAGGCCAGCATAATTCTGATACCAAAGCCAGGCAGAGACACAATAAAAAAAGAGAATTTTAGACCAATATCCTTGATGAATATTGAAGCAAAAATCCTCAATAAAATACTGGCAAAACGAATCCAGAAGCACATCAAAAAGCTTATCCACCATGATCAAGTGGGCTTCATCCCTGGGATGCAAGGCTGGTTCAATATACGCAAATCAATAAATAATCTAGCATATAAACAGAGCCAAAGACAAAAACCACATGATTATCTCAATAGATGCAGAAAAAGCCTTTGACAAAATTCAACAACCCTTCATGCTAAAAACTCTCAAGAAATTAGGTAATGATGGGACGTATTTCAAAATAATAAGAGCTATCTATGACAAACCCACAGCCGATATCATACTGAATGGGCAAAAACTGGAAGCATTCCCTTTGAAAACTGGCACAAGACAGGGATGCCCTCTCTCAACACTCCTCTTCAACATAGTGTTGGAAGTTCTGGCCAGGGCAATTAGGCAGGAGAAAGAAATAAAGGGTATTTAATTAGGAAAAGAGGAAGTCAAATTGTCCCTGTTTGCAGATGACATGATTGTATATCTAGAAAACCCCACTGTCTCAGCCCAAAATCTCCTTAAGCTGATAAGCAACTTCAGCAAACTCTCAGGATACAAAATCAATGTACAAAAATCACAAGCATTCTTATACACCAATAACAGACAAACAGAGAGCCAAATCATGAGTGAACTCCCATTCACAATTGCCTCAAAGAGAATAAAATACCTAGGAATCCAACTTACAAGGGATGTGAAGGACCTCTTCAAGGAGAACTACAAACCACTGCTCAAGGAAATAAAAGAGGATACAAACAAATGGAAGAACATTCCATGCTCATGGGTAGGAAGAATCAATATCGTGAAAATGGCCATACTGCCCAAGGTAATTTACAGATTCAATACCATCCCCATCAAGCTACCAAAGCCTTTCTTCACAGAATTGGAAAAAACTACTTTAAAGTTCATATGGAACCAAAAAAGAGCCCACATCGCCAAATCAATCCTAAGCCAAAAGAACAAAGCTGGAGGCATCACACTACCTGACTTCAAACTATACTACAAGGCTACAGTAACCAAAACAGCATGGTACTTGTACCAAAACAGAGATATAGATCAATAGAACAGAACAGAGCCCTCAGAAATAACGCCGCATATCTACAACTATCTGATCTTTGACAAAACTGAGAAAAACAAGCAATGGGGAAAGGATTCCCTATTTAATAAATGGTGCTGGGAAAACTGGCTAGCCATATGTACAAAGCTGAAACTGGATCCCTTCATTACACCTTATACAAAAATCAGTTCAACATGGATTAAAGACTTAAACGTTAGACCTAAAACCATAAAAACCCTAGAAGAAAACCTAGGCATTACCATTCAGGACATAGGCATGGGCAAGGACTTCATGTCTAAAACACCAAAAGCAATGTCAACAAAAGCCAAAATTGACAAATGGGATCTAATTAAGCTAAAGAGCTTCTGCACAGCAAAAGAAATGACCATCAGAGTGAACAGGCAACCTACAAAATGGGAGAAAATTTTTGCAACCTACTCATCTGACAAAGGGCTAATATCCAGAATCTACAATGAACTCAAACAAATTTACAAGAAAAAAACAAACAATCCTATCAAAAAGTGGGCGAAGGACATGAACAGACACTTCTCAAAAGAAGACATTTATGCAGCCAAAAGACACATGAAAAAATGCTCGTCATCACTGGTCATCAGAGAAATGCAAATCAAAACCACAATGAGATACCATCTCACACCAGTTAGAATGGCGATCATTAAAAAGTCAGGAAACAACAGGTGCTGGAGAGGATGTGGAGAAATAGGAACACTTTTACACTGTTGGTGGGACTGTAAACTAGTTCAACCATTGTGGAAGTCAGTGTGGCGATTCCTCAGGCATCTAGAACTGGAAATACCATTTGACCCAGCCATCCCATTACTGGGTATATACCCAAAGGACTATAAATCATGCTGCTATAAAGACACATGCACACGTATGTTTATTGCGGCATTATTCACAATAGCAAAGACTTGGAACCAACCCAAATGTCCAACAATGATAGACTGGATTAAGAAAATGTGGCACATATACACCATGGAATACTATGCAGCCATAAAAAATGATGAGTTCATGTCCTTTTTATGGACATGGATGAAATTGGAAAACATCATTCTCAGTAAACTATCACAAGAACAAAAAACCAAACACCGCATATTCTCACTCATAGGTGGGAACTGAACAATGAGATCACATGGACACAGGAAGGGGAATATCACACTCTGGGGACTGTTATGGGTGGGGGAGGGATAGCATTGGGAGTTATACCTAACGCTAGATGACGAGTTAGTGGGTGCAGTGCACCAGCATGTCACATGTATACATATGTAACATGTAACTAACCTGCACAATGTGCACATGTACCCTAAAACTTAAAGTATAAAAAAAAAAGAAAGAAAGCAATTGGCCTGCCCTTTCCCAGCCCACCATGCTCTCTGTTCTTAGCTAGTTCATACCACATGAATCCTAAATAAGCCAAGTCACTGACCACTGAGGTGGGTGGTGTTCAGACATTAAAATCTCATTATAAACTATAAAGTCTATGTGAATGTGGGCTCTGCAGATGAGGATAGAGTTTCAAAGGCCCTGATTGCACTGATAAATCCTCCTTGTCAAAACAGCAAAACCTGAGAGTAGGCAGGCTGTGCTCTGGCCACAATTCCAAACTGTGATAGGTGGCATACTCAGTTTTTCAAGGTTGTTTAATGACTTTCAATCACATGTGTTCTGCTCCTAAAGACTGCTAGGGTGCCAGTAATCCACAAGCATCTATTCAATTATCTAATAAACATTCGTAGATCAACTATTATGTACAAGGCAGTCTACCAGGTATAGAGAATCGAGGAAACAATTTTTGCCTTCAAAAAGCTCCCAGGTATGGTGGAAAAGACAGACGTACAAATAACTAAATCACAATATGACCAGTTCCAGTATAGAAGTCTAAACAAAATGCTACAGGAGCACAGAGGAAGGACAATTAATTCTGCCTGGAAGAGGTGGGTCGATGGGGGCAATCCAACGAAAGGTACACAGAGAAAATGACATTTGAAATGGTTCTTCAAAGATGAATAGTATCAAAAGTCAGAGAAGGTGGGAAGTGATTCACATGTGAAGAAAAGCATAAGATAAAATGCTCAGAGCTGGGAATATGAACAGTTCTTTTTTCAGAATGATAAATAACTCAGGATGGCTCTTGTGTGAAGAGGTGTGTGGCAAGGGGTACAAAAATAGGACTGAGGGGCACAAAAATAGGACTGAGAAGCCTGGAGCCTAAATGAATTGTGTGTTTGTGTGTGTGCGTGTGTGTGTGTGTGTATACACATGCATATGTATATACCTATACATACATATATAATAGCACACGTGTTTTTATATTTATATAAAAATTAGCATAGTACCTATTACAGGCCATTGAATATTTAAGTATTGAATGAATAAGTGAACTAAGGAATAAATTAAGGGTCTTGTATGCCATATATTATATGCTACAAGGCATTTTACCTTTATCCTGTATGCAATAGGGAGTCAAAGGAGTTTTATTTCATAAGTAGAGGTCTTGCATCTAGCAGTTGATCTACAAATGTTCATTAGACAATGGAATAAATGCTTGAAATTGCTGTACATCTATAACTAAAAACAAGCAAACAAGTAAAAACACCATTTGCAAGTATTATGGAAAATGGGCAGTAATGTAGAAGGGCTGGAAGAAATTATGAAAGGCTGAACTAGGTCAGCAACAGATAGGATGAAGAAGTGTGGGGTGACTACCTATTAGGTACTACGCTCACTACCTGGGTGACAGGACCATATATACCACAAACCTTAGCATCACACAATACACCTAGGTAACAAACCTGCACGTGTATACCCCCGAATCTAAAATAAAAGTCAAAATTTGTTTAAAAAAAACATGACTGGAGTGGTGTGATGGTTAATATTAGGTATCAACTTGTTGGATTGAAGGACGCCAGATGGCTGGTAAAGTACTTGTTTCTGGGTGTGTCTTTGAGGGTGTTGCCAGAGGAGATAACATTTGAGTCAGTGGACTTGACAGGCAGATCCACCCTCAGTATGGGTGGGCACCATCCAATCAACTGCCAGCAGAACTAGAACAAAGCAGGTGGAAGAAGGTGGAATAAGCTGGCTTGCTGAGTCTTCTGGCTTTCATCTTTTTCCCTTGCTGGATGCTTCCCACTCTTGGACGTCAGACTCCAGGTTCTTTGGACTTTGCACTCTTGGACTTACACCAGTGATTTGCTGGAGGCTCTCAGGCCTTCAGCCACAGACTGAAGGCCGCACTGTTGGCTTTCTTGCTTTTGAGGCTTTTGGACTTGGACTGAGCCACTACTGACTTCCTCCTCAGCTTGCAGATGGCCTATCGTGGGACTTCACTTTGTGATCGTGTGAGTCAATTCTCCTTAATAGACTCCCTTTCATATATACATCTATCCTATTAGTTCTTTCCCTCTGGAAAACTCTGACTAATACAGGTAGTTTAGAAGATATTTGAGAATTCAAACTGCAGAACTTGGTGATTACTGAATATGGAAACTTGCAGTAGATTTGAGAGTCACACCATATATTCTGGCCCAAATAGAATGATAATGTAATTTTAACTAAGATGGGGTACACAAGAAGGGTGGAATTTAAATAGATTAAAAATTGAGTTTTGAAGTTCAAAGTGCCTGTGGGACAGCCAAGGGAAGATGTCTAGAAGGAAAATAATGCATGTAACTCAGAGGAGACATAAAGACTGGATTGCTAGAAACCTCAATAGGTCAGGGGTTCTCATCCCTGGCTGTACATTAGAATCACCTTGTAGTTAAAACAAATAGATGAACAAAAAACCAACAGATTCCGAGGCCCCAGCCCAAATAAATCAGTAACTCTGGGAGTGGTACTTGCACAGGAATATGGTTTAAAAGCTCCCTGGGTGGTTCCAATATGCAGACACTGCTGAGAAGCACCAAGAGGGTAGATAGTTAATACCAAGGGAGTAGAAACTTTGGAAACGTATGGAGTGGTTTGTTAAAAGAGTAACAAGGAGAAAATGCTGGAGAAAAGCGACTTTTAAGAGACAGAGAGGAAAATGAGATAATGATGGAGACCGGGAAAAAATGGCCAGAAAGATACAGATAGGACCAAGATAAAATGATGTCACTAGAGCAGAAGAAGAGAGTGTCAAAAAGGAAGAGGTGTGTCCAATAACACCGAATGCTCAGTAGTGTTTCAGTGTATCAGTCTGGATTGGTTTAAAGATTAAACTAGCTGTCACCTATCAAAGAATAGGAAAGTTCTGAGTAAAGGTCAAGAAAATTGTGAATCATTTGAATTCTCTTTAGCCTTGGGGAGGGCGAAATGCACAAGAAACAAGCAAAGATATTAAAAGCAAAGTAGCCAGGGGGAGTGCCAAAGGTAAAATTTGCCAGTCTCATAACTTCTCCTGCCTTTGGCTTTTGAATACCTAACTTTGAAGAACTACTTGAAAAGTAACGAGAGCTATGCCTCACAGTCACCTTCTTGGGAAAAAAATGAAAAGATTCAGAGGTAGTTTGGTGAGAACCTAAGCAGAATAGCTCTCAAAAACTGAAGAATCGTGGTTGTGGGGGTGGTGCTTAGTAAATGTGTTCAAAGATTAGACCAATCACACTATGGTGACTATAAAGCTGTTATTCCTTCTAATTTCAGACTCTGAAGACAGCCATGAGATGGTAAAACGCTACTTCAGAGATGCAGAAGGAATGTATTACAGTGCCACCCGCTGGTAATGTTAAGACCAGAAACAAGTTCCTTTACTGTAAAAAAAAAAAAATCATTAATTCCCTGAAGCTGAAGATACAAATAAGCTTTATTCTGATTTTTAATTAAGGTTAATGCCTTACTCAGTTTTTTTTAAATTCAAAACATTTTCATAATTGAAAACAAAGCTTTGATTGAACCTTCCTATTATAGCAAATGTAAAGCATGTGAACAGAAACACGAGCATCACACTCTGGGGACTGTTGTGCGGTGGGGGGAGGGGGGAGGGATAGCATTAGGAGATATACCTAATGCTAAATGACGAGTTAATGGGTGCAGCACACCAGCATGGCACATGTATACATATGTAACTAACCTGCACATTGTGCACATGTACCCTAAAAATTAAAGTATAATAATAATAAAAAAATAAAAATAAAAATAAAAAAGAAACACTAGCACAGAGCTAGAATGTCTCAGCAACCTTGCCCCCTGCCTTCCAATCTAAAGCGCCTTAACCAACATTTCCTTTCTGGATTCAATATATATCCTATAATTTTAAAATTGTGGAGGTATTCAAAACACCATCTGTCTAGCTACTTGTTTCTCAACAAATATGTTTCCTAACTACCTGAATCTTATACTATCCTCCAGTCAATTTAGGCCACTTGATATTCAAAAATATCCTGCACTTTATGCATCCACATATTTGCTCTTATTTTAACCTCTGCTCAGAATACCATCCCCCGTCACTATTCCCAATCCAGTCTGCCCAATCCAGTCTTCACAGTCAATGTCAAATGATGCCTGTCCCATGAAGCCTTCCCTAATCACCCTCACACCCAGCTGAAAATAATATCTCCTTGATATGAACTATATCCATGCCTCTTATATGACTCTTATTATATTATGCCTTTTATAAGAGTTGTAAATAAGACATATCCATGGTGTTGTGGAAAGAGCATAAACTTTGGAATCAGTCGATCATCTGAAACCTAAATTTTCCACTTAATGGTTGGGGACCTCAGATAAACTCACCCTCCCTGAGCTTCAGTTTTCTCATCTTTAAAATGAGGCTAATGATGTCCACACAAAGGCACAACATGGACGAGTGATTAAGAGCAGGACTCTGGGGTCAGACAAATCTGGGTTTAAATCCTGGCTTTGCCAATTACTAGCTATGTAAGAGAGTGGTCAAATTATTTAGCTACTCTAAGCCTCAGTTTCCCTATATGGAGAACAAGAGTTGGACCTACCTACCTCAGTGTCTTTGTATTAGGAGACAATGTATGTAAAGTGCCTGGCATATAGGAGCACTCGATGCATGTTAGTTTCTCCCTTCCCCCTATGATTTACTTGTTTCTTGGGGGGCTAAAAGCATGTCTGGTCAATTTCTGAATCACTGAGAGGGACCCATCATAAGACATTTTATTTTGCTTGCTTGCATTTAGTTTGCTTGCATGTTTGGTGAATTAATAAATGCCCTATTTCTAAGACAATCCTTGGCAGAATTTGATTTCAGGAAACCACTGTCTTGTTTCTCCACAAAGTAGAGATGCCAAATACATGCCATTCATCTTAAGGGTTTAATGGGTGCCTCTTAAAACCATGTGTTTCTTGTCTGTAACCATTTAGGGAGAGCACACTTACAATACAGCTCTCATAACTCACACCCACAGAGAGAGGCAGGGCCTGACTCTTCTTAGCCTGGGGGAAGGTCATTGAATGTCAAAGCATTTCTTTTAGAAAATAGTCCTGGTGCAAGCCTCACAAAATATCATGCTTCTCTATGACAGTCTCAAATAAATATATGGAAGCAAATATGAGGCAAGAATAGGAATATGAATGGAAGTTTAAAACTGCATATTCAGTGTCCTTCTCATAGACTAGGAAAGTCATGCATATTCTAAGAAATCTCTGGGTGCTAGCTTTCTCCAGGGACCAAACTACAGTAGGCATTAAGGGTGTGCTTTTGCAGAGCACATACTTCGTTTAGGGCAAATTACACCTGTAGAAGTCAGCAAAGCCACAAGGGATGCACTTTAGACTGATGTGCCTACATGAGTTGGGTTATGATAGAAACTCACCTGGCAGAAATAACAGACATTCAAAGCATGTCTCCACTCTGGCAGATAAAATATCTTTTCATTCCAAAACAACAGAGTAGAAAGGAGCTCATTCACTGCAGTTCTTGGCTGTACTTATGGATGGGATAAATCCCAATATCAAAATTAATAGAAGGCTCAATTATTCTTCCTTCTCTCTCATCCTTTAACCTTATGGACAGTAACAAATCCAACATGATACCAAGCTCGGTGACTTCTGTATTTGGAAGATGCTACAGAGCTGGATGAAATCCCCCATGGAATTGTTTTCGGACTTTCCAGCTTTCATTAAATAATTAGCTTAATTATCCACACCTTTTCATTTAAAGAGAACCAGTGTCATAAGGAACTTTAATATTTCAATCATATCAGATGTTGATGTTGTAGAACAACCAAAATAATAATGAACTTAGTTGTTAACTCACATTCTCTTCTCTGCCATTCTTTGTTGCCAAACTTAATGGAATAGGCAGAGATTTTCACTGTATGGATTGTTTTGCTGCTGATCTCTCTCTCTCTCTATGTCTCAGACACACACACACACACACACACACTTTTAAGGTTATTTGAATCCAAAGAACATACTCATAGTAGCCAACCTGGGGATTTTAGTAAACAATGAAATGTTTTTCATTTGGATTTAGATTGGCAAAATTGGCACAGTGACATTGGTGGGCAATTTGTCAGTATCATTTCAAAATTTAAATAAAAACTTTATCCAACATTTCCACTTCTAGGAATCTAGCCTACAAAAATGTTTACTCTTCTAGTGTACTAAGATCTATGTAATAGGGCACTCCTCGCAGCATTGTTTTGCAATAGCAAAACCTAGGGATAAAACTCTAATTTCCATAAACAGAGCACTGGTTTTAATTTTATTATAAGTCCACACAATGGAATATTTCACAGTATTTAAAAATATGATTTAGTTATATAGTGTCAAGAATTAGAAGTTACAGATATAAATATCATGTGAAGTAACATCAGGTTGGAGAATAGTACGTACAGTATGATTCCAAGTTTGAAAAATGCATATGATTTAGGATACATAAATCATCTATATACATATATATCCAAAGAAACTATCTGGAAGAATCTATAAAAAATTCAATCATGAGTTAACTCTAGGGATATAAACAAGAGAGTTTTCTATTTTAATATTATTTTAAATTTCATTAAGCATGATACACAATTGTAATAAGAAAAAAATATTAACAGAATCCAAAATGCTTGACTTCCAAGATACATTAGTGAAAAAATCAAGAACCAAAAAATTAAATGGATAATTATTTTTTGCTACTATGAAACAAGTGGAACTAAAAATATACACATTGATTTGTGCAAAAAAGAAAAAGAAAGGAAATATCAGAAACTAAAGGAATTAGTTACAACTAGGACATGTGTGAGACCAGGTAGAAGGGATAGGCATGGGAGTGAGACTTCTTGGATTTATTATTTTTTCTATAATTTTGAATTTCCAATGATGTAAAAATTTTATGTATTCAAAAATAAAATTTAATCCAAAAGGATAAAAAAGCAAATTGCATAGAAACACAAATTAACTTATTTATATATTGAATTAATAACATGACCACAGAGAAAAAGAAATTAATTCAAGCAACTTTTGAACATATCACTCTGACTGTACAACTTTAGTGGGATGAATTCTAAAGACAAAAAGAATTATAAAATATCTTGTACTTTAGTAAGTTTGTTGCTTGTAGTGGTTTTGGTGTAGACATTCTAAAACTATTTTGTATAACTTATAGGACAAAACAAGTAAATATATTGATGTTGATGAGAATGAGGGTTCTCACTGTGGAAAAAGGAAATACAAATATGGAATGGAGAAAGGTAAGGAAGAGCCCTGTGATGCTGGATTTGAATTGGAAGTATCTCAATGAAATAACAATTTAAAAGAAAAAGAAGGTTTCTAAATTCATTTTCCACTAAAAAGAATCAGTATCAAGGTAACCCTAGCACAACTTCTTTATGACAGAAAGCACCCAAAGAATGATGGGGTATCGAAGGTAACAGGAAGTAACTGAAACTAGACTAACTCTCCCACAGTAAGCAACAACAAAAGTGGAAGAAATGTGTAAAGCAATAATATTCAGGAAGTGTTAAGCTGTGATCTCGGAGAAAAGGAGGACTAATGGTGTGAGCCCCACAATCAACCCAGCTCTCCGACTGGGGACAATTCCCCAACTATGGCTTGGTGAGTTAGAGTCCTAACAGAGCCCAGTAGTATTATTGAGCTGGAGCTACAGAGATCAGAGTTCAAGGCATTTAAAATGGCTGGAACTCCCAGTAAAAGGAGAGAGCTTCCCAGAGGGGAGCCCATGAGATCTATGTGGAGGTCCTCTATGGATCCCTGATTGAGAACTGGACTGAACATGCCCTGGAAAAGACTGCCAAAGGCTTATCATTGCGGAACGACCACTACAGAGTTGATAATGGAAGAAGATATTAAAGGATTAGCAGTGCTAGGGAATATCTTGTTAACATCTGGGCATCCAGCTAAAACTCCAGAAATGTTCTACCTTTAGAGAATGGAACATTCCAGAGAACAGGACCTACACTCCACCCTCCCTAACCCTAAAACCATTATTTGCTTAGCCATTCATTGATCTCAATGATATTAAGTATTTTAAACAAGGGAGTTTTGATTTATTTTCCCTCCCCGTCAGCCCCACCTCAGGACTAGTGGAATATTGCACATACAGTAACAGTTCAACAAGTATGCCTTTGGCCATATCAAATTCAATGATAAGAACTGTAAAATTATTTCCCCTTCAACTTATTCAATAACTGTGTTTCACTCAGCTCAATTCTGGCCACACATTCTTTCTGACCGATATCTCTCATCCCTGCCTATTATCTAGTTGCTGTAAACTTTGTCTTATACTCCAAACATTGTCCTATATCACTTCCAATGACCTAACCAATTCTTCTAGTACCACTTTCCCTTCCTTCAAAGATCCATTTTCCTCCAGAGAAGTCACCCTAATTAAAGAGATAAAAGTACCATGTCTCAGATTGTCCCTTTCAATTAAAGAACAAATCATAGGGAAGTATTTTCCTCCTTGATCTTAGCTCATTAGAATACATTTAGGAGATGAGATCTCAATATCACATTGTTGATTTTCTAACTTCTAGTGTTCTTACACTCTACAGCTAAAAGCACAGTGTGAATATCCACAGAGCAACATTACTTCTAACCAGCATTTTTAAATAAAACATTTTATTGTTTCCTTTGAGGGTTCAAAGCATGGTTCCTTTTATTTTTAATTATATAACAATAAATTTCACAAAAGAAGTTATTTTCTTTTTACTTGGAAGTGGTATAAGAGTCCCTTTCTAGCTTTGGCCAGAAATGTAAGCTCATATAACCTCTACTTTTGCCTTTATGGTCGTCCTCAGTTATCTAACTGGAAATTCTAAAACAAATGTATTTTAGTGAAAACAAGCTGTTATTTCCTCATCAACAATCAGAAAATATCATAATTTTATAAACCAAAGCCCCAAATAAAGCCATTCTCTCATTACGTGGAACTGAGTGGTTCTTTCAAGTCCATCCAAAATATATCTTTAAATACCCACTGTGTGCCAGCAAGTCTTCACATTCTTCTTACCACTGGGGACTACATTTTCTAGCTGATTGAGATATGCAGGTAGCTCTGCAATTTTCCTCCCAACACTGAGAAGTTTTTGTGCTAGATCATCCTCCAGATGAACTGACTGTAAGATGACCCAATTTGGGTTGAATATTAACATACCCACTCATCAGACTGATGCTTTCTCTGATACAGAGGTCCATGCTGGAAGAACTGAATGCCAACAACTGCATAACATGGCTCACATTTTCATGCAGGAGCAGCAGCAGCAAAAGCCAAAAGAAAGTTAAGGGGATGATTTAATGTCCCAAATAATAAAGTTCATGTATATTCTGAGGACGTTTTTCAGGTTAAAAAATAGCTAAATAGAAGGTCTTGAGTGACTTCTTGAGGAAGAGTAATTTCTCCCACCCACCCTATTAAAAATTAGTTTTAGGTACCTGTGTCCTCTACAGGAAAAAGAAATGGCCATTTCTGCTATTGATCATCAAGATATTAGCCAATTTCCTGACATAAAGAATGACACCTTTAAGTAAACTTGTTTTTGATAGAGTAGGCTTTCCAAATGACTTTTATCTATCCAGTCCTAAATTTATAAAAAGTGAATACTGAAGGAGTGTTATGTGAAGAAGACCAAAAACTTACACTTGAATAATCAGCTATAGTCCTTAAAATTAAATGCTGTGCATTTTAATATGTTCTAAAGCAATCAGGCCCTAGATGCAGTCTCAGAGCCATCTTTGCTGTTTCCCAAGCCAGGGTTGATTGTTGGACTTGCCCAGTGTGAATGGGCATTACATGGAAACATAGCCTGTGCTATCACCTCTAAAAATTGTACACCACCCAAAAGCAGGTTTGCTCCAATATGTGCCCAGAGTAGATTAAAACAAACAAACCAACCTCCAAAACCAAAAACCTAACTCACATCTGTTACTAAGTTCTTTTCCATGTTTGACAAGTACAGAAGAAAAAACTTCCACCCTTGGTCCTCTCTCTGTCTTGTGCATAAGGGTGGCCATTAGCAACAGCAGTTGTAGGGATCTCAGTGAAAGGGATTTGTGTCTACAATGAACTGCATAGAAATCATTATAACTATCTTCACATCAGACACTAAACAGTCATAAATGTTAATGAATAAAGGGTGCAATCGTTTTTCATTTCTTGACTTGAGGGAAGGGAAGAGGGGAAAAAAATAAAAGTTACGAGTTCCGTTAGTGATTCCATGATGAACATCCATGCGAGCTTAAACCTGGATCTCTTTGATTGGCAATGAGCAAAGGACTTCACAAGCTACATGAAGCAAAAATTTGTACTGCAGATTTGCCAAAGCATTTTTAATGTTCTTCAAAAGATAAGGTAACTCAAATAGCACTATGATAATGAAAGTGCAAATAATTATATTTTCTACATAAAATAATAATATTAACAGAGGTATAGGGCTGGAGAGGGGGTTATGATGGGGGTGGCTAAACAGAAAGGTAGAGTTGAAAAGAACTGCTCCAAAGTATCCTCGTTTTCATCAGCAACTTAAGATGTCTTTTATTCATCCCATGCCCTATCTTTTTTGCATTATGAAACAATAAACAAACATACAAACAAAAAACACACAGAGACAAGCACAAACCAACACTAACCTATTAGTCTTTTCTGCCTACTCCGTATACACCATAAACAGAAGCAGTAAGGCATAAAATAAAAGAACCAGCTGTGCATTCAAATGATTTCAACTGCACAGACCTGTAAGAAGTTTTGTTCCAATATTACAATTGCTATTGTCCTGGCAGGGATGGAGGGGGAGTGCAGCATAAAGGGAAGGAGAAGCAGAGACTGAAACCATTCTAACACTTTGACTGTAAGTGAAATATCTTTTTGGGTAATGTTTCTTCAATGAAGCTGACTGCAGATATGATACCATTTGTCCACACTAAGAAAACAAAGCTAAGAAACCCTAGTAAGCCACAAATAGCCTCACGCTTAACAAGCAAAAATAAAGAGGCAAAGCATTGAAAAGTTGATCTTTTAATGACATCTGTGCATTAATGATAACCTTCTATATGTGTGTGTGTATGTGTGTGTGTGTGTGTGTATATATATATATATATAGACAGGGTCTGGTTCTGTCACCCAGGCTGGAGTGCAGTGGCATGATCTCGGCTCACCAACCTCTGCTTCACAGGCTGAAGCCATACTCTCACCTCAGCCTCCTGATTAGCTAGGACTACAGGTGTGCACCACAATGTCAGCTAATTTTTACATTTTTGTAGAAATAGGGTTTCACCATGTTACCCAGGCTGGTCTCAAACTCCTTAGCACAAGCAATCCACCCACCTTGGCCTCCCAAATGCTGGGATTACAGGTGTGAGCCACCTGTAATAGCCCAGCTATATGTGTATGTGTGTGTGTGTGTGTGTGTCTATACATACACATATATATTTGTGTGTATATATATATTTATATATTTTATATATATAAATATATATAAAATATATATATATTTTAACAGCCTCTCTTCTCTTATATAATAAGCAAACCAAGGTATAAGACAGAATACATTGACAGCAACTTATTTTTTTTCAGTTTGGATTTTACTTCAATTAAGCTACCATAATACAGATGACTTTTTAAACCCTCGTTTCTTTTTTTCCTTTCGGATCTGCTCCAGACATTATGACATGACCGAGTAAGGAAAATGCAATCTGGTTCAACAGGTTATGTTTGCTGTTAAGCAATCTCTCTAAATATTTTATTTCAGCAACTATCAATTTGAACCAAGATTGAAAGTAAAATGGGACTTCAAAGGTAAAGCAAGGAAAGGCAGCCATGAATGATATGCTGAGCTGGAGAGATAATAGGTAAAATATTAAACACAAATTCAGCTGAAAGAGAGTCACAACATACAAAAGTAATTTAAATATAGACCTGAATCTATAAGAAGAGAAAAAGACAATATATTGCCCTATCTTTATCACTCCAGGATCCTTTGGACTTCAGCAGTGTTACTCTATTTTATAGTCTGTGATAAATCTCTCACTTTTGGAAACATTTATTAATATGCTATCAATTGAAGACAAAACTATTTGTTAGGTATTTCAATTAGTAAGTATTCTTATCTCAGGAAACAAACATTAGCCAAACTCCAAGCACCTCCCCCCAATCCGCATTTTTTGCTTTGAAAAGTAAGCATGCATTTCATTGACTAGATTTGATACTTAATGAGAAAGTAAAGCAAATACATTTAATTCTCAGAAATAAATGAATTAGAAGCCAGTAGAAAGTCTCAACACAATCTTTTGTTTCCATATAATAACACATTCCTCAATGTCTTACTGGAATGATTACAGACAGAAAATCAATTCTTAAAATCTCATGCAAAGTTTGTAATTACAGCTAGAATGTATAATCAAAACTGAAAGACATATATATCCAAGTATTATTAAACAATGATTAAGCTTTGACTGGACTATGTACTGGCTACAGCTAATCTCTTAGTACAGTCATGGCTGCCTGCCAGACCAACATGTTCTAGGAATAGATTTTTCTTCTCGAGAAATTCCTCTTCGGGCAATTAGCTAATAATTCTGAACTTGGAGGCTGTAGACCCCTGCCTGTTAGCAACTGGGTACAACTATAAGGAACTAAAACTCAGATATTTATCAAAGTCTTTAAATTGCAATGCTACACACTCAATTAGGAGGCAAAGGATGTATATTTTTAAAGGTTTCTTACCTTCTCATTTGTAAATGTTTGCTCCCAGGTATTTATTCACTAGCAAATGTAACCAACTCTAAGTAGGCCCTTAACATTTCATTGTCCACTGAGAGTATACTGGTCATTGAAGTTTAACAAAATTCCACTGATTTCCCAACAATTTCTCAGTGGTAGGATTAAACATCATTTTTATTTTGGCTACTTTCCAACATAACTGGAATACGAGTGCTTCTATTTAAAGACATTCATAGTTAAAGGCACAGGTGCCCTCTGGGTGCTCACAAAACTGTACATTTTTGACCAAATAGTGGCAAGTTGCCAGCAACTTACCAGAATTTCTCTTTGACACCATCTTCAGATTTGTGCTGACTACAGAACAGACCACAAGGGCCAAAAGAAATGGTGGCTTCATCCTTCACTTTTCTTGACAGCTGAAAAGTCAAAAAAAAGGATATAAAGTTTGAACCACAGATCTTGGCCTCAACAAAACCACACCTATAATTTTACATTTTTCAAAACTCCATTAGAGAAACAATGACAATCTGGGGTCTTCTGGCTTTATTTTTTGCAAATAGAAGAAAACATGAAAGTTCACAGTTAAACCATGTCAGGTTCCCTGCTTAAAACTTTTCAGTGGCTTCCCACTGGATTTAGAGTGAAATCTGAACTCCTTCCATTAGACTTTCTTTTTCAATTTTTTTGTATTTTTTTATTATACTTTAAGTTCTAGTGTACATGTGCACAACGTGCAGGTTTGTCACATAGGTATACATGTGCCATGTTGGTTTGCTGCATCCATTAACTTGTCATTTATAGAAGTTTTTTCTCCTAATTCTATTCCTCCCCCTGCCTCCCACCCCACCAGAAGCCCTGGTTTGTGATGATCCCTGCCCTGTGTCCAAGTGTTCTCATTGTTCAATTCCCAACTATGAGTGAGAACATGCATTATTTGGTTTTCTGTCCTTGTGATAGTTTGCTCAGAATGATGGTTTCCAGCTTCATCCATGTCCCTACAAAGGACATAAACTCATCCTTTTATATGGCTGCACAGTATTCCATGGTGTATATGTGCCAAATATTCTTAATCCAGCCTATCATTGACAGACATTTGGGTTGGTTCCAAGTCTGCTATTGTGAACAGTGCCATGATAAACATACGTGTGCATGTGTCTTTATAGTAGCATGATTTATAATCCTTTGGTTATATACCCAGTAATGGGATTGCTGGGTCAAATTCTATTTCTAGTTCTAGATCCTTGAGGAATCGCCACACTGTCTTCCACAATGGTTGAACTAGTTTACACTCCCACCAATGGTGTAAAAGCTTTCCTATTTCTCCACATCCTCTCCAGCATCTGTTGTTTCCTAACTTTTTAATGAATGCCATTCTAACTGGTGTGAGATGGTATCTCATTGTGGTTTTGATTTGCATTTCTCTGATGACCAGTGATGATGAGCATTTTTTCATATGTCTGTTGGCTGCATAAATGTCTTATTTTGAGAAGTCTCTGTTCATATCCTTTGTCCACTTTTTGATGGGTTTTTTTTTCTTGTAAATTTGTTTGAGCTCTTTGTAGATTCTGGACATTAGCCCTTTGTTAAACAGGTAGATTACAAAAATTTTCTCCTATTCTGTAGGTTGCCTGTTCACTCTGATGGTAGTTTCTTTTGCTGTGCAGAAGCTCTTTAGTTTAATTAGATCCCCTTTGTCAATTTTGGCTTTGTTGCCATTGCTTTTGGCATTTTAGTCATGAAGTCCTTGCCCATGCCTGTGTTCTGAATGGTATTGCCTAGGGTTTCTTCTAGGGTTTTTATGGTTTTAGGTCTAACATTTAAGTCTTTAATCCATCTTAAATTAATTTGTGTATAAGTTGTAAAGAAGGGATCCAGTTTCAACTTTCTACATATGGCTAGCCAGTTTTCCCAGCACTATTTATTAAATAGGTAATCCTTTCCCCATTTCTTGTTTTTGTCAGGTTTGTCAAAGATCAGATGGTTGTAGATGTGTGGTGTTATTTCTGAGGCCTCTGTTCTGTTCCATTGATCTATATCTCTGTTTTCGTACCAGTACCATGCTGCTTTTGTTACTATAGCCTTGTAACATCATAATGACAGGATCAAATTCACAAATAACAATATTAACCTTAAATGTAAATGGACTAAATGCTCCAATTAAAAGACACCAACTGGCAAATTGGATAAAGAGTCAAGACCAATCAGTGTGCTGTATTCAGGAGACCCATCTCACATTCAAAGATGCACATAGGCTCAAAATAAAGGGATGGAGGAAGATCTACCAAGCAAATGGAAAACAAAAAAAAAGCAGGGGTTGCAATCCTAGTCTCTGATAAAACAGACTTTAAACCTACAAAGATCAAAAGAGACAAAGAAGGCCATTACGTAATGGTAAAGGGATCAATTCAACAAGAAGAGCTAACCATCCTAAATATATATGCACCCAATACAGGAGCACCCAGATTCATAAAACAAGTCCTTAGAGACCTACAAAGAGACGTAGACTGCCATGCAATAATAATGGGAGACTTTAACACCCCACTGTCAATATTAGACAGATCAATGAGACAAAAAATTAACAAGAATATTCAGGATTTGAACTCAGCTCTGCACCAAGTGGACCTAATAGAAATCTAAAGAACTCTACACCCCAAATCAACAGAATATACATTCTTATCTGCACCACATTGCACTTATTCCAAAACCGACCACATAGTTGGAAGTAAAGCACTCCTCAGCAAATATAAAAGAACAGAAATCACAACAAAAAGTCTCTCAGACCACAGTGCAATCAAATTAGAACTCAGGATTAAGAAACTAACTCAAAACTGCAGAACTACATGGAAACTGAACAACATGCTCCTGAATGATTACTGGGTAAATAACGAAATGAAGGCAGAAATAAAGATGTTCTTTGAAACCAGTGAGAACAAAGATACAATGTACCAGAATCTCTGGGACACATTTAAAGCAGTGTGTAGAGGGAAATTTATAGCACTAAATGCCCACAAGAGAAAGCAGGAAAGATCTAAAATTGACACCCTAACATCACAATTAAAAGAACTGGAGAAGCAAGAACAAACAAATTCAAAAGCTAGCAAAAGACAAGAAATAACTAAGAACAGAGAAGAACTAAAGGAGATAGAGACAGGAAAAACCCTTCAATAAAATCAATGAATCCAGGGGTTGGTTTTTTGAAAAGATCAAAAAAATTGATAGACCACTAGCAAGATTAATAAAGAAGAAAATAGAGAAGAATCAAATAGATGCAATAAAAATATGATAAAGGGAATGTCACCACCGATCCCACAGAAATACAAACTACCATCAGAGAATACTATAAACACCTCTACGCAAATTAACTAGAAAATCTAGAAGAAATGGATAAATTCCTCGACACATACACCCTCCAAAGACTAAACCAGGAAGAAGCTGAATCTCTGAATAGACCAACAACAGGCTCTGAAATTGAGGCAATAATTAATAGCCTACCAACCAAAAAAAGTCCAGGACCTGATGGATTCACAGCCAAATTCTACCAGAGGTACAAAGAGGAGCTGGTACCATTCCTTTGGAAACTGTTCCTAGCAATAGAAAAAGAGGGAATCCTCCCTAACTCATTTTATGAGGCCAGCATCATCCTGATACCAAAGCCTGGCAGAGACACAACAAAAAAAAGAGAATTTTAGACCAATATCCCTGATGAACATTAATGTGGAAATCCTCAATAAAATACTGGCAAACTGAATCCAACAGCACATCAAAAACTTATCCACCATGATCAAGTGGGCTTCATCCCTGGGATGCAAGGCTGGTTCAAAATATGCAAATCAATAAATGTAATCCATCACATAAACAGAACCAATGACAAAAACCACATGTTTATCTCAATAGATGCAGAAGAGGCCTTCAACAAAATTGAACACCCCTTCATGCTAAAAACTCTCAATAAACTAGGTATTGATGGAATATATCTCAAAATAATAAGAGCCATTTATGACAAACCCACAGCCAATATCATACTGAATGGGCAAAAACTGGAAGCATTCCCTTTGAAAACTGGCACAACAGGGATGCCCTCTCTCACCACTCCTATTCGACATAGCGTTGGAAATTCTGGCCAGGGCAATCAGGCAGGAGAAAGAAATAAAGGGTATTCAATTAGGAAAAGAGGAAGTCAAATTGTCCCTGTTTGCAGATGACATGATTGTACATTTAGAAAACCCCATCATCTCAGCCCAAAATCTCCTTAAGCTGATAAGCAACTTCAGCAAAGTCTCAGGACACAAAATCAATGTACAAAAATCACAAACATTCCTATACACCAATAACAGACAAACAGAGAGCCAAATCATGAGTGGACTCCCATTCAAAATTGCTACAAAGAGAATAAAATACCTAGGAATCCAACTTACAAGGGATGTGAGGGATCTCTTCAAGAACTACAAACCACTGCTCAACGAATTAAAAGAGGGCACAAACAAATGGAAGAAGAACATCCTGTCCTCATGGATAGGAAGAATCAATATCGTGAAAATGGCCATACTGCCCAAGGTAATTTATAGATTCAATGCCATCCTCATCAACCTACCAATGACTTTCTTCACGGAATTGGAAAAAACTACTTTAAAATTCATATGGAACTAAAAAAGAGCCCACATTGCCAAGACAATCCTAAGCAAAAAGAACAAAGCTGGAGGTACCACTGTACCTAATTTCAAATCATTAGACTTTCAAAGGCCTATAGGTGGAGCCCCCAGGTGCCTCTTTGATCTTATTTCACAAAGCTCTCCTCCTTGCTGCCTATGCTCCAGCCATGATGGTCATTTTTTCTGTTCCTGGAATGTGCCAAGGCATTTTTTTTTCCCCACGGTGTTTGCACTTTGTCTTCCTCCTGAGATACTCTCCACTGTTCACTCAGTTTCTTAACATCCTACATGTCTGAGTCCCACAAAAAGGCCTTTCTCAACTACCCAATCTGAACTCTGTCAATCTCTAGCTCACCTCTTTGTTTGTTTTATTCATAAGACTGATCAGCATTTACAGTTGTTTATGTGATAGGAAGAGTTTTTACACTACTTTGAGTTCATTTTTAAATGAACAGTATTGAGTCTCAAGCACTTAGAATGAAACTCTTCCAAAATCAAAAATAACTGAAAAGGGTAAGGAATTGAACCAAGCTGTTATTAAATCTCCACATCCAATAACAGGGAAAGGAGTTTGTAAAGTGCCACCAGTAGACATTGGGGGTGGGGGGGAAATTATCTTTAAGTTTTTGTCCCTATTGAGTTAAAAAAATCAGTAAATTGGTTACCTATATGGTGGTTCAGCTAGGGTCCTTTAAAATAATCGGAATATAAGTACCACTGAAGTACTTTGGGCTCATGATAAATTCAAGATACAAAAATGGCAATGGGAGGTATGAGGGTGAAACTACAGCAATCACTGAAATAATGAATGGAAGAAAACCTGGAAAGGCAATAGCCTCTGGATGACATGTAAAGGTCCAGTATTCTATGTAAAGATTTTTAAAAATAATTAGTTCGTACCTAAAGGTATAGAGCCTTACCCAGAATATAAGAGTAACAGGGTGATATCAAGTGCTTGGTAGGATCCTCTTTTCCCAGAATTGACCTCAAAGATCTACCTGATATCCTAAATTCAGAAAACTTCCAGTTTGATGTCTGAAGCCACCAGCACAATGAACCAATGCAGCTAGTTCCATATCACCTCACCCCAACTCCATCAATAAACAAAGGAACCTGGAAAGGAGGAGAAGGCTACGTTTTGACAAGGAAAACAGGCTTTTTCTTTCCCAGTTAACCATATACTTACCATTAGACATGCTGAACTTTCCCTGCACCACTGGAGCTAGGATAAAGAACCCTCGGGAGAGGTGGGATATTGGAGATTTCCAGATGACAAGAGGACCGAGACTAATTCTCACCTACTCCCAACACACAGCCATATATGGGTCCCAAGAGACATGGAAAATGAATTTGGCATATGCCCAAAGGTCCAAGCTGGACTAGGTAACTGCATAATTCTTGCCAGAGGCTTTGCAACATGGGGCAAGATGAATGCATGTGAAAATAAAGTGATCTGATGGCACCAGCTGAAGGTCTAACAGAAGATGTAATAATCTTGCAAGGGATTTCCAATGTCCAGAGGAGATGCTTGGAGAAGCCTCCCATCAGCAGGCTGTTATAACTACCTGTTTATATAGTGCCCATAGACAGCTAGAAGAGCAATTGTGACCAACCAAGGAGAAGACACACACAGTCACAAGCATCTGTCTTTTTCCTCTCCCTTTTCCCCAGCAACTCTCCTCCCAAAGCAATAACAAAACAGGCACAGGGGAAAGGGAAGAAATAAGAAGAGATGTATGAAAGGCTACCATACATGTCCCCAAACTCCTAGCCGCTAGAGCCATATGTCCCATCTGTTTGAAGAAAAAGGAAGAGAAGCATTTTCATCAGATAGGGGCTTGGAGTAAGCAAGCCAAAGCTTTAAAATCAGCATGAGACTCTCCTAATATCTGAAAGCAGCTAAAAAGTTATACAATCAGATTGAAATGTTTATCATTGTCCTAATCTCTCAGTGGAAGAGGGTAAATACAACAGAACACAGTAAATAGCAATTAGTGGAAAAATAATACCATTTCAAGTTTATACTCCAATGAGTTGAAACACTTAATGAATCGGTTAAATTTATTAGCTTGGTTGTCTTTGCCTACTCCTTGCCCACTAGAATGTAAACTTCATGAGGGCAGCCACTTGGTCACTAACTGTTTTATTCTCATCACCTAGCATAGAGCCTGACACATAACTAATTAATAAATATTTTTAATGAATAAAAGAACAAAATCTATGTAGATAACATCTTATCAAATGTTTAAATAATGCAAATGAGTGGAAACTTTTAGTGTTTTTTCAAGTTACTCATTTGTTTGAAATAGAACATCTCTTGTCTAACATGGGATTATCCAGATCTGAGAGGTACCATATTTCCTGCTGTCATAAACACTGTTGGTGCCCTGCCCATGTCTTCTTTGACCCATTCTAAAAGTCATCTGCAGAAGTCTTCCTATGTTTCTCTGCCAGAGGGGCTTCTTTAACTGCAAAAGCAGCTTGGCCAGTATAGGAGATGACTAGAAGTGCCAGGTTGTTAATATTCACTAAATGATTCTCAATCAATTGTGAAAGTTCATGAATAAATACCCTAGCTCCCTCACCCTTTGGTATGTTCCAGTAATATTGAGTGGCAACCTGCTTATTTGCTTTACCTCCCTTCCAGTCTGACTTTGCCACTTCCTTGCAGTACTTCCTGGGATCACCTCCCAAATAAACTACCTACATTCAAATCCTTAGAGTTCTGCTTTTTGGAGACCCCAAACCAAGACTGAAAAGACCATTAAGTACTCCACAGGATTCTTTGTTTTCCATAGACCTTATCTGCCAGATCTCCAGATGATTATGTAGGCTCTGAACTTTCAAAGGAAGGCTTATGATTCAAAATTTTCTTGAACAACGTGCCCATTCTAGCTCCTCTGTCTTACCCCCCAATTTAGAACTTATATAACGCCAGTGACTTTGTTAAGAACATTGGCTCATCTCTGCTATAGCTCTTCCTGCTATATATATTCACTTAGTTACCAACTCAACCATACTGGTTAGATTTTAGGAGTCTGCCAAGCTCTCCTTACCGCAAACCTATTCTATCTATGATTGTACCTTCACGATTTCTGTCTGAAAGCTGACAGTGTGTAGGGACCATAACTTGCTAAAATCAAATATCATTTTTATAATTCTGATATTTTATAAATGGTGGCAAAAAAAGTTGATTTGAGAAAGCCCTTTAAAAACTCTGTTTGCCAAGTGGACATTATGTGATCATATTCACCAAAAACATGAACTAGATTTTATAACTGATATTCAGAGATATTTTATGTGGAAAATAACTGATGCAGAAATATTTCTACTTCCCTATTTAATTCACCCCTCCCTATTCTTTGTGAAATAAAATAGTTAATGTTTGACTGTGAATAGGGAAATAATCATTGGAACTGTACAATTTAACTACAGAATTATTTCATATGCTACTTTTCCTGTCAGTTAAAATCAGTCAGAATTAGAAAAAGTGAGCATATAAAGTTTTTAAGTCCATATATTTACCAATCCCATTTCCACAGAAGAGTCAATTAATTCAACAAATTTTGCTGAACAATGATTATACTTTATGATGATAATAATTTATTGAGCACTTTGTGTGGGCCAGACATTGTGCTAAACTGTTATATGTCATTTTATCCTCTCAACAATCTTATGAGTTACTATAATCTCCATTTTACTTTTCAGGAAACTGACATTTGTGACTTACCCAAGTTCATGACATTAATAAATTATGGAAAAAGGATTTGAATGTAGGTCTGTGTGACAACAAACCCCAATCTCTTAACCACTACTGAACGATTTTTGCCCTAGAAGTTAGATGCTATGGGAGTCATAAACCAAGTCTAAGATTATAAAATGTAGCTTCTTTTCTTCAAGGAACTATAACCTCACTGTGGCGATACATGCATAGTAGAGTACTTAGTCAAGTGCAGGACAATGAAGAGCAACCTATATTTGTTAAGTGCTAAGGGAATACCTAGTAAAATAAGTGGTTTTTTTTAGCATGTTCAGTAGGTGATTCAGATTTCCCATTGAAAGGGAAAATCTGTCAAACTGCCTCAATTCAAATAGTCAAAGAGAAAGGCCAGTGTAATCAATCTAGTAGCAGTGTTCATCTACAGCATCAGTCGGCCTGAAATATCATCATTGATCAAGGAATGTCTTACAACAGTGACCACTGGGCTCCCAACATATGGTTCCCACACATCTGTTTCAATAGTAAAAGTTTCAGAAGCAGCTCGAGTTACTCCTGGAAACCTTACACTGAAATTTAGGTTTATTACATTATAACTTTTTCCTGTTGGTGATTTTACAACCAACTTACTGCTGTGTGAAGAAAGTGTACAGGAGCATGTATAATACCTACTATCATGGCAATTATACTGTTATTCAATTATTTCAAAATTACTTTTTTTCCTAAAAAGAGTCTTCCCCCCTGCCATGGCTATAAATATGCAATGGTTCTTATTTCTGAAGTTCATATTCCCCTGAGAGATTTGTGTTTACTGATTCCCTAGGGTTAGTATATAAAAATCCCAAAAGGCCACGTAATGAATTCTAAAGAATGAAGCTGCTAAGACAATGGCTAATGAAGGCATTAGTATTCCTCTCATTGGAGTATCAAATCCTGATATGAGTAATGCCATATTGAAGAGAGAGCTTTAAAACTGTAATTGAACTAAATCTTTTGACAGATAATTGTAATGATGTTATGCTTCAATGACTTTCAAGTATAGTTTGCAAATTACCTTTTTCACTTTATTCCCTTCCTCCCTTAAAGTACCAGATATGTCAGGTTTCTGGTTCATGCTAATTTTTAACAGTACCTATATGGCAAACTCTTGACTCTAGAAACCAAAACACATTTAACTTATGGATACATTTGGACACAGTTAATAGACCCAATCTAAAATATCAGCTAGTTTCAAATAGCACACAATTATAATCATTTCTTGTTACATTTTTGCAATCAAAGAAAATTTTGATATCTTCACAAGGTTTTCATATATGTATATATATGTATAAAATCAGACACGTACATACATATATACAGAGAAAGACAGTTCTTTAGTCAACACACATTTATCTCTATCTCTTACATTTTATAATTCTATAGTAATTTGCAATGAAGTCTGGTATTCACATAGAGATGGCCCTGAGGTCCTATTAGCTATTCAATCAGAAAACAGAGATGCAATAATGTTAACTAGATTCTATCTACTATGGAGGGAAATATGGCTCTCAAACTCAAATTTGGAAAGGACCTCAATAGTTACCTAGTCCAACTTTCAACCAATCAAGAAATCCTTTTTACAGCATTCCTATATCTAGCCTATTCTCAAGCACTTCTGTCATTTGAAAATAACTGCATAAAGTGGCAGCCAAGTCTGTTGTTAGCCCTAACCATTAGAATCAGAGGTAGAAATAAAGAGACACAGAGACTGAAACCAACATAGCCAAAGGCACACAAGTAAGAAAACAGAGATAGCAAAAGATAGAGTCAGGTGGATAGGACACAGAAAGGGAGGGAAAAAAATCGTAGAGGAGAAAGAGAAAAAACATGAAGAAGCAGAGAGAGAAAAAATTAGAAGTGGAGACTCAAAAAGTTGACATAGCAAAAAAGGGGAATAGATAAGAGGAATAGTGAGTGATGAAACATTGAGAGACAGCAGAAGGGACTATCTCAGGAGAGAATGCAAGGAGAAGCAAGTATAAAGAAAAAAACTGGCATAAGTAACTATAGGGTTTCTTTTTGATTTCTGTAGTGATCATAGTCCCCAGCTTTGGGCTCCATACATAGTCCACAAAAATGAAAATTTCATTTCACAGCCTCCCTAGCAGCTGGATATGGAAAGGTATTGAGTTCTGATCATTAAGATATAATCTTGAGTTCTGACCATTAAGATAAAATCAAAAGTGTTATGTGTTACAGGGACTAGTCTTTTTCAGGGTTTCTCCAGCCAGGAAACCTAGAAGTAGTAGGTATAAGGTGTTACAAGCAGTTTAGACAAAAAGTCTTCAATCACACTCATTGATCAATGAGTCTTACTCAATTTTTGATGTGGTGTCTAAATCCCTCATCATCTAACATTTTCTTCCATCAATAAAAGTGTTTGTCAATAGTCTTCTCAAAATTTAATGTACACATTCATATTCTGTTTATGACATTATAAATTAGGACAGCATTTTACAAGGCAATTTGTTAGTATTTGGCAAAAATTAAAGTGCTCAAGAATTGCTTTTGTATGAATCTATACTACAGCAATCCAAATGATTATGCATAAAAATATATGCACATACAAGGATGGTCAATGCAGTATGCATTGTGATGGTGAAAATCTGATAACAGACTAAATACCTTGTCATGGGTAGGGGTGATACATTCATAAATGGAATACTATACAACCATTAAAGAGACTGAGATAAAGAGGTATGGATAGACATGGGTAGATCTACAAGATATATGAAAAATAGATATGATTCCACATATAATGGAAAAATCTATGTATGTATGCATGCCTGAGAATGTGTGTGTATGTGTATGGAAATCTGTAGGAAGAGGTTTGGATGTGTGGCTGGGGAATTCATGTGGAGGTCAGAGTGGAAGCAGGTGTGAGAGGGTCCAGCAGAAGAAAACATGGCTGCCAAAGTGTTTGTGTCCATTGGCAAGTTTGGCCTGGCCTTAGCTGTTGTAGGAAGCATGCTGAACTCTGCCTTATATAATGTGGATGCTGGTCACAGAGCTGTCATCTTTGACCGATTCTGTGGAGTACAGGACATTGTGGTAGGGGAAGGGACTCACTTTCCTATCCCATGGGTACAGAAACCAATTATCTTTGACTGCCATTCTCGACCACTTAATGTACCAGTCATCACTGGTAGCAAAGACTTACAGAATGTCAACATCACACTGCACATCCTCTCCTGGCCTGTCGCTAGCCAGCTTCCTTGCATCTTCACCAGCATCAGAGAGGACTATGATGAGCGTGTGCTGCCATCCATCACTACCAAGATCCTCAAGTCGGTGGTGTCTCACTTTGATGCTGGAGAACTAATCACCCAGAGAGAGCTGCTCTCCAGGCAGGTGAGTGACAATCTTACGGAGTGAGCAGCCACCTTTGGGCTCATCCTGGACGATGTGTCCTTGACACATCCCACCTTCGGGAAGGAGTTCACAGAAGCAGTGGAAGCCAAAGAGGTGGATCAGCAGGAAGCAGAGAGGGCCAGATTTGTGGTGGAAAAGGCTGAGCAGCAGAAAATAGCAGCCATCATCTCTGCTGAGGGTGACTCCATGGAAGCCAAGCTGATCCCCAACTCACTGGCCACCGCAGGGGACGGCCTGATCGAGCTGAGCGTGCTGGAAGCTGCAGAGGACATCACATACCAGCTCTCAGCTCTGAGAACATCACCTACCTGCCTCCTCCAGCTGTCCCAGTGGGGGCCCACCCTGCCTGCACCTCTGCAGGCTGACTAGGCCACAGCCCTGATGATTCTTAACACCACCTTCCTTCTGCCCCTATCCCAGAAATCACTGTGAAATTTCATCACTGGCTTAAAGTGAAGGAAATAAAGGTAAAATCACTTCAGATCTCTTAAAAAAAAAAAGTTTGGAATTTTTGACACTACTATAATCCTTAGGAGGGGAGTGGATAAAGTCTAAGGTTGAAGGGTAATTTTCACTTTTTACTCAATATAGTAATGGTGATCATTAACTCTGTTCTCAAAATACTTAACACCTCTTTGCCTTCGGTCACATGATATGACCGCACTTCCTGGCCCCATTGTGATTGATGGAGTGATGCATCTGGTTCTGGCCAATTATTTGTGACCAGAAGTCATTGCTCACAGTTGCATGTCACTTCCAGGCCAGAGCATTTATTTGTCAATGTGACGCCTTCCACAGCTATCTTTCCTTCTGCCACAGTGACTGGTAATATTTATGATGGTGGTTGCTCCATCACCCTGGGCCACAGAATGAAGAGTCACAGAGCAGAGCTTCTAGCCAACACATTACATAAGTGAAAAATAAAACTTTGTTTTTACAAACCACCAAGAGTTGGGGATTATTACAATAGCATAATCTAAATTATTCCGACTGATACCATTGAAATGTTTAAATTTTAAACTAAATAGTATACTTTCTGCATATATTGTAAAATTAATATGATACCTACAACAGCATACAACATTCTCTATGTAGAAAATACAAAGTGCAATGAGCCTATTATGTACCATGATCTAGATTCAATATCATCGTCAAAATTTAACTATTTCAAGGGCAGAGGCTATGCTTTTTTTTTTTTTTTGCATCCCCAGCACCATTGACTAGAACACAGTAGGTATGCAATCCATTCTTCTTGAATATTAAATGGATTTTAAAATGTTTATCCTAAACCTATAGATTTATATTAATCCCTATGAAATGTCATTATGTTAGTTTTATTCTATTATTCCAAATCATGAAGACCATTTCAAAGCATAAGGCTTTTATTCATTTTATTAACTCTCCCACCTACTTTTGTGTCATCTGAATATTTCATAAGCTTGCTTTCTCTGCCTTCAATCAAGTCAATAATTTTTAAAATTCTGAATAAGATATGACATATAACAGAGATCTGTGGCCTACCACCATAGATCTCTCTACATGTCAGCATTAATCCATTAATCTGGTTGACCAATTTGGTATGAATCATTTAACTATACTAAAATCCATTTAACTAGACCATATTGGCACATCTTGTCATGAGAGATCATGCATGTGATAGACTAGGCTTTCATAGTGATATATCATTCTAACAGTTTTACCAAAGGAAAATAATAACTTTGTTTAGTCTGATTTGCTCCTAAGATCCATTAATTTATTTATTCAATAAACTTAATGTATGCCTATGATAGGAATACAATGGGAACATGATAGGTATTGTATCTACTTTTTGTGTGATCACAGTCTAGTAGAAAAGAAAAAACCACAGACAACAACAATGAAGTATTTTAAATGTAATAAGAGGAGAAATATGGAGTGTTTTGAAAGGAAAGAGAGAAGAAATCAAACTCATGTTTATGAGAAAGACAAAGGTGTCTGGAGAAAGTGACTTCTAAGTTGAAACCTAGAGTGCGATAGGAAAGATCGTTCTAAAAAGAGGTAATAGCCTGGACATAGGCCTGGAGCTGAGAGGGCATGGAATGTTCATTGAAGTAGAATGAGTTCAATATGGCAGAATCACAGAGTGTTATTAATAGATAGGAGGAATAGAGACAGTTGACACTGGTGAGGTGATCAGGGGTTAAGATCATGTACAGATTGAGTTGCCTATAGTACATCTAAGAATAGATGTTAGTGAAAAATTGAGGATACTAATAGAAGTTAAGGAAACAGAATTGGTATAAATATTTTGTAGTCTTAAGCTCAGAGATGGTACTTCATGTCACAGGAGTAGATGAACTACCAAAAGATAGAGGCAAAATAAGAAGGTAGCGAAGGATAAAGTACTGAGAAACACCAACATTTGAGTTGGGAAGGTTCAGAGTAGCCTACAAAAGAGACTGAGAAAAAGGTAACAAGAAAGGTACAAAGAAAACCAGGAGGAACACCAAGGGAATAGCATATTTCAAGAATGACAACTATGTTAAACGCTGGGTGATCAAGTGAGTCAGAGGCTCAAAAGTGTCCTTTATATTTAGCCAAGTAAAAAGGCTGTTAACCAAAAGAAGATTGTCAGAAACAGATCAGTGGTGTAGCGGGGTTAGAATCAGACTGTATAGATTGAAGAGTAAACTGAAGGTAAGGAAGTAGAACACTGAGTGGAGACAATATTCACAAAGATTAGCTGTGATAGGAAAGAGAGAGATAGGGTAAGCATATGGCAGAAGGTTAGAGAATAATTTTTTAATTGATGTTTGCCTCATGATTAGACTGAATTTACTGGTTTGGGGGAATACCATCAGACTTTTTTTTCTTTAGTGAATAGGAGGGACTTGAACAAGCTCTAAATGATTAGGGAAAGAAGCCAGAAAAGGGGGAATGGTCGAAAAGAAAGAAAACACAAGGTTATTGTATGGAGTAAGGACACTTAAAAAAAACAGATTAAAAAAAGGTTTCTGGAGCTCAAGTGGAAGAATTTGACATACACGGGAGGATTTTCTGATCTTCAATTGAAAATGGGAGGAAGGCAGAAATTACAGATGATGGTGCAGGTAAGTGTTTTATGGTGGGGAGTTGCCATCTTGTGGCTTCTACATTTTCTGTGAAACAGCTGGCAAGTTTATCTGTAGAAAAGGAAGAGTTGGAGGTTTGAGGAGGCATATATCTTCTCAATAGTTAAGTAGTTCATTCTAGGATTTTTTTAGCATTGAATGTTAAGTTCACTGATTCAAATTTCTGGAGGCCAAGTTTTTGTTTTTGCTTTGTTTCCAATTGAGTCATTAAATACATCTAATATTCTTTATTTGCATTTTTTCTATGACTTTAATATGTATACATATGTAACTAACCTGCATATTGTGCACATGTACCCTAAAACTTAAAGTATAACAATAATAAAATAAACTTTAAAAAAAATGTTTTCAACAAGAATTGCGTGGCAATAGCTGAAAGGGCATCTTCTCTGTTTACCACCATGCCAAAAAACTTTTCTAACCCCTTTAATCCTTACACTTTCCCTTTTCCACACTCCAGCTAATTGAGGTTTTATAGTATTTTAAGAAGTGGACCAACCTCATTACCCTTGTGTAAAATACAGAGAAACGGAGGCTTAGTGAGCTAAGTAATTTTACTACAGCAAGGAATCAATTGGAGGCAAATCAATTAATTCACATTTTATAAAGTTTCTTTCCTATTAGGGATCATTAATATTAATGATTTAATATTTTCTCCTCACTGATCAATAACCATAATACTCTGAAGTTACACTTAGGCAAAAGAAAAGTGCAAGTATCTCTCTCCCCTCCCTCCATTTTCAGAATTGAGTAAAATTTATCCTGCTGCCCTACAACTCATATTCAGCACAAATCAGGAAACCAGGAATCTGCTGCCTCCTTCAATTGGGCACTCCTACTTCACTTCTTTGTGAAAAAAATGATATTTTCCCCTTTAAAACTTCTGTTTTAACCTCTTTAAGGCCCCAGGTAGCAACTGGTTCACCACACATAATTGTTTTTGAAAATGAACCAATGGGAGAAAGTTAAAAAACTAATCCTCAGTGATATGTATTTTAATTTAGTCTTCTAGGGATTAACTCAATAAATGAACAGTAGGTCTTTTTATAATAATAGCCATAATCGTAACGATTACTAGCCTGGATATCTTATTTCCAGATCACTGGTGTTCACATATCTTTTCAATACAGGCATAAAAGTCCGTGCAAATATGTAACTACACCCTGGGATCATACTAATTGTTTCTTAAAGCCTTCAAAAAATTTACCTCTTTCTCCCAACTGATATCCTATTTTTTGATCCCCCTTTTGCTGATCAACATTGGTAGCATCTATCAAACTAGCAATGGTTTAAAAGTAACAACCTAACTCAATGTTAGAAAGCCTGCAGCAAAACACTCTCATATACTGGCAATGAGAATATAAATTGTCATTCATTTTTCTGGAGAACAAATTAGCTGTTAAGTTTATATAATAACCTTTAAAAATTACCTATCTCAGAAAATACAGTCAGACTCATGTACACGGATGTTATTCTAACATTCCTAATAACAAAACTAAAAGATACCCGAAAATACAGCAAGGGTTATGTCAGGTACAGTGTGTCTCTATGATGAAGCATGATTCTATCTTAATGCAAAATTTCAGGCAAAAACAAAATTCAAACCTTTTTACCCAGTATATCTTAAGAAAATAATCCAGCCAGGTGTGGTGGCTCATGCCTGTAATCCCAGCACTTTGGGAGGCCGAGGTTGGCAGACCACAAGATCAGGAGTTTGAGGCCAGCCTGGCCAACATAGTGAAACCCTGTCTCTACTAAAAAATACAAAAAATTAGCTGGGTGTGGTGGCGGGTGCCTGTAACTCCAGCTACTCAGGAGGCTGAGGCAGAAAAGTTGCTTGGACCTGGGAGGTGGAGGTTGCAGTGAGCCGAGATCGTGCCATTGGACTCCAGCCTGGGCAACAAGAGTAAAACTCCGTCAAAAAAAAAAAGAAAAGAATCCCAAATGTAACTAAAGATTTATGCACTATTATGTCCATCTCAACAATACTTACACTACCAAAGTTGAAAATAATGTAAATGTCCAATAATAGATTGTTAAATAAATTATGGCATACCCATATGGTGGAATATTACACCATCATTAACAATTAAGGGAGGAGCTTCAAGATGGCTGATTAGAAGTATTTCATGTCCTCTTCCTCCACTTAGAAGAACGAAAATAGTGTATGGACAGTCACACTTAAAATACATTATCCAAGAGAGAATACTGGAATTCAACAGAGAAGTGACAAGAAACATCAAAAGTGGAGAAAGGAGAGGGAGAGAAGTAGGCTGCCTGGCCAGGATTGAGTGGCAGCTGGGAGCGACTTTCCAATTGAGGGAAAGGGTAAATGAGAGACTTCCAGTGACCCATATCCACACTGTGGAATCATGCAATCTTGGCTATGGGAGAACCCCTTGACCCCCTGCCAAACCCTGAAACTAACATATGGAGCTGCCAGGAGACCACGGGAGGGAAGTGTTCCAGGGAGTGAGTCTGTGCTGGGTGCCACACCATTTCTGAGACCTAAGCAGCTACAAAAAGGCATCATTTTCAAGCATAGTTTTTGGCAGAATGAACACAGTCCTGGAGCCCAACAGCACTGGAACTGGGGCATTATGGAAACTTGGGCTATCAGGCTGTCAGTGCTGTGACTGAGGAGCAAGCTGGGAGCATTCCACAACCAGGACTAATAAGGCATGCAGGTGTGGGCTGCAGCTGCCGGTCTTGGGAAGTGAGCACTGCTGGGATAAAGAATGGGATGTGGGTAAGGCATCAGTTTCCACTGGGACTTGGTTGCCAGCTGAGTGGGGACTCCTGCATCTGGGGTGGGGGCATGATCTAGACATAGGCTACTACTGGCAAGTCTGGGAGCCAAGCCCCAGTGGGACCAGAATATAAAAGGAATACACATTCTTCACCCACCAGCCCAGGTTATAGCCACTAAAGACAGTCCCACCCTCTCCAGTGGCAGGGACTCGGCACAGCCGCTATCATCCCTCACCTGAGCACTCCACCTGGGGACTGAGGATCACTACACCTCTACTCACCACAGGTGGTACCATCTCTCACCATTAGGGGGCCTAAGCAGCAGCTTACCCAGACTAGTTTTGCCATTCCCAACCCCAAGGCAGAGTACGTAGCCTGGGATCCTGGGGATTACCCAACCCAGTCTACCACCGTGGGCACCTGAGCACTCCTCCCAAAGGCATAATATTGGGCCTAAACTCCTAGCCACTACCACCTCAGCTGGCATCTACCTGCAAGTGCCACCTGCAGGCCTGAAGCGTAACCAACCCAGCCCACCACAGCCACTACCAACATCAATGTACACCTCTTGGGAGACAAAGAATCATCACATCACTGCTACTGACATTACCCATGCCTTGTCTGTGGCTCAGGGGCCTAAGAACCCACCTACCCAGTCACTGCTGACACAGCTGGCATCTGAGCAAGCCACCTGAAGGCCCAAGAACTGACCTGCCAGAAATTGTCAACACAGATGCCAGCATACACAGCCATGGGGCCCAAGGACAGGCATACTTGGCCTGCCACTGCCACCACCAGGGCCTGAAGACTGGCCCATTTGTCATCTCAGTCCCCAGCACAACTTCACCACAGTCTCCATTAACAATCATACCCTAAGCTACTAAGGAAATCACAGGCATTAACGATGCTATATAGCAGAAGAAATCATATGGAGATTACTACACTACTGCATGAACTCAGATCAAAGCCAAAGAGTCCTCCCCAACCAGCATCATAGATACATCTTCAGGAAAAAGTACTCCCCTATGAAAGCAAATTCAAAAAGAATTGGAAGAAGTGACTATTATACCAGATGTACATACATCAACATAAGGACAAAAGGAACACAAAAAAGCAAGGAAATATGACACCTACAAAGAAACATAATTATTCTCCAGCAACAGATTCCAATGAAAAAGAAATTTATGAAATCATGGAAAAATAATTTTAAATAATGATATTAAAGAAGCTTAGTGAGGTACAATACAACTCAGATACACAATACAAAGAAATCCAAAAACCAATTCAGGATATGAATGAGAACTTTACCAAAGAGATACATATCATAAAAAGGAACCAGTCAGAAATTCTGGAACTGAAGAATTCAACACATGAAATAAAAAAATACATTTGAAAGCTTCAATAATAGACTAGGTCAAGCAGCAGAAAGAATTTCAGAAGTTGAATACAGGTGTTTTGAAATAGCCCAGTCAGATAAAAATAAAGAAAAAGTAATTTAAAAGAATGAACACAGCCTACATGACATATGGGATACAACAAAGCAACCAAATGTTTGAATTTTCAGTGTTCCCAAAAGGTGAAAAAAAAGAAAGATAGAAAACCTATGTAACAAAATAATAGCTGAAAACTTCCCAAGTCTAGGAAGGGATTTAGACATTCAGATACAGGAAGCTCAGCCATCCCGTCAGATACAATTCAAAAAGGTCTTCTCCATAGCACATTATAGTGAAACTGCCAAAACTCAAAGAAAAGGGGAGAATTCTAAAAACAACAAAATAAAAGCATCTAGTCATTTATAAGAAAATTCCCCCATTAGACTAAGAGCAGATTTAGCGAATGGGATGACATATTCAAAGTGCTGAAAGAAAAAAACTGCCAGCAAAGAATAACATGTCCAGCAAAAGTATCCTTCATAAATGAAGGAGAAATAAAGTCTCTCCCAGACAAGTAAATTCTGGGTAAATTCATTACCATTAGATGAAACCCACAAGAAATACTTAAGGGAGTCCTAAACCCGGGAACAAAAGGACTTTTACCATCATGAAGACACATGAAAGTATAAAACTCACTGGTAAAGCAATCACACAAAGAATGAAAAGAAAGGATGCAAATGGTACAACTACAGAAATCTACCAAACCACAATGCCAAAAAATAACAGAAAAATAAAAGAACAAAGAATATATAAAACAACCTGAAAACAATTAACAATGTGACAGGAGAAAAGCCTCACAGATCAATAATAATCTTGAATATAAAAGAATGAAGCTTTCCAGTTAAATGATATAGAATAGTTAAATGGGCTTTTTAAATAATCCAACTATATGCTTCCTACAAGAAACTCACCTTACCAGTAAAGATGCACATAGACTGAAAGTAAAGGAATGGAAAAAGACATTCCACAAAAATGGAAATAAAAAGCCATGTACTACTGACATAACTTATGTCATGCCTGCTATTCAGGGGCCTAAGAACCCACCCACCCAGTCCACTGCTGGCAGGAGTAGCCATACTTATATCAAACAGACTTGAAATCAAAAGTAGTTAAAAAAAAGACAAAAAAGTTCATTATATAATGACAAAGGTATCAATCTAGCAAGAAAATATAACTATTATGAACATGTATAGACCTAACATTGGGGTACCCAGATTCATAAAGCAAATATTACTAAATCTAAAAAGAAAGATAGACTGCAATGAAGAGTGGGGGACTTCAACATCCCATTCTCAGCATTAGACCTAACAGCTAAACAGAAAAACCAGAGAAACATTATATTTAAACTGGACTTTGGACCAAATTGACCTAATATACATTTACAGAACATTCTGTCCAGCAACTTCAGAATACATATTCTTTTCCATAGTACATGAAACATTCTCCAGAATAGACCATATGTTAGGCCACAAAACAAATCTCAACATATTGTTTTTAAAAGTGAAATTATATCAAGTATCTTTCTCAGAACACAATGGAATAAAACCAGAAATCAATACAAACAAGAACTTTGGAAACTATACAAATACATGGATATTAAACCACATGCTCCTGAATGATTATTGGGTAGATGAAGAAATTAAGATGTAAATCAAAAAATGTCTTGAAATAAATGAAAATGGAAACACATCATCCTAAAACTTGTGGGATACAGCAAATGTAATGCTAAGAAGTTTATAGTAATAAATGCCTACACTGAAAAAGTAGAAAGCTTTCAAATAAATAATTTAATAGTGCACCTCAAGTAACTAGAAAAGAAAGTACAAACCAAACTCAAAATCAGCAGAAAAAAATAAAGATCAGAGCAGAACTAAATGAAATAGAGACTAAAAGAATAATACCAAGGATACAGGACCAATAGAATGAAAAGTTGGCTTTTTTGAAAAGATAAAATTAATAAGCCACTAGCTGGACTAACCAACAAAAAAGATAGAACACCCAATGAATAAAATCAGAAATGAAAAAAAAACATTTCAACTGATACTACAGAAATACAAAAGATGATCAGAGACTATTAAGAATACCTATATGTTAACAAACTGGAAAACCTGGAGAAAATGGATAAGTTCCTGGACACATGCAACTTACCAAGATTGAATCAGGAAGAAACAGAAAATGAGAATAGACCAATAATGGGTAATGAGATTGAATCAGTAATAAAAAGTCTCCCAAAAAAGAAACATCCAAGACCAGATGGCTTTACTGCCAAGTTCTACCAAACTTCTAAAGAAAACCACCAATTATCCTGAAATGATTCCAACAAAATTAAAGAGGAAGGAATACTCCCTAACTCATTCCACAAGGCCAGCATTACTCTGATACCAAAACCATATAATCACACACACAGACACACAGACACACACACACACACACACAGACACACACACACACACACACACATACACAAAAACTACAGGCCAATATCCCTGAGGAACATAGATGCAGAAGTCCTCAACGAAATGCTAGTAAATGGAATCCAATAACACATCAAGAAGATAATACATCATCGTCAAGTGAGATTTATTCCAGGGTTGCAAGGATGGTTCAGCATACACAAATCAATAAGGGTGATATAGCACATGAACGAAAAAAACATACAATCATCTCAATAGATGCAGACAAAGCATTTGATAAAATTCAACATCCCTTCATGATAAAAAAAAAAAACTCTCAACAAACCAGGTACAGAAGAAACATACCTCAACATAATAAAGGCTATATATCAAAAGTTCACAGCTAACATTATATTGAATGGGGAAAAACTGAAAGTCTTCCTCTGGGAACTGGAACAAGGATGCCCACTTTCACCACTCCTATTCAAGATGGTACTGGAAGTACTAGCCAGAACAGTCAGGTAAGAGAAAGAAATAAAAATGCATCCAAATTGGAACAGAGGAAGTCAAATAGTCCCTCTTTTCTGATGCCATGATCTAGAAAAAACTAAAGACTCTACCAAAAAACTATCAGATCTGATAAATAAATTCAGTAAAGTTGCAGAATACAAAATCAGTGTACAAAAATCAGCAATGTTTCTATACACCAATCATGATCCAGCCAAGAAAGAAACAAAAATGTTAGTTCCACTTACAATAGCTACAAAAAAAAAAAAAATCCCAAACTACCTAGGAACAAATTTAACCTATGAGGTGGAGGATTGCTACAAGGAAAACTATAAAACACTAATGAGATGGGTGGAGCCAAGATGGCCGAATAGGAAGAGCTCCAGTCTACAGCTCCCAGAGTGAGCGACGCAGAAGAGGGGAGATTTCTGCATTTCCAACTGAGGTACCGGGTTCATCTCACTAGGGAGTGTCAGAAAGTGGGTGCAGGACAGTGGGTGCAGCACACTGAGCATGAGCCAAAGCAGGGCGAGGCATCGCCTCACCTGGGAAGCACAAGGGGTCAGTGAATTCCCTTTCCTAGTCAAAGAAAGGGGTGACAGACGGTACCTGGAAAATCGGGTCACTACCACCCTAATACTGTGCTTTTCCAATGGTCTTAGCAAACGGCACACCAGGAGATTATATCCCATGCATGGCTTGGAGGGTCCTACGCCCACGAAGCCTCACTCACTGCTAGAACACCAGTCTGAAATCAAACTGCAAGGTGGCAGCAAGGCTGGGGGAGGGGTGCCCGCCATTGCCAAGGCTTGAGTAGGCAAACAAAGTGGCCAGGAAGCTTGAACTGGGTGGAGTCCACCGCAGCTCAAGGAGACCTGCCTGCATCTGTAGACTCCACCTCTGGGGGCAGGGCACTGCAAAACAAAATGCAGCAGAAACCTCTGCAGACTTAAATGTCCCTGTCTGGCAGCTTTGAAGAGAGTAGTGGTTCTCCCAGCACGCAGCTGGAGATCTAAGAATGGACAGACTGCCTCCTCAAGTGGGTCCCTGACCCCTGAGTAGCCTAACTGGGAGGCACCCTCCAGTAGGGGCAGACTGACACCTCACATGCCCGGGTACTCCTCTGAGACAAAACTTCCAGAGGAACGACCAGGCAGCAACATTTGCTGTTCACCAATATCCACTGTTCTGCAGCCTCCGCTGCTGATACCCAGGCAAACAGGGTCTGGAGTGGACCTCCAGAAAATTCCAACAGACTTGCAGCTGAGGGTCCTGACTGTTAGAAGGAAAACTAACAAACAGAAAGGATATCCACACCAAAACCCCATCTGTACATCACCATCATCAAAGACCAAAGGTAGATAAAAACACAAAGATGGGGAAAAAACAGAGCAGAAAAACTGGAAACTCTAAAAATCAGAGTGCCTCTCCTCCTCCAAAGGAATGCAGCTCCTCACCAGCAATGGAACAAAGCTGGACGGAGAATGACTTTGACGAGTTGAGAGAAGAAGGCTTCAGACGATCAAACTACTCCGAGCTAAAGGAGGAAGTTCGAACCCATGGCAAAGAAGTTAAAAACCTTGAAAAAAACTTAGATGAACAGCTAACTAGAATAACCAATGCAGAGAAGTCCTTAAAGGAGCTGATGGAGCTGAAAACCACGGAACGAGAACTACATGACAAATGCACAAGCCTCAGTAGCCGATGCGATCAACTGGAAGAAAGGGTATCAGTGATGGAAGATCAAATGAATGAAATGAAGTGACAAGAGAAGTTTAGAGAAAAAAGAATAAAAAGAAACAAACAAAGCCTCCAAGAAACATGGGACTATGTGAAAAGATTAAATCTACGTCTGATTGGCGTACCTGAAAGTGACAGGGAGAATGGAACCAAGTTGGAAAACACTCTGCAGGATATTATCCAGGAGAACTTCCCCAATCTAGCAAGGCAGGCCAACGTTCAGATTCAGGAAATACAGAGAACGCCACAAAGATACTCCTCGAGAAGAGCAACTCCAAGACACAAAATTGTCAGATTCACCAAAGTTGAAATGAAGGAAAAAAGGTTAAGGGCAGCCAGAGAGAAAGGTCGGGTTGCCCACAAAGGGAAGCCCATCAGACTAACAGTGGATCTCTCAGCAGAAACTCTATAAGCCAGAAGAGAGTGGGGGCCAATATTCAACATTCTTAAAGAAAAGAATTTTCAACCCAGAATTTCATATCCAGCCAAATTAAGCTTCATAAGTGAAGGAGAAATAAAATCCTTTACAGACAAGCAAATGCTGAGAGATTTTGTCACCACCAGGCCTGCCCTAAAAGAGCTCCTGAAGAAAGCACTAAACATGGAAAGGAACAGTCAGTACCAGCCACTGCAAAAACATGCCAAATTGTAAAGACCATCAAGGCTAGGAAGGAACTGCATCAACTAACAAGCAAAATAACCAGCTAACATCATAATGACAGGATCAAATTCACAAATAATAATATTAACCTTAAATGTAAATGGGCTGAATGCTCCAATTAAAAGACACAGACTGGCAAATTGGATAGAGTCAAGACCCATCAGTGGGCTGTATTTAGGAAATCCATCTCATGTGCAGAGACACACATAGGCTCAAAATAAAGGGATGGAGGAATATCTACCAAGCAAATGGAAAACAAAAAAAGGCAGGGGTTGCAATCCCAGGCTCTGATAAAACAAACTTTAAACCAACAAAGATCAAAAGAGACAAAGAAGGCCATTCCATAATGGTAAAGGGATCAATTCAACAAGAAGAGCTAACTATCCTAAATATATATGCACCCAGCACAGGAGCACCCAGATTCATAAAACAAGTCCTTAGAGACCTACAAAGAGACATAGATTCCCACACAATAATAATGGGAGACTTTAATACCCCACTGTCAACATTAGACAGATCAAAGAGACAGAAAGTTAACAAGGATATCCAGGAATTGAACTCAGCTCTGCACCAAGTGGACCTAATAGACATCTACAGAACTCTCCACCCCAAATCAACAGAATATACATTCTTTTCAGCACCACACCGCACTTATTCCAAAATGGACCACACAGTTGGAAGTAAACCACTCCTCAGCAAATGTAAAAGAACAGAAATTATAACAAACTGTCTCTCAGACCACAGTGCAATCAAACTAGAACTCAGGATTAAGAAACTCACTCAAAACTGCTCAACTACATGGAAACTGAACAACCTGCTCCTGAATGACTACTGGCTACATAACGAAATGAAGGCAGTAATAAAGATGTTCTTTGAAACCAACGAGAACAAAGACACAACATACCAGAATCTCTGGGACACATTCAAAGCAGTGTGTAGAGGGAAATTTATAGCACTAAATGCCCAAAAGAGAAAGCAGGAAAGACCCAAAATTGACACCCTAACATCACAATTAAAAGAACTAGAAAAGCAAGAGCAAACACATTCAAAAGCTAGCAGAAGGCAAGAAATAACTAAGACCAGAGCAGAACTGAAGGAAATAGAGACACAAAAAAACCCTTCAAAAAAATCAATGAATCCAGGGGCTGGTTTTTTGAAACTATCAACACAATTGATAGACCGCTAGCAAGACTAATAAAGAAGAAAAGAGAGAAGAATCAAATAGACGCAATAAAAAATGATAAAGGGGATATCACCACCGATCCCACAGAAATACAAGCTACCATCAGAGAATACTATAAACACCTCTATGCAAATAAACTAGAAAATCTAGAAGAAATAGATAAATTCCTTGACACATATACCCTCCCAAGACTAAACCAGGAAGAAGCTGAATCTCTGAACAGACAAATAACAGGCTCTGAAATTGAGGCAATAATTAACAGCTTACCAACCAAAAAAAGTCCAGGACCTGATGGATTCACAGCTGAATTCTACCAGAGGGACAAGGAGGAGCTGGTACCATTCCTTCTGAAACTATTCCAATCAATAGAAAAAGAGGGAATCCTCCCTAACTCATTTTATGAGGCCAGTATCATCCTGATACCAAAGCCTGGCAGAGAGACAACAAAAAAAGAGAATTTTAGACCAATATCCCTGATGAACATCGATGCAAAAATCCTCAATAAAATACTGGCAAACCGAATCCAGCAGCATATCAAAAAGCTTATCCACCATGATCAAGTGGACTTCATCCCTGGGATGCAAGGCTGGTTCAACATATGCAAAACAATAAACATAATCCAGCATATAAACAGAACCAAAGACAAAAACCATACGATTATCTCACTAGATGCAGAAAAGGCCTTTGACAAAATTCAACAACCCTTCATGCTAAAAACTCTCAATAAATTAGGTATTGATGGGACGTATCTCAAAATAATAAGAACTATCTATGACAAACCCACAGCCAATATCATACCGAATGGGCAAAAACTGGAAGCATTCCCTTTGAAAACGGGCACAAGACAGGGATGCCCTCTCTCAACACTCCTATTCAACATAGTGTTGGAAGTTCTGGCCAGGGCAATCAGGCAGGAGAAGGAAATAAAGGGTATTCAAATAGGAAAAGAGGAAGTCAAATTCCCTGTTTGCAGATGACATGATTGTATATCTAGAAAACCCCATCGTCTCAGCCCAAAATCTCCTTAAGCTGATAGGCAACTTCAGCAAAGTCTCAGGATACAAAATCAATGTGCAAAAATCACAAGCATTCTTATACACCAATAACAGACAAACAGAGAGCCAAATCATGAGTGAACTCCCATTCACAATTGCTTCAAAGAGAATAAAATACCTAGGAATCCAACTTACAAGGGATGTGAAGGACCTCTTCAAGGAGAACTACAAACCACTGCTCAAGGAAATAAAAGAGGATACAAATAAATGGAAGAACATTCCATGCTCATGGGTAGGAAGAATCAATATCGTGAAAATGGCCACACTGTCCAAGGTAATTTATAGATTCAATGCCATCCCCATCAAGCTACCAATGACTTTCTTCGCAGAATTGGAAAAAACTACTTTAAAGTTCATATGGAACCAAAAAAGAGCCCGCATCGCCAAGTCAATCCTAAGCCAAAAGAACAAAGCTGGAGGCATCGAGCTACCTGACTTCAAACTATACTACAAGGCTATGGTAAGCAAAACAGCATGGTACTGGTACCAAAACAGAGATATAGACCAATGGAACAGAACAGAGCCCTCAGAAATAATGCCACATATCTACAACCATCTGATCTTTGACAAACCTGACAAAAACAAGAAATGGGGAAACAATCCCCTATTTAATAAATGGTGCTGGGAAAACTGGCTAGCCATATGTAGAAAGCTGAAACTGGATCCCTTCCTTACACCTTATACAAAAATTAATTCATGATGGATTAAAGACTTAAATGTTAGACCTAAAACCATAAAAACCCTAGAAGAAAACCTAGGCAATACCATTCAGGACATAGGCATGGGCAAGGACTTCATGTCTAAAACACCAAAAGCAATGGCAACAAAAGCCAAAATTGACAAATGGGATCTAATTAAACTAAAGAGCTTCTGCACAGCAAAAGAAACTACCATCAGAGTGAACAGGCAACCTACAGAATGGGAGAAAATTTTTGCAATCTACTCATCTGACAAAGGGTCAGAATATCCAGAATCTACAATGAACTCAAACAAATTTACAAGAAAAAAACAAACAACCCCATCAACAAATGGGCAAAGGATATGAGCAGACACTTCGCAGAAGAAGACATTTATACAGCCAAAAGACACATGAAAAAATGCTCATCATCACTGGCCATCAGAGAAATGTAAATCAAAACCACAATGAGATACCATCTCACACCAGTTAGAATGGCGATCATTAAAAAGTCAGGAAACAACAGGTGCTGGAGAGGATGTGGAGAAATAGGAACACTTTTACACTGTTGGTGGGACTGTAAACTAGTTCAACCATTGTGGAAGTCAGTGTGGCGATTCCTCAGGTATCTAGAACTAGAAATATCATTTGACCCAGCCATCCCATTACTGGGTATATACCCAAAGGATTATAAATCATGCTTCTATAAAGACACATGCACACATATGTTTATTTTGGTACTATTCACAATAGGAAAGACTGGGAACAAAGCCAAATGTCCAACAATGATAGACTGGATCAAGAAAATGTGGCACATATACACCATGGAATACTATGCAGCCATAAAAAAGGATGAGTTCATGTTCTTTCTAGGGACATGGATGAAACTGGAAACCATCATTCTCAGCAAACTATCACAAGGACAAAAAACCAAACACCGCATATTCTCACTCATAGGTGGGAATTGAAGAATGAGAACACATGGACACAGGTAGGGGAACATCACACACTGGGGCCTGTTGTGGGGTGTGGGAGGGGGGTAGGATAGCATTAGGAGATATACCTAATGTTAAATGACGAGTTACTGGGTCCAGCACACCAACATGGCACATGTATACATATGTAACTAACCTGCACGTTGTGCCCATGTACCCTAAAACTTAAAGTATAATAAAAAAAAGAAGCTTGAAAAAAAAAACACTAATGAATGAGACAAACAAATGAAACAATATTCTATGCTCATGCATAGGAATAATTAACATTGTTAAAATGACCACAGTACCCAAAGCAATCTACAGATTTGATGCAGTGCCTATCAAAATACCAATGTCATTTTTACTGAAATAGAAAACACAATCCTACAATTTGCATGAAACCAAAAAATGGCCTGAATAGCCACAGCAATCTTAAATAAAAAGAACAAAGTGGCCAGGCACAGTGGCTCAGGCCTGTAATCCCAGTACTTTGGGAGGCCAAGGCAGGTGGATTGCCTGAGGTCAGAAGTTCGAGACCAGTCTGGCCAACATGGTGAAACCCCATCTCTACTGAAAAAAAAAAAAAATACAAAAAAATCAGCCTGCCGGGCGCAGTGGCCCACACCTATAATCCCAGCACTTTGGGAGGCCGAGGCAGGTTAATCATTAGGTCAGGAGTTCGAGAGCAGCTTGACCAACATGGTGAAAGTCCGTCTCTACTAAAAATACAAAAAATTAGCTGGGCATAGTGGTGGGCGCCTGTAATCTCAGCTACTCAGGGGGCTGAGGCAGGAGAATCGCTTGAACCCAGGAGGCGGAGATTGCAGTGAGCCGAGATCGCGCCACTGTACTCCAGCCCTGGTGACAGAGTGAGACTACGTCTCAAAAAAAAAAAAAAATTATCCAGGTGTGGTGGCATGCACCTGTAATCCCAGCTACTATGGAGGCTGAGGCAGGGGAATTGCTTGAACCAGGGAGGTGGAGGTTGCAGTGAGCCGAGATCACACCACTGCACTCCAGCCTGGGTGACAGAGCGAGATTCCATCTCAAAAACAAACAAACAAAAAAAAGAACAAGGCTTGAGGCATCACACTACCTGATTTCAAAATATATTACAACACTATAGTAACCAAAATAGCACGTTATTGGTATAAAAACAGACACATAGACCAATGAAATAGAATACAGAACCCAGAAGTAAATTCATATATTTACAGTCAACTTATTGTCAATAAAGGCTCTAAGAACACACATTGGGGAAAGGACACTCTTCAATATATGGTGCTGGGAAAATTGGATAACCATATGCAGAAGAATGAAACTGGATCCCTATCTCTCACCATATATAAAGATCAACTCAAAATGGATTAAAGACTTAAATGTAAAATCCCAAACAATAAAACTACTGGAATAAAACAGAGGAAACACTTCAAGACATTGGCCTAGGAAAATAATTTATGGCTAAGACCTCAAAAGTATAAGCAACAAAAACAAAAATAGACAAATGAAACCATTATAAACTAAAAAGCTTCTGGACAGCAAAGGAAACAAGAAACAGAGTGAAAGGACAACCCGTCAAATGGGAGAAAATATTTACAAACTATTCCCTAACAAGAGACTAATATACAGAATACACAAGGAGCTCAAACAATTCAACCTCACAAAGAAAGAAACAATCTCATTAAAAATAGGCAAAAGCTCTAAATAGACATTTCTCAAAAGAAGACATACAAATAGCCAACAGGTATATGAAAAAAACTGCTCAACACCATTAATCATCATGGAAATGCAAATCAAAACCACAATGAGATATCATCTTACTCCAGTCAGAATGGTTATTATTAAAATGACAAAAGTGAAATTTACCCTTCAACCATAGACTTTAACCACTCCCCTCCTAAGAGTTATAGTAATGTTAAAAATTCCAAACCTTTTTCTATAGATTTCCATACAGATATACACACATTCTTATGCATGCATAGATAGATTTTTCCATTATATGTGGAATCATATCTGTTTTTCATATATCTTGTAGATCTACCCATTTCTATCCATACCCGTCTATCTCCATCTCTTTAATGGTTGTATAGTATTCCATAGTATGAATGTACCACCACCACCCATGAAAATGTATTTAGTCTGTTACCAGATTTTCACCATCACAACGCATACTGCATTGGCTATCCTTGTATGTGCACATATTTTTATGCATAACCATTTGGATTGCTGTAGTATAGATTCATACAAAAAGAATTCCTGGTGAGGACGCAGAGAAAACAGAACTCTTATACCCTTGGTGGGAACATAAATTACTACAGCCACTGTGGAAAACAGTATGGAGATTTCTCAAATATCTAAAAATAAAACTACCATACAATCCAGCCATCCACTACTGGGTGTTTATCCACAGGAAAAGGAATCAGTACACTAAATAGATACCTGGACCTCCATATTTATTGCAGCTTTATTCCCAAAGAAAAAGTGTTATATATACTCAATGGAATACTATTCAGCCATAAAAAAAGAATAAAATAATGTTATTTGCAGCAACATGGATGGAATGTGAGGTCATTAAGTTAAATAAGCCAGGCACAGAAATACAAACATTGCATGTCCTCACTCATATGTGGAAGTTAAAAAAGTTCATCTTACTGAGGTAGGGAGTAGAATGATAGATACCAGAGGCTAGGAAGGGTGGGTGTTAGGGGAGGGGGAACAGAGAGAGGTTGGTTAATGGGAACAGATATATAGCTAGATGAAAAAATGAGTTATAATATTCTATAGCAGAGTAGGGTGACTATAATTAACAACAATATATTATATATTTCAAAATAGCCAGAAAGGAGAACTTGAAATGTTCCCAACACAGAGAAATGATGAATGTTTGAGGGATGGATACCCTAAATATCCTGACTTGATCATTACATATTCTATGCATGTAACAAAATATCACATGTACCCCATACATATGTAAAAATATTATGTATCATGAAAAGTAAATAAATATAAAATTATTTAGTTCTATCCTTTAAATCATTGAAGTATATGTAAATTTCATCTTAACGTTATTTAAAATTGGTCAAATAAGTAATTTAACATCATAATAGATCAGTTGATAGATTTTTTTTTCTTTTCAATGATATGTTCACACATCAAAATCACAGTTCTAGATTATATACCAAGTGTGTTATTCCTTTTAGACATACCAGGCAGGTTGAGCAATTACTGGTCACGTTCAACCCAGAGTCTTTTTGGTTTAAACCTCCTCTATCACCAGGCTCCCTTTTCAGATCCCTTTGGTTTTAAGTACCATAAAACATCTTGAAATGTACCAGGTCATCATAGTCTTTACCACATCAGCCTTATGTTCCCTCATTGACACATGGGAATATGTGGGGAGGGGGTCCTTTTTCACAATAGGAATAGATAGCCTTAAAGTTGAATTACCAAAATCTTTATACTTAGGGAAGTGATTAAGGATAAGCAAAAGCAACTGCTGTCTGTGGTCTTTGTTAACATAATTATTTGGTGTTAAAATAGAAACATAGATTGATTTATTTTATTATTATTATACTTTAAGTTTTAGGGTACATGTGCACAATGTGCAGGTTTGTTACATATGTATACATGTGCCATGTTGGTGTGCTGCACCCATTAACTCGTCATTTACATTAGGTATATCTCCTAATGCTTTCCCTCCCCCCTCCCCCCACCCCACAACAGGCCCCGGAGTGTGATATTACCCTTCCTGTGTCCATGTGGAAATCATCATTCTCAGCAAACTATCGCAAGGACAAAAAACCAAACACTGCATGTTCTTACTCATAGGTGGGAATTGAACAATGAGATTGATGTTTTAAAGAGACAAATTCAAGCCAATGCTTCCCTCAATAAAATTAAAATCAGTTCTCGACTGTCCAACCCAGTTGAGCAAAGATATCCTGGTGGCTCATGCCTGTAATCCCAGCACTTTAGAAGGCCGAGGCGGGCGGATCATGAGGTCAGGAGATGGAGACCATCCTGGCCAAAATGGTGAAACCACGTCTCTACTAAAAATACAAAAATTAACCGGGTGTGTTGGTGCGTGCCTGTAGTCTCAGCTACTCAGGAGGCTGAGGCAGGAGAACTGCTTGAACCTGGGAGGCAGAGGCTACAGAACTGAGATTGTACCACTGCACTCCAGCCTGGGAGACAGAGTGAGACTCTGTCTCAAAAAAAAAAAAAAGTTATCTACAAAACACTACAATTGGAACAAAGATTCAGTAAAAGAATGATCTGGTCCAATTGAGCTTAATCAATTGCATTACCTATATAACAACAAACTGGTAGAAACTGATATGTCATCTGCAATTAAAACATTACTTTTTTTTTTATGAGTTATAGCCTAAAGATACACTTTACAGATAGAAAAGTTGGCAGGATTTTTTATTGAGCACACTGATCTGTATTTCCTACCAAATTTCCCTATTCCTTAAATAAACTTTAATAAAACAGCCAAGTTCTGGGCATGTATTACTACTTGGTGACCATCAATGCAGAATTATTTTTATAAGGAATTATTAATCCCAAATATTTTCAACTCTATATTTCATATTTATTTGGGGCTACCAAAGGACTGTTAGGACATTGGTAAAATAAAAAACAAACCATCTGGTCATCTCACTTTGAAGTCAAATACCGAATTATGCCTCAGGGTCATAAAAGTCTGACACGCACAAACACACACACACACACACGCACACACACACACGCATGAGACAGTCACAACCCAGATATCTCTTAATTTAGTCAATAAATACTGAGAATCAATATATATACTTAGCAGGTACTAAAAATACAGTACTGTGAGGAAGACAGACATGATCCTTGCCCTCATGAAACTAACATTCATTGGGAGAGACACACATTAAACAATAAATTATTTAATCATAATTATAGTAAGCATGAGAAGGAGATATACATTGTAATCAGAGACCCAATCTAGCACTTAGAATCATATCTGATGCATAGTAATAAGCAAATGCTAGTTATTATCATCATCTAACTTCCACAGTATAATATTGAGTAAAATACTGTCAGTTTACAGATAAGGATGCTAGAGCCCAAAGGAGTTAAACAAGTTGCCTGAAGATTATACAGCTAGAAAGTGGTAGAGTGGGGATTCAAAATCCAGTCTTTTGGACTCAAAAGCCATGTTTTTCTCCATTTCGTCATACCATTAAGAGTCCCAGGAACTCTGGGTTAAAGTTTTATCCACAGCTAAAACACCAACTGCAATCTAGCCTTCTCTGGTTTCAGGTAAGGAACTGGCACAGACGAGGGGCCACATTTCTTTACTGGTCCACCCCTCTATGATTATATCCATTTTCCTCTCTGGTTCTTCCCATCTTGGTCAAATATCCCAAGGCATGAACTATGCCAGGGTTAGAGATATCCTGATTATGGCTTTCTTCTGAGCCTGACACAGATAGACAAGGAAAGGAGAAGAGAGCAGAGAAGAGAAGAAGAAAAAGAAGACAACAAATGGAGATATAAGCATATTACTAATATTATAATATAATGTTGATATAAATACTTACATTATTATAATAAGTACATTATTTAATGGCAAAAAAGTAACCACTAGAACAAAAACTCTTAAAGTGGTTGCCTCTGGAGAATGAGTCCAAGCTGTATTTTTTTATGTACCCTTCTCTAACTGTACCATTTTGTTATTGTTTTTGCTTGTTCATTTTTTGTTTTGTTTTGGCCAAGGGTAAGCATTGCTTCTATAACTGGAAAAAGAAATTGTTTAAATAAGTAAGTAAGAAATAATTTGGTGCACAGGTATGTGGATAGATGAATATGTGGATGGATGCATGGATGGATGGAGGATGGCTTATCCATGGGGTATGATGTTGCACGTCAGTTGGGAAGAGTGAGGGAGGGATAAGTTCAAAGTATGTTGTTAATAGAGGAGAACAAGCTTACAGAACAGTATAAAAACAAAAGTATTTTCCAATAGATTTTAAACACAAGAGTAATGCCTGCTTATTTTCAAATATTCAATTCTACAGAAGTATATATAGTGAAGAGTGATATATAATTTTTAAATGAAAGTGAGGTAATACAAGACATATTATTGGACAATATTTTTTTCACCAAGTGCCATCTATATTTAGTGAACATCTTTCTATGCTAGTGTAAGTAGATCTACCTCATACTTTCTAGTGAATACAAAGTACACCACTGCCTGGTGTTTCCATATTAATTTAACTAATTAGTTAGATCATCCCTAATGATGGATACTTCTCAGTTTTTATGCTATTAAAACAATTTTATAATGAATAGCCATGTGTATGTATATGTATATGTAATGTTCATACACAAATATTTTTGTAAGATAAATTCTGGAAGTAAGGACAGTGGGCCCAAAACTAAATGCATCTTACCTTTTGAAAATATTGCCTTATTTTCTCCAATAAACCTAATACCAATGTATACTCCCACCAATAGTATATGAGATGGCTTATTTACTTCATATTCTCAACCAACATTGATATGGTGTTTTCATTTGCATTTACATTTTCAATATGAATTAGATAGATCATCTTTTCATATATTTATTGACTACTTGTATTTCCTTTTTTCTGTAGATAGCTTTGCTCATATCTTTTGTCCAAGTTTTCATTCAGGTGTTCAGATTTTTTTTAATGATTTGTAATGAAAGTATCCCTATACCTATTACATGCGTTGTAAATATTTTAATGGTAAAAGTTTTAAAGTCAAGCCGTATTCCAAAAGTGTTCTGAAAGTCGAAAATATTAACTGCCAAGTAGGAGGAATGTTCATTCTAAAAATGAAAGCACCAAAACCCAGGTGTTTGAGGCATTCTTAAAAAAATAGGAAGTCATTTTTTGTCAAAAAGAAAGAATAAATAGTTTATGGAAATTGCCATCTTCAATATCACCGACTATTTACAGTGTTTTGACAATCATTAAGCTAAGAGAATCTGCAGGGATGAGATGGATACACATGAAATACATCAGTGCCTGCCAGGAAGCTAAACCACTTACAAAGTATACTCAAGTTGAGGACTTCTCTTGTTTCTCTCATTACTTTACCATGAATTGACAGGAAGGTACTTGTTTGGTAAATTGTTCCAGTGACAAAATAGTTCATATTTCTTATTTACAGTAAATGGCTAGCACCTGGAATCAGTCTGTTAGACAACATTGCTCTGAATGCGATAAACTGAATGGTAATTCAGCCCCATTCTGGACCTTCATCCTTCAGATGACTTGGCTCTTTCTCACCCAGTTTCAAAAGTGTGGATTTGAATTGGCTTATTCCTTTAGAATAGTTCCCCCAAAACCTGGGGAGGCCTGAGTCAGTCCCAATTCCAGGAATAAAATGGAATATGTCAAGTCTACTCTGGGGTAGGCCTCAATGGCTGGGATAACAACCTCCAACCAGTGGTGTGTTGTTAAGTATTCAACAACTGACTCTCCAAGGGGAGAGGGACCCCTGATGGGTAGCCTTTGCCTATTCCTGTGGTGTGAATACTCCCATCATGACCTGTTTCAATCTACCAATGTTATGTCATTCAACACAGTGTTGAAAAGAAATGTACACAATCGACTCTTAACTAGCAAGAGCAAACTGGTTCCAGCAAACTACTTCCCTCAGCCCTGTTTTATAAGCATAGCAGTGTGTGTTTGGAGCTACTCCAGAAGCAGAAATGTCCTTTGGAAACAATGTATATTCAATATGGGATGACTTCTACCAAGCAGCCAAGGCATATGAAGCCAAATATCTAGAGGTCAAGCTACTACTGTTTCCTTTAACCTAGATAAGTACAAAGAATACAGTCTTCCCAACAGATTACAGCATATCTTTCTTACTGTTTAGAAGTAAAATACCATCAATAGATTATTCCAGGCTGTGGATAAATACAAGCAACTTTATAATGTAAAGGCAGTTTCTAGACATTATGAGACAAAACTTTTTTTAAAAAAAAATGCTTCAGTTTCAAACAGAAGGTTATGACAAATAATTTCGTGATCAGCATCTGACCTAGAAACCTACAATAACAGAAAACAATGAGACACACTATGGGTGGCAACTGAATGGAGAATTCCAGGCTCTTCCTTAAAAGATACAAAAAAAAGTTATTAAAATTTATTTTCTCATTTCAATGGGAAACATCTGCATACTCTTCAGTTATATGTTTGTCCACTGACTAATAGACAAGTTACATTTTTGAGAGTGAGTTCTGCCCTCTGGGATTCATTGGTACCCCATAAGCAACCTCACTCAACTAAATTGAGCATAGCACTGAGGTCAAAATTGCAGTTATATCCTGTGTAAGCCAATGAGACTCACTCTATATCACAGCCACAGACGAAAAGCCTCACCTTGACCATTGTCCCCCAGAGACACTATATTGGTCCTCAGTGAAGTAAGGCAAGTGAAAAGCTCAGATGCAACCCATCTACTAGTAAAAACAAGTCAGAGCCACAATGCTGCTGATGACTTAGCATCATCTCTCTACATATTAAAAAAAAAAAGCACAAGTTTGCATAAATGAACAAAACAGTGCTAGTTATTTTAGCTTAGAGAAGAGACAGGGAAGGTAGGCAGAGTTTACTACATGACAGTCATTTACAACCACATTCTAGGCAACTTTGCTAGAAGATAAGCCAAAGCCAGAGCAAACATCTTTCTTCCTTGTTCACACCTTACATCAGGATCTATTCATATACCCTCTGCCGTTCTGTAAAAATATTACACCGACACCAGGAGGGGAAAAAAAGTCAGTACACCTGCCATAAGAGACCCATCAAAGACACACACTCAATATTGCAGTTAGAAAAGTGTGAATATCACAAGGCAGTCTGCCTACATTGCCAAGTCCTTATTAAAGGAATTTCTTCAAAATGTGTTTCTTTTCTAAGGAACTGAGGTGCAAACAAGCAGAAGATAACAATTGTAATAAAAACTTCTCGCATGAGATACCTCTCTCTGGAGTTCAAGATGCTCTAAATGACATGATTTCATCAAGTGAAACTGCACAATGGTTGGTTCTGAGCCAGAATGTCTTTACATGAAAAGAACTAAGGCATGACTAATTTAAGTGATTCCCTAAGGAAGTTAAAATGGTAAGTCATATGAAAATAATATAACTGAATCCAAACCTCCTGAACCACACTCCATCCATTGACAGCATATGAGAAAGCTACTGAGTACTGTTCATAGTCCATCTTGCTACTGGGTTATATAGCTCTACCTTTCCTCTCTCTTCATTTCTCTCCTGTCTTTCTTCTATTTTGGGAGAAAAAAATTATCAATTTGTCTCCTGATTGGCTAATAACCACTCCAAATCATTACCAACATCTCCTAATACATATATAAACTGGAGATCGGCCTCAGTCTGGGTGTGGAGTGGAGAGGGCCCTGTTGTACCAGGACCTATGTCCATAATGGGTGGGGCAGCTCAGGCTGCTGGTCTAGGCAAGTGGGTGCTCCAAATGCCTGGATTTCTGCTTGGGGGTATGGCAGAGAGAGCACCCTGGGGGTACGGCAGAGAGAGCACCCTGCTGCACCACTTTCTCAGGGGAGCAGGCTGCAGCACCCAGCAATGGCACACAGACTGGATGCAGGTCACCAAGCTGGTCCTGGATGCCAGCTCTCCTCCTACCCCAGGCTTGCAATGGGGGAGAGCAGAATTTTAATGCCTACTGCTGAGATGTAATATTATATATATGCACACATATATATGTATATTCTATTGTAATATAATTCTAGATGTAATATTATATATATATATAACTGCTGAGATGTACATACTTCTCTAATTAGACCTTGATGTGATTTCTCTAGTTAGACTTCTCTAATTAGACCTTGTAATATATATATAATGTATGAGAGGTATACATTATGAGATGTAATATATGTTACATCTAATATATATTACATTGTAATATATAATACATGTCAGGAATTATATATATTACAGATCAGCAGTTATATCTATATAATATTACATGTCAGCAGTAGGTACTAGAATTATAGAATGTATATGTTATTATATTATATTATTATATAAATTATAGAATTTATATATTATATTATTATATAAATTATAGAATTTATATATTATATAGAACATACATATAAATGGAACCATAAAGCCAACCCAGGCAGAATCTCTTGAGATGCTTGACATTTGACAATCAGCTGGTTTCAAAAGTTTCATGGAACACAAATGGACTACTCCATATCAAGGTCTAATAAGCACAGTCCAAGAGCCAAGTATGGGTACTAAACTGACTAACAAAAAATAACCAACTACCTATTACTGTCTTCCAAGATGGCCTCACCCAAGAGTATACCATCTCTTTTTTTTTTTTTTTTTTTTTTTTTTTTTTTGAGACAGACTCTCGCTCTGTCACCCAGGCTGGAATGCAGTGGTGCGAACTCGGCTCACTGCAAGCTCTGCCTCCCAGGCTCACACCATTCTCCTGCCTCAGCCTCCCGAGTAGCTGGGACTACAGGCACCCGCCACCATGCCCCGCTAATCTTTTGTATTTTTTAGTAGAGACGGGTTTTCACCATGTCAGCCAGGATGGTCTCGATCTCCTGACCCTGTGATCCGCCCGCCTCGGCCTCCCAAAGTGCTGGGATTACAGGCGTGAGCCACCACGCCCAGCCACCATCTCTTTAAAAAAAAAAAAATTGTATTTCAATAGTTTTGGGGGAACAGGTGGTTTTTGGTTACATGGAGAAGTTCTATAGTGGGGGTGTCTGAGATTTTGGTGCACCTGTTACCTGAGCAGTGTACACTGTGCCCAATTACACCACATCTTTTAATGCACTTCTCACCGGTCATTTTCTGTTCTTAAAACCTTTTATAGTTTCCCATTGTCCCTCACAATGTGACTTCTAACTTACTCTCCAATCTTACTTCCAGCCAAACTCCTAATGGTTTCCTACTCTTCAGCCATACTGCGCTTTTTAAGGTTCCTAGAATATGCCATTTTCTCTCTCATCTCCAGGGCCCCATACATGCTTCCTCTCTCCCTAGAATGCTAGTACTTCCTCACCTGGTTAACATTCTCATCTATTAAGTCTCATTTAAGTAGACAATTCCTCCAGAGCGTTTCCTCTGATTTGCAGAGTTGACAAGATCCCTCACTTTAACATTTCCATTGCACCTGTACTTCTCCATGATAACACTCAGCATGCTTGTAAATATTTCTTCAATGTCTATCTTTGCTTATTTTTTAATATTTTCCCTGTAGTATTTAACACAGTATTATATACATAAATGTTGGTCTATAGATATATGCTTATTTGCAATGCCATATTGGACATCCCACGTCTTCAGTAGCAATACAGTTTCATTTTCCAAGATGGTGGATTAGGGGCTTTTAGCATGCCTCAGCCACTCGGAAGTAGCAAGACAGTGCATAAATATAAACTCTGTGCAGTTTAATTCAAGGAGGAAAATGGGAATCCACTAGAATCATGAAAGATATCCCTGGTCCTGTGGAGAACACTGGCAAACAGCCCCCGTGACAGCATTTAGCTATTAAGTGAGTGAAGCTCCAGCATGTGAGAGAAGCAGAGAGCCTCCCTCTGTGACTTACCTTTCCACTGGGAATCTGAGCAACCAAGACCAAGGGAGAACACTTTGTTTCTCCCAAGACCTGGAGGTAAGTTGAGGAGAGGCTTAGAGACTCTGCAAGGGAAAGACACCAGGAAAAGTTGCAGGCATTTTCCCAGATGTGGGACTGAGAGCAGGATATCATTTTTAATCTGGGCACATACAAAGTCAGCCATTCTGTGGCAACCTGGCAGCATGACCACACAGGCATTGCCGTCTCAGACCAGACCTCTAGAGTGCCTGCCCTGGACTGGGATAAGGACATCCACAGCCAGAACTGTGGAAAGGGTTTCAGAAGTAGGCACTGGAATTCTGCTCTCCTCCATTGCAAGCCTCAGGCAGGAGGAGAGCTGCTACAGCTGCAGTTTCTCCTGGACAGTGACACTTGCAGCCAAGGCCAGCTTGATGACTGGAAACCAGTCTGTGTGTGCCATTGCTGGGTGCTCCAGCTTTCCCCCTTGAGATGGTGTATCACTCAAGGGCACTCTCTGGTATACCCCTAAGCAGAAATCCAGACATTTGGACCACCCACTTGCCTGGACCAACAGCCTGAGCTTCCTGACCCTTCATGGGCATAGATCCTGGTATAGCAAGGCCCCCTGCACTCCATGTCCAGGCAGAACTCCAGGCATTCAGAGAACCAGCTTGCTTGGATCAGCAGCCTGAGTCACCACACACTTCCTGTGCAGAGAACCTGGTACAGAAGGGCCCTCTCTGCTACACACCCAGGCAGAGCTCCAGGCATTTAGAGCACCTGCATTCCTGGTTTAGCAGCCTGAGTCACCCCCACCCCTCCTTTGCAGAAATATTGGTGCAGGGGTCCCTCTGCTCCACACTCAGGTAGATCTCCAGGTATCTGGAGCACCCATTCCTCTGGAATAGGAGCATGAGCTACCCACCATCCCTGTGCAAAGAACCTGGGGCTAAGGAGGTTTCTCAGCTCCATACGTAGGCACACCTCTGGGTGTCTGGTGGCCACCCACTAGATTCACCCTCAGTGCTTATGCCTGCCATCAGAGAACCTGTAAGTGGACCTGCCTGGTCTGGCCCCACCCATTGGGCTTCCCTGTCCCCGGCCTGAGCAGGGAGCTCAGACCACTGTGCATTCCATGAGTCAACCCATTGCCTGAGGCAACAGAGAGCCTGTGCCAGTGAACAAGGATCAAGTACATACCCCACTGCATTGGCCACAGCCAGCTCTTACCTGTAAGTACCATCAACTACCTTATAGGTCAAACTACACAGCCCAATATAAAACCTGCCCCCCAAAAGTGCATAGGGCTATGAAAGTGAAGCCAAAATATCCTACCCAGCATTCTCTACAGTTGTACCCCCTGCAGGGAAGGGAAAGGAAAAGAAAAACAATAATATTACAGGGAAAAAATAAGAAGAAATCCTACCTGCATGAAAATAATTAAAAAATTAGAAGTGCCAGTGTCTCCAGATGAGACAGAAACAGTGCAAGAATTCTGGCACCATAAAAAATCTGAATGTAGTGACATGATCAAAGGATCACACTAGCTCTCCAGAAATGGTCCCTAACCAAAGTGGAAACTCAGAAATGACAGATAAAGAAGTCAAAGAATGGATTGTAAGGAAGCTCACTGAGACCCAAGACAAGGTTGAAAATCAACACGAAGACACTTCTAAATCAATCCAGGAAATGAAGGAAGAGATAAACATTTTAAAAAGAAATCAATCAGAGCTTCTGAAATTGAAAAACTCAGTTAAGGAACTTCAGAATATAACTGAAATCTTTATCAACAGATTGAACCAAGCAGAATAAAAAATTTCAGAGCTTGAAGATGGTCTTTCAAACTAACCCAGACAAAAATAAAATAAATACAAGAACAAAGTCTTCAAGGAATATGGGATTATCTAAAGTGATGTAACTTACAAATTATTGGCATTCCTGAGAGGGAAGAAAAAGTAAACAGCCTGGAAAACATATTTGAGGGAATAATTCAAGAAAATTTCCCTAATCGTGCTAGAGATAGACATCCAGATAGAAGAAATCCAAAGAACACCTGGAAGATTCTATACAAAAGAAACATCACCAAGGCATGCAGTCACCAGACTATCCAAAGTCAATGCTAAAGAAAAAATCTTAAAGATGGCTAGAGAAGAGACAGGTCACTTGCAAAGGGAACCCCATCAGGCTAACAACAGACTTCTCAGCAGAAGCCTTAAAAGCCAAGAGAGATTCTGGGCCTATTTTCAACATTCTTAAAGAAAAGAAATTCCAACCAAGAATTTCATATCCCACCAACCTAAGCTTCAAGTTAACTCAAGATGGATTAAAGACTTAAATGTAAAACCCCAAACTATAAAAACCCTAGAAGGGAATCTAGGCAATACCATTCAGGACATTGGCATAGGCAAAGATTTCATGATGAAATCACCAAAAGTAATTGCAACAAAAACAAAATTTGACAAATTGTATCTAATTATATCCACCCAATGGGTTCACCTTTCCCACCGACTAGACATAGCTGATTTCTCAAGACAGGGGAACTGCAATAGGGAAAGGGTAATTCACGCAGAGCCGGCTGTGCGGGACACCAGAGTTTTATTACTCAAATCAGTGTCTCCGAGCATTCAGGGAGGAGAGTTTTTAAGGACAACTTGGTGGTTTGAGGGAAGCCAGTGAGCCAGAAGCATTGATTGGTCAGAAATGAAATCACAGGGAGTCGAAGCTATCTTCCTGTACTGAGTCAGTACCTGGGTGGGGGCCACAAGATTAGATGATTAGATGAGACAACTTATCAACCTGGGTAGTGCCAGCTGATCCATCAAGTGCAGGGTCTGCAAAATATTTCAAGCACTGATCTTAGGAGCAGTTTAGGAAGGGTCAGAAACTTGTAGCCTCCAGCCGCATGACTTTCAAACCATAATTTCTAATCTTGTGGCTAATGTTAGTCCTACAAAGGCAATCTAATTCCCAGGCATGAAGGAGGTCTGCTTTGGGAAAGGGCTGTTATTGTCTTCATATTAAACTATAAACTATGAAGTAAGCTTCTCCCAAAGTTAATTCAGCCTATACCCATGAATGAACAAGGACAGCTTGGAGGTTAGAAGCAACATGGAGTTGATTAAGTTAGATCTATTTCACTGTCTCCATCATAATGTTGCAAAGGCAGTTTCATAATTAAACTAAAGAGATTCTGCACAGCAAAAACAAAACAAAACAAAACAACAACAGAAAAACAACTATCATCAGAGTGAACAGGGAACATACAGAGCGGAGAAAATTTTTGCAATCTATCCATTTGACAAAGGTCTAGTATCCAGAATCTACAAGGAACTTAAACAAATTTTTTTAAAAAAGCAACCCCATTAAAAGTAGGCAAAGGACCTGAACAGACATTTCTCAAAAGAAGACATTCATGTGGCCAACAAACATATGAAAAAAAGCTCAACATCACTGATCATTAGAGAAATGCAAATCAAAACCACAATGAGATACCATCCCATGCCACTCAGAATGGTGATCATTAAAAAGTCAAGAAACAACAGATGCTGGTGAGGTTGCAGAGAAATAAGAACACTTTTATGCCATTTGTGGGAATGTAAATTAATTCAACCATTGTGGAAGATGGTGTGGTGATTTCTCAAAGATCTAGAACCAGAAATACCATTTGACCCAGCAGTCTTATTACTGGGTATATACCCAAAGGAATATAAATCATTCTATTACAAAGATATATGCACACAATTGTTCATTGCAGCACTATTCACAATAGCAAATACATGGAATCAACCTAAATGCACATCAATGATAGACTGGATAAAGAAAATGTGGTAATGTACACCATGGAATAATATGCAGCCATCAAAAGGAATGAGATCATGTCCTCTGCAGGGACATGGATGGAGCTGGAAGCCATTACTGTCAGCAAACTAATTCAGGAACAGAAAACTAAACACTTCATGTTCTCACTTATAAGTGGGAGCTGAACAATGAGAACACGTGGACACAGAGAGGGGAACAACACACACTGGGGCCTGTTGGGGGGTGGGGTTGGGGGAGGGAGAGTATTAGGAAAAATAGCTAATGCATGCTAGGCTTAATACCTAGGTGATGGGTTGATAGGTGCAGCAAAACACCATGGCACATGTTTACCTATGTAACAAACCTACACATCCTGTACATGTACCTCAGAACTTAAAATTAAAATTAAAATATTTTCCAGACAAGTAAGTGCTAAGGGAAATTTTTTTACCACTAGACCAGTCTTAAAAGAGATCCTTAAGGGATTTCTAAACATGGAAACAAAAGAATGATACCTACTACGACAAAGACACACTTGAGTACATAGCCCACAGACCCTATAAAGCAACCACACAATACAAACTACAAAACAACCAGCTAAAAACTTCATGATATGATCAAAACCTCCTATATCAATATTAATCTTGAATGCAAATGGCCTAAATGCCCCATCTAAAAGGCCCAGAGTGGTAAGTGGATTAAAAAATGAGAGAAATCCATTGCTGTCTTAAGAGACCCATCTCACATATAAATGTAATGACACCCATAAAGGATTAGAGAAAGATCTATCAGACAAATGGAAACCAAAAAAGAGCAGGGGTCATGATTCTTATGTCAGATAAAACAGAATTTAAACCAACAACAGTATTGATAAAGGGTTCAATTCAACAAGAAGACTAAAATATCCTAAATATGTACACACCCAACATTAGAGCACCCAAATTCATAAAACAAGTACTTCTAAACCTACAAAAGACTTAGCCACACAATAATAGTGTGGAACTTCAACACCCCACTGACACCACTAGACAGATCATCAAGGCAGAAAACTAACAAAGAAATCCTGGACTTGAACTCAACATTTGATCAGTTGGACCTCATAGGCATCTACAGAATATTCCACCCATCAACCTCAGAATATACATTCTTCTCATATGCACTCAGAACATACTCCAAGATTGACCACATGCTTGGCCATAAAGCAAGTCTCAATAACTTCAAAAAATAAAATCATACTCTTGGAATACAATGAAATACAAATGGAAATTAATATCAAGAAGATCTCATAAAACCACATAATTACATAGAAGACACCTACCTCAAAAAGTTAGAAAGAACTCAAATTAATGATCTAACATCATACCCAGAGGAACTAGAAAAACAATAACAAATTACCGCCAAAGCTAGCAGAAAATAAGTAAAACCAGAGACGAACTGAAGGAAATTGAGATGTAAAAATCCATATGAAGAATCAACAAAACCAAAAGTCTGTTTCTTTGAAAGGATAAACAAGATCAATAGCCTGCTAGCTAGATTAGCAAAGGAAAAAAGAGAGAAGGTCCAAATAAGCAAAATCAGAAACAACAAAGGTAAAATTACAACCAACCCATAAAAATATAAAAGATAATTAGAGGCTATTATGAAAAACCTCTATGCACACAAACTAGAAAATCTAGAGAAAACTGATAAATTCCTGGAAACACACACTCTCCCAAGATTGAATCAGGAAGAAATTGAAACTCTGAACAGACCAATAGCGAGTTCTGAAATTGAGTTAGTAATCAAAATAAAAACCTACCAACCAAAAAAAAAAAAAAAAAAAAACATGCCCTGGACCTGATGGATTTACATCCAAATTCTGCCAGGCATACAAATCACGGTGGATACAAATTCTACTGAAATGGTTCCAAAACATAGAGGAGGGAGGAATCCCCCATAACTCATTCTACAAAGCCAGCATCATTCTGATCCCAAAATCTGGCAAAGGCACAACAACAACAACAAAAAACTACAGACAAGTATCCCTGATGAACTTTGACTCAAATATCCTCAACAACATACTAGCAAACCAAATCCAACAGCACATCAATAAGTTAATTCACCATGATCAAGTAGGCTTCATTCCTGGGATGGAAGGTTGGTTCAACATATGCAAATCAATAAACATAATTCACCAGATAAACAGAATTAAAAACAAAAACCATATGATCATCTCAATAAACACAGAAAAAGTTTTCAATAAAATTCAACATCTACTCATGATGTTAAAAACCCTCAATAACTAGGCACCAAAGGAACATACCTCAAAATAATAAGAGCCACCTATGACAAACCCACAGCCAACATTATACTGAAAGGACAAAAACTGGAAGCATTCCCCTTGACAACTGGAATAAGACACAGATGCCCACTCTTACCTCTCCCATTCATTATAGTCCTAGCCATATCAATCAGACAAGAGAAAGATATAAAAGACATCCAGCTTGGAAAAGAAGGTGTCAAACTATTTCCCTTCATGGATGATATAATTCTATACCTAGAAAACCCTAAAGACTCTGTCAAAATATTCGTGGAACTGATAGATGACTTCAGTAAAATTTCAGAAGACTAAATTAATATACAAAAATAAGTAGCATTTCTATACACAAATATCATTCAAGCTGAGAGACAAATCAAGAAGGTAATCTCATTTACAGTAGCCACAAAAAAAATTAAAATACCAGTGAATACAGCTAACCATGGAGGAGAAAGATCTCTAGGACAGCTATAAAACACCGATGAAATAAATTATAGATACAAACAAATGGAAAACCATTCCATGCTCATTGATTGGAAGAATCAATATCATTAAAATAGCCATACTGCCTAAAGCAATCTACAGATTCAATGCTATTCCTATCAAACTACCAATGTCATTTTTCACAGAACTAGAAAAAAAAACTATTCAAAAATTCAAATGGAAACAAAAAAGAGATTGACTACCCAAAGCAATCCTAAACAAAAAGAAAGCTGGAGGCATCACATGACCTGGCTTCAAACTGTACTATAAGGCTATAGCAACCAAAACAGCATGGTACTGGTACAAAAACAGACCCATAAACCAATGGAACAGAATACAGAACGTAGAAATAAGGCTGCGCACCAAATCTGATCTTTGACAAAGTGAACAAAAATAAACAATGGGGAAAGGACTCCCTATTCAATAAATTGTGCTGGGATAAGTGGCTATCCATATGCAGAAGAATGAAACTGGACCCCTATCTTTCATCATATACAAAAATTAACTTTAGATTAAAGATTGAAATATAAGACCTGAGATTATAGGAATCCTGAAAGAAAACCTAGGCAACACCACTCTGGACATTGGCTTTGGGAAAGAATTTATGACTAAGTCCTCAAAAGCAATTTCGACAAAAACAAAAATTGACAAGTGGGACTGAATTAAACTAAACAGCTTCTGCACAGCAAGAACCTATCAACAGAATAAACAGACGACCTACCTATTGGGAGAAAATATTTGTAAACTATACACCCAATGAAGGTTCAATATCCAGAATCTATAAGCAACTTAAACAAATGAACAATCAAAAAACAAACAACCTCATTAAAAACTGGGCAAAGACATGAAAAGATCCTTCTCATAAGACATACAAGTGGCCAAGAAACATTTTAAAATGGTCTGCATCCCAGGAGATTCCCTCTGGTGCCTGGCTCAATGGGTCCCATGCCCATGAACCCCAGCAAGCTAAGATCCATTGGCTTGAAATTCTTTTTTTTTTTTTTTTTTTTTTTTTGAGATGGAGTCTCGCTCTGTCGCCCAGGCTGGAGTGCAGTGGCGCGATCTTGGCTCACTGCAAGCTCCACCTCCTGGGTTCACGCCATTCTCCTGCCTCAGCCTCCCGATTAGCTGGGACTACAGGCGCCTGCCATCATGCCTGGCTAATTTTTTGTATTTTTAGTAGAGACGGGGTTTCACCGTGTTAGCCAGGATGGTCTGGATCTCCTGACCTTGTGATCTGTCCGCCTCAGCCTCCCAAAGTGCTGAGATTACAGGTGTGAGCCACCGTGCCCGGCTTGAAATTCTTGCTGCTAGTGCAGCAGTCTGAAATCAACCTGGGATGCTGGAGCTTGGAGACGGGAGGGGCGTCCACCACTGCTGAGGCTTGAGTAGGCGGTTTTATGCTTGCAGTGTAAAGAAAGCTGCCAGGAAGTTCAAGCAGGGAAGAGCCCACCACAGCTCAGCAAGGCCAACTGCCTCTAGAGTCCACCTCTGTGGGAAGGGCATATCTGAACAAAAGGCAGCAGCCCCAATCAGGGACTTGTAGACAAAACCCTCATCTCCCTGGGACAGAGCACCTGGGGGAAGGTGCTCTGTGGGCACAGCTTCTGAAGACTTAAACATCCCAGCCTGACAGCTCTGAAGAGAGCAATGTTTCTCCCAGCATAGTGTTCAAGCTCTGATAATGGACAGACTGCCTCCTCAAGTGGGTGCCTGAACCCCGTATACCCTGACTTAGAGATACCTCCCAGTAGGGACTGACAGACACCCCATACAGGAGAGCTCTGGCTGGCATCTGGAAGGTGCCCCTCTAGGACAAAGCTTCCAGAGGAAGGATCAGGCAGCAATATTTGCTGTTCTACAGCCTCCATTGGTGATACTGAGGCAAACAGGGTCTGGAGTGGACCTCCAGCAAACTCCAACAGACCTGCTGCTGAGGGGCCTGTTAGAAAGAAAACTGTAGTCTTGTAGTATAGTTTGAAGTTAGGTAGCGTGATGCCTCCATCTTTGTTCTTTTGGCTTAGGATTGACTTGGCGATGCGGGCTCTTTTTTGGTTCCATATGAAATTTAAAGTAGTTTTCTCCAATTCTGTGAAGAAAGTCATTGGTAGCTTGATGGGGATCGCATTGAATCTATAAATTACCTTGGGCAGTATGGCCATTTTCAAGATATTGATTCTTCCTGCCCATGAGCATGGAATGTTCTTCCATTTGTTTGTGTCCTCTTTTATTTCATTGAGCAGTGGTTTGTAGTTCTCCTTCAAGAGGTCCTTCACATCCTTTGTAAGTTGGATTCCTAAGTATTTTATTCTCTTTGAAGCAATTGTGAATAGGAGTTCACTCATGATTTGGCTGTCTGCCTATTATTAGTGTATAAGAATGCTTGTGATTTTTGCACATTGATTTTGTATCCTGAGACTTTGCTGAAGTTGCTTATCAGCTTAAGGAGATTTTGGGCTGAGACAATGGGGTTTTCTAGATATACAATCATGTCATCTGCAAACAGGGACAATTTGACTTCCTCTTCTCCTAATTGAATACCCTTTATTTCCTTCTCCTGCCTGATTACCCTGGCCAGAACTTCCAACACTATGTTGAATAGGAGTGGTGAGAGAGGGCATCCCGGTCTTGTGCCCATTTTCAAAGGGAATGCTTCCAGTTTTTGCCCATTCAGTATGATATTGGCTGTGGGTTTGTCATAGATAGCTCTTATTATTTTGAGATACGTCCCATCAATACCTAAAAAAAAGAAAAAAGAAAGAAAACTAACAAACAAAAATGAATAAAATCAACATCAACACAAAGGACATCCACAACAAAACTCCATCCGTAGGTCACCAACATCAAACACCAAAGGTAGATAAATCCACAAAGATGGGGAGAAACCAGCACAAAATGGCTGAAAATTCCAAAAAACAGAATGCCTCTTCTCCTCCAAAGGATCACAACTCCTCTCCAGCAAGGGAACAAAACTGGACGGAGAATGAGTTTGATGAGTTGACAGAAGTAGGCTTCAGAAGGTGGGTAATAACAAACTTCTCCAAGCTAAAGGAGCATGTTCTAACCCATGGCAAGGAAGCTAAAACCTTGAAAAAAGGTTAGAGGAATGGCTAACTAGAATAACCAGTGTAGAGAATAACACAAATGACCTGATGGGGCTGAAAAACACAGCATGAGAACTTCGTGAAGCATGTACAAGCTTCAAAAGCTGATTCGATCAAGCGGAAAAAAGGATATCAGTAATTGAAGATCAACTTAATGAAATAAAGAGAGAAGACAAGGTTGGAGAAAAAAGAATGAAAAGCAATGAGCAAAGCATCCAAAAAATATGGGACTATGTGAAGAGACCAAATCTACATTTGATTGGTGTACCTGGAAGTGATGAGGAGAATGGAACCAGTTAGAAAACACTCTTCAAGATATTATCTAGAACTTTCCCAACCTAGCAAGACAGACCAACATTCAAATTCAGGATATACAGAGAACACCACAAACGTTCTCCTCAAGAAGAGCAACCCCAAGACACATAATCATCAGATTCACCAAGGTTGAAATGAAGGAAAAAAATGTTAAGGGCAGCCAGAGAGAAAGGTCGAGTTACCCACAAAGGGAAGCCCATCAGACTAACAGCAGATCACTCTGCAGAAACCCTGCAAGCCAGAAGAGAGTGGGGGCCAATATTCAACATTCTTAAAGGAAAGAATTTTCAACCTAGAATTTCATATCCAGCCAAACTAAGCTTCATAAGTGAAGGAGAAATAAAATCCGTTACAGACAAGCAAATGCTGAGAGATTTCATCACCACCAGGCCTGCCTTACAAGAGCTCCTGAAGGAAGCACTAAACATGGAAAGGAACAACCGGTACCAGCCACTGCAAAAACATGCCAAATTGTAAAGACCATAGATGCAATGAAGAAACTGCATCAACTAACAGGCAAAACAACCAGCTAGCATCATAATGACAGGACCAAATTCACACACATAACAATATCAACCTTAAATGTAAATGGGCTAAATGCCCCAATTGAAAGACACAGACTGGCAAATTGGATAAAGAGTCAAGACCCATCAGTGTGCTGTATTCAGGAGACCCATCTCATGTGCAAAGATACACACAGGCTCAAAATAAAGGGATGGAGGGAAGATCTACCAAGTAAATGGAAAGCAAAAAAAAAAAAAAAAAAAAAAGCAGGGGTTGCAATCCTAGTCTCTAAAAAAACAGACTTTAAAACAACAAAGATCAAAAGAGACAAAGAAGTTCATTACATAATGGTAAAGGGATCAATTCAACAACAAGAGCTAACTATCCTAAATATATATGCACCCAATACAGGAGCACCCAGATTCATAAAGTAAGTTCTTAGAGAACTACAAAGAGACTTAGACTCCCACACAATAATAATGGGAAACTTTAACACCCCATTGTCAACATTAGACAGATCAACGAGACAGAAAGTTAACAAGGGATTCCAGGACTTGAACTCAGCTCTGGACCAAGCAGACACAACGTGCAGTTTTGTTACATAGGTATAGACATGCCATGGTGGTTTGCTGCAACCATCAACCCATGACTTACATTAGGTATTTCTGCTAATGCTATCCCTCCCACAGCCCCCCACCCCCTGACTGGCCCAGTGTGTGATGTTCCCCTCCACGTGTCCATGTGTTCTCATTGTTCAACTCCCACTTACGAGTGAAAACATGTGGTGTTTGGTTTTCTGTCCTTGCGATAGTTTGCTGAGAATGATGGTTTTCTGCTTCATCAATGTCCCTGCAAAGGACATGAACTCATCCTTTTTTATGGCTGCATAGTATTCCATGGTGTATATGTGCCACATTTTCTTTATCCAGTCTATCATTGATGGACATTTGGGTTGGTTACAAGTCTTTGCTATTGTGAACTGTGCCACAATAAACATACGTGTGCATGTGTCTGTATACTAGCATGATTTATAATCGTTTGGGTGTATACCCAGTAATGGGATTGCTGGGTCAAATGGTATTTCTAGTTCTAGATCCTTGAGGAATTTCCACACTGTCTTCCACAATGGTTGAACTAATTTACACTCCCACCAACAGTGTAAAAGCATCCCTATTTCTCCACATCCTCTCCAGCATCTTTTTTTTCCTGACTTTTTGATGATTGCCTAACTGGCGTGAGATGGTATCTCACTGTGGTTTTGATTTGCATTTCTCTGATGACCAGTGATGATGAGCATTTTTTCGTATGTTTGTTGGCTGCATAAATGTCTTCTTTAGAGAAGTGTATGTTCATATTCTTTGCCGACTTTTTGATGGGGTTGTTTTATTCTTGTAAATTTGTTTAAATTCTTTGTAGATTCTGGATATTAGCGTTTTTCAGATGTATAGATTGCAAAATTTTGCTCCCATTCTCTAGGTTGCCTATTCACTCTAATGACAATTTATTTTGCTGTGCAGAAGCTCTTTAATTTAATCAGATCCCACGTCAATTTTGGCTTTTGTTGCCATTACTTTTGGTGTTTTAGACATGAAGTCTTTGTGCATGCCTATGTCCTGAATGGTACTGCCCAGGTTTTCTTCGAGGATTTTTATGGTCCTGGTTCTTACATTTAAGTCTTTAACCCATCTTGAGTTGATTTTTGCATAAGGTGTAAGGAAGGGGTCCAGTTTCAGTTTTCTGTGTCTGGCTAGCCAGTTTTCCCAACACCATTTATTAAATAGGGAATATTTTCCCCATTGCTGGTTTGTGTCAGGTTTGTCAAAGATCAGATGGTTGTAGATGTGTGGTGTTGTTCCCGAGGCCTCTGTTCTGTTCCATTGGTCTATAGGTCTGTTTTGGTACCAGCACCATGCTGTTTTGATTATGGTAGCTTTGTAGTATAGTTTGAAGTCAGGTAGAGTGATGCCTCCAACTTTATTCTTCTTGCCCAGGATTGTCTTGGCTATGCGGGCTCTTTTTTGGTTCCATATGAAATTTAAAGTAGTTTTTTTCCAATTCTATTAAGAAAGTCAGTGGTAGCTTGATGGGGGTAGCAATGAGTATGGAATGTTTTTCCATTTGTTTGTTTCCTCTTTTATTTCATTGAGCAGTGGTTTGTAGTTCTCCTTAAAGAGGTCCTTCACATCCCTTGTAAGTTGGATTCCTAGGTATTTTATTCTCTTTGTAGGAATTGTGAATGGGAGTTCACTCATGATGTGACTCTCTGTTATCGGTGTATAGGAATACTTGTGATTTTTGTATCCTGAGACTTTGCTGAAGTTGCTTATCAGCTTAAGGAGATTTTGGGCTGAGACGATGGGGTTTTCTAAATATACAATCATGTCATCTGTAAACAGAGACAATTTGAATTCCTCCCTTCCTATTTGAATACTTTTATTTCTTTCTCTTGCCTGATTGCCCTGGCCAGAACTTCCAGTACTATGTTGAATAAGAGTGGTGAGAGAGGGCATCCTTGTCTTGTGCTGGTTTTCAAAGGGAATGCTTCCACTTTTTGCCCATTCAGTATGGTATTGGCTGTGGGTTTGTCATAAATAGCTCTTATTATTTTGTGATATGTTCCACTGATACCTCATTTATTGAGAGTTTTTAGCATGAAGGGGTGTTGAATTTTGTTGAAGGCCTTTTCTGCATCTATTGATATAATCATGTGGTTTTGTCATTGGTTCTATTTATGTGATGGATTATGTTTATTGATTTGCATATGTTGAACCAGACTTGCATCCCAGGAATGAAGCCCACTTGAACATGTTGGATAAGCTTTTTGATGTGCTGCTGGATTTGGTTTGCCAGTATTTTATTGAGGATTTTCACATCGATGTTCATCAGGGATATTGGCCTGAAATTTTCTTTTTTTATTGTTGTCTCTGCCAGGTTTTGGTATCAGGATGATGCTGGCCTCATCAAATGAGTTAGGGAGGACTCCCTCTTTTTCTATTGATTGGAATAGTTTCAGAAGGAATGGTATCAGCTTCCTTTTGTACCTCTGGTAGAATTTGGCTGTGAATCCATCTGGTCCTGGGCTTTTTTTGGTTGGTAGGCTATTAATTGCTGCCTCAATTTCAGAATTTGTTATTCATCTATTCAGGGATTTGACTTCTTCCTGGTTTAGATTTGGAAGGGTGTATGTGTCCAGGAATTTATCCATTTCTTCTAGATTTTCTATTTTATTTGCATAGAGGTGTTTATAGTATTCTCTAATGGTAGTTTGCATTTCTGTGGGAACATTGGTGATATCCCCTATATCACTCTTTATTGCATCTATTTGATTCTTCTCTCTTTTCTTCTTTATTAGTCTGGCTAGCAGTCTATCTATTTTGTTGATCTTTTCACAGAACCAGCTCCTGGATTCATGGATGTTTTGAAGGGTTTTTCATGTCTATATCTCCTTCAGTTCCACTCTGATCTTAGTTATTTCTTGTCTTCTGCTAGCTTTTGAATTTGTTTGTTCTTGCTTCTCTAGTTCTTTTAATTGTGATTTTAGGGTGTCAATTTTAGATCTTTCCTGATTTCTCTTGTGGACATTTAGTGCCATAAATTTCTCTCTACACACTTCTTTAAATGTGTCCCAGAGATTCTGGTACATTGTGTCTTTGTTCTCATTTGTCTCACAGAACATCTTTATTTCTCCCTTCATTTCATTATTTACCCAGTAGTCATTCAGGAGCACGTTGTTCAGTTTTCATATAGTTGTGTGGTTTTGAGTGAGTTTCTTAATCTTGAGTTCTAATTTGATTGCACTGTGGTCTGAGAGACACTTTGTTATGATTTCTGTTCTTTTACATTTGCTTAGGAGTGTTTTACTTCCAATTATGCAGTCAGTTTTTGAATAAGTGTGATGTGGTGCTGAGAAGAATGTATATTCTGTTGATTTGGGGTGGAGAGTTCTGTAGATGTCTATTAGGTCTGCTTGGTCCAGAGCTGAGTTCAAGTCCTGTATATCCTTGTTAATTTTCTGTCTCTTTGATCTGTCTAATATTGACAGTGGGGTGTTAAAGACTCCCATTATTATTGTGTGGGTCTAAGTCTCTTTGTAATTCTCTAAGAACTTGCTTCATGAATCTGGGTGCTCCTGTATTAGGTGCATGTATATATAGGATAGTTAGTTATTTTGCTGCATTGATCCCTTTACCATTATGTAATGGCCTTCTTTGTCTCTTTTGATCTTTGTAGGTTTAAAGTCTGTTTTATCAGAGACTAGGATTGCAGCTCCTGCTTTTTTTTTTTTTTTTTTTTTTGCTATGCATTTCCTCAGTAAATATTCCTCCATCCCTTTATTTTGAGCCTATGTGTGTCTTTGCACATGAGATGGGTCTTCTGAATACAGCACACTGATGGGTCTTGACTCTTTATCCAATATGCCAGTCTGTGTCTTTTAACTGGAGCACTTAGCCCATTTACATTTATGGTAAATATGGTTATGTGTGAATTTGATCCTGTAATTATGATACTAGCTGGTTGTTTTGACCATTAGTTGATGCAGTTTCTTCATAGTGTTGATGGTCTTTACAATTTGGTATGTTTTTGCAGTGGCTGGTACTGGTTGTTCTTTTCCATGTTTAGTGCTTCCTTCAGGAGCTCTTGTAAGGCAGGCCTGGTGGTGATGAAATCTCTCAGCATTTGCTTGTCTGTAACGGACTTTATTTCTCCTTCATTTATGAAGCTCAGTTTGGCTGCATATGAAATTCTGGGTTGAAATTTATTTTCTTTAAGAATGTTGAATATTGGCCCCCACTCTCTTCTGGCTTGTAGGGTTTCTGCAGAGCAATCTGCTGTTAGTCTGATGGGCTTCCCTTTGTGGGTAACCAGACCTTTCTCTCTGGCTGCCCTTAACATTCTTTCCCTCATTTCAACCTTGGTGAATCTGATGATTATGTGTCTTGGGGTTGCTCTTCTCAAGGAGTATCTTTGTGGTGTTCTCTGTATATCCTGAATTTGAATGTTGGTCTGTCTTGCTAGGTTGGGGAAGTTCTCCTGGATAGTATCCTGAAGAGTATTTTCCAACTTCATTCCATTCTCCTCATCACTTCCAGGTATACCAATCATATGTAGATTTGGTCTTTTCACATAGTCCCATATTTATTTGGATGCTTTGCTCATTCCTTTTCATTCTTTTTTCTCTAACCTTGTCTTTTCTCTTTATTTCATTAGGTTGATCTTCAATCACTGATATCCTTTCTTCCGCTTGATCGAATCAGCTATTGAAGCTTGTGTATGTTTCACGAAGTTCTCTTGCTGTGTTTTTCAGCTCCATCAGGTCATTTGTGTTATTCTCTACACTGGTTATTCTAGTTAGCCATTCCTCTAACCTTTTTTCAAGGTTCTTAACTTCCTTGCATTGGGTTAGAACATGCTCCTTTAGCTTGGAGAAGTTTGTTATTACCCATCTTCTGAAGCCTACTTCTGTCAATTCATCAAACTCATTCTCTGTCCAGTTTTGTTCTCTTGCTGGTGAGGAGTTGTGATCCTTTGGAGGAGAAGAGGCGTTCTGGTTTTTGGAATTTTCAGCCATTTTGCACTGGTTTCTCCCCATCTTTGTGGATTTATCTACCTTTGGTCTTTGATGTTGGTGACCTTAAGATGGGGTCTTTGAGTGGACGTGCTATTCCTTTCTGTTAGTTTTCCTTCTGACAGACCCCTCTGCTGCCGGTCTGCTGGAGTTTGCTGGAGGTCCACTCCCAATCCTGTTTTCCTGGGTATCACCAGTGGAGGCTGCAGAACAGCAAAGATTGCTGCCTGATCTTTCCTCTGGAAGCTTCCTCCCAGAGGGTCACCTGCCAGATGTCAGCCAGAGCTCTCCTGTATGAGGTGTCTGTCTGCCCCATCTGGGAGGTGTCTTCCAGTCATGATACATGCGGTTCAGGGATCCACTTGAGGAGGTAGTCTGACCCTTATCAGAGCTTGAACACTGTGCTGGGAGGTCCACTGCTCTCTTTAGAGCTGTCAGGCAGGGGCATTTAAGTCTGCTGAAGCTTCGCCCACAACTGCCCCTTTCCCCAGGTGCTCTGTCCCAGGGAGATGGGAATTTTATCTATAAGTCCCTGACTGGGGCTGCTGCCTTTTTTTCAGAGATGCCTGCCCAGAGTAGAGAAATCTGGCAGTCTGGCCACAGCAGCATTGCTGAGCTGCAGTGGGCTCTGCCCAGTTCAAACTTCCCAGTGGCTTTGTTTACACTGTGAGCGTAATACTGCCTACTCAAGCCTCAGCAATGGCGGACTCCCCTCCCCCGAACAAGCTCGAATGTCCTGGGTCGATCTCAGACTGCTGCTGTGCTGGCAGTGAGAATTTCAAGCCAGTGGATCTTAGTTTGCTGGGCTCCGTGAGGGTGGGACCCGCCGAGTCAGACCACTTGGCTCCCTGGCTTCAGCACCCTTTTCCAGGGGAGTAATTGATTCTGTCTCACTGGTGTTCCAGGTGCCATTGGGGTATGGAGAAAAAGAACTCCTGCAGCTACTTTGGTGTCTGCCCAAATGGTCAACCAGTTTTGTGCTTGAAACCCAGGGCCCTGGTGGGGTGGGCACCAGAGGGAATCTCCTGGTTTGCGGGTTGTGAATACCATGGTATGAGTGCAGTATCTGGGCCAGAGTTCCTCAGGCTCAGTCCCTCACGGCTTCCCTTGGGTAGGGGAGAAAATTCCCCAACCTCTTGCACTTCCTAGGTGAGGCAACGCCTCACCCTGCTTCGGCTCACCCTCCATGGGCTGCAACCACTGTCCAACCAGTCCCAATGAGATGAATGGGGTACCTCAGTTGGAAATGCAGAAATCACCCGTCTCTGTGTCAATCTCACTGGGAGCTGCAGACCGGAGCTGTTCCTATTTGGCCATCTTGCCAGGAAATCCCTACCACATTTTCTTTATCCAATCTACTGTTGGTGGGTATTTAGGTTGATTACATGTCTTTGCTATTATAAATAGTGCTGTAACAAACATATGGACACATGTATCTTTATGGTAGAATGATTTATATTCTTTTAGGGATCTACCCAATAATGTATTTGCTGGGTCAGATGGTAATTCTGTTTTAAGTTCTTTGCAGAATTGCCACACTGCTTTCCACAATGGCTGAACTAATTTGCATTCTCACCAACAGTGTATAAGCATTCTGTTTTCTCTGCAACCTGTTGTTTCTTAACTTTTTCATAATGTGGCTTAATAATAGCCATAGAATAGTGATTTTAAAAAGTCAAAAAACAACAGATGCTGGTGATGCTGCAGAGAAAAGGGAACCCTTACATACTACTGGTAGGAATGCAAATTAGTTCAGCCACTGTGGAAAACAGTTTGGAGATTTCTCAAAGAAGTTAAAAGAGAACTGCCATTTGACCTAGGTCAAATGGTGATCTGTGTGACAGGATCATTCTTTACCCAAATCTCAACATCACACAATTTACACATGTAACAAACCTGCACATGTACCCCCTGAATCTAAAACAAAAGTTGAAGAAAAATTAAAAATAGCAATATAGCAAACTATCGCAAGGACAAAAAACCAAACACCACATGTTCTCACTAATAGGTGGGAATTGAACAATGGAAACACATGGACACAGGAAGGGGAACATCACACACGGGGGCCTGTTGTGGGGTAGGGGGAGGGGGAGGATAGCATTAGGAGATATACCTAATGTAAATGACGAGTTAATGGGTGCAGCACACCAACGTGGCACATGTATACATATGTAACAAACCTGCACGTTGTGCACATGTACCCTAAAACTTAAAGTATAATAAAAAAAAAGAAAATTGCTCCATGGTTTGCATATCATATCTAAATATTTTCATAGCATAAAACTGGATTTACTAATAAATAATGGGTTATTTACTAATAACCCATTACTGGGTATATATGCAAAAGAAAACAAATTTTTCTACCAAAAAGACACATGAATTCACATGTTCATTGCAGCACTATGCACAATAGCAAAAACATGGAATCAACCTAAGTGCCCATCAATGGTGGACTGGACAAAGAAAATGTGATACATATACACCACGGGATATCATGCAGCCATAAAAAATAATGAAATCATGTCCTTTGCAGCAATATGGGTGGAGCTGGAGCCATTATCCTAAACAAATTAATGCAGGAACAGAAAACCAAATGCCACTTGTTCTCACTTATAATTGGAAGCTAACCAATGAGTACGCATGGATATCAAGATGGCAGCAATAGACACTGGGGACTACTAGAAGGCAGAGGGAATGGGGCAAGTGTTGAAAAACTATTGGGTACTATGCTCAGTATCTTGGTGACAGGATCATTCTTTACCCAAATCTCAACATCACACAATTTACTCATGTAACAAATCTGCACATGTATCCCCTTAATCTAAAAAAAAAAAGTTGAAAAAAAATTAAAAATAGCAATATAGAAAATTGCTCTGTGGTTTGCATATCATATCTAAAACCTAGGTTAACTGAAATTCTGTAATGAAATAGAATATTAATATTGTTCCTACTTTTGAATAGGTACAGTGAACGTGCTTTCACTTTCTATTTTCATAGCATAAAACTGGATTTACTAATACTCTGGAGAGCTCTGTAGCTTCTAGTTCTGTACAGTTATGAGGTACTCATTAAAACAAGGCCTGGACTCTCAATGGCAGTTTGCCATTGTTAGGTTACATGTCAAAGATACCTCTAAGAAACAAATTTTTATTTTCAACATAAAGCATAAACTGGAAACACTAATTCTTTTGTATTTTATTTATCCCTGTAGATAATGATTTATGTTGCATTGCTTTTGATACTATTCCCCGCTTTCTATGGCTTTTAATTTTAATGAGGATTTCCATCATCGCATCACTCCCTTTGCTTCCAACCAGCTTGTGCTGCATATCAACGAAAGGGTTTTGGTTGCATTTTTATTCCCTCTTACTGCTGATTTCTTAGCATCAGTTTTCCTTCCCAGATGCTGTTCTAATGGACCTATGATCACAGAATTTCTATTAACATACACCTGAGACTTGTCAACATTTAAAAAGCCAAATAAAACACACACAAAAAAAACTCACATCTCACAAAGGGATGAATGGACAACTTAAAGACTCCCTCGTCAGCACAACTTGTTATGAGTCATAGAACTTTCTTCAACCTGGAGTTCATTGATGAATAAATGGGTTTTCATTTTTGCCTAAGTCGTTTCATATCTCCACCAACCTTTTTAAATGATTACGTGTGTGTGTGTGTGTGTGTGTGTGTGTGTGTGTGTGTGTGTGTGCTAAATCCATCAAAAGTTTCCTTTTCCTTTCTAAATTCGATCTGGGTTTAGGATATTCTTAAGGGAAAAATAAACATGCAGAAGGTTTCTTTAAAAAAAAATCAACCAGGCATGGTGACTCATGCTTGTGATCCCAGCACTTTGAAAGGCTGAGGTGGGAGGATCACTTGAGCCCAGGAGTTCGAGATCAGCCTCAGAAATATAGTGAGACCTTGTCTCTACAAAAAAATTTAAAAATTAGCTGAGCATGTGGCATGCACGTATAGTCTCAGATACTCAGGAGGCTGAGATGGGAGGATCACTTGAGCCCAGGAAGTGGAGGCTAGAGTGAGCCATGATCACGCCATTGCACTTCAGCCTGGGTAACCCTGTCTCAAAAAAATAAATTAATTATTTAAAAAAATTTAAAATCAATAGTTCCCCACATGGATTTGCTCATTCATTTAAACTAACCATTACTACACACTATATACAGATCATTCTTCCAGGTCCTATGGAGGACATAAATATAAAGGCATGGTCCCTGCCCTCAAAGTCATTTCAGTGAAAATCTGCAATTTCTCCTTATCCCACTTCACCCCATTTCTATCACTATCCTCAAAAATAACTCATCTACTTCAGTCAAGCTTCTACAAATGACTTCTGCCTGGTATATCTACTTTTACTCACTATTACCTCAGCCTTTATAAATGAAGACATTTTCTTCTGTATTTGTTAAATGTCTTTCACATGTGTATGCTATCAATATTATTTTTAAAATATTAGGGAAGACCTGTGGACCCCAACTATGATAAGTACTGTCCCTACCATTAGAGTAACTCTAGGTTAAAGCATTGTCCCAGGACCCCTCTTAAAATGTAGTTGCTACTTGGAAGGTATAGCATATTTTAAGCCGTAAGTAACCACAGATATTCATATAGAATAATTTATCAAATATAAATAGGAACAAGAAATTTTATCACAAAAAGAGAAAGGTCAAAGGAACAATGGCTGTTAGAGAGAACAAGTCTAAGCAAGATGCTAAAGTGTGGCCCATGATCCAACCAGAACCTAACACAGAGGCATCAGGTACAGGGATTCAGAATAGTGAGGCAGAGGTAAAAGGAACACAAAGATAAATATCTCTTCCCTCATAATTTTGTTAAAAGCCAATTTTGCATTTCAACATCCTGCATTCACAGTGAAATTCTCCCCTCATTCTAGGCCCCAAAACCTAAAAGGCCAATGAATATGGAGATGGCTGCGACTAGCCGGTTCCCTTTGTGTTCACACCAGTTGCTGAGAGTAGTTTTCATGCCATGGAGCTGTTACAAAAAATGACTGCACAAACACTTCCACTGCTTCTTGCTCCCATCCTACCTACAACCCTCTGCCTTCCAGCAGTCATGATAGAAAGCCAAGTGAAGAACAACAAAAAATGTGTAATACAAAACACACACAAAAAAAGTCTAAACTCCAGACATAAGAAGGCAAGCCTACTGATATTCCATGTTGCTAGAATTAATTACCATAAGTATACGAAGAATTTCTTTAATCCAGAAGAATTAACTATACAACTATAACTCTTTGGAGGACAGCCATTGGTTGACATTTCATCAAAATTAGAATAAAAAGACAATATAATACCCAATCCTACATATTTCTGAAACATAACTGCCCCACAATTTTCAGTCAGTCAATTTATAGACAAAAAGAATATCTCACATCATTTACCTACATTAAAAGATTACTATGAAAAATGGTTAAAATGGAAACTCCATGCATTTCTCATTTGATGTTCAATAGGTACTTAAAACTCAGCTTATCCAAAACTGAACTAAAAACCTTCCCCAAAAAACCTGCTGTGCCTCTCATGATTGGCACCTCTGTTCATGGTGCTTCCATTTGCCTGAAGTCTCAAGCTAGAAACTTCAAAGTCATCCCAAACTCTTATTCTTCTTCTTTAGGGGAAGGAACTAAAAACCTTCCCCCAAAAACCTGCTGTGCCTCTCATGATTGGTATCCTCTGTTAATGGTGCTTCCATTTACCTGAAGTCTCAAGCTAGAAGCTTCAAAGTCATCCCAAACTCTTCTTCTTCATGGCATATATCCAAATCAGTCATTAACATCTCTCATAGCTGTTCCCTCTTCTGTCTCATGACCATAGCCTTACTTCAGAGAACCATACTTTTCTCAATTGCATTCTTACCAAAGCCTCAAAAGTGGTCTGCCTTCCTCTAACCCATCCCTCATTTTGCCATCAGATTTATTTTCCTAAGAAATAATACACTTTATCATGTCTCTCTCTTTTTTTTTTTTTTTTTTAAGAGATGGAGTCTCACTCTGTTGCCCCAGGCTGGCGTGCAGTGGCCTGATCTCGGCTCACTGCAACCTCCACCTCCCAGGTTCAAGCAATTCTCCTGCCTCAGCTTCCTGAGTAGCTGGGACTACAGGTGCACACTGCCACATCCAGCTAATTTTTTGTATTTTGGTAGAGATGGGGTTTCACTGTGTTGCCCAGGCTGGTCTTGAACTCCTGAACTCAGGCAATCCACCTGCCTCAGCCTCCAAAAGTGCTAGGATTACAGGATTGCAGGCGTGAGACACCATGCCTGGCCTATCATGTCTCTTTTCAGCATATAGTTCTCCTTTGGCTTCCTGCTGACTCTATCATGATACCCAAACTCGTACATGTACATGAAGTCTGAAGGCCCTCTTTGGACTTAGGCTAATCCATCTCTCCAGCTTCATCTCCTGCCTCTCTCTCACTCACCCACTGTATGCCTCAGCTACTTTGAACTTCCTTCTGTTTTCTAATACTAGCCTGTTCCTGACTCTGTCATTACTGCGCATGTTACTTCCTCATCCTTGAATGTCTCTCTCCATTCTGGAAAACGTTCTTAATTAAACACCCCAAAATGGTCAAAATCTAAACTTTTCTCCATAGCTACCCTCTGAAAGAGCCAGGGTTCAAGAGAAGGGGACAATAACAAGAGTATACAGACAAGCCTCTCCAGGTACACTCAGGCAAAACAGCCAAACCAACCAATTAAAAGCCAAACAATGCAGGGACAATTTTTTTGGTCCCTGAATCTTCTTTTAATTATTTAAATTAATAATACCAAATATTGAGGCTCACTGACTTCATCCCTGAGTTTTGTTCTGTTGACTAGCATCTGGATTCCAGTTTGTCTTCACTATACCCTCACTAGTCTCTGTACTAGTTGGTCACAATCTCAAAGCCAAGGATTCTAAGCCTGGTATCTGTGAACTTGGATGGGAAAAACATTATACCATTATTTTCATTCACTTCTGACTGAAATTTAGCATTTCCTTCCATTATGAATCTAGGCAACAAATCACAGTGGTTTTAGCTGAACCTGTAACTTTGTCACTAATAGAAATTACAGATAATTTCATATCACATTAGAATTGTGGCAAATGAGTTAAAATACTATTTATGTTCACCTATTACTTCAAATTATGGTAGTATTAGACCCAGTATTAGATCTCATTATTAATATGTTAATTAAAAGTATGTAAAATATTATATAAAATTTGTTTTTAAAATATTTGATCATTATATTTCAATATACTTGTTTTCCTTGTATTTTATTGAATGCATGTTTAAGCAGTTTTCTGAGAAGGGATCCACAGAGTTCACCAGACTACCAAAGAGACTGGGGCACCAAAAAGGTTAAGAATACCTTGTCTCAAGCAATGCTTTTTAAATGTCAGCCTGAAAAAAAAAAATAAAAAAGGTTCCTGGGCCCCAACCCTAGAGATTCTGATTAGTTGTGTAGACAAGGATCTTCACTTTGAACCAGCATCCCTAGGTGATTTTTATGTAAGAGATCCTTGGATATTACTTTGATAGAGACTGGCCTAAAAATGTTACCTAACTTTGAGAAAATAAACCATTTGCACAAGATGAAAACAAATGAAAAGTTGTTACCTTTTAAGAATTACTCTCTCTATTCCTTGTGTCTTAAATATTCTCATAGCTTCCTGAATTGTAAGAGATCTTTTAATTCCTAATGGTATATTTAGAGAAAATGTAATCCTAGTCACTTTGGGAAGGGATAAAGGACAGGACAAAGGCATATTTTCTAGGTCAAGCATCCAGAAGACTTGCAAAATTTAAATACATTACATATACTGGACTTTCTCCAACACACTAAAGAAAGTTATTGACAATTGCAAGATTTTTAAATCTTTCCTCCAACTATAGTAAATCCAACATCACCACCACTACCACCATCATTGCCACCACCATGTTTGTCATCATTAAAATGCATTTTCTATCCACCCAACTTGTCTCCTGCACCCCGCCATAAACCCTATCTCAGTTCATAGCACCTCCAGCCAGCTACTAGCTCAAGCCAGAGCCTAGGCATAATCTTTGACTCCTTCCCCTTCCCACCTCAACATTAAATACGATTGTAAGTCTAATTAATGTCTCCCAAATCTGACATTTCTCTTCATCTCTCCTGGATTCACACTCATTGAGGTGACTACCATCTCTCTCCTGGACCACTGCAGCAGGTCCATACTGCTGTCCCTGCATCCTCACACACAGTCCATTCTCTACACAGTCTTCAGAATGGGATTTTCAAAACATAAATTTGATTGTTACTCTCCAGCTTAAAATCATTCATTCGACGGTTTGTCATTCCCATTAGGATACACTCTAAGTGCCTCAACATGCCATACGAAGCCACCTGCTACTTCTCTAATTTAATCATCTTCTCACTATCTAAACTCCAGCTACACTGCTCTTTTCCCCAAAACCAATTCACTAAGCTCTTTGCCACCTCAGGAGCTTTGCACCTACTGTCCCTTTGTCCCCTGATGCTGTCCCTTAACCTTTTACATGGTTGGATACTTTTCATCCTTTGGGGTGACCTACATGTCACTTCTTCTGAGAGGCCTTCCTCAATTACTCTAAAGTTGGTAGCTGTCCCCATTACTCTCTATCACAGCTTCATGGTCATTACCTCCATAGCAACAATCATATGTTGTAATAACATATTTATTTATTTACTTGTTCATTGCTTGTCTTGCTCAATAGACTGTAAGTTCTAAAAGGGCAGGAGCACATATGTCTTATTTGACATAATAGTAGATGTTCAATAAATATTTATTGATTGAATAAATGAATGAAAGGGCACCCCTTTTAGTGTGTTGGGTCTGAACAACTAAGAGAGCATAGCACCCCCAGAAGCTGATTGACAGACAATGGTGTTTGACAGACAGCACCAATGGAAACAAAGTTATATAGAAACTTAGGCAAGTAAGACACACTGATTAACTATTATAACTAAATATTAATGTATGTACAAGTAGAACACTAAATGCATAGTGTAGGCAGTAAGAAAGAGAAAGATATGGGAGTTTCCAATGTAACCATAATTCTGATTTCTTGGCTTCAAACCAAAATTATTGCTTGTTTACATACTAAATGCTAGTCTCTGTGCTAGGTTCTAGGGATACAGACCTGAATAAGACACAGAAGCTCCATAATGACAGGTATTCTTGTCTGCTTTGTTCACTGTTGTATCCCTCTGGGCTGACAACACTGTCTGGCAAAAGTAAGCCTTCTATAAGTATTTGTTGGGGGGAAGGCAGGCAAGAAAGCAGGCATAAGCCCTGGCTGAAAAAATATTAAAGAGAAGACAGATAAGAAATAAATATGTTACAACATTTTGGGATAAATACAATAATAGAAATGTGAAAAAATCACAAAGATAGTCCACAGTAGGGTCTTTGGTAGATAGAAAAGGCTTCGCTAGGGAGCATCAATCTGAGCTGGGATTTCAAAGACTAAAGGAAATTTATTGGGAATACCAGAGTGTAGGACACTGTTGAAGGGTCATCCACGCAGGTGGAATAACACATGTGCAGATGCATGGAAAGGTAAAGCAGCATGTTAAACTAAGAAAATTTCAATTTTTTTGGTATAACTGTAGCATAAAACAAAAATGGGTGTGGTAGGAAATAAAACTGGAAGTGAAAGAAGGATGGGGAGAAATTTGTAACAGTCCTTGGAAGAGATGAAATGGTCAGACTTGTATGTTATTTTTGACAACAGGGATGCAAAATAGGGGATGGGGCTGAGCCCAGAAGCAGACAGTTCAATTAGAAGGTTATCACAATAACTCACCTAGTTTTAGTTACTCAGTTTTACAGATAAAGAAATTGAAGTTCAAATTTCTAGGTGATTTTCTCAAGGTTACTCAACTGCTTATTGATGGAATCCAGGTTTTCTGAAGTTGAAGTTTAGTGCTCTTTCTAGCAATGGTTTCTCCCCAAAATATTTTTTTAAGTCATTACATTGGATCCTTGAAGGCAAGATGAAAATGCTTTAAAATATTTCTACAGGGTAGCAGATGCCTGAATGCTACCAATTCCCTTTTAAATTGCTATTTGGTCAAAGGAGATTAAGAAGCTCAGTGATAGAGTAGCCCAGGGACCTGGTGATATAATATTATAAAGATGTATATAGTCACCATTATAATTTCCAATGTTAGCAGCCCTGCAGATACTGAAAGACAGTAATTCTCCTTTTTAAGGATTTCAACTAGATATTAAGGACAGCTAATTTGTTTTGCCTATGTTACTAGATAATCTTTCTTTCTGATCAATGTGGTTCAGAGACCCCATCTAAAATTACTGTAATAAGTCTCTGGATCACTTTTAGATATCATGGGAGATGGGATTTGTCTGAGTGTTACAGTACTTTTCAGTGGCTAGAAAACATTTCAAATATTCTTTCCTCTCTACATAATCCTAGAAATGTTCATGAAAGATGAAATGTTACTTTTCCCCAGCATTCTCACTAGTAAAATATGAAGTCACAATGCTTAAGAAGACTTCCAAAATGGAACCGGCTATGTTTCTTACTTCTAGAAACATATATGGTGCCATAAAGATATGGATAAGAATTTGAGGGTCTGGGGAAATGCCTTGTGGTTACAGTTTAAGAATGGGATGGAATAATTCTCCTGGATTAAATTCTTAGAAGTACCACAATTTTTGTGACATCCTGTGCGACTGTTAAAACTCTTCTTGTGCTTTAGACTGCAGCCTAAATTTATGGAACTTCTTAAAATGATGGACCAGAAAGGATATTGGAGAATGTGAAAGTATGGATGTGGGTGGGTGGATGCATATGTTGTATTATCACTATACATCACCTAGCTCTATACCATGTTCCTGAAGGTACTTCAGGCAATAGTCTGCATTTGCAACTCTAATCAATTTCTCCACGATCTTGGAGTAGACAGTCTCAAATTTTCCTTTGCAGGCAACTGATAAGCACAATGTAGAAGGAGGTTGGGAAGAAGACGTGTACAGGCAGAAGTTCAGGATATGCGTGTTTGTGTGTATCTACTAAATGTGAATCTTTTTGCACTCCAAAACCAGATAAAAGTGACTTTATTATGAATACCTCTGCCCCACTTCATTACCTCCAATAACACACACACACACACACACACACACACACACACACACACACACACACATATACGGGCATTAAAAAAAATCATATGGCATCTTCTAAGCCACAAAAGGATAGAAAATGTCAACACTGCTTCAGTTTACAAAAACAAACAAACAAACAAACAAACAAATACCTAAAATAATTCTCATGCCTTTTCAAAGTAACTTAATTTATACCCAGGACATAATATTATCTGGTCTCATTCTTAGGCGATATCACAACTTCAGACCTTAAAAGGAAGAGAATTTCTTGAGTTTACCAGTAGCATAAATGAGATACGCTCCCAGATTCTATTAAGTCATACAATTGTACTGCAGATAAGGGAAACATGCTTCATAATTTAAGTGTAGCAATGCTTTTGTTTTGATATTATCATAAAGAAATTACTTTTGTTCACAGTGTTATCTGACCTTCATGCAGAAACTGATTAAAATGTTTTCCCTTTACAACAACAACTGTAAATGAAAGTTGAAATGAAATGAAATATAGGTCCTAACATCATTGTATAGGAAGCTTTCCTGTTTCCAAAAAAAAAAAAAAAAGCCACAGAAGGAAGAAACCTAGGAAGTCTCATTTCTTTTTCTATAACCAACACAATTGCCTTATACACAAAGGATATTTCATCATTCATGACTGCAAACTGTCACTTCCAGGGACAGCTTCAGTGTTGCTTGGTGAGTATTTTATACAGCTTATTCGCAAGTATTATTTGTATCAAAATGCCTTGTGACTTACAGCTAGGACAAATGTGGAAACCATCTGATAGGCTATAGTATATTACACATGCATGCTAGCGGGGCATGGAAATCCACTGTAGTGCTTGTTCCTTTTTTTGTTGCTATACTTTCTGTTGGTTATGGGAGTGGGGAGTGGGGAGGTGGGCACATATAGCTGTTCCAGTTTCTCTTTCTTGGCTACCTACTAGTCCAATACTAGTACTATTTATATTTGCCTGAACAATAATTACAAAGTCAAACGAAAGGAAGCAGATCAACCAGGCTCTCTCAACTCATAAAGCAGAGAAGGAAAAAAAGTAAGATAGTTTCTAGGTAGATCAGAATAATTTCAGACACTTGCCCCCATAGCCTGAAGAATATACTTATTTTCCTTGCCTGTGTATGTGTACCTTTACTGGTAATGGGATGCAGAAGAGTCCTGTATTCTAAGAAATCATTGGCATTATGAGAAATTTCCTGATCTGGGACTAACTTCAAAAATAAAGGTCAATGTGTTCCATTACCTGTATGTTAAGGACACTCAGTGGGATTAAAGGAAGAGAGTATGAACAAATTAAGACAATCGAATCATCTCATAGATTGTGATTAAAAGTACAGACTATAGGCTTTTAGTACTGTGAGGGACCTAAGTAGTCATCTAAAACAATCTTTCTTTTTGAAAACAAGTCAGAAAACCGAGGCCAAAAATGATCTGTGATAAGTCACACAGGAGGTCAGCAGCAAAGGCCAGCCTAGAACACAAACCTCCTGACCCATAGCCCAGCACCTCTGGTTACTGGTAAGATGCAGATCACAGCTTGTCTCTCTTGATAGGTGCTGCACTTTGATAAAAACACACAAGAAAGTCACATGCAGATGTTTCTTTCCTGAGTGTTGTTGGTACCAGTTTGGATTCTATTTAGATAGGGGAAGAAAGACTATGATTTAGAGTGCCCATCATCTTTTTGAGAATGTTCCATCTAGATAAGAACAATAGGTTCATTCATTCAAGAAACTGTGATTTTTCAAAAGAATGTCATCAAAAATCATGTGATAAAATATTCAAAACTAGTCTGATAAGTGTGTCAAGGATAAAGAGCCAACTTAGGCCAGGCACAGTGGCTCATACCTGTAATCCCAGCATTTTGAGAGATCGAGACACATGGATCACCTGAGGTCAGGAGTTCAAGACCAGCCTGACCAACATGGCTAAACCCTGTCTCTACTAAAAATACAAAAATTAGCTGGGCATGGTGGCGCACGCCTGTAATCCCAACTACTCGGGAGGCCAGGACAGGAGAATCACTTGAACCCGGGAGGCAGAGGTGGCAGTGAGCTGAGATCATGTCACTGCACTCCAGCCTGGGCGACAGAGTAAGACTCTGTCTCAAACAAACAACAAACAAACAAAAAACCCAACTTAGGCTACTATGGATGGTAGAAAGGGTAACTATTATATTAATTAGAATTTTCTTTTCTTCCTATTGTCAATGCTAACAATTTGTTTCAACTAAAGCCTCCTGCCTTCTTCAGTGTAAGTGAGCAAATGCTAACTTGTTAAAATTTCACTGAGTCTTTTATTTCACTCTAGGAACAAAGGGTCAATCTGATAACTGGTCTCAAATTAGAGGGTCTTACTAAGGCAAACATGTGGTTCGCTTTCTCAAAACAAAGTGCTGACACAAAATGTGTCAGGTTAGCCCCTTTTGAGTCTTTACACATAACATCGGCTACTAACAATTATACAAATCCCCTCCCCATGTCACAAAGTGAAAAAAAGACATCATAAAATCAAATGGTATTAAGAGATAAGGTTATGCCTACATGTCGCAAAAATATATAATTAACCTCAAAGTGTTTTCTCAATACCACTGTGATGGTTAATACTGAGTGTCAACTTGATTGGATTGAAGGATGCAAAGTATTGATCCTGGGTGTGTCTGTGAGGGTGTTGCCAAAGATTAACATTTGAGTCAGTGGGCTGGGAAAGGCAGACTCACCCTTAATCTGGGTGGGCACCACCTAATCAGCGGCCACCACAGCCAGAATATAAAGCAGGCAGAAAAACGTGAAAAGGATAGACTGGCTTAGCCTCCCGGCCTACATCTTTCTCCTGTGCTGGATGCTTCCTGCCCTCGAACATCAGACTCCACATTCTTCAGCTTTGGGACTTGGACTGGCTTCCTTGCTTCTAAACTTGCGGATGGCCTATTGTGGGACCTTGTGATCATGTGAGTTAATACTGCTTAATGAACTCCCCTTTATATGCAGAGCCTATTAATCCATTTTTGCCTAGTGTTCCATTATTGGAATGCTAAACTTGTAGGAGTTATTTATATCCTGCTGCTCAAGGTCATCGCCAAAGTCTGATTTTTCACACAAAAAAATTTGCAACCTCCGTCATAGATAAATTAATTCTATCCCAGTCAGAACCCTGACTGATACAACCTCCAAAAACAAGATGGTTGGACAGCTATATTTCATACCATTACAAAAATGAAGAAACTAAACAACCAATCTTTTCTATTTATATAAACCATGTCTTGGACATAATCTTTTTTTCACCTCTTAAAACTCAAATTGCATGCATACTTCAAGAAACATGATTGCCCCAAAGCAAACATTCAGGCACTGAGAAAGCAAGGTTTGCTGCTATCTGTGAAAGCCACAGTGAAGATTATTCAGAAGTCAAGTTTTCCACTGGACTTAAGAAATATAGAGATCTGTATAAACAAGCAACTTGTTTGCTTATATTCAGGAGACTATCCTTCATTAATCTCACTTACTTTATTAAACTTTGCTTGGTATACTATTCAAAACAGATCATCCTTTAAAAGCAAGAGTTAATTCTCCAAACCTCTAAACAATTTTTTTTTTTGCAACACTTGGAAAATCTGAGAGTAAACAACACTTAATGGGCATTAAGATAATTTGGTTTTCTAAGTTCTAGAAGTAAGTTTAAGACTGGAGATTTCTACTAAGTTTCAAAAAGATGAACTTTCAAGAATGTTCTTTCCCTATTTTCAATTCTTAGCACCAACACAGCCAGGGGATGATCCTAGATATGACTTGAATCATAAGAATGTGCAAGTGGGGGATAAATACCTCCAGAAACTCCTGCCTTGTACATGCTGCTCAGAAAGTTCAGGGGTGGTACTGTTGACTTGAAAAGGAACAGGGCTCAAGAAGTAGAGATGATAAACTTAAATGAGTGAGTGTGTGGAGGGGCGGGGAGGGGAGTGCAGTCATTAAGTCACGCACAACTTAGTGGTTAGTGGGTTTTCAAAATGCTATAGAAATCTAGAAAATTACTGAATGAAAAGTTCCATTTCTACAATGAGTAGAGAGGCAGGTGATACGCAGCATGGGCTAAGAACAAATGAGGGTTCAAAATTCCTCAAAGCCCTCATTTTTCTCTTTTCAGGTGTGACAGAATGGAAAAATATTTCAAACAAATCAGATAAAACATTTTTCCACTAAAACAAAAAAAATCACCAGGCCCATTAAGCACCAGTTACATAATGAATACCTAACATAAACTCTAAGCAATCCTGCTCCCTTCTTCCTACAGTTACTTGTGGCTGCTGGCTGGCTATCGATAATGGTCAAAGTTATTATTTCTATTGTCAAAGGTGATCTTCCCACATGGTAAACTGGCTATACAACTATACCCCATGCAGTCACTTTGCAACTACATGCCTTTGTTCAGGAGATAGAGGATGTGTATCTGTGCTAATTTATTACTATGATTGAAAAAGAAAACACTCTGTAGTTTATGCCTTTTGTCCCACTGAAAGTGAGTTGGCAGCATTACCTGTGTGGTATGTCTATTCCAACAATATGTCAGCAGTCTTAAAAGATTATCACAATAGATATATACAGTAGAGAAGGAGGGGTGCTCATGCGATTCCTCTATAGCAGTGTTTCCCAAAGGATGCACATTCTTGGGCCCCCACTTCCAGAACTAAAGTAGCACAATTTCTAAGAGTGGGGTGATTCCAATATACATTAAAGTTTGAGAATCACTGTCTATAGTGATCAGAATCCCCAAGGAGATTTCTTAGAATGCACATGCCTGTGCCACAGTTCCAGGACTACTATGTCAAGATGTCTTCTGAGGGCAGGCCTGGCCATCTGTGGTGGTGGTTGCAGAAGACAAATAATGTGATAATAGCAAAGCAAGCACTGCCCTAAATCCTTTATACGCTTCACCTCATTTATTCCCCACACAATTCTTTGAGGTAGGTATCATTACTGTCTTCATTGTACATGTATAATAACTGGGACAAGGTCAAAGAAGTTAAGCAACTTACCCAGAGCTGCAGAGCTAGTAAGTGGTGATGCTCTGTGAAGCTGGTTCAGTACCCCTGTCCTAGAAATTTATTTTAGGGCACCTACATCTTAAAAGTACTCTGATCCTCCCAAATTGCAAGGCTTACAGATCCCAGAATGATGCTGCCCTTCCCTTCACTGGGTTCAGAATTGAGGAGCTGTTTTTCAGCAACCTAAGAAGGATTGAGCCAATGAATAAAACAAAAAGCAACTAAAAAAAGAAGAGGTGCACAAGGTTCTTAGTCAAACACTTTCAGTCCTTCTCAGGAGAAAGAAAATAAGGTGAGAAAATTGCTTTTCTAATTAAGAAAGGAAAAAAGCTTGGACTCAGACTCCAGATTTTTTCCACAGCAAAAGAAGTGGGAGGCCTTTCACAAACAACACAATGCTTTTGGTCAAATTAAAGCATTAAAAATTAATGCTTACATGATAACTAAGATGCTTGACTTTACAACCCAAAGAAAATTCTTGTGGGTGTTCAGTAAAGTTGCTTGTGATCTGACAGCTGGCTACTGCAGGAAATAAAATTTCACAGTCCAAGTAGCAGTTTAGTTTGGTAGCAATTATTTAAGAGCTGGGTGGAGCCATAGACAAAGTGAATTTAGATGAATTTAAGCAACATCTCTCAAAATATTGGCCTGAAAATCTTGTTTATTGAAACATAGGATCTAATTAAACTAAGGAGCTTCTGCAAAGCCAAAGAAACTATCAACAGAAAAAACAGGAAAACCTACAGAATAAATGAAAATATTTGCAAACTATGCATGTGACAAAGGTCTAATATCCAGAATCTATAAGGATTAAACAAATTTTAAAGCAAAAATCAAACCCCATTAAAAAGTGGGCAAAGGACACAAACAGACACTTTTCAAAAGAAGACATACATGTGGCCAACAAGCATATGAAAAAAAAGCTCAACATCACTGATCATTAGAGAAATGCAAATCAGAACCCACAATGAGATACCATCTCACGCTAGTCAGAATGGCTATTAATAAAAAGTTTTAAAATAACAGATGTTGGTGAGGTTGTGGAGAAAAAGAAATGCTTATACACTGTTGGTGGTAGTGTAAATGTGTTCAACCATTGTGGAAAACAGTGTGGCAATTCCTCAAAGACCTAAAAACAGAAATACCACTCAACACGGCAATCCCATTACTGCGTACACACTCAAAGGAATATAAACCACTCTATCACAAAGGCACATTCATACGCATGTTCATTGCACCACTATTCACAATAGCAAAGACATGGAATCAACCTAAATGCCCATCAATGGAAGATTGGATAAAGAAAATGTAGTACATATACACCATGGAATACTATGCAGCCATAAAAAAAGAATGAAATCGTGTCCTTTGCAGCAACATGGATGGAGCTGGAGGCCATTATTCTTAGTAAACTAATGCAGGAACAGAAAAACAAATAACACGTTTTCACTTATAAGTAGGAGCTAAATGATGAGAACACACGGTCACATAGAGGGAAACAACACACACTGGGGCCTATCAAAGGGTGTAGGGTGGAAAGAGGGAGAAGATGAGAAAAATAACTGATGGGTACTAGGTTTAACACCTGGGTGATGAAATAATCTGTACAACAAACCTCCATGGCACAAGTTTACCTACGTAGCAAACCTGCACATGTACCCCTGAACTTAAAAGGTGCAGAGAACTGAAGGGGGCATGATTTCATTTATATATATATTATATATATATTATATATTATATATAATATATATTATATATAATATATATAATATATATAATATATATAATATATAATATATATTATATATAATATATATTATATAATATATAATATATAATATATTATATAATATATATAATATATTATATATATATTATATATCATATATTATATATATACACATATATACATATATGTGTATATATAATACATATACATGTGTGTATGTGTGTATATATACATATGTGTGTATATATATGTGTGTGTGTATATATGTCTTTTTGTGCATATGTTATGTATGGTTTATATAAAGATAGAGAAAGTGTGGAAGGATTGATTCCAAATGAATCCATTTTAAAGAGGAAGACCAGAAGGAAAAAGAAAAGATAACTGAATGTTTCTTTATTCACTCCTGTTTTGTTTGATTCGGTACAACAAATCACTACTTTTGTAATTTAAAAAACTATAAAAGAAAAAATTTTAAAATAGCTCCCATGATTTTTTCCTCTGCTGCACAGTAATGGGTTTTTACTGAGTCTATCTTTTTGACAGGCATAACAACTTTCAGTTAGAAAAATTTCCACTACCTTTTAGTCATGGCTGTAGCTCACCTACTTTATGATTTTCCTCTGATAGAAAACTTGGCAGAAACTGTTTTCTAAAAAGACCTGGCTCCTTTAAATAGATCACAGTGGGTGTATAGAGTGGTTTAAGGACCTTGGATAGGAAATGTCACTACATAGCTTCATGGGTTCACCAAAAACCCATGGTTGAACAGTTTTTCACTTAGGAGCTTTTCAACATTTGGGTCAGGAACCACTGAGATCTCCCTCCTGGGTCTGGTATTCTTTTCTTAAGCCTTATACTTGTTACTTTATACTTTTAGCAAACACTGCCCCAAAAGGAGATCCTTTAGTCATTCAGTTCACACAGGACTAAGCTTAAAAAAAAAAAAACTATTTATTGAGCACTTAGGGTATGTCAGACACTGACACTTATGGAGCAAGTCTGTGAGGGAGGCATGTATTCACCAGGAAAAGAAGGAGATGTGATAAAGAAGAGTACCCAAGGTAATGGAAAGTGCTATATCAGGATTCATAACCTCAACTCCCTGTTGCATTATCTTTACCATGCCCTGTAACCTTGAGCATGTCCCTTCCCCACCCAAGTCCTAAACTTCTTCTCCTATAGAGTAGGGAGGTTGGACTAAATCAATGATTCTCAAACTCTAACATGCATTTGTATTATCTGGGGTGCTTATTACAAAGGCAGCTTCCTATGGCCTCACCCCGAGATTTATTGAATCAGATTCTCTGGGGTGGGGGTACAGAAATAGGTATTTTTAATAAGCTCCCCTGGTGGATCTGACACATGTGGTTCTTGACCCACACTTTGAGGAACCCGGGACTCCACGTTCATTCCAGCTCTAGCATACCTTGACACAATATCCAGGTGGCACTGGTAGGGATGTTATTGTAAGGAGAATTAGAACTGAAGGAATGATTTTTCTCATCCATTAATTCCTGAGTCAGGAAACATTAAGTGCCTATTATCTGCCTATACCTATTGTCTAGTTTTCCAAATATGTTTAACTGATTTTGGTGATTTGGCAAGGAATTGGGGGATGGCCAGCTTATGAAGACTAGTATCTTTTAATATCTGGATCAGTGCTTAGTGATGTGCATGCTAATTAGAAACTGATGTAAGAAGCTGTAAGACTACTCATGATAGCAAAAAAGTGGAAACAACCTAAATGTCTACCAATTGATGAATGGTAAACAAATTGTGATATATAGATACTATGAAATATTATCTGTCAATTAAAAAGGAATAAAATACACCTGCTACAAAATGGATGCACTTTGAAAACATCATGCCAGAGCGAAGGGAGCTAGATGCAAAATGCCACATAGTGTATGATTCCATTTATACGAATTGCTTAGAATAGGCAAATCTATAGAGGCAGTAAGTTGATTAATGGTTGCGTAAGTCTGGGCTTGAGGCATCATGTTGGGTAAATGGAGTGTAACTGCTAATTGGTATTGGGTTCCTTTTTGAGATGATAAAAATATCTAAAACTGTGGTGATGGTTGCATGACTCTGTGAATATACTAAAAAATATTGAATTATACACTTTAAATGGATAAATTTATGTTATGTAAATTGTACCTCAATAATGATAATATATGTGTATATGCATGTCTATCTGAAAGAAAAACCTGGGCCAAGCATGGTGGCTCACACCAATAATCCCAGCACTTTGGGAGGCTGAGGCAGGCAGATCACTTGAGGTCAGAAGTTTTAGACCAGCCTGACCAACATGGTGAAACCCCGACTCTACTAAAAATACAAAAATTAGCCAGGCATGGTGGCACATGCTTGTAATCTCAGCTACTAGGGAGGCTGAGGCAGGAGAATCACTTGAACCTGGAGGTCGAAGCTGCAGTGAGCCGATATCACACCAGTGTGCTCCAGCCTGGGCAACAGAGTAATACTCCATCATCTCAATAAGAAAGGAAAGAAAAGAAAAGAAAAGAAAAAGAAAGAAAGAAAGAAAGAAAGAAAGAAAGAAAGAAAGAAAGAAAGAGAAAGAAAGGAGAGAAAGAGAGAGAGGGAAAGAAAGAAAGAGAGAGAGAAAGAAAAAAGAAAGAAAGAAAGAAGGAAGGAAGGAAGGAAGGGAGAGAGAGAGAAAGAAAGAAATAAAGGAGAGAGAGAGAAAGAAAGAAAGAAAGAGAAAGAAAAAAGAAAAAAAAGAAAGAAAGAAAGAGAGAAAGAAAGAAAGAAAGAAAGAAAGAAAGAAAGAAAGAAAGAAAAAGAAAGAAAGAAAGAAAAAGAAAGAAAGAGGAGAAAGGAGGAAGGGGAGGAAGGAAGGAAAGAAGGAAAGAAAAAGAAAGAAAGAGAGAGAGAGAGAGAGAAAAGAAAAAGCTGTATGATTACTTGTTGACTGTTCACCAAGTTAGAAAAAAGTATACCAACCCTTAATATAAATTGAAAATCAGCCTAATGCCGGTTTTAGCAGTCTTTTTTTCATGCAAACACACTTTACATCACTGTTTGCTCTCCATTTCAGGTAGGCCTGAGGTGTGCACATCCTGTTTGCTAGTTGGGTGCTCTGAAGCATTTTTTTTACTCACAGTATGTAAACCTTTGTTGCATTTGCTTTAATCAAATTCAAGCACTTCTGTCCACTAACAAACCATAGTAGCTGGTGTGACTGCTCTTGGCCTTGCCTGTTTTTGTAGTTGTGTACATAGCAGCGGAGTGTATGTGCCTGGAAAGAGATTTTACAATAAAATGCTTCTAATGCAGCAGTATTTAGGCAGAAAGTGTTATACTTTGCATTAAATAAAAATTTCAAGTATATCCTTTAAGTTCTCTGTCTTCTCAGGGACTGATCCTCCTGACCACCACCCCAGAAAGAGTTTGGGCAGTTTTTACCTTCCATTCTTTATTCTGGTATCTAAATTTTAGTGTCATAGGAGCTGACCATTGTGTCTCTCTTTGAGAATTCATGATGAACTTTTAAGGAAGGAGCAATTTTTTTTCTGAAAGAAAAAATTTTTATCTGAAAGAAAAAGCTGGGCCAAGCATGGTGGCTCACACCTATAATCCCAGCACTTTGGGAGGCTGAGGCAGGCAAATCACTTGAGGTCAGAAGTTCCCAGCGAATAGTATAGTATATGAAGCCTATCGGGTTCTTAGTGGATGTTTATTTAATGAAAAAAGATCTTCAGTGTCTCCCTTGGGGACCTAGAAAGGCCCTAGCTAGCATCCTTCATGCAAAAGATAATTCTGGGCTTGACTTTCCATCCCCAATGTTCCTGAGGTGAATGTGCAGATTCAGCACCTTGCTCCATAGACATAGGCATGCACCACATGAATTTTCAAATACCTACATATTAATCACATGTCAGAACCTATTAACTAATAGCTGATCTATAAACCATATGAAGAGATTAGAAGCATATAGAAAAGTATGCACACACAAATAAAAACCCTTGCAGAATACAGATTGAGATTTAATCTAATTCTGCTCAGTTTTAACTTTCCTATCATTTTTATTAGTCTTCACAGTAAAAGCTATTTGGGAGACCCACACAATACAACAGTGAAAAAGTTGGCCGAGCCACATAATGTGCCCAGCATTTCTAAGTGGCTTAGTACCTTCTTAATAAAGATCATAATTTGAATCTTTTGCTCCTTTTGCTTCTGAAAATTGGAACAAGTAAAATCATATGTTTTGAGACTAATTGAAAATCGAAGCCCAGAAGCCCATTTGCTTTGTTTGGGAGAGCATGTGCAAGTTGTTGGTTATATTTAGAGATGCATAATTTAAAACACTTTTACATTCATTCGTATAGCACTTGAAACTTTTGTGGCATTTGCATGTCAAGTATTTCATTTGAGCCTCAGAATAGCTCTTTGAGATAAGCAGAGCATGGTACTAAAATCATAGAACCACAGGATTCAAAGGCACCTAAAGGCACATAGTTCAACTGCCCATCTCACTTGGCAGGTGCCAAACTCAGGCATAGAGGTCAGTGGTTGGCTCAAGGTGGTACTGCAGGTTTTCCTACATGAGGCATTCCCTTTATAAATGTCTAATGACACTCAGAGATAGAAAATATTATTGAAACCTCTACAGTGCTCAAGGTTGGCAGGCAAGGATTAGAACCTGGAAGTTTCTGCCTTGGGGTCCTAAATACAGACTTCTCTCTCCCTCAGTACCTTTTATACACATCAGTTTGATTCTTTCCTATCATCGACTTTACTATAATCTTCTAAATATATATACCTTCTGCAGCCTCCAAAAGAGTTAAACCCCCATCAGCAGACATAAAATTTCTTGGTCTGACAATCTTATGTTGCCTTCAGTATTTCAGGTTGCCTGAGGTGCCATATTGATTAAGCTACATTCTGGAGAACTAAATATATGTAGAATATTATATGGTTCCCCTACCAAACACAAAACTATAAATTAATGGATCCCTCTTGTTGACATTGTAAAGCAGGCGTGCCTGAAGTACAACTGTAATATTCCTTGCAGGACAATGTATTTTACTTGTAATGTCTATAAAATGAATAGTTGTTCAAATGTAAAAGCTGTGACAGAACACAGATGTCTATATAGAAGGTGACATAGTGGGAGAAGGATGACAGTGAGTATTTGCAATGTAAGAAGCCAGAAAGTACTGGGGGAAGAAAATAATACAATGGACCAATGGCAGGACAACCTTTCACTATGGAAGTGACAGAGAGGTTTAATCAATACATCAATCCTGAATATAGTGAGAGGTAATATAAACATGTTTTGCTTTGTTTTCCTCTTGGTATTTTGTGGCTCTAAGTGCTGTAGAATGTAACTGAAACTGTGGCAGAAGAGTAGAATCAGGTAATTTGGGCAATTAATTAGGAGTCCTGCACATCAATGGATGTTTGTGTGGGGATAGGGGTGGGGAAGATTCTAATATAAATAGTGCTGAGGGCAGCACAGAGTGAGCTCTAGTTTGAGAAAAGTGGTTAAAATAGATTTTGACATGCATATTTTTTCCTCTTGCTCCTTTGGCTCCCCCCTTCAAAACTCCCCAGTAGATTGTTCTGTTTTTAAAATAGTCCTCCTCACTTTGGTCTTGCCCTAAGTTTCTTTTCTAACTTTTATTTTAGCTTCAGGGATACATGTGCATGTTTGTTATATAGGTAAACTATGTGTTACAGGGGTTTCGTATACAGATTATTTTGTCACCCAGGTACTAAGGCTAGTGCCTGATGAGTATTTTTTTCTGATCCTCTCCCACCCTCCACCCTCAAGTAGGCCCCAGCGGGTGTTGCTCGCCTCTTTGTGTCCATGTGTTCTCGTTGTTTAGCTCCCACTTATAAGTGAGAAGATGTGGGATTTTATTTTCTGTTCCTGCATTAGCTTGCATTAGTTTGCTTAGGATAATGGCCTCCAGGTCCATCTGTGTTGGTGCAAAGGACATGATTTCATTCTTTTTTATGGCTGCATAGTATTCCATGGTATATATGTACTACATTTTCTTTATCCAATCTTCCACGGATGGGCATTTAGGTTGATTCCATGTCTTTGCTATTGTGAATAGTGCTGCAATGAACATACATATGCATGTCATTATGATAGAGTGATTTATATTTCTTTGGGCATGTACCCAGTAATGGAATTGCTGAGTTGAATGGTATTTTTGCTTTTAGGTCTTTGATTTCTCTGCACCATAACTTTTTGACATGTATCTTTATACATAATTCTATAATACATATAAAACAGCAGTTCTCTGCCCCTACCCCAAGTCCTTTTTCTTAAAGACAACTTCAACTTTTTAAGCTATTTCATCTGTTATGTATCTCCATGTTTATAAACAATATGTTCATATTTCTGCTTCTTAGTCAATATTACATATTATCTATTGAGTTCCTAATACAGAAGATAATAACCAGTTGTCCTCTCTCAATTATTCAAATATAGCTATGTGATAATTTTACATTATTATGAATATTAAGTTGTGAGCCAAATAGTATATTATGATTTCATTTCCTTTCTTGAACTTTTTGTTTTTCCTGCAGTTATAATATGAAAATTGTCTCATTTTCACGTGACTCATTTTTCTATATCTCTATAACCAAGTGCCCCCAAACTTTCCAACAGATCATTAAAAACTCATGAAAATAATTTTCCTGGAACATCCCTCCTGGAGCCCTCTCTCTTCCTGCTGAAAATCTCAATAAGTTGTTCCCTTGACCTATTTGCACAACTGAAATGCTAGAGTTTCTCTTCACCTCTTATCTTTGTTGTATTCCCTGTTGCCTGTATCTCTTTACTACTGTGCTGGATCCCCTCTGTGTGCCCTTCCAGATCCCTTACCACCATTCTGCACGTGATCTCTGCCTTGGGACTGATTCAACATTAAAAGAACCCCCTTCGGCCCTCTCTGGTAGATCCAGCTCAGGATCAGGAAATGTGTAAGGTGTCTTCACACTGCCACTTCTATCACTGCCTTCATGTAAAAACCTCTGCCTCTTTGAGGCTCATGCCATTCAGCTTTAGCATTCTCTCTATTCTTGGAGATAGCACTAGTAGGAGCCCCTTCAAACTCTCTTTCTGTCTTTTCACATGCCCCTATCATTGTTTGAGCACTTCTTACTTTCTGGCAGCACAAGATGTGCCCACCCTCATCTTTTTGCTTCTCTGCCCCAGGCCTGAGATAAGCAATTTCTTCAAAGAACTCTGATTACTTTTAGTGAAGATTACTATTGACAAACTAAGATGTGGGTGTTTGTTATGTTTATCACTACTAATGTGTTGCTATTCCTGGCCCTCTCAGTGGACAAAGTTAGGAAATATACATATGTGTAAGATATATAATCATTTACATAGACAAATAGAAACATAAATATATACATAGATGGAGACAGAAATAGCCATGAATGACTCTGATAATTCCAATTCAAAACCACAGAGTCCCTTCTAGCCTCCCGCCTTTCCATATTTGTAACTGCCTTCTATGACAGTGAGAAGCCCACTCCTATTACTCTTAATATATTTATTTGCTCATTCTCCCAGCATGTAGTCAACTATCCGGCCTTGCCAGACTGCCACCCCACTCTGTATGAGTCCTGACCCCTGCAAGGCTACCATCCCTCATATACTCTCCTGACATAAGCCCTAGCCACTGCTGGGCTGCATCATCACCCTGCTCTTGTGTCCTCCTCATACAGACCCCGACCACCCTTGTGCTTTCTTCCCACCTCACAACCAGTTTTTACCTTAATTATCAGTCCCCGACCACCCTTGTACTTTCTTCCCACCTCACAACCAGTTTTTACCTTACTTATCAGTCCCTGATGCTTCCTTCCCTATACAGTTTCAATTCATAATCCATCACTTCCACAACTTGTACTAATATCTTCACCTTCTCATTCTTTTGTCCCTGTGATGGATCCTGGCAAAACTCAGTTCTGGATCAACACAACTGTCCACTTCCTCCATTCTTACACCTGAGCAGAGCTTGAAAAAACTGCACAGCTGTGTAGACTATTTTCACTTATAAAGTCATGATCCCTAACCTCATTGGAACTCTCACTCTTACCTAAATATTCTTCTGCATTTATTAATGACCTCTTTCCCCCAAGCTCCAATGCTCCAATTGGCTATTCAGACTTCCTTCCCAACTACTGCTACTTCCCAGAGAAAACAGAGGATAACTGAGGACATGGAACTCTTAAACACAGGATCCAATGGAATTACTCACTTTGAACAAAACACTAGGGAATTGGGTGAGTATGGGAACGGAAGGGGAGGAGGCAAGAGAATGAATGGAGTTAGAAAGTCAAGTCTGAAAGTAAAGTCAAAGGCAAGAACAACTGCCTGAATGGAAAAATGTAGTCTGAGATGAGCAGTGGGTGTTTGAAATAACTACCATGGGAAACAGATGGGAAAGAAAGCTGAATATGTACATGTAAAAGGTCTTCCTAGCACCTCTGCAGGGCCCAAATGAGGTTTTAGACCATGTACTGTTTCTGGCACAGGTATGAACTTCTCTAGAGTTCAGCCATAGAGATGTTGGAACAGAGAAAGTGGTGGTTAGATTGATCCAAAAACGGAGAGGGAGGTGTTGTAGGCAGATTTAGTGACAAGATAATGAGTCTAGAATCAGATGAAGATATTAGCAAAAGGACAATACTACAAAGTTTAGGCTGGATAACAAAGGAAATGATATTATAAAGCAGTTATTAGGTTCAATTGGGAAATAATTGTACATTTTAGACTCTGAAGCAAAAGTTTCAGAGGTTTTACCCCATCATCCCTTCTGGTTGCAAAATGCAATTATCTTTGGTCAACAGATTGCAATTACCACCTCCAAATATTAAGTAGGCTTTTTAAATGATATATCCTATGGTACAACGCCTTAGGATACTTTTGTAAAAAAGAATATAAAGACAAAATTGAAGAGTTGAGAGGGCTATGTCTATGGCTCCATCTGAAGCTTTAATTTTTAATATCATATATTTTGTGATTATAGAAGTAACATATCTTAATTGTAGAAAATTTGAAAGCTACATAACTGAGCTAAATAGTATCTGTTACTACTCTTAGTATACATACTTTTGTGTCACGTTTAAATGCATGGATTTTAGAGCGAGACTGGCTGGGTTCTCACCCCAGAACAGCCATTTCAATAGCTTTGTGACTAGGCAAATTACTGAACTCGTGTCTCAGTTTCCTCATCTAAAAATTGTAATAAAAATACCACCTACCTCCCAGTAAAATAATTATTAATATGAAATGATTTAATACATATAAAGCTGTACTAAGAATAGAACCCAGAATATAATTAGTCTCCACTGAATGTTAGCTATCATTATTTGTGGTCATAGCCCTTAGTCTAAATTCTGTGTCACAACTACCCATTATTAGGGGCATTAAATAAGACCTAGGAAATAGACGTTAGGGAAATTGATTTTTCCATTTTCTAGAAAGTTTAAAGCAGATATTTCACTAAAGGATATCTGGGCCCTGATCTGGTTTTCTTTCCTCAGATGAGGATGTGACCTTTTTGATTCTGAGTTTGGTTCAAGAACCAGGAGAGCTGTTAGTTCTAAACATCCCCTTAAATGGAAATATGGTGACATAGATGCTGAATATTAAAAAACTAATGGTGTATAGGGGAAAAAGTCAGCTGTATTTTTGGATCTGGCAAGACCATTCCCTGTATAGATAGTGGCACTGGCAAGACCATTCCCTGTACCGATAGTGGCACTGGCAGCTGTAAATCTATAGAGAACAATGGAGCAGGTAAGTTCATGCCAAGATATGCAGCATCTGCCACTATCTTATGAGGCTTTATCCTTGTCTAGTTAGAGCAGAAAATTACACTACATGGTCCTTTCCCCATATTCCCCAATCCATATTCCTCTAGAATCACTGCAAGTGTTACCAGAGCTAGCATGTAAAATACTTCAATAACTCTATATATTTATAGGATATATACAATATGTTTATAATATAAAAAATAAGAGTCCAAATAACACCTTATTATTTGTGGGTGGTTAGCTGATGGAAAGTTATATTTTTGAGCTAATATAAACCTTTACATATCAAATATTACAATTGTTTGTTTGTTCCAATTTATCTTTATTATTATATGTTTATCCATATACATTTTCTATGTTTATGTAAAATGCTCTATTGATTTTTCTGATTTCTTCTTTTATTATTATTAGAAAGTCCTGCTCCCAGGTTACTTTTATTATATTTTAGTTATTATATACTTTCCTTTTTTTACATTTAACACTTGAATCCTTCTGAAGTTCACATTTAACTTTGACTAGCTTATCTTATAAATTATATAAGCATAATAACTGCCACTGTGCTTTAAGCAGAGTATTGAGTACCATAAGCATTTTAAATGCATTATAAAATATATGCTTGTATTATTCTCACTGTAAATAAACAAAAGCACAGGCTGATTTTTTAAAGAAAATTCAGTCTTTTCACCTATAATTAACATTTTGGTGAAAAACTTTCTATACATTTCATATGCTTATATGCACACATAGATGTACACAAATACATAAACAAGTGAAAAAATTGAATTGTGTTTCTTTGTAAGCTACCTTTTCCATTAAATTATATTTATGGATATATTTCCATATCAATAAATGTAGGTCTGCTTTGTCTTTAATGTGTCCAAGTAACTGATTAAAATGATACATCCCAATTGACCTAGTCAATACACTATTAGAGCCACTTATATTGTTTTCAAAGCTTTGCCAGTATAAATGAAACATTAATGAACATCCTTGTGTATACATGTTTTAGTACTTGCATTTATCTTCTTAGAATAAATACTTAGTGAAATTGCTAAGTCATAGAAGGTATTTTACATTTTTATACAGATTGCCAATGCAATCTTTGGAAATGGACCAATTTAAACAGTACGTTGGATCATCCATATCCTCACAGGTTTGCCAAAACCATGTTTTATGTTGGTTTTGAAGCCTTCTTAATCTGATATGTGAAAACTATTAGTTTTTATTTGCAAAGTGAGTTTGGTATTCCTTTTTTGGTGAGTATTCTATTCATGAATTTTCCCCATTTTTTCTATGAGATTTATTTTGTAATTAATATGTGGAAGTTCTTTTATGTTAAGAATAACTACCCATTGTTATGTGTCACAGATATTTTTCCTAGTTTTTTAATTAACCTTGATTATGGTATTTTTTACCATAAAGACTTTTTTGAAGGTTAAATGTATCAATCTTTTCCTTTAAGCCTTCAGTCTTCATAATTAGAAAAACCTTCTCCATCTCAAGACTATAAACATATCATAAAATAAAATGTTAAATTGTAATTATATAGATTTTCAAATAATCTAAAATATCTTTGAGTGTCTTTATAGTTTTTTTTACATTTAAATCTTTGAGAAAGCTGGAATTAACTTTGGTTTAAATAGTGGGTATAGATGTAGCTTTATTAAATTTCCCCTCAATGACCAGCTGTTGTCCTAATCACATTTACTGAAAAATCTATCTTTTCCCTCAAACGCATGAATTTGAAATCTTTGTCATTTCTTAAAATCCATAATATACTTAAGATTATTTCTTTGGACACTGTTCTGTTATAGTAATGTGTCTGATCCTACACAAGTACCATAGTATTTTAATCATTATAATTTCCAATATAAGTTATACGTGATAGATCAAGTTCTTTATAATTTTTTCTTCTTCAGAGTTTTATCTGGAATTTATTCTGGTGTTTGATATGACATAAATATCTAATTTGTCTCCCAAACAGAGTCAAGATGATTCCTGTAATGTTACTAATTTGTGTTCTGAGAAGGAAGAAAAGTGGCAGCACTATGGCACTGGGAATTCTGCATAAACCCATGAAAGCAGTCACCTTTGTGAACGTGTTTTTGGTGGAAACAAGTGTTGAGAACCATTGTTGTATAATAGTGCTGTCCAGTAGAACTTACTCTGGTGATGGGAATACTCTATAGCTGTACTTTCCAATATGGTATTCACTGACCACATGTGGCTATCAAGTACTTGAAATGTGGCTAGGTGACTGAGGAACCGAAATTTTTAGTCTTATTTAATTGTAATCAGTTTAAATTTATACAACTGCATATTTATTGAATAGAGCACTTCTAGAGCATAGCTGTTTTAAAAAAATCAGTGCCCTATTATACTGCTTCATGACATTATTGGCAAATAATAGATTTGGCAATTTCCTACTTAACCTGAAACTATCATTTACATAGTAAAATGCTAAGGCTAATACTGAGATCTCAAAGGCAGCTCAATTAAATAAGTATGTAACAGATGCTTCCTATACCCTTGGCACTCTGCAGAACAAAAGACAGCCTTCCAAAAGTTTAAAATTTAGTAGAGGAGATAGAGTGATACACAAATAACAATAATGTTTGCAGAACAAGGTAAATATCATAAAAGGGGGATCAACAATGTGCCAAGAGAGTTATGAAAAGGGAGAGATTGCTGAGCACAGCGGTTCACACCTGTAACCGCGGCACTTTGGGAAGCCAAGGCAGGCAGATGGCTTGAGCCCAGAGTTCAAGACCAGCGTGGGCAACATGACAAAACCATATCTCTACAAAAAAAAATACAAAAATTAGCCGGGCATGGTGGCATGCACCTGTAGTCCCAGCTACTGGGGGCGGGAGGCTGAGGTGAGAGGATTGCTTGAGCCTGTGAGGTCAAGACTACAGTGAGCTGTGATCACACCACTGCACTCCAGCCTGGGTGGCAGAGTGAGGCCCTGTCTAAAAGAAAAGAAAGAAAAAGAAAAGGGACAGATTATTTTAGCTATGAGGTATGAGAGATAAATTAGGGAGAGTTGCATTAAGCTGTTTCTTGAATATGGTTTGTTTTCAACAGGCAGAGAAGTAGAGATGGAAATTGGGAGGAAAAATACTTCAGGGAAAAGAATGGCATAAGCAAGGGCACAAAAGATATATAACAAAGGTTATAACTGGATAATGGTGAGTGATCCAGTCTGGCTAGATTATGTGAACAGGAAGGTAGTAAGAAATATGGCTTACTAGGTACACTGAGGCTAAATATTAAAGAGCCTTAAACTTCTGGCTAAAGAATTTGGACTTAGTTTTACAGCTAATGAGGAGAGAATAAAATCCCTTTAGTCTAGTGCTATCTGAGCCAGGACCCCAGAGCAATAATAGCTTTGTGATACCAATAAAACAAAGTTTCCCAATTTGGACAGACCACCTGCCTCACAAATAATTATAAATATTAAGCAAGGTAAAGAAAGGGGAAGGGCATTCCCCAAAGTATAAAGCAAGCACAACATAAATGTTAAAAATTCATAACATAATACAATGATCTAGATGATTCCTAGAGTGATGCACACCCAAGTAAGCCAGAGCAAAATGACCTATTTGGGCATAGCAATAGACTGTTAACAAACAAAAGACTATAAAACACAGTTCTAATAATTTTTAAAAGGTGTAATTTCAGCAGGCCAACTGATAGGAAACAACACACTATTTGGGTCCCTGGATATTGAAAGGATGATATGGACTCTCTGGGTTAGGCAACAAATGTCCCAAATCTGATGTTTGAGTTCCCACCAAATGGTTGGCCGTGCTGTGTACTCACCTGCAATGTTAGAGAACTTCCTGTATTAGTTTGTTCTCATACTGCTAATAAAGACATACCCAAGACTGGGTAATTTATAAAAGAAAGAGGTTTAGTGGACTCACAGTTCCGCATGGCTGGGGAGGCCTCACAATCATGGTAGAAGGCAAAGGAGAAGCAAAAGCATGTCTTACATGGCGGCAGGCAAGAGAGCTTGTTCAGGAGAATTCCCATTTATAAAACCATCAGATCTTGTGAGATTTATTCACTACCACAAGAACAGTAGTGGGGAAACCATCCCCATGATTCAATTATCTCCACCTGGCCCCATCCTTGATACGTGGGGACTATTACAATTCAAGGTAAGATTTGGGTGGGGACGCAGCCAAACCATATCACTTCCTAAGGTTACAATGCAACTTATTTAATGCATCAGGCAACTCAAATGGTTAGAGATTATTTTAGATTCAATAACAATCTGTATGACTTAACAACCACTCACTAAGTAACACTTTTAAATAAAGAACTACATGAGCTACAGGAAGATTAATCCTAACATGTAGGATATACTGAATTAGAGAGCAGATCAAAGACAGCAAGAAAAGGCTTTTGTAGCAGGCCAGATCAAGAATCTAGAAGACCTAACTGCAAGTGGTGGCAGTACAAATGCAAAGGAGAAAACCTATTCTAGAGACAGAATTCAGGGCATTTAATAAAAGACAGGATGCACGAGGTAGTGATGGATGAGGCACACAGGAGCAGTCACAGATGAATGAGATCAGAGGTGCTAGGGTTAGAGAATAAGGACCTCATTAAAAGGAAGGGATAAAAAAAAAAAACAAAAGTTTGCTTGGGGAAAATGTCAAGTCAGTGTCTTAATACATTTTCATGACAACAGAACACCCAAATACAGGAATAAAGCAAACCAGCTAAAAAGCATTTTGAAACTCAAGAGAGAAGCCAAGGTATAGCTACACGAAGCTGTGAGATTAATGGGAAAAATAAAGCAAGAAGGCTACTAAATCTAGGCTTCTTGGCACAGGGAATATGTATTTAGATCATTTGACAAAAGATTTGGAACCATGTCTGTGGCTGGGGAAGCCCAAAAGAAACTGCCCCACAGTGGACTCACTCTAGTGCCTCTGATGTCATTAGGAGATAACTCAAAGTGAACCAGCCCAAATAGCGGTAGCTTTGGCCAGATGTATCCATGTGTTACATCCTTGCATCAGGCCTTACATTAGACACATTTTTAAAATAGAGGTGGGGTGTCACTATGTTGCCCAGACTAATCTCAAACTCCTGGGCTCAAGTGATCCTCCCGCCTCAGCCTCCCAAAGTGCTGGGATTGTTACAGATGTGAGCCACCATGCCCAGCCTGGACAGACACATTTTATTTTGGCAAATTCCTTGGCACTTGCAGCTCCAAGTCTAAAGATAATGAGAGGCTTATTTTCAAGTCCTAGCTCAGGATAATTAAAGCACATATTGCACATTCCACATTTACCTTTCTCTACCAAGTTGGCTCCAATCACAGCTTTCTGACCTAGGATCAAGGGACAGTTCTCAGAGATTAAAAGGTGTGAGTTTCTGACTACAGCTAGAAACCAGCCTTGAAAAAACCCTGTTAGTCTACATCTCGAGGTTTGGCAATGATTTTTCTTTTATATATTATTAGTGAAGACCTCAAACTTGGGACTTTTTATCTCTTCCACTTGATTACAGTGCATTTTCACAAAGGAGGTTATGGTACTTCTCAAACGAAGAAGGCAGTGTGTACATTTGTCTTCCAACAGTCCCAGCTGTAATCATTACTGCTGCAGTTACAGGAAATTTCCAAATACAAAGGATAAATATATGTTCCCCTTTGGTTTCATCATAGTGCTACAACCTGTCACAGAATCTACTCAGGGCCTCACATCACATCGTGATGATTTTATTTAAGGCACAGATGTGAACACAAAGTTCTGTTTTACCAAAGTATACGATCATTTCAACCATATTTTAACTCATTTCACCTTCCCAATCTTTCCCCTTCTTCCCAAATAGCAAATGTTTGCACTGAGACACTTCAATAAACTATGGAAGCCAGTGTATTTGATAAAGTGAAGTTTATTCTTTTAAACAAAACTGAAATAGTCACTTCATAATTCATCTTTTTTATATGGTCAGATTCTTTACAGCATGTCTTTTTAAAGCTAAATAAAATTTCAATGGGCTTTGCAGCTGTGGAGACATGTTCCAGATGGTTATAAGGGGCTGTTCTCCAGGTTATCTCACCATCAGTTCACCCTAATAAGCAGCATATGTGTGTATGGACTCTATTGCCAGTTATTGGCAAACAAGAATGTTCTACAACATTGAGGAACTATTTCTCAGGAAATGAATGGGTAAATCAAGATTCAGACTTGATTTTACCTGTAAATGCCACAGTCCAGGGGCACCCTGCTATCCACCACCCCTGACCAGTACCTTTAGCCTCTGCACAGAGAGGTCAAAGTGGTAGAAGCCCCGCAGAAACTAAAAATGGCCAATTGCTCAACCTAAGACTGGCCAGATATCAGAGAGGGAAGCAGAGGCTATTCCACAAAGCCGGATTTAAATCCTCAACCCTACTGCTCCAAAGGTCTGGCCTTGACCTATAGGGCAGAAGCAGAAGCGGCTGCAGCTGTCTGTTCACGGAGGCAGCTTTGGTCGCAACTTGCCTCTCCTTCAGACCAGCTGAGGTTAGAGTGGGCAAGCCAGGAGCCTTTGATGCCACAGCCCTTTATCCACATTTAAACGCTATTTAAATCAGCTGCTTCCACCTCAGTAATTGCAGGCTGTCTACCCCAGGGCAGCCCTCAAATTGGAGAGCTAACTGTAAGCAGGTGGTTTCAAACTGGAGTCTCCGCATCGGGTCCAGCAGCCTCACGGTGCGACTGTACTGGCCATAGAGCAGGGGTTGCTCCACGGAGGAGAGGAGTAGAAGGGATGCAAGTGGCGAAGATAGGCACTTCTGCTGAAGCCTCGGCTCAGGAATACTTGGGAATTTCACCCTCCCTAAGTCCCAGGGTAGTTGCCCAATTGCTATCTTTGGGGAAGCCGGAAGCATGGAGAAGAACGCGTTCTGTGCGGCAAGAAGGGGTGGAAGCCTAAGTATCCGAGACCCTGCTGGCAAAGAGCCCAGTGGTACAACAATGCATGGATACTAGTGCCCCAAATAATCTGCTTCCACGGCGGGTAATTGTGGGCTATCTAGCCCAGGGCGGCCCGCAAATTAGAGAGTTCACACCGTACGGGTCGGCTCAGAGATGAAGCCAAAACCTTGGGTCGGCTGCTGCGGTGGGGTGGGAGATGAGGATGTCAGTGGGAAAATGGACCCCAGTCCCAGACACTTGTCCCAAAAACTTAACTCCTTCATTCCCAGGGACTCTGTCACTGAGGTAGTCTTCCTGAACTGTAGGACGCCCGTGCTGAACTTGCAGGCTCAGAGAAGTGTCCTTTCCTCCCTCCCTCCCTTACTTCCTTGGGGTCTGTTCCCAGCTATGCCGCATGTTTAATAATCTACAGCTTGATTCCCCTGGCCAGGAAAAGAAAGGAGGATTCCTTCTTGGAGGTCTACACATTCGATTGAAGGTAGTGGTGGTGGGCAGGTCCCGCTTCCTCATTCGGGGACAAGATACTCCTAAATAGACTCCCCCTAAAAAAAACACCTGTGATAGGCTCTAGAGTAGCTTTCAACTGAGAAGTACTTTTCCAATACTTCTGTGCAGTCACAACTTTTGTGGGTGGCAAGGGGAAAATCTTGAATACTTGTTTACTAATGTCTCTAAGTCCTTGGGCGGCACAGATGGAGAGGGGATGGCTGCAGGGACCAGGAGAAACCCCTGAAGCAGACATTTGTTATAATACACATTTCCCTTGCCAGGGTCTCCTTGCCAAAGCATTTTTCTTAAACGTCTGATGGTGACAGATCAAGCTGTTTGCTCCAATGCCAGGCCCAGAGAGGCAAGGCGAGCCACTCGCGAGTGGCTATCCCTACTCTCCCACTCTAGTTTTCCTTCACAAGGAGTCTGAAGCGCAATTTGGCGCGGGCAGATCCTCACGCCTGAGCAGCAGTGGGGACCTGGGAAACCCACTCTAGGGGTATCGGGGATTCTTGCGGGAAGAGGAAAGGGGGCGTCTCGGGAACCACAGGGGAAGTACCTTCAGGCTCTCAGTGCAGGAGCACAGAGATGGCCCCAGATATCCAGCGATCTCCCCTGCCTAGTGCTTGGTGGGAATCCCAGGAGCGGCAGCGTATTGCTGGGGAACCCCTCGCTGCTCCACCCAGGAGCCGCCTTGAGCCTCTTCCCAGCTCCAGTTGCTCTCCCAGCTGCGGCAGAAATGTGGGCAGTCAGAAGCGCCCAGTTGGAAATTGCCTTCCAGGCTGCAGAGCCCGCGCGCCAGCCGCAGAGAGCATGAAGATCCCGCCGCGGAAACGCAACGCTTGGGCTCGCGGGCACCTGAAGGACGGCGCACGCTCCTCCCAGGCGAAGAGCCCCTGGCCTTCGGAGCTCTATTCCCTAAACTTTCTGGGAAGGCTAAAGGAAGAGAAAGCCAACTGGCAAATTTCCAGGCGCGGAGACCAGAGCTGCAGGAAAGATAAAGCCTCCATTGGCTGCGGCCTGCCCCGCTGCCAACTGAGAGCGCAGCGCGTTCTCCCCTGGCCCTTGCCAGTCAACTCTCCAGCTCTGCGAGTGGACATTACCTGAGTCTTGCAAAACGGCCAGCAAAACGTCCAGCAGGTCTCAGATGCGTAGTTCCATGTCCAGGGCGAGACGGCGAGCCGGGTTCCGGAGAGCGCGGGCTGGGACTTCCCAGGCAGTCGGAGTGGCTGAAGGGGGCGCGAGGAAGACCGCGTCTCCCCAAACAGCGGACAGTACAGCCCCGCCTGTTTTTTCCACTCCCTGTCTTAGCCAAAGAGGATACTAGTAAACTTCCCCCCAGCCAGGGAAGATTTCTAGAGTTCAGCAGAGCTTCTGTGGACTTTGGGGAGAGCTGGAAAGGGAGAGTTAAGGAGGGTTTCTAAATTACTCAGCTCCGTAGTTAGAATGGCAGATGCTGCCTCTGTCTCTCAGTGACTAGACTCTCCTAAGTCGCCTGCCTCCCAGACTCTTCCTTTTGCGCGACTTCGCTTCGGAGCAGCCTTGCCCCAGCAACACCTTGCCTCGGCCAAGCGGTGCACTCCGGGACGCGGGCGCCTCAGCCTGTGGCCCTCGCCCCCCTTGCGAGGTAGGCACACTCCAGGAGCGAAACACCAGCTGCCCTGTCGCCCTAACGGAGGTGCAGGCGGCAGGTGCAGACTCTGCCTGTCCACCTCTCTCCCTCCTGTTCGCTGCTCCAGTCTTTCCCGGGAACCCTACAGCCAGTGTGCAAAAGCCCACAAGTCTCCCTTAGTTCCGAAGAGGGAAGGGCGCCTGGAAATGAGCTCCAGGCTCGCCTCACATCCTGCCACCGCTGCTGCCGCCTCCAAAATATGCCTGGAGTGCGGGTGGGAGGGTAGTGGGAGTGACCGAGAGCTGCGTTTTTGTCGCTAACAGTTTGGAGCCTCCTGGCTGACTGATTGCACCGGGGAGGAGGTGGGAATTAGAGAGAAGCGCTCTGGCGCGTCACGAAAAGAGCTGCTTCTGCTCCTCCTCCTCTTCCACACCCCTTTAGATTTGGGAGCGCGGGGAGGGGAGGCAGATTGAGAAAGGCTGCCAACCCCAAGTCCCCCATCCCCTGGTTTAAAAAAAAAAAAAAAGCGCTCTCTTACCTTTCTCCGGAGAAGGAAAGCGTGTCCCGGCAGCGCCGTCTAGCGTCCTTACCAGAGTAGGCCGGCGTACAGGATTGGGGCGAGCGCTCAACTGAGTGCAGGTATGGAAAGCCACTAAAAGTTTTCCAGCTCTCCCAGTCTCCAGTTCTAGCCGCTGAACAGGTATCTAGTTCAGTCAGGAGTTCACCTGCTTGGTTCCCCGCAGACTGGAACTTGCTTTTAAAGACGCAAACCACCTAGTTTTTCTGACAATTAGAGCTTTCCAGGACCGGAGAGAACTCTTCTTTTCCACCCCTGCCACCTATAAGATCCTTAAGTCTCAGGGTTCTCCAGCCCCGCCAGTCATGGGGCAGGCAGGTAATGTACTGGGACGCAGGGATGGGCTTGCAGCTAGGACCCTGGCCTCAATCATTCTGCCATGCGCCAGGGGCTCGCCAACCATGCATCTGATCACCTGCTCTCCAACGTATTGCAACCCAGGAACCCCTCTCTTTAAGCGAGACAGGGGAGAGGGACTACGACCCAGGACTAGCAGCGTTTCTAGATCGCAGCGTTGAAGAGTCCCGTTGCCACGCCAGGTATCTTCCCAGAGTGTTTCGCTGGGCTCTCGGGGCGCCGCACTGATTAACACACCTTTACCGAATTACTCATTTAACGGGTCAGCTGAGCGCTGTTCTCCAGCATTTGCTGCTGCGCTGAGCTCCTTTTAATTTGTCTTTCTCTGAGCTTTCTCCAGCTATTCTCCCGAGGCTGTTCCATCGCTCTGCATTAGCCACAGAGAGCGAACGAGAGATGGATACAGGGCCCAGGAGGGAGAATTGAGCGTTTGGTACGTGGCACGCAGCGCAGACTCGCGCCTTTCTACTCCACTTATTTGGCCGCTTGGCCTCGGTCCACCACCCACTCAACTGTTAAGGCCGGAGCCTGTGCATGATTAAGGTTATTCTCCCTCTCTCGCCTCTCGCCAAGTTTATGCACTCTTCCCCTGTGGACCATCTCTTTCGACAAATCCAGCAAAACCCCACCCCCATCCTGGAAAATTTCTTCTTCAATCGGGGTTAAGTCGGGGATCTAGAGAGGTCGGGTGTGAAAGGAAAGGACCTTCGGGCGGGAACCAATACCAAGCTACCCTCCTGGTTTTCGTTGTTTATATACATGGGAGGGGGAAAATGGTCTGTATTTTTAAAACAGAAGATGTCCTGCCGTTTCTGCTTCTGTTTTTCCTTTTTTCTTTTTTTTTTTTTTTAACAGCCAATTCTTTTGAAGGGAGATAGCCAGCCAATTTTCCATTTCTCCTTGCCTACGGAGCTCATGCAAACTTCCCTACGCTAGCCGGCTGGCCCTGTGCAACCTTCACTACCACCTCCCGCCAACCCCCTCCGCACCTACTTTACTGTTAGTGGTCCTCAATGCCAACTGCCAGGTGCTTCCAACCAGCTGGGTACGGCAGGCAGCAACACGGGGTGGCCCCTTGGTGGAAGGACACCACCTGGTCAAGTCTTTCCTTTCTGGTTGGATCCCTGGCACCTCCAGTCTGGCCTTTAGCATGGCACTAGCCCCCGGACCCTGGGCCTTAGCTGACCAGCAGGGCTGTCCATGGATGAGACCATTTGATCAAGCCACGGGACCCTTCACTTACATTGGGGTGTTAAGGAGCCAGCAGTCAGAGTGAGGGGAGCTCATTCAGGATCCTAGCCAATAAGATCCCTAGGCAAATCATCAAGTAGACAATACATTTAAAATAAAAACAAACCTCTTCCTGTCCTGTTGGTTTCTCGTTTCATCATCTTTCTATATCTAGGGTCTCGCTCTGTCACCTAGACTGGAATGCAGTGGCACATACAACCAATTTGACCCAATTTCACTCTAATACCCAGTGCTTTTATGTATCAAGTTCTGTACCTCCTACCCTATCAAAACTTACTCCTTTGTGTACCTACCATTTTTTCAGTACTCTGTCTGCTGAGGATGGTTGGTGCTCCAGTCTGATTAATGCCTGACTAGTATGACTAAACTTTCCTGGGTTACATCACCCTTCACCAGAAACTTTAAGAAGACTCCCGAGAATTGGAAACTTAACGCACCATGGTAGATCAATGGATTTTTTTTTCTGGATGGGGGATGGGCTCTTGGTATTCATCAAAGAGAGCTGCTTGTTTGGCCAATCATACCAGTCTGTTTTATGGTTTTAAAAGTGATCTTAAAGGAGTTCAGGAAAGTAAGCATAAAGAATCCAAAGAGGAATAAGATGCCAAGAAAATGAGGAAGGAACCAGTGAACTTTTAGAAAAGACTGGGTGAGACCTCATGGTCTAGCACCTTGTTTCTCAAAGTGTTTTCCATGGACCAGCAGCACTTGTGACCTTGATAGAAATGCAGTCTCAGGCCCCACCCCAGACCTACTGTTCCAGAATCTGCACTTTAACAAGATCCCCAGGTAACTTTGTATGCACATTAACACTTGAGAAGGCTTTTCAAGAAAATCTTTCAATTCTGCCTAGCCCAGGAAAGGAAAAGAAGCAGTGAGTGTAATTATCCCAATTGCTAATAATGAAATCTTGTCATATGATAAGCACCAAGAACAAGGCCAGGGTCATATCTGCTTAGGGCAATTAGACCCAATCTATTTCATGACCAAGTTTGATCAAATTATGGTTAGTGCCCCTACCTACAGATGGCCTTTTTGGCAAAAATGCCCTAGGTTACATGAAATAATTACTGCTTCTGAAGAAATACATCAATTCCCATGGCCCACTAGAGTAGAGTTAGTATATCATCTTCCTAATAATATTAAGAACAGAACTTTACATAGTTTGCCAAATCTTGGGCACTTGATATATTCTCATGATTAATGGTGAGAAGAGCTGGTAACCATTTAGAAAGGCCAAACTTTTTAAAAATGTTATCAATTGGGATAAATAGCTTTGCAAAAAAAAAAAAGTAAATAAAAAGTATGCTGAGCTTTATTCTCTCTGCACAAGGTAAATCTCAAAGTAGCCTCTTAGGATAGGAAGGGGAGAGACCAGACTACAAACAGTTATTCTGTGTCTACTGCATGCCAGGTACCTTACATACTTGATTTTATATCATCCATGTTCCTAGACCAGGCTGATGGCCAAAATTACTGGTTTAGCATCTTGTTAAAGACTCCTGGGACAATGCCTCAGATCTGTTAAATCAGAATCTCAAGGAGTGGACTTCCACAGGTGGAGAACAATTTTCTAAGCAAAACTCAAAATCCATAAGCCAAAAAGAAAAAGATTGATACTTTTTACTATGTACAAATTTCTGCAAAGAAAAAAACACCATACACAAGGTCAAAAGGCAAATTATAAATTGAGAGAAAAACTGAAATTCCTTAAACAAAGGGAAAATTATATAAAGGGTTCTTACAAATCAATTGGGGAAAACAAAATCAACCCAATAGAAAAATAGGCAAATGACATGAATAGATACTACATGTTTAAACAATGCAAATGGGCACACATAAATTGAGAAGTAACTGCAACCTAGACCATAATGGCAAAGAATAAATATTTGATAGCATACAATGTAGGAAAGCATGTGAAGAAATAGACATTCTCATTCAGTTATCTAGAATGTCAACTAGTGCAACCACACTGGAGAGCAAAGTGACAACATCTATTAAAATTGTAGATATATACATACTCATATATACAAAGGTATTTCTGGGTGAATACTCAAGAAACTGATAATAATGGTTGTTTGTTGGAAGGGGAGGTGATTGGCAATGTGGGAGTGAGAGGCCAATTTATGTTTCATTATGTATTATGTGGGACATTAGATTATTGTTTCTAGTTCTTCACACCATCACTATGAAAAAATTGTATATTTACACTCTTTAACTTGAGACTTTGAATACCTCCCACTCCACTAGAGTTGACCAAAGAAATATTAGCAGACTTGATGTTAGCAGCTTGGCCTCTCGTACTTTTGCCATCCACCAATAGTCCTGGATAGCTCCAGGTCCAAGGAGAATGATGAGATATTGGTGCACATCAGAAAGCAACCCATAGCTTTAGGCCAAGCCCAAATGAGCTCAGTTAAACCCCAAAGGACTTACAGACCTGTGAGCAAGAAATATAAATATTTATTGTTATGTGCCACTTATACCTTGTGTTGGGAGGAGGGGGTTGTTACAAAGCATTACTGCACGAATAACTAAGACAATTCACTTTACACTTAGAAATATTCACTATGTGCATCTGTTACTTTCCATTTAACAAATGCTTGCTTTGATCAAAAAGCAACTTAGTTATCTATCATTAGGACATTGATTAAATGAACTATGAAACATCCATATGATGAAGTGCTATTCAGCTTGAAAAATAAATGAGGAAACTCTATGTACTGATATAGAAGTACCTGCAAGGTGTAGTGTTAAAGGAGAAGCACAGGTTGCAGAACAACATGCATAGGATGCTTCTATTTGTGTAAAAAAAAGTTGAGGAGAAGAATAATATGTATTTGGTTGGAAAAATATGCATGAAATTTATCATATTATTTACCTGTTGGGAGAGGGTTGCACTAGGTAGAGATAGAAGGGAGTTATTTCACTGAGTACATTTTATACTTTCATTTTTCTTTTCTCAAACCATATCAGTACATTTCCTCTTCAAAAACAATTAAAATTAATTTTAAAATACAATTTAGCTGGGTGTGGTGGCTCATGCCCATAATCCCAGTCCTTTGGGAGGCTGAGGTGGATCACTTGAGGCCAGGAGTTTGAGACCAACCTGGGCAACCTAGTGAGACCCAGTCTCTACAAAAAATTTAAAAAATAGCTGGGCATGGTGGCTAACACCTTTGGTCCCAGCTACTTGAGAGGCTGAGGCGGGAGGATCACTAGAGGCCTAGGAGGTCAAGGCTGCCATGAGCTATGATTGCACCACTGCACTCCAGCCCGGGTGACAGAGCAAGACCATCAAATAAATAAATAAATAAAAACAAAATACAATTTGTTCATTTTTACATAAGTTCCTCAGGTGCTGGATGAACATACAAGAAACTGCAACTTCAGCAAAGTCTCAGGATACAAAATCAATGTGCAAAAATCACAAGCATTCTTATACACCAATAACAGACAAACAGAGAGCCAAACCATGAGTGAACTCCCATTCACAATTGCTTCAAAGAGAATAAAATACCTAGGAATCCAACTTACAAGGGATGCGAAGGACCTCTTCAAGGAGAACTACAAACCACTGCTTAATGAAATAAAAGAGGGTACAAACAAATGGAAGAACATTCCAAGCTCATGGGTAGGAAGAATCAATATTGTGAAAATAGCCATAGTGCCCAAGGTAATTTATAGATTCAATGCCATCCCCATCAAGCTACCAATGACTTTCTTCGCAGAATTGGAAAAAACTACTTTAAAGTTCATATGGAACCAAAAAAGAGCCCGCATCGCCAAGTCAATCCTAAGCCAAAAGAACAAAGCTGGAGGCATCACTCTACCTGACTTCAAACTTCAAACTATACTACAAGGCTACGGTAACCAAAACAGCATGGCACTGGTACCAAAACAGAGATATAGACCAATGGAACAGAACAGAGCCCTCAGAAATAATGCCTCATATCTACAACCATCTGATCTTTGACAAACCTGACAAAAACAAGAAATGGGGAGAGGATTCCCTATTTAATAAATGGTGCTGGGAAAACTGGCTAGCCACATGTAGAAAGCTGAAACTGGATCCCTTCCTTACACCTTAAACAAAAATTAATTCAAGATGGATTAAAGACTTAAATGTTAGACCTAAAAACCATAAAAACCCTAAAAGAAAACCTAGGCAATACCATTCAAGACATAGGTATGGGCAAGGACTTCATGTCTAAAACACCAAAAGCAATGGCAACAAAAGCCAAAATTGACAAATGGGATCTAATTAAACTAAAGAGCTTCTGCACAGCAAAAGAAACTACTATCAGAGTGAACAGGGAACCTACAGAATGGGAGAAAATTTTTGCAATCTACTCATCTGACAAAGGGCTAATATCCAGAATCTACAATGAACTCCAACAAATTTACAAGAAAAAAACAAACAACTCCATCAACAAGTGGGCGAAGGATATGAACAGACACTTCTCAAAAGAAGACATTTATGCAGCCAACAGACACATGAAAAAATGCTCACCATCACTGGCCATCAGAGAAATGCAAATCAAAACCACAATGAGATACCATCTCACACCAGTTAGAATGGCGATCATTGAAAAGTCAGGAAACAACAGGTGCTGGAGAGGATGTGGAGAAATAGGAACACTTTTACACTGTTGGTGGGACTGTAAACTAGTTCAACCATTGTGGAAGTCAGTGTGGCGATTCCTCAGGGATCTAGAACTAGAAATACCATTTGACCCAGCCACCCCTTTACTGGGTATATACCCAAAGGATTATAAATCATGCTGCTATAAAGACACATGCACATGTATGTTTATTGTGGCACTATTCACAATAGCAAAGACTTGGAACCAACCCAAATGTCCAACAATGATAGACTGTGGCACATATACACCATGGAATACTATGCAGCCATAAAAAATGATGAGTTCATGTCCTTTGTAGGGACATGGAGGAAGCTGGAAACCATCATTCTCAGCAAATTATCACAATGACAAAAAAACAAACACCACATGTTCTCACTCATAGGTGGGAATTGAACAATGAGAACACATGGACACAGGAAGGGGAACATCACACACCAGGGCCTGTTGTGGGGTGGGGGCAGGGGGGAGGGATAGCATTAGGAAATATACCTAATGTTAAATGACGAGTTAATGGGTGCAGCACACCAACATGGCACATATATAACTAACCTGCACGTTGTGCACATGTACCCTAAAACTTAAAGTACAATAATAAAAAAAAAAGGAAAAAAGAAACTGACAACAGTGATGGTTTTTTGTAAGAGGGACCAGGGAGTTTGCTATCTGTACTGGGAGGCAAATTTAAGTTTCATTAAATACTTGTGGATTCCAATTATCAACCAGGTTTGGGAATCACGGATTGAATCTTCACAACAACATTGCCAGGTAAATTATTTCATCTCGTTTTGGTAGTTGAGGAAACTAGAAGTTAGAATGATTAAGTAACTTGTTTATGGTCTTGTCTGCCTTATTTCCAAGCCTATGGTTTTTCCACTATAGCATACTACTTACCCACTGGCGTACACAGACTAATGTATATACATCAGCAATGAAAATTGACATAGAGAAGTTCAAATTTTCAATTTAGGCCTCCTTTTTTTCTACTTTCATCGTTCTCCTATTTCCCTAGGGCCAAAATGACAGAAGCAAAAATGTGAGTGTATGTGTGCATGTGTGTGTGTGTGTGTGTGTGTGTGTGTGTGTGTGTAAAGTTGGATTTACATCTGCCATTTTACTTTTTGCTTTCTATATGTCTCATGTCTTTTTCTTCCACTATTCCTTCTTTACTGCTTTCTTTTGCATTAAGTAATGTTTTCTGTGCAACATTTTAATTCCTTTTATGAGTTCTTCATTATATTTTTGAACTATTTCTTACTGGTTGCTCTAGGGCTTGCCAAATACATCTTAACTTATGAGAATCTATTTCAGATTTATATTTACATAATTCCAGTGATATATAGGAATGCTAGTCCTATATAGCTCTGTTCCCTCTTCTCCATTTTTGTATTATTGTCATGCATATTACATCTATGTTACAAACCCAATAATGCATTGTTATAATTATTACTGTATATAATTTTATGTCTTCTAAAGAAGCTGAGAGAAGAAAGGAAAGGAAATATATATGTTATACAGTTTGTATTATTAACCTTATTTACCCGTTCTCATGGATCTGAATTACCATCTGGTGCCATATTCTTACTTTAATACAACACTGCTCCTACCCACTTCATTTGTGTTATTGCAAAGTATGTTACATTTCTATATGTTATAAGGCAATAACAATGACTTTATACCATTGCTTTTTAAATCAGTAAAGAGAACAAAGGAAAATATTTTTATATTGTCTTTAAAAATTACATAATTACCTTTGTTTTTTCATGTGGATTCACATTAGAGTCAGTCCTCCACAACCATGGGTTTGACATCTGTGGATTCAACCAACCAGAGATTTAAAATATTTGAGGAGGGCGGGCGCTGTGGCTTATGCCTGTAATTCCAACACTTTGGGAGGCTGAGGTGGGTGGATCACCTGTCAGGGGTTCAAGACCAGCCTGGCCAACATGGTGAATCCCCATCTCTGCTAAAAATACAAAATTAGCCGGGCCTGGTGGCATGCACCTGTAATCTCAGCAACTTGGGAGGCTAAGGCAGGAGAATCACTTGAACCTGGGAGGTGGAGGTTGCAGTGAGCCAAAATTGCACCATTGCACTCCAGCTTGGGCAAAAAGAGTGAAACTGTCTCAGATAATAATAATAATAATAACTAGAGGAAAAAAAAACAGAATTCCACTAAGTTCCAAAAAGCAAAATTTGAATTTGCCATGCACTGAGTACTACATTGAATCCTTGTGAATGAAGTGATGTGCAGATATTGTATTAGTTATTACTATAGGAATAATGTAGAGATGATTTAAAGTATACAGGAGGATGTGAGTAGGTTACATGCAAACATTACATCATTTCATATTGGAAACTTGAGCATCCACAAATTTTGGCACCCTCAGGGAATCCTGGAACCATTCCCCCACAGATACCATGGCACAACTCTACATTGTGTGGTCACCTGCTTTCATACTAAAGAATCTCAATTAGTATTTCTCATAAAGTGGCTCTTCTTGCAACAAACTCATTATTAGTTCATCTTGGAATATTTTCTTTTTGCCTTCATTTTTGAAAGACTGTTTTGTTGAATATGTGATTCCTGATTGATAGGGTTTTTTTTTTCCTTTCTACACTTTAAATCCTGCTGCCTCTGGCCTCCATTGTTTCTGATGAAAAATCAGCTTTTATCTTATGGGGATTCCTTTACTTATTGAAGCATAGTTTATTTAAACATATTTATTTTGGCTTTTCTGAAGGCTTCTCTGTTAAATATAACAACTTCGCCATCTACCAGGCAGTTTCTGCTGCCTGCAGTGTTATTTCTCCTGCATATGGGTAACACTTTCCGTTTTTTTTCTTTTTTGCATATCTTGTAATTTTTGTTGAAACCTGGACATTTTAGGCAATCCATTGTTGTAACTCTAGATGTTGATTCCCTTCTCCATTCTCTGAGGCTTGTCTTTGTTTTTACTTGCTTGTTTGTTTTGTGACTTAGCTAGGCTATTTTAATGAAAGCTCTTTTTCTCATAGTGTGTAGATTTTGGTGTCATTCTTCAGAGGATACCACCTTGGGCATATAGTCAGTCGTCCTGGAATGACTGTGATTTTAGCAGGGCTCTCTTAGTCTCTTTCCCTAATCTCTCTGTTAGGCTGTGTGCCTTAGTATCACATCCAGCTGTTATGCTCCACTAATTGGGGCTGATTTCTCTATTGTTTTCAACATTGCTCCACAGCCTAATCCAGCTAAATTTGAGCAGGACTAGTTTTTGAGCCAGTCTTTTGAGGTTTGTTCTGACCCCGAGAGGGCTCTTTTTAGCTGTGTCTTTCCTTGCTTTTCCCTAGTGAACTAGCTATGCTATGGTTCTGCTTGCTGTTCTTAAATAAAAGGAGCTACCATCCTCTTATTTGTTAACTACGAAAATCTGCATTGTTTGATTAAAGAGGCTTTTAGGCTTGAACTTCTTCACACTCTGCTTCAATAAAGTCTTTTGGGAAAGCTTCAGAAATGTCTGTTCTTATGGACTCCTCTCCATGTGAGCAAAATCTCTGAGCCATACTCCAAGCACTGGGCAGGAGTGTTAGCTTCTGATCTCAGCTTGTCTCTCCCAGCATGGAACCTCTGCCCTACGAGTGAGCTAGAGCAAGGGTAGCTGCATCTCCAGTATTCTAATTCTCCTATGCCTTGTGTAGAGTTTCTACCCTATGAATGTGGGCTGGATGAAGGAAGGGCTCCCTCCATTCTCAGCCACACACCAGGAATTCAGCATCTTCAACTCCAAATTGGGTCAGATAAGAAATGCTGGTGTCTTGCCCCTACCAGTAAATTACCATATCCCTGGATTTGGAGCTGAGGAGAGAGGGAGTCCTGATTTCTTGGCCACATCCACCTGGAGTAAAGCTTCTATCAAGGTGAGCTGGGGAGGGGTGAAAGAGGAAGTGGATCACGAATCGAGGGCCAAAGATTCTAACTGCTCTTACTGAGTTTTAGATATTTTTAAATAAATATTTCCTGCTGTATGCCCTTAGGACAATTTTCCGATTTATTTATTTATTTATTTTTGGTTTTAGTTTTCATTAGTTATGCTTGCTTCACTAGGGAGCAGATCTGTGGAGCTCCTTATGCTACCATCCCAGAAGCAGAACTATTAAATGAGCTTTTAAAGTTAAGTCCTTGTGAAAGGGGCATGGATAACTGATATGGTTTGGCTCTGTGTCCCCACCAAAATCTCATCTCGAATTGTAATCCTCACGTGTCAAGGGAGGGACCTGTAATCCCCACTTGTTGAAGGAGGGAAATAATTGGATTAAGGGGGTGGTTTCCTCCATGCTGTTCTCATGATAGTGAGTGAGTTCTTAGAGATCCAATGGTTTTAAAAGTGGCAGTTTCCCTTGTGGGTTCTCTCTCTTCTGCCACCATGTAAGATGTGCCTTGCTTCCCCTTTGCCTTGCACCATGATTGTAAGTTTCCTGAGACCTCCCCAGCCATGTGGAACTGTGAGTCAATTAAACCTCTTTCCTTTATAAATTACCCAGTCTCAGATATTTCTTCATAGCAGCATGAAAATGGACTAATACAATAACAATACAAGAGCTGTCCTTGGGAAGTGAATATTTACCAGAAGCAAGAAGAAAACTCATGGGTCATCACACCACAGGTGAAAATTCAGTAAGTTCACTTTGAACAGAAGAAATCGTTGTGGAGAGTCACAGGAGGGAAAGGCAATGTTGGAAGAAATCAGAGAAGGCTTCGTGAAAGAGGTGACATCTGAGGGTGGCTTAAAAGATAGATATACATGAAAAGGGGAAATTTCAGGCAGAGAACATAGCGTCAATTAATTCATTTGTTCACTGAATATTTGTTGAGTGCACCAAGTCACACCCTATTTCTAGATGCTATGAAGAACATAGGCAAAAATCTCTTCGCGGATGGAACTTAAATTCTGGTGGCAGTGGAGAACAGAAAAGAAATGTAACATGTAAGCAAATGGTATGATACAGCAGAAAATGGAAAATAGCTTTATGAAAAGAGTGAAGCAGGATAGGTGATACAGAGTGGTCCAGGAAGATGGTAATTTGAAATAGGGAGGTCAAGGAAGGCCTCACTGGAAATTTGGGATTTGAGGAGGATCTTAAAGAAATGAGGGAATAAACCCATCCTGTATCTGCGACAAAGTGTTGCAAGCAGAACGAATAGGAAGTGCAAAGGCCTTGAGGCAGGGGCACGTCCAACAAAGAAGAAGAGAAAAGAGACTAGTATGGCAGCGACTAAGTGAAGGAGAGGACAGCGGTATGATTCAAGTTAAAAAAAAAAAAATAGTGGGAGAGCCAAAAAGTCTAAGTCCGAGTAAATGTGTATGGCAGAAAGTTGTGGTGCATTTTATAAGGAGACTGTACAATGATTTGTGTCCTACCATCTCTAGAAAATATGAATGAGAGAGAGGCCTGGAAAAAATGGATTGGTGCCAAATTGTGAAGTGCTTCAAATGTCAGGCTAAGGATATTATATTTACCTCAGTGGGAATGACAGAGCTTCATAGGTATTTGTTTTCAAAACCTAGAGTCATGAGGACATAGTATATGTTACCTTGTCCTCTCTCTTCATCCTCCTCATTTCTCTATGTAGGCCTGACACGAGAAAGTGACAGAATCAAGCATCAGAAGAGAAGTACAGACCAGATATAACGTTGTGCTGGTATTCCCCTCTCCCATCTCAAGCCTTGATTGACTTCTTGGTGAAGGGGAGATCCCTGTCTAATATTTCACAGCTTTATTTAACAAAATGAATTCCCATGTTTTACTACATTGTCAGAAAATTTCTACTTATATCTCAGCTAAATCCCTTTACCTTTGCTTTATTCCTTAGAGAGGCAAGCAACTCTTCCATCAGCTTGGGTTTCTGAAGAAAGCAGGAAAAAACTAAGCCTCAGACTGAAAAACCTCTGTCACCCTCAAAGAAAGGAAGTCAATATTTATTTATTTTTATAATCACCAAGAATCACCCTGTCAAAGGAAAGTCAGATATCACTAAGCATCAGCACATTTGCTAGAAAGGTAACGTCAGTTATAAACAGTCTTCTAAATCAATTGATTGCAGTTTGGGCTTTTATCACTAAAAGAAGAAAATCCTTTGCATTATAATAAAAGAAAATCCCAATCATAGAACAAAAAGAAGCAGCAATTCAGAGTGTAAAAAAGCATGTGATACTTAGGGAAATGGTTTTGCTACATCAGGAGCCAATAATGTCTCTACAATGATGCTTTAAATTGGACTTGGAATTCACATAGCAATGCTATAGGTTAAGGTTTCCAATTTTGACATGAGTGCTTTTAAGACACTGAGAAGTTGGGGCCAGTTTTAAAGAAAGGCTTCTCCATAAGGCAATGAATTATTGCTGTGTGTTTCTACATCAAACCTCTTATACAGAGTTCTAGCAATTGAACTGTCAGCTGTCACTTCAGCTCATTTGTGGCACAAGGAAAACTCTCTTCATTAAGATGCCCTGGCAACACTGTGTGATTGTGTAGCACCTTCTAATTGAAGGAGAAAATTTTAAGTATCTTTAATATCAATTTACTGTCAACTATCTGGTACTGCTGTCTTTGTTAGTATTTGAAAATAGTCATAGGCCTGGTGACTTTTTATTAACAAGAAGTCTGGATTAACCAGAACATTATTTTCCTTAGCCATGCTCAGTAGCTGATATTTTAATCCAAAAAGCATTGTGTTTTACTAGAAAGCATTGTTACAGAACAAGAAGAAACACAAGGGGTAGATTTATTTATCACTTCATATCATGGACAGATGGCCTTGTAATCTGCTCAGAATTTTAAAACAAAGATCTTTTAACAAAGTTTCAAAGCCCCTACTCTTTAAAAGTACCCACTTTGGGCAGCTTAAGTTAAAAATGTCATAAGTCATTTATATGGGGGCAGCCTGTGATAAGAACTGCCCCCAACCCTAGCTTCACACCCACCCCAATATGAATCAGCACTTCTTATAATATAAAACAACATCTCAGGGATCTGGGTAACTGTTATTCACCTCCCATGAAGGTACCAAAGAAAACTCGCACTTGTCAAAAACATCAAGAATTAACTTTCAAAAAATAAAATTTTACTGTGTTGGATTTTTACTACATGCTGGTGGTTTTAGATCATATACACTGAAGCAAAGTAGCAAAGCTTCATGCAGAATATACTAGAGTAGAAATCAGAAAATCTGAGAAATTTTTCTGTTGCTGTTTTTAAAATCCTGGTTCTGCTATTCATCTGTTCCTTGTTTGCTATCTCTGTTTTTCTCTCCCATTGTCTTGAGAGGAGAGGGTGATGAATATTGTCACCTGACAAGGATATGGTGCAGAATAATAAAGAAGTGCCTGCAAAGTGTTTAGAATGCCTTGGAGATAAATACCAACTAGCTACTATTGTAGTATCATTAATAAGCTAAAAATAATAATCAGACACATTTAGTGAAAATGCTGGGTATAAAATACAATATTTTACAGAAGAAAGTATGGATTTGGATCTTGATATTTTTCATTCACCTCTTCCTAGTATTGCCACTCCATCATGAATCACTGCAGACATACATTCTCAGGTCCTCTGAGTCAATCTCCTTATGTGACATCCAGGACTCAAATTTGTTTCTCTTTTTCTTGTCATGGTCACAAGCTGCAGACACAACAGTGATCCTATGAATTCATTACAAATCAACAGAACCATTATCAATTTTGAATCTTTCTTAATCTTTTAATTACAAAGCATCGATAAGCATAACTTTCTCTTTCATGCACCAAAACTTCAGAAAATAATTCTAATACCTTTTCAGCAATTTAGAACCTCTGCCACTTTACATCGTCTTTTACTTCTCTTGTCAGGATTATGGCATAAAATGTTATGCTTTAAATTATTTATCATGTCACTTCTTAGAGTCTCCTCTTTTTTTAGCTGAATGAAGAGATTAGGAACATTGGAATAAAATAACCCATGGACTTTGAAACGTAGGTAAAGTTATATTTAATAATACCTTTGATTTATATTTTAATTTTAAATGTACAGATAAATGGTATCATTAAACATACTTTAACTTTGTATAATAAATTGATGGTACCCTAATTATTATGTTACAAAGTAAGGACACATAAATTATTCATACACATCTACTGCAAATTGAATTTTTAAAACAAGCTTTATTTCCCATATTCTAGTCTCATCTTAGCCACTAGTGGAAAATAGTCCATTTCACAGCCACTGCTAATATGACACAGTTGGCAGTCTTTACTCCAAATAGGCTTAAGAGTGAATGAAAAGAGATATCAATGTTGTAGAATATAGATCAGATGAGAACATACTTCCAGCGAAATTGAGCGTTTATACAATGGTAGAATAAGAAATCAGTTCTCAATGTTGCCATTGGTTAAAAGAGAATTTAGACATCCAAATATTTTCAAATTTATTTTGGGGGTTTCACTGATTTTATGGGATTTGTTTATGAAACTCATTATTTGATAGTATCCCATTAAGGAACTGCCTCTCCCTACCTGTGTGTTCCAATTCTACAAGGCACTTTGCTCCTGTCCCGCTAAGATCCTCAGTGAGCATGAAAACTCTCACTTTATACTGAGTTAGGTGTGAAGAATGGGCAAGGGCGAGGGCCAGGAATCAGTGGGGTGAATGAAACTCTGGATTTATCTCCTTGCAAGGTCACAGTTTTGCCTCTTTGGTCTTTTCCTAGGTTGGTGCAGAAATACAGAGACAAGATGAAGGACCTATTTAGCCCCTCTCTGAAGTACTAGCTGTCATGCCACAGAGGCCCTTCCACTTGCATCAGTACCAAAGTGAGGATATATTTACCAAAATTGTCAATTTGATTCTGCTCCTACTTCCTTTTGGTACCCAGCTTTTTTTTTTCTTTTTTTCTTTTTTTTCTTTTTTTCTTTATTTTCTTTTATTATTATTATACTTTAAGTTTTAGGGTACATGTGTACAATGTGCAGGTTAGTTACATATGTATACAAGTGCCATGCTGTTGTGCTGCACCCATTAACTCGTCATTTAGCATTAGGTATATCTCCTAAAGCTATCCCTCCCCCCTCCCCCCCACCCCACAACAGTCCCCAGAGTGTGATGTTCCCCTTCCTGTGTCCATGTGTTCTCATTGTTCAATTCCCACCTATGAGTGAGAATAAGCAGTGTTTGGTTTTTTGTCCTTGCAATAGTTTACTGAGAATGATGATTTCCAATTTCATCCATGTCCCTACAAAGGACATGAACTCATCATTTTTTATGGCTGCATAGTATTCCATGGTGTATATGTGCCACATTTTCTTAATCCAGTCTATCATTTTTGGACATTTGGGTTGGTTCCAAGTCTTTGCTATTGTGAATAGTGCCGCAATAAACATACATGTGCATGTGTCTTTATAGCAGCATGATTTATAATCCTTTGGGTATATACCCAGTAATGGGATGGCTGGGTCAAATGGTATTTCTAGTTCTAGATCCCTGAGGAATCGCCACACTGGCTTCCACAATGGTTGAACTAGTTTACAGTCCCACCAACAGTGTAAAAGTGTTCCTATTTCTCCACATCCTCTCCAGCACCTGTTGTTTCCTGACTTTTCAATGATCGCCATTCTAACTGGTGTGAGATGGTATCTCATTGTGGTTTTGATTTGCATTTCTCTGATGGCCAGTGATGGTGAGCATTTTTTCATGTGTCTTTTGGCTGCATAAATGTCTTCTTTTGAGAAGTGTCTGTTCATGTCCTTCGCCCACTTTTTGATGGGGTTGTTTGTTTTTTTCTTGTAAATTTGTTTGAGTTCATTGTAGATTCTGGATATTAGCCCTTTGTCAGATGAGTAGGTTGCAAAAATTTTCTCCCATGTTGTAGGTTGCCTGTTCACTCTGATGGTAGTTTCTTTTGCTGTGCAGAAGCTCTTTAGTTTAATTAGATCCCATTTGTCAATTTTGGCTTTTGTTGCCATTGCTTTTGGTGTTTTAGACATGAAGTCCTTGCCCATGCCTATGTCCTGAATGGTAATGCCTAGGTTTTCTTCTAGGGTTTTTATGGTTTTAGGTCTAACATTTAAGTCTTTAATCCATCTTGAATTAATTTTTGTTTAAGATGTAAGGAAGGGATCCAGTTTCAGCTTTCTACATATGGCTAGCCAGTTTTCCCAGCACCATTTATTAAATAGGGAATCCTTTCCCCATTGCTTGTTTTTCTCAGGTTTGTCAAAGATCAGATGGTTGTAGATATGCAGCATTATTTCTGAGGGCTCTGTTCTGTTCCATTGATCTATATCTCTGTTTTGGTACCAGTACCATGCTGTTTTGGTTACTGTAGCCTTGTAGTATAGTTTGAAGTCAGGTAGCTTGATGCCTCTGGCTTTGTTCTTTTGGGTTAGGATTGACTTGGCGATGTGAGCTCTTTTTTGGTTCCATATGAACTTTAAAGTAGTTTTTTCCAATTCTGCGAAGAAAGTCATTGGTAGCTTGATGGGGATGGCATTGAATCTATAAATTACCTTGGGCACTATGGCCATTTTCACAATATTGATTCTTCCTATCCATGAGCATGGAATGTTCTTCCATTTGTTTGTATCCTCTTTTATTTCATTGAGCAGTGGTTTGTAGTTCTCCTTGAAGAGGTCCTTCGCATCCCTTGTAAGTTGGATTCCTAGGTATTTTATTCTCTTTGAAGAAATTGTGAATGGGAGTTCACTCATGATTTGGCTCTCTGTTTGTCTGTTATTGGTGTATAAGAATGCACACCCTAACATCACAATTAAAAGAACTAGAAAAGCAAGGGCAAACACATTCAAAAGCTAGCAGAAGGCAAGAAATAACTAAAATCAGAGCAGAACTGAAGGAAATAGAGACACAAAAAACCCTTCAAAAAAATCAATGAATCCAGGAGCTGGTTTTTTGAAACTATCAACACAATTGATAGACCGCTAGCAAGACTAATAAAGAAGAAAAGAGAGAAGAATCAAATAGACACAATAAAAAATGATAAAGGGGATATCACCACCGATCCCACAGAAATACAAACTACCATCAGAGAATACTACAAACACCTCTACGCAAATAAACTAGAAAATCTAGAAGAAATGGATAAATTCCTCGACACATACACCCTCCCAAGACTAAACCAGGAAGAAGCTGACTCTCTGAATAGACAAATAACAGGCTCTGAAATTGTGGCAATAATCAATAGCTTACCAACCAAAAAGAGTCCTGGACCAGATGCATTCACAGCGAATTCTACCAGAGGTACAAGGAGGAACTGGTACCATTCCTTCTGAAACTATTCCAATCAACAGAAAAAGAGGGAATCCTCCCTAACTCATTTTATGAGGCCAGCATCATCCTGATACCAAAGCCAGGCAGAGACACAGGCAAAAAAGAGAATTTTAGACCAATATCCTTGATGAACATTGATGCAAAAATCCTCAATAAAATACTGGCAAACTGAATCCAGGAGCACATCAAAAAGCTTATCCACCATGATCAAGTGGGCTTCATCCCTGGGATGCAAGGCTGGTTCAACATACGCAAATCAATAAATGTAATCCAGCATATAAACAGAACCAGAGACAAAAACCACATGATTATCTCAATAGATGCAGAAAAGGCCTTTGACAAAATTCAACAACCCTTCATGCTAAAAACTCTCAAGAAATTAGGTAATGATGGGACGTATCTCAAAATAATAAGAGCTATCTATGACAAACCCACAGCCAATATCATACCGAATGGGCAAAAACTGGAAGCATTCCCTTTGAAAACTGGCACAAGACAGGGATGCCCTCTCTCACCACTCCTCTTCAACATAGTGTTGGAAGTTCTGGCCAGGGTAATCAGGCAGGAGAAGGAAATAAAGGGTATTCAATTAGGAAAAGAGGAAGTCAAATTGTCCCTGTTTGCAGATGACATGATTGTATCCTACAAAACCCCATTGTCTCAGCCCAAAATCTCCTTAAGCTGATAAGCAACTTCAGCAAAGTCTCAGGATACAAAATCAAGGTACCCAGCTTTTGAGAACTCAGGCCTCCCTCTGGCTGCCCAAAGGTTCCCACTTATTCATCTCACTTAGGCTCTCTCTTTCCTACCAGCAAACCACACTTCAAACCTTCCCCTCCTCTCTTCTAACCCTTCAAACTTGATGTTCCTTTTGCTCCAGCCACTTGGATCTTTGCTCTCTGTTTGCAATGGGTTGTCATGTGTATAGCAGTACTGCCTTTGAATGTTAACAGAGGTCCTTGCTTTATCCCCAAGAAGAGCTCATGAATGTACAGCTCTGTGGCAGGCGGGGAAATCATTTTGGAGAGTTTTGCCCCTTTAATCACATCCCCCACAGTGTTAGATTACCTAAAGGTACACGAGCACCACTTAAGGCACCAACAAATCAGCTATCCTCCACCTGATCTCTTACCAAGAGGAACACTTCTGAAAGATATTGGTGTTTGATAAATAAAGGAAAAAATCATTGATTTCATTATATGGGAGAAAATTAGAGAACTTTAAAACTTTCATTTACTTGTTTTAAGGTTTGATGTTTTTATGGTAGGGGGAGAGGAGGAATAACCTTAGTGCTTAGCACCTCTAAAGGTCTCATTGCTACCCCAAGACTGGGCAAAAGATGGTGAACTGTTAAAGCCGTTGCCACAGCCCTTGCCCCTTTGTAAGTTTAAGCACAGAGCTAGGATGCAGGAGACAAATGTAAGCTATAATGTGTGGGACCCAGTGCAGGCAAAAGAACAATATCTCTAGCCTTTTCAAAAAATTGACAAATAATAATTATATATATTTATGAGGTACAATGTGATGTTTTAATATATGTATACATCGTAGGATGACTAAAGGAAGCAAATTAACATATCTATTACCTCACATCTTATAATAGTTGCAAGTCCTTTAACTCCCCTATGATGGACTGGAATGCCTCTACTTTGGTTCTGGGCTACACACCAAAGCCTTAATGCCAAGCCTAAGTGATAAGTCCAACTGTGAAGGAGAAGATTCCTTTGGTGACACTAACTCTGACTCTTCCCCACAGGTGTCTGTTCCCACCAAAGCCTGCTATCCCTAAGTGCTACCCTGAAACTCATCAGCCAAACAAGTTGAAACTTCTCCTTTCTGTTTTTGAGTCCCTCCTTACCCCTTTCGCTCCTCAAAACCCATTAAAATAAGAACTAATTTGGTAAGTTAATTTCTAATAACGATTTCTTTTAGTAGTAAGTTAATTACTAAATAATAATTAGTCCTGGCAGGGAGGTTATTTACAGAAATTATACAACCCTGGAATTCAGATAAATTTGGATTCAAATCCTAGCATCACCAATACAAATTAAGCTATTTGACCTTGAGCAAAGTCACTAGCTGTACTGTGCCTCAGTTTCTCATCTATAAAGTGGGCATAACAATCATATCTATTCCATTTGAGAATGTTTTGAGAATTGTTTTGAGAATTAAATAATAGAACACATGAAAAGCACATAACATAGTGTTTAGTGGATACTCAATAAGTGTTAGTCTGTTTTCCCCTTAATGAGAAAACACGTGCATATTTTTACAGTGAAATTATAACCCAGTACTTTGGCTTTTAATTCAAACAAGGAAATTTTTATGGATCCTCTACTATGTGGCAGGTAATTTTCCAGATTCTGGAGATTAGCAGTGAGCAAAATAGACAAATTTCTACACTCTCATGGGGCTTGTATTCTAGTGGGGAGAGATAGACCATCAACAATAAACAGATATGCATATGTCAGATGTTGATAAGTGATATGAATAGAAATAAAGCAGTGACAAGGGGATAGGTTGAGTCGTGTAAGCATGGAGAGTTGTAATTTTTTTAAGACCTTATTTTTACGGCAGGTTTAGGTTCACAACAAAATTGAGAGGACAGTAGAAAAATAATCCATGTACCTCCTGCTCGCCCACATGCATAGCCTCCATTATCAAGATGCCCCATAAGAAAGATGTATTTGTTCCAATTGATGACCTTACATTGATACATCATTATGACCTCAAAATGCATGGTTTACATTAGGTCTCACTCTTAGTATTGTACATTCCATGGGTTTGGACAAATGTATGATGACATGTTTTTGCCATTATAGTATCATACAGAGTATTTCACTGCCCTAAAATCCTCTATGCTGTACCCATTCATCCTTATTGCTCCCTAATCCTGGCAACCAATGATCCTTTTAATATTTCCATAGGTTTACCTTTTCAAGAATGTCATATACAATCATTCCTTGGTATCCAAGGAGGACTGGTTCCATGACCCCCGCCCCCAGGATACCAAAATCCATGGATGCTTAAGCCCCTTATATAAAATGGTACAGTATAGTATTTCTGTATAACCTACACACAACTTCCCATATAGCTTAAATTATCTAGATTATTTACAATAGCTAATACAATGTAAAAACTATGTAAATAGTTGTTATACTGTATTGATTTTACATTTGTGTTATTTTTATTGTTGTATTGTTCTTTTTATTGTTTTATTTTTCTGAATATTTCCATACATAGTTGGTTGAATCAAGAGATGCTAAGCCTGTGGATATTGAGGGCTGACTGTAGTTGGAATCATGCAGTATGTAGCCTTTTCAGATTGGCTTCCTTCATTTAGTAATACGCACTTGAGGTTTCTCCCTGTCTTTTCATGGCTTGACAGCTCATTTCTTTTTAGCACTGAATAATATGCCATCATGTGGATGTACCACACTTTATCTCTTTACCTACTGAAGGACATCTTGGTTTCTTCCAAGTTATAGAAATCATGAATATAGCTTCTATAACCATCTGTGTGCAGGTTTTTGCGTGGACATAGGTTTTCAGTTCCTTTGCGTAAATACCAAGGGGTGCAATTACTGAATTGTATGGTAAAAGTAGTTTAATTTTCTCCCAAAGTGGCTGTACCATTTTGCATTCCTACCAGCAATGAATGAGAGTTGCTGTTGCTCCACATTCTTGTCAGCATTTGGTGTTGTCAGTATTCTGGATTTTGGCCATTCTAATAGGTAGTGTAGTAGTGGCATCTCATTACTATTTTAATTTGACTTACTCTGATGATGTATGATGTGGCACATCTTTTCATGTGTATTCGCCATCTGTATGTCTTCTCTAGTGGCATGTCTATTAAGGTCTTTGGCCCATAAGATTTGCAATTTTAAATATGGAAATCAAGGTAGGCTTCACCAGTAAGGCATAAATTAACAAAAGACCAATAGGAAGAGATGGAATGATACATATGGATATCTAAGGAAAGAGCATCCCAGGCAGAGAAGACAGCAAATGCAAAGGCTCTCAGGTGGGAGTGTATCTGATGTATAAAAACAAGGAAGACAGTGTGACCAGAACTGTGTTAGTGAGGGGCACAGAAATAGAATCTCAGAGAGGCAAGGGGAAGAGTCAGATCATAAAGGACCTTGTGGGTCATAAAAAGTACTTGGCCCTTACTCTGAATGATATGAGAAGCCATTGGCAAGTTTTAAGCAGAGCAGTGACATGATCTGACATACATCTTTAAAGCCACTCAGTGGCTGTGTTGACATAGACAGTAAAAGGAGAAAGGGCAGGAGCAGCAATCCAGCCAGGAGGTAGTGGTAGCTGAGACTAGAGTGGTAGCAGTGGAGATGGAGAGAAGTAGGTAGGTTATGATGTATTTACCCATGTCAAATCATGATAAATGCTAAGGAGGGTATGACACTAGCATAAAAGACTGTTGAGTTAGGGTCGGGGTAGGATTGTCAGGGAAGTCTGATGCTCATAAAACCTCACGTTGCAGGAAAGGAGGACAATATTGTGAAAAACACATAGAAAAGCTGTTTTATTTGGTGAAGAAAATCCTTGTAGGTCTTTGTGATCCACCTAGGTCAGTTGTGCTCAACCGTATTTGTGGATTGTAACCTCCCGTAGATATTTTTTAAATGAAATAAAACAAAAACAGAAAACATCAATTCCCTGGACCACACTCCAGATTGATTAATTTTGAATCTATGAAGTTTGGGGTATGGGTATTAGGATTTTTTTTACTGCTCCCCATGTAATCCTAAAGTATATCCAAGGTTGAGTATCACTGACCTAAATACATGTCTGGCCCTTACACTCAACTTTAGAAAGAGCTCTAGATGGGAGTTAGCTCCTGAGACTACTAATAGGTTAGTTGAGTCCATTGCCTTGATTATTGACACATAACCTGATAATCTTCCCATAATTCAGGGACTTCCAAATCCCTCCCAAATTGTTGCCACCCTTTCCTAGTTAACTCCTTCCCTTCCAATTAAATTTGCTTTCCCATAGCCATCCAATTGCAAACCTTCATTGAAGCTGCCCATGTTAACAATCTCTCTTGCTGCTCTAACCTATTCCACGTATAAAGGTTGCTTCCTCTAGGAAGCTTTGGTCACTTAATGCACACTAGCACAATGTTCTGCTAACCCTATCTACAAACATCCATGCTTAAAACTTAAAATACAGCTCAGATGTGCTGTACTAGTTTGAAAGCAGTCTTCAGCAGCGGTTCCCAACACTGGCTGCACATTAGCATCCTGAGGGAAGCTTTAAAAAGAAAATATCCAGGCTTATGCCTTATTCCAGACCAATTATAAATTAGAATAAGTGATGGTAGCACTGAGAGGTCAACATTTTTTAAAAGATCCCCAGCTTTTACTAATGTACAGCTATAGTTGAGACTCACTGTTCTACATCTATTCTTTTAACATCAGTCTTCTAAATTTACACAGGTTTTCTTCTTCTTTTTTTAAATTGTACTTTAAGTTCTGGGATACATGTGCAGAATGTGCAGGATTGTTACATAGGTACACATGTACCATGGTGGTTTGCTGCACCCATCAACCCGTCATCTACAATAGGTATTTCTCCTAATGCTGTCCCTCCCCTAGGCCCACATCACCTGACAGACCCCGGTGTGTGATGTTCCCCTCCCTGTGTCCATGTCTTCTCATTGTTCAACTCCCACTTATGAGTGAGAACATGTGGTGTTTGGTTTTCTGTTCTTGTGTTAGTTTGCTGAGAATGATGGTTTCCACCTTCATCCATGTTCCTGTAAAGGACATGAACTCATCCTTTTTTATGGCTGCATAGTATTCCATGGTGTATATATGCCACATTTTCTTTATCCAGTCTATGGTTGATTGGCATTTTGGTTGGTTCCAAGTCTTTGCTATTGTGAACAGTGCTGCAATAAACATACATGTGCATGTGTCTTTATATTAGAATGATTTATAATCCTTTGGGTATATACCCAGTAATGGGATGTCTGGGTCAAATGGTATTTCTAGTTCTAGATCCTTGAGGAATCACCACACTGTCTTCCACAATGGTCGAACTAATTTACACTCCCACCAACAGTTTAAAAGCGTTCCTATTTCTCCACATCTTCTCTAGCATCTGTTGTTTCCTGACTTTTTAATGATCACCATTCTAACTCATGTGAGATGGTATCTCATTGTGGTTTTGATTTGCATTTCTCTAATGACCACCGAAGAAGTCAAATCCCTGAATAGACCAATAAGAAGTTCTGAAATTCAGGCAGCAATTAATAGCCTACCAACCAAAAAAAGTCCAGGGCCAGATAGATTCACAGCCGAATTCTACCAGAGGTACAAAGAGGAGCTGGTACCATTCCTTCTGAAACTATTCCAAACAATAGAAAAAGAGAGAATCCTCCCTAACTCATTTTATGAGGTCAGCATCATCCTGATACCAAAACCTGGCAGAGACACAATAAAAAAAGAAAATTTCAGGCCAATATCACTGATGAATATCAACGCGAGAATCCTCAATAAAATACTGGCAAACTGAATCCAGCAGCACATCAAAAAGCTCATCCACCACGATCAAATAGGCTTCATCCCTGGGATGCAAGTCTGGTTCAACATATGCAAATTAATAAACGTAATCCATCACATAAACAGAACCAATGACAAAAACCACATGATTATCTCAACAGATGCAGAAAAGGCCTTCAACAAAATTCAACACCCCTTCATGCTAAAAACTCTCAATAAACGAGGTATTGATGGAATGTATCTCAAAAAAATAAGAGCTATTTATGACAAACCCACAGCCAATACCATACTGAATGGGCAAAAAATGGAAGCATTCTCTTTGAAAACCAGAACAAGACAAGGATACCCTCTCTCACCACTGCTATTCAACATAGTATTGGAAGTTCTGGCCAGGGCAATCAGGCAAGAGAAAGAAATAAAGAGTTTTCAAATAGGAAAAGACGAAGTCAAATTGTCTGTTTGCAGATGACATGACTGTATATTTAGAAAACCCCATCGTCTCAGCCCAAAAATCTCCTTAAGCTGATAAGCAACTTCAGCAAAGTCTCAGGATACAAAATCAATGTGCAAAAATCACAAGCATTCGTATACACCAATAACAGACAAACAGAGAGCCAAATCATGAGTGAACTCCCATTCACAATTGCTACAAAGGGAATAAAATACCTAGGAATACAACTTACAAGCGATGTGAAGATTTTCTTTTTTAAAAATTTACTTTCATGGATTTACTTAGAGAAGATGAAAATCTCATATTACAAAAAATGGCCATACTGCCCAAGGTAATTTATAGATTCAATGCCATCCCCATCAAGCTACCAATGACTTTCTTCACAGAATTGGAAAAAACTACTTTAAAGTTCATATGGAACCAAAAAAGAGCCCACATCGCCAAGTCAATCCTAAGCCAAAAGAACAAAGCTGGAGGCATCACTCTACCTGACTTCAAACTATACTACAAGGCTATGGTAAACAAAACAGCATGGCACTGGTACCAAAACATAGAGATATAGACCAATGGAACAGAACAGAGCCCTCAGAAATAATGCCGCATATCTGCAACCATCTGATCTTTGACAAACCTGACAAAAACAAGAAATGGGGAAATGATTCCCTATTTAATAAATGGTGCTGAGAAAACTGGCTAGCCATATGTAGAAAGCTGAAACTGGATCCCTTCATTACACCTTATACAAAAATTAATTCAAGATGGATTAAAGACTTAAATGTTAGACCTAAAACCATAAAAACCCTAGAAGAAAACCTAGGCAATACCATTCAGGACATAGGCATGGGCAAGGACTTCATGTCTAAAACACCAAAAGCAATGGCAACAAAAGCCAAAATTGACAAATGGGAGCTATTTAAACTAAAGAGCTTCTGTACAGAAAAAGAAACTACCATCAGAGTGAACAGGCAACCTACAGAATGGGAGAAAATTTTTGCAATCTACCCATCTGACAAAGGGCTAATATCCAGAATCTACAATGAACTCAAACAAATTTACAAGAAAAAAACAAACAACCCCATCAAAAAGTGGGCAAAGGATATGAACAGACACTTCTCAAAAGAAGACATTTATGCAGCCAAAAGACACATGAAAAAATGCTCATCATCACTGGCCATCAGAGAAATGCAAATCAAAACCACAGTGAGATACCATCTCACACCAGTTAGAATGGTGATCATTAAAAGGTCAGGAAACAACAGGTGCTGGAGAGGATGTGGAGAAATAGGAACACTTTTATACTGTTGGTGGGACTGTAAACTAGTTCAACCATTGTGGAAGTCAGTGTGGCAATTCCTCAGGGATCTAGAACTAGAAATACCATTTGACCCAGCCATCCCATTACTGGGTATATACCCAAAGGATTATAAATCATGCTTCTATAAAGACACATGCACACGTATGTTTATTGCAGCACTATTCACAATAGCAAAGACTTGGAACCAACCCAAATGTCCAACAATGATAGACTGGATTAAGAAAATGTGGCACATATACACCATGGAATACTATGCAGCCATAAAAAATGATGAGTTCATGTCCTTTGTAGGGACATGGCTGAAGCTGGAAACCATCATTCTCAGCAAACTATCGCAAGGACAAAAAACCAAACACCGCATGTTCTCACTCATAGGTGGGAATTGAACCATGAGAACACATGGACACAGGAAGGGGAACATCACACTCTGGGGCCTGTTGTGGGGTGGGGGGAGTGGGGAGGGATAGCATTAGGAGATATACCTAATGTTAAATGACGAGTTACTGGGTGCAGCACACTATCATGGCACATGTATACATATGTAACTAACCTGCATGTTGTGCACATGTACCCTAAAACTTAAAGTATAATAATAAAAAAGAATTTTCCAGTAACAACAACAACAACAAAAAAGAATTAGTAAGTTAATATACATAGGATATTTAGAATGGTGCCTATCACATAAAAAAGAAAGAAATAGTAGCCCTAACAATACTAACAAATAGTGATGTATCAAGGGTGGGGCAGTAGAGTAACTGCCCTGGGTACAGATACTAAAGGGTATACCTTCTGTAGAGAACTTAAATAATAAAGCTGACTAAAAGTTGGTTTGCTTTTTATTATCACTGTGTCAGCATTTCTAAACAATGCTAATGATAAAATCTCTCCACAAGGCAGACTTATCTCACTCCCCTCCCCTCTTAGTATGCCTCTGCTAACAAATAGTCACTTTCATAACCAGGTGGGGGAAGTATCATTACTGTCAACTGGTTTCAACCATGATTCCGCAACAGATAGACCAAGAAAGACGTCTTTCCATAAAGAATTTTCCAAAGTTTTATAAAGCAATTTAGTGGAAAGAAGGCATTGTTTAACTATACTAGCTTTGCATAATAAGTTTCCCCTTTTTTGCAAGGGATTAGTGATGTTGGAATAAGAGCCCTTGACAGATGATGAAATGTAAGATACATACACCCTACTTTATACAATCGAGGGAGTAGATACAGTGAAATAACACATGGCATCCATTCCCACGTCCTTATAGTGTGCCTGTATATAATACAGTTACTAGAACACTAAAAAATCAAGGATTCCAGACACAAGTTAGAAAAATATAAGTGAGGTAGAGATATCTTGCCACTTTGGCCATTGCTAGTCGCCAAAAGCAAGATTTGGAAACCTTGGGTTTTGCTGCAGCAACATTCCAATGTCTAGTCACTATTGTGACTGTTGAGTGTTGAGAGATAGTTATAGGAATGGCAGTGAATTTCTTATTTCTAGATTTTAGATATGGTCTTCAAGTCAACTTTAAAGTTCCAGTGGTGGCCTCCTCACTGCTGTCACTCATCACCTTCCTAAATGTAGCAGAGTTAGCAGTAATCCTGATGGACCAGTTTGACAGTGTTGATTAGAGAGTCCTTTCTTGAAGCCTAGCCTAGAGCGCACTTTTTTAGCCAAGAATTTCGTAAGAACCTAGTCCCCTACATCAAACCAATTCTGCTTAAAATAGCTGGAATGGATCTGTTTCATGTAAATAAAGGCTAACTGAGGCAGTATTTGGTATCTTTCAACAAATATTTATTAAGAAAATATTATAGTGAACAAGACAAGTAAAAATCCCTGCCCTACATAGAGCTTATGTTATAATGGAAGATACAGACAATAAAAATAAATATAATTTTTAGACAAATGATATAAGTTGATATTCCTATTAAAGTAAAACAGGAGGCATAAGGTGTTCCAGGATCTGGAGCATGATGAAATTTTATTTTATTTTATTTTTTGAGATGGAGTCTTGCCCTGTCACCCCGGCTGGAGTGCACTGGTGCAATCTCGGCTCGCTGCAACTTCCGCCTCCTGGGTTCAAGCAATTCTCCTGCCTCAGCCTCCCAAGTAGCTGGGATTACAGGCACCCCACCACCACATCTAGCTTTTTTTTTTTTTTTGTATTTTTAGTAGAGACAGGGTTTCGTCCTGTTGGCCAGGCTAGTCTCGAACTCCTGACCTCAGGTGATCCACCCACCTCAGCCTCCCAAATTGCTAGGATTATAGGCATGATCCACTGTGCCCAGCCTACGATAAAATTTTAAATGAAGTAGCCATAATATTCTTTTAAGAGGGTAGCATTTTTTTTATTTCAAATATAAGTGAGATCATGTGGCATTTGTCTTTGTGTGTCTGGCTTATTTCACTTTTAATTTGTTATTTTACTTTTTCCTTAAAAAGTCTAACTTATAGAAGTAAAAAGTAGAATGGTACTTATCACAGGCTGGGGTTATAAGGTGGGAAGAAGCGAGTGGAGAATGGGGAGATGTTGACCAAAGGGTACAAAGTTTTAATTAGACAGGAGGAATAAGTTTTCCAGAACTATTGCACAGAATTATTAACAATAATCAATAATGTATTATACACTGCAAGTGCTAAAAAAATGTTTAAATGTTTCCACTACAAAAATATAAGTATATGAGGTGATGCATGTTAATTAGCTTGATATAATCATCCCACAATGCAAACATATGAAAACAATACATTGTACTTCATAAATATACACAATTTTTAAAAATTTAAATTAGGGTAACATTTGACAGAAGACTTAATGGTGGTGAGCATACATACTAACTGATCAGGTGTCCATTCTAACTGGTTGATGCCTGTGATGTATGAATTGCGAAAATTATTGAATGTTACATCTAGAAATTGAGACACTTTGGGGAATTCATAAGAATATGAATACTCTAAATCTCCAAATTCTACTGAATTTCCTTTGACAGCAGCAGCAGAAGACTCTTCTCATAAGATCAGGTAGGTGGTTCTACCTTGCCGAAATACCTGATAGTGCTATCAACCTTCAAAGTCTGACTTGGAGGAGGAGGATTACACGTAAAATGGGTACCAAGTTTCTTTTAATTTTCATCAGCATTAACTTAAGAAATATGCATATGAATGAGTTCTTAAACTAGAAAAGGAAGAATATTATTTTATTAGATTTGTAAAAATGGGTACACCTAAAATAATCTCTGGATTTAATGCACTGTTTCAGACAGCTGAAAGTGATTTAGTAAGACCAGTCCAGGGTAAAGGCTCCAGTAATATTCCTACACTTTGAGGTGGAACCCTAGAGAATTGCACCTAGGATTCATGGGGTGAATTGGAAGTATAACAGCTTTCACAAAGATTGCAGCTCACCAGAGTCACTTTGGTGACCCAGAAAATTTCAATCCTAATACTGGATTATGATGATCTCAGATCGCTAGTGTTCCCAGATGCCTGGAAGAAGCAACAGCAAATACTCCAGAAAGGAAAATAACATTACCTCAAGTTTCACATTATTTCTCTTTTTTTATTTTTTTTTCTTGAGACAGAGTCTCATTCTGTCACCCAGGCTGGAGTGCAGTGGCATAATCTTGGCTCACTGCAACCTCCACCTCCAGTGTTCAAGCTATTCTCCTGCTTCAGCCTCCCAAGTATCTGGGAGTATAGGTGTGGGCCACCACACCCAGCTTATTTTTATATTATTAGTGGAGACGGGGTTTTGCCATGTAGGCCAGGCTGATCTCATTCCTGGCCTCAAGTGGTCCACCCACCTTGGCCTTCTAACGTACTGGGATTACAGGCATGAGCCAACGCACTCAGCCACATTTCTTAAAAAAAAAAAAAAAAAAAAAAAGTTTTAAGATAGTATGATAGTATCTGGGATGCATGAAAGTTGGTCCAAATAAGGCAACTTGAACAAGAAACAGAAACAACAACAAAGCATAGAAATAGAACTACAAGACTCCAGATGTCAAAATTTTTAGACATTGATTTAAAAATAACTATGTTTACTAGTTTCTGGGAGATAAGGGAAAGGATTGAAAATTTAAACTGAGAACAGAGACATGAGAACTCAGATTTTTAAAATATAAATTATAAAAGTAAAAAAATGCAATAATTGAGAATAAAAATTAGTGGTTGGATTAAACAAAGATTAGATACAGTAGAAGAATTAGTTAACTGAAATATATTTCAGAAGAACATACCTAGAAGAAAGCATGGAGTTACAAAAGTATGGTAAAATAAAAGGGAGGGGACCAATTCTGCTTCTGAATACATACCGAACAGAAAAGCATGTACATGTGCATCAAGAGACATATATAACAATATTCACTGAAGCTTTGTAAAAGCCCTGCTATGGCCTGATTGTTTGTGTCCCTCAAACAATGTTAAAATTGAATCCCTGATGTGTTGCTATTAAGAGGTGGGGACTTTGGGAAGTAACTAGGTCATGAAGGCAGAGCCCTCATGAATGGGATTAGTACCTGTACTAGTTCTTTTTTGCTGCTATAACAAAATATCACAAGCTGGGTAATTCAAAAACAACAGAAATATATTTCTCACAGTTCTGAATGCTGGAAAGTCCAAGATCATGGCACTAGCATCTGGTATCTGGTGAGGGCCTTCTTGCTGTGTCCTCACATAGTGGAAGACAGAAAGGAAAGCAGAAAAAATGTTGTGTCCCCACGTGGCAGAAGAACAAGAAAGGGTGAGCCCATTCCCACAGTCCCTTTGTATAGTAGTATTAATTCACTTATGAAGGTGGAGCCTTCGTGACCTGAACATCTCCCATGAGGCCCCACCTCCCAACACTGTTGCATTAGGAATTACATTTCAACACAAGTTTTAGAGGGGACAAAGACATACCAACCATAGCACTGCCCTTATAAAAGAAGCCTAAGGGAGCTTTTTTGCCCTTCCACCATGTGAGGACACAGCTAGAAGGCACCATCTCTGAAGCAGAGAGCAGACCCTCACCAGACACTGTTATCTACTGGTAACTTGATCTTGGACTTCCCAGCCTTCAGAACTGTAAGAAATACATTTCTTTTGTTTACAAATTACCCAGCCTAAAGTAATTTGCTATAGCAGCCAGAATGAAATAACACAAGCAACAACTAACAAACTAGCCCTGATCAAACTAACCCATTTTCAACAGAATGCATACATTGTAGTATATTCATAGAATTAACACTATACATCAATAAAAATGCACAATTTGTATAAATCTCAAAACTATAATAATGAGAAAAAGAAGCCAAATAAAGTATACTCCCAATTTAATATATACTACCAGTATGCTTCTATTTAAACAAAATTCCAAAACAAGTCAAATTTCGTTATGTTATTAGGAATGCTTGTTATAGTAGAAAATTAATAAATAAATATATGGAGATGCTTACTATAAAATATAGAATAACAGTCGCATTTTGGCAGAAGAGGTATTTGACAGTAAAATATCATGCACAAGATTTCTGGGGTACAAACAATGCTCCATTTTGTCATCTGCATGGTTTTTCTACAAAATTCACTTTATAATAGCTCACTAAGCTATACATTTGTTTTATGTACTTTTCTAAGTGTATATTATATTTCCCCAAGAAAGAGTTTAAAATAAAGCATTACAGTGCCTATCCTCTGTAGTTTGGAGAGGAAGGTAGGAGATCTACCATTGAAATAGACTCCCTGACTTCAATGAGAATGATGGTATCAAAGAGTGGCAGATACTAAGTGGCAGCACTTAACTACCAGAAACAAGGTAAGCATGCTTACTATAATAAGCAACAGAGCTAGAGTATTATTCAGAATGGCTTGACATGCACAGAACATAGGTAGTAGCTAATTATTAATCAGGCTCTTGGACTAAATTAGATGAGCAACCCCATCAGGTCATACTGGATCTATATAAAATGATGGGTTTTTTTAGCCATTCATAGCCTGAGTCAATTCACAGAAAAGGAGCCCCTTCTGGAAGAATCCTGTAATACCACCACAAATGTACACTGTACATCTTTCTTCTTGGCTTTACCAAAATGAACCTGTAGTCATTTATCATGATAGCTGTATATGGAGGAAAGAGAAATACCTATAACCTTTAGGAAACATTGGACATTGGCTTTGCGTTATACTAATTCCTGGGTATCTGGAAAGCCACTTTGGTCTACTGGTAAATACAGAGGTTTAAAGGAGTAAGGTAATAAAGTGGAATTCTAGCCATCTCTCTGTTACTGAAGTAGGTCTATAAACCCATCCTGTGGTTATTTCCCCATTTCCCAAATGCATACGTTGGAATTATCACTGGGCAACTGACAGAAACCCCTCATTTACTCCTTAACCTTTAAAGCAAGGGGTATTATAGGAAGAAGTGCAAAGTGAAAGCCTGTGGAACTTCCCTCTCTACAAAATAGTAAACCAAAAGTAATGTAGTATTCCTGGGAGAAGCACAGAATGTAGTGACATCATCAAAGATATGTGCAGGGATTGTGATTCCTATCACATACCATTTAAGTGGCCTATTTTGCCTTTACTGAAGAGTCAGGTCTTAGAGACTGACAGTGAATTATCTTCACTTTAATCAGTGAGAAACTCCAAGTTGCAGCTGCTGTTCTAGATGTAGTCTCTTAAAGAAAGTGGTGCAAGTCAACACTGTCCCCAGCACCTGGTTTGCAGTTACCAATCTGGCAAATGCTTTTTTAACCCTGTACCACGAAGCAAGAAAGACCAGAAGCAATTTAACCTGTCAGGAACTGCTCTTAAATATTCACTATTTTATTTCAGGGATGCATCAATATTTTGTCATAATTTAGTACGCCAAGACTCTGATCATCCCACAGGACATGATGCTAGTCTATAATATTGATAACATCATGCTGATAGAACATGATAAGCAATAATTCCAGAGGTCTTGTTGGGCAGGAGGTAAAACCAGTGAAACCAGGGGCCTACCTCAATGAAGTTTCTGGAGACCAGTAATATACTGAAATATTATCCCTCACCAATGAGAAAGACAAGTTTTTGCATCTCACAATACCCACCACTAATAAAGAGGTACATTTTGGGGGACTTCCTTGAGATTGGGTGACAACATATATCACACTTGAATGAGCTGGTTTGACCCATTTAATAAGTAATTCATAATTCTGCCAACTTTGAGTGAGGCACAGAATATTAGAATGTTTTGCAGTATGATGAGGTAACAGAGCAAGCAGTTCAGTCACTTGGATCTTATGGACAAAACAATCAATGGAAATGTAAAAATACCTAGTCCTGAATAAAATGAAAACACTATGTAACAAAACTTCTAAGATGTAATAAAAGCAGTATTTTGAAGGAAATTTATAGCCTTAAATACCCAAAATAAAGAGGAAGCAAGCCCAAGAAGTTATGTGTCTATTTTAAGGAGTTATTAAAACAACGACCCCAAGAGAATAAGCCCAAAGAAAGTAGAAAGAAAAAGATAATAAATATAAGACTGAAAACTAATGAAATAGAAAACAAAGATATAAAAACAATAGGTGTTTCTTTGGGAAAAAAAGTGACAAATATTTGGCAAGATTAATAAAGAGAGAAAAGAGAGAAGATGCAAATAATGTTTTAATGGAAAGGAAGGTATAACTAAGCAGAACAGTGTTTTAAAATATAATACCCAAAGGACTATAAATCATGCTGCTATAAAGACACATGCACACGTATGTTTATTGTGGCATTATTCACAATAGCAAAGACTTGGAACCAACCCAAATGTCCAACATTGATAGACTGGATTAAGAAAATGTGGCACATATACACCATGGAATACCATGCAGCCATCAAAAATGATGAGTTCATGTCCTTTGTAGGGACATGGATGAAATTGGAAATCATCATTCTCAGTAAACTATCGCAAGAACAAAAAACCAAACACCGCATATTCTCACTCATAGGTGGGAACTGAACAATGAGAACACATGGACACAGGAAGGGGAACATCACACTCTGGGGACTGTTGTGGGGTGGGGGGAGAGGGGAGGGATAGCATTGGGAGATATACCTAATGCTAGATGACGAGTTAGTGGGTGCAGCGCACCAGCATGGCACATGTATACATATGTAACTAACCTGCACATTGTGCACATGTACCCTAAAACTTAAAGTATAATAATAATAAATAAATTTAAAAAAAGATAATAAAACAATGCCATCAACACCAAAAACCGACGTTTTTGAAAACTTTGGAGAAATGGACAAATGGCTAGAAAAATGTAACTTACAAGAACATAAAAAGAAATTTTAAAATCTTGAATCATCCTATAACTATCTTAAAATTCAACGCAGTGGTTAAAATCTTCCTGCTGAGGAAATACTAAGTCAAGACTGTCTTATAGTTGAGTTCTACCAAGCTTTCTAGAAAGAGATAATCTCAATTTTATACAAACACTTTCAGATAAAAGAAAAAGAGGGAATACCACACAACCTATTCTGTAAGGCAAGTATACTTTGACATCAGAACAAATAAATTATGAGACATGAAGATTACAGGTTATTTTAACTCATTAATTTAGATGTAAAACAGCTAACAAAATATTAATGAATCAAACCCAAAAGAGTATATGAAAGACAATATATCACAACCAAATGGAATGTATTCCAGGTATACAAGGATGGTTTATTATTAGAAAATCCATAAATGTACCTTACCATATTTACAGAATAATACAGATAACCAAAAGATCATTTCAATAGATAAGTCTTTCATCAAACTTAAAACCCACTTATGATTTTAAAAACTCTTCTTCAATTAGAAATGAGAAAGGATAGTTCTTAACCTGACTAAAAGCATCTATAAAATAATCCAAAAGTTAACATTATCTTAAATGAGCAAACATTGGAAGCATTCTCTTTGAAATCAGGAATGGCACAAGGAAAAAACTTATTACCACTTTTGTTCATAATTGTACATGAAGTCCTATACGGTATAATGAGGCAATCAGAGATATAAGGATTGGAAAGGAAGAAACAAAATTGTGATTATCTACAGATTATTTGTAGATTATGTGATTTCTATAGAAAACCCAAAGAGTAAACCTTCACATTATTAGACACAACAAGGGAATTTAGCAAGGTAACTGCATATAAGATTAATATAGAAGATTCATTTACATTTCTATTCGTCAGCAGCAAGCCATTAAAACTATATTTAAAGAGAAAACACAATTCTTATAGTACTAGAAATCTCAAGTATTTGGGAATACAGTTAATAAAAGATGCACAGACATCTTCAGGGAAAATTATAAAATGTTATTAAGATATATATTTTAAAGACATAAATAAATCAAATGTGCTCCATTATTGCACAGTAAGCCTTAATATCTTAAAGATGTTAGTTTTCCCCAAATTGATCTAGAAATAAAATCAAGGCAATTTCAATTTCTATTCCAACAGTGTTTTCACATGGCTTAATGATTACAAAATTTATGTGGAAGACAAACAGGCCAATACTGGCCAGAACGCAACTGAAGATGGAGAGCAAGTTTGGGGTATTTGCCTGCTCCAAAATAGGAATTATTATAAAGTTATAATATTAAACAGTATATTATTGGAGCAGGAAGATTAAATGATGAATGAAATAGAAGATACCAGAAACAGACTCACCCATGATATAAGATAGAGAGATGGCACATCTACTCAGTAGGGAAAGTAGGGATGGTTCAATAAATGAAACTGGTAAAATAATTAGCATATGGAAAAAGGTGATTTAGGCCCCTGACTCATATGATATCGAAAAACCAACTTCAGATAGATTAAGGATTTAACAGTCAAAAATAAAACATCACTATTCTATGTAGAAAATATAGATGAAAATATTTTAGTCAATGAAGTAGGGAAATATTTAACAAGACACTAAAAGATTATTTTTTAATTGGCACATTGTAATTGTACAGACTTATGGAGTACAATTTGATGTTTTGATACAATATTTGTGTTGTATAATGATCCAACCAGGGTAGTTAGTGTATCCATCACCTCATGCATTTATCTTTTTTCCCTTGGTGAGAACTTTCAAAAGCCTCTCTTCTAAGTAGTTTGCAATATATAATATTTTACTGTTAACCACACTCATGCTACTGTGCAATGGAACACCATAATTCGTTTATCCTATCTAATTGTAACTTTATACCCATTGACTCACCTCTCCTCATCCTGCCCTTCCCAGTCTACTACCCAGCATCGGTTAACCACTGTTTTACTTTCTGCTTCTATGATATCATTATTGTTATAATTTTACATTCCACATGTCAGTGAGATCATATGGTATTTGTCTTTGTCTGGCTTATTTCACTTAACATGATTTCCTCCAGGTTCATTTATGTTGTCAAAAATAACAGGATTTCATTGTTTTTTATAGATGAATAGAATCCCATGTACATGAACCTCGTTTTTTAATTTATTCATCACTTGTTGGACACATAGGTTGATTCTTTATCTTGGCTATTGTGAATACAGCTGCAATAACCATGGGAGTTCAGATATCTTTTCAACATACTGATTTCATTTCCTTTGAATATATACCCAGTAGTGGGAGTAATCAATCGTATAGTGGTTCTATTTTCAATTTTTGAGGAACCTCCATACTGTTTTCCATAATGGTTGTATTAGTTTATAATCCCACCAACAGTGTGTAAGTGTTCCCTTTTCTCCATATCCTGGCCAACGTTTCTTTTGGAGATTTGATAGTAGCCTTTATAACTGAAGTGAGGTGGTATTTCATTGTGGTCTTGGTTTGCATTTCACAATAATTCGTGATATTGACGATTTATCCATATACCTGTTGGCCTTTGGTATGTTTTCTTTTGAGAAATGTCTATTAAGGTCTTTTGGTCATTTTTTATTCAGGTTATTTGTCTTTTTGCTATTGAGTTGTTTAAGTTCCTTATATATTCTTGACAGAAACCCCTTGTCAGATATAGTTTGCAAATATTTTCTCCCATTTTGTAGATTGTTGTTGCCTTTTAGTGTGATGTAATCCCATTTGTCTATTTTTGCTTTTGTTGCCTGTATTTTTGAAGTCTTATTTAATACATTTTTGCTCATCCCAATGTTATGAAGTATTTCCTCTGTTTTCTTTTATTAGTTTCACAGTTTTCAGTTTTACATTTAAGTCCATAATCTATTTTGAGTGGATTTTTAAGATAGAGGGGTGTAGTTTTGTCCTTCTGCGTATGGATATTCAGTATTCCCAGTACCTCTTATTGAAGAGACTATTCTTTCCCCCAGTGAATATTCTTGTTGCCTTTGCCAAAAACCAGTTGGCAGTAAATATGTGAAATTATTTCTGGACTTTTGATTCAGTTCCATTGGTCTAAGTGTCTGTTTTTATGCCAGTACCATGCCATTTTGATTATAAAAGCTTTGTAGTATAGTTTGAAACCAGAGAGTGTGATGCCTCCTGCTTTCTTCTTTTGTTCAAGATTCCTTTGACTACTCAGAGCCCTTTGTAATGCCATATACATTTTAGGATTATTTTTCTATTTCTGTGAAGATTGTCAATGGTATTTTGATAGGGATTGCATCAAATCTATAGATCACCTTAGGTAGTATGGCCATTTTTTATATATCAATTCTTTGAACCATGTACATGGGTTATCTTTGCATTTATTTCTCTTGCCTTCAATTTCTTTAATCAATGTTTTATGATTTTCAGTATAGAGATCTTTGACCTCCTTGGTTAAGTTTATTCCTAGGTATCTCATTATTTCTGTAGTATTAATAGTTATAAATTGAATTGTTTTCTTGACTTTGTTTTCTGATAATTTACTATTACTGTATAAAATGCTGCCATTTTTGTACATTGATTTGTATCCTGCAACCTTACTGAATTTATAAGTTCTCATAGTTTTTAGGTGGAGTCTTCAGAATTTTCTATTATTATATATAAAATCATGTCATGAGCAAGCAGGGACAATTTGATATCTTCTTTTCCAATTTGAATATCTTTTATTTCTTTCAACTTCTTAAATTTGTTATGACTTGTTTTGTGTCCTAAGACGTGGTCTATCCTGGAGAATGTTTCACGTACAATTGAGAAAAATGTGTATTCTGCAGTTATTGATGGAATGGCCCATAAATGCCTGTTAGGTGTGTTCAGTCTATGGTGCAGTTTAGGTCCAATTTTTTTAATTGATTTTCTGTCTAGATGATCTGTCCATTGTTGAAAGTGGGGTGTTGAAGTCCCCAACTATTATCATATTGCAGTCTATCTCTCCCTTTAGGTCTAATAACATTTTCTTTATATGTCTGGATACTCCAGTGTTAGGTGCTTATATATTTATAATTGTTATATCCTCTTGTTGAAATGATCTCTTTAATTTTATATGATGACTTTTTCTCTTTCTACAGTTATTGACATTAAGTCAATACAGTTATCTGACATAAGTATGACTACTCCTGCTCGTTTTTTGTTTGCATTTGCAAGGAATATCTTTGTCCCTCCCTTCACTTTCAGTCTGTGTATCTTTACATGAGCGAGTCTCCTGTAGGAAGGAAATAGTTGGGTCTTGTTTTTTGTTTTTTGTTTTTTGTTTTTTGTTTTTTTTATCCATTCAGCCATTTTGTATGTTTTAATTGGAAATTTTACTCTAATTAAATTCAAGGTTATTATTGATAAGGGGTTACTCTTGACACTTTGTTAACTGTTTTCTGGTTGTTTTATAGATCCTTTGGTCCTTTCGTACTCTCTTGTTTACCTCTGTGGTTTGGTGGTTTTCTTTGGTACTAAACCTTGTTTCCTTTATCTTTCTCATTTGTGAAATGGCTATAATTCCAGTATTTGTGGTTTGGGGTAGTGGTGCTACAGGCACTTCTGTTAACATAGTAGAATGACAATGACAGTGGGGGCTGCTGGCCCCCAGGATAGGATGCACTCTAGCAGTGGGTCTGGTTTAAAGATGGTTTTATGCAGTAGCAGTTTAGGTCATGAGGATAGAGGGTGCTAAAGGATGGCTCCTATTCTAAGGCAATGCAGCTGCACAAAATCCCAGATACTCTCCAAACTAGATTTGGGGCCTGTGAGAACTGGGGGAGTCTCCTGTAGCAAGGATTGCTGGTATTTGATGTAGCAATGGGGACAAATGGGGATCTCTAGCTTAAATTTTCCTTGTAAAAATAAGACTCTGACTCTAAGCCAATCCCAGTGGGGAGACCATGTGGCAGAGGAAAGATGCCTTGCTCACCTCTCTGTGGTGTTATCCTGGGCTTCCATGCTCCACAAGGGTTTTGCTACTCCCTTAGTACTCTCCGCCATATTTTCTCAGTCACTCCAGTTGAAATACAGTTTTTTATTTATTGTTTTGGTCACTTTTGGCGAAGGGGAGGATGAACTAACTGTAGTCAGCCATCTTTCCCTGATAATTTAGACAATATTTTGATGCATTAAAAAACATCTTAAAGAAAGTAAGAAAGATAAGGTACATTATGGAATGCCAGGTGGAGAATACACACAACCAAGAAAGAATTAGTAAAGAAATTCTTTTTATTTCTTTTTTATTTTTTTAGCAGTTAATTCAAACTTTATTTTAAATTTTTAAAATTTCTTTATTTTTATTTTTAATTGACAAATAATAATTATACATATTCATGGGGTCCGTAGTGATCTTTCAGTATGTATGATCTATAGTAAAGAGATCAGAGTAATGCTATACAACCATAAGAGAAGCACAAACAACCCAGTTAAAAAAAAAAAGTGAACAAGAGACATTTAGCAGAAGAGGAGACACACAGGGCCAAAAAAAAAATGTACGAAGAGAGTTTAATATCAATGGTGATTGTGAAAAATGCAAATCAATACTGCAATGAGATACCAATTCATACATATTACACTAACAAAAAATTAAAAAGTCTGACAAACCTAATGTTAGAGATGATGTATATTCACCATATGACTTACACATTGAGTCTGAAAGTAATAATTTCTGCAACCACTTTGAAAAACAGTTTAACATTACCCTCTAAAGTTGAAGGTTTATATAGCCTATGGCTTGCAATTCCACTCCAAGGCATATGCCCAAATAAACTCTTACATATATAAAACTGGAAATATGTACAAGAATGTTTATAGCAGTACTGCTAACAACATAAAAAGCTTGGAAACGACCCTAAATCCCATTAATGGGAGAGAGGATTAATAAACTGTTGTACAAATACAAATATAAACCAGACTCTAGTATAAACCAGTTTAAATGAATGAACTATTACCAACACACAGCAATATGCATGATGCGAATATTGAATAACAATATTCAAAATGAGAATTTCAATAGGTACCCATATTTTCTCCCTTGCTTACACACATACATACACAAATATACACATATCTTTCCTTTTCCTCAACTATTTTATGTAAAATATGTTGGTAGTAATTAAGTTTATAATAGTTTTTAAGTTACAGTATATCAAGGTAGGATTATGACAAAACCATAAAATGAATGAGTATCAAGCAAAGATGGATTTGGTGACTACTGAGACCCTGGATATCCCCTTTTTGGGAAGAAGATGTCCACAGTTTTGTTTTTACCAGAAAGAGTTGCATTCTGTTAGGCATCACCATATGGTCATTACTATTTTTGTTTGGAAGCTTAAGGATAGAAAGACAAATATATACAATCTTTAGTAGCAAAAGAGCTTGTAAGTCTGGTGAATTCCATTCAGTACTCTCTCTTGCCTCCCATTAACGTGGCTTCCTGTACTGCCAAGCCTCAAAAAATAACATCTGCCTCCCTTACAGTTATGTTTCTGGATGCAAATTAGATTTCACCAATTAGATGTACTTTCATCAGATTTAGAAGGTAGAAGGTGATTTGAGAATCATTTCCCGGCTGCTTTGTTGTTGCTAACAAAGTCTTGAAAATGTTGGGTTTTCTGCACCACTAGCTTAGCTGGTATTGAGAGGCAGTTTTACTGGTGATGGGGGTGAACTTGGCCATGGATGCCCTGACAACTGCTTTATGGGGTGAAGTTGTAGCTGCAGTAACGGTGGTTTCTGATTCCTCAAGTACAGCCATGGCTGTGTGTCCTTGAACTCAAGTGGAAGGGTTCCCAATTCCCTGCCTTCCTGATGTGAGCAGCCTAGTTCTGCAGTATTATTCTGTGATTCATTTCTGGAGGCCGAGATCAGAATTAATTCCTCTAAGTCCTGCCAATATTTTTTGGAGATCCTCAGTCCTATATTAAATGCCTATAAAGGTAGAGCGGTTTTTGTTTCTTGCAACTGAATCCTGACTGATAGAGTTATGCTCTTGAGAAATAATGTCTACAAGCAATCCATACTTGCTTATTAAAGATAGTATAAAAGAATATTGTTTGATTTTGATCAAATTTCAGGAGATGTTTGGCTTACAAAATGTTAACTTGAAATTTCTCAATGCCCATCTTATCTATCAGGCTTTTAATTATACATGCAAATGTGTTTTCATAAAATAAATAATTAACCACATGACAAAGAAAAAATCCTGCTCCAAATGTTTATGGATTTGTAAATTACTACTGTCATTTAAACTAAGCCTTTAAAATACAAGTTTTTTCACTAAAATAAATTGAATTAAACTTAGTCTAATGTCAGTTCATATTTATTGAGGGCTTATTCTGGACTAAGCAGGGTTCCATCGTCCTTTCTTTTTTTTTTTCTCCTCACCCACAGATCTTTGTTCCCCAGAAAATAGCCTCATTGTTTCCCAAAGACAGACTAATGTGGGATTATTTTAATGGGTAAAGCACACACAGGTGTGTTTTCAGCCTAACAAGGTGCGGTCTTCTATGGATTTGGGTTCATTTATAGGACTACTTATGTTACTATTAGAATTATCAGAAACAATATAGAGAAAGAAAATTCAGTATTCAATAAACTCATACCTGTATATTGACAGGAGGAAATACACTTTGTCTCCATAGGGACTGTGTTATAATGGGTTTATATAATGCTAATGCAATTAAACACTCAAATTTCTAAAAACACACACCTTGATGACAAACGAAATTTTTTAAAATTTCAAATCTTTCTACATCTCATTCCCACCACTAACTCCTGTTTACAAGCTTCTATCATCTTGCATCTTGATTTCTACTGCAGCATCTGAATTGGTCTCCCTATTCCACTCTTCTCTTCTAATCTACTCTTTTCACAGTCTCCAGGGTGATCTTTTGTTAAGGGTTAAATAAAAACATACTCCTACACCTCTTGAAAATCTTTCATTCCTTGGCCGGGTGCGGTGGCTCACGCCTGTAATCCCAGCACTTTGGGAGGCCGAGGCGGGTGGATCACGAGGTCAGGAGATCGAGACCATCCTGGCTAACACGGTGAAACCCTGTCTCTACTAAAAATACAAAAAATTAGCCGGGCGTGGTGGCAGGCGCCTGTAGTCCCAGCTACTCGGGAGGCTGAGGCAGGAGAATGGTGTGAACCCAGGAGGCAGAGCTTGCAGTGAGCTGAGATAGCGCCATTGCACTCCGGCCTGGGTGAAAGAGTGAGACTCTGTCTCAAAAAAAAAAAAAAGAAAAAAAAAAGAAAAAAAAAGAAAATCTTTCATTCCTAGTCTCCACACTTAAGGGAAAAAAAATCTCAAATCTTTACCATAGCTCTCATAATCCTGGATGGTCAGGCACCTGCTAACACGCTAGCCTTACTCTGTCACTACTTTGCCACCTCAGTTTCTCCATTCTGGACTCACATTTACTTCCATGAATACTCAGATCCTTTTTTGCCACAAAGCCATCTCACTTGCAATTTTCACTGCTTGGAATACTCTCTCTTCCACCTTCACATTATTGGCTCCCTTTTCATCCTTCAGGATCTGACATGTCACTTCCTTCAAAAGGCTTATTCTTCTTCATAAGACTGCTTTTCCTTCATAGCCTACATCACAGTTGCATTTATATACTTGTTTGAATTTACTTCTTGATTACTAATCTCTCCCACTAGTCTCTAAGCTCCGTGATGGTAAGGATGGAGGATTCTGATTCCCTTGCAGAGTGGTATCAGTACAGCAGAATGGGGAGCTAATCTTCCATCTCCTGCCTTAAGGAAGCAGGCAGATCTCTGGTTCACCTGACTGGTGATATTGGGAAGCTAAGCAAGAATCTGATCTTCCATATCCTATACAGGGGAAGCAGGCTATGCTCTGATTCTCCTGTCAGGGTACTGTCATCAGGGTCCAGTGGAGAGCTGAGCCTTTACCTACTCCCAACATCAATGAAACTGAATCAGATGGTGCAAATTGGGACTATTAACACTCTTCTCTCCCCTATCTCTGGTGCCAGGAAAGCCCACAAGTTGCACAAATAATGAGACAGTGTGAAGCAGGGCTAGTTGGCATTCCACTTTCCACTTCCCCTGGTGTCAGAATAAACCAATGGGGAGCTGAACCTCAACACCTACATGGCATTAATGAAACTGAATGAGGCTGTGTTATGCAGAGCTAGTTGAAATCCCACTTCCCCTTCTCCCTTCGCTGGTATTAGTAGGGCCCAGTGGGAGGTGTTATTCTGCCCCCAAGTGCTGCATCAACAAAGCATCCTGAGTCCCTCAGCATTGGGGGACAGCGGGGAACAACAGAGAGGTGATCTTACACCCCCACCTGGAGGGAATGAGGTGGTGTGAGTCAGTGTCCCACTTTCACTGCAAAGTGTCAGCAGGGAAAAGCAGGGAACTGATCTTTCACCCTAGTCATCTGCAATAAGGCAGTGTGATTTGGCAATCTACATTCACCAGGTGGTATCAGTGAGGCCAAGTGGGAAACTGAGTATACACACCCAGTCAACTCCATGTTAAACCTCAAAATGGAATGCCTGCAAAAAATAAATAAATAAATAAATAAATAGTATCCAGAGTCCCATGATATGCAAAATCTCCAGGATGAAATAGAAAATAATGCATCATACAAAATACCAAGGAAATTATAACATGAATGAGAAAATACAATCAACAGATGCCAACATCAAAATAAATCAGGTATGGGAAATACCTGAAAAGGATTTTAAAGCAAGTATTACAAAAACGATTGAAGAAGAAATTACAAATTATGTGAAGCAAATGAAAAAAAATAGAATATCTCAGCAAATAAATAGAAGTTATAAAAAAGCAAATGAATATTACAGAAATGAAAAATACAATAACTGAAATTAAAAACACACTGATGGGCTCAAAAGTAGAGTGACAAAGACAGAGGATAGAATCAGTGAACTTGGGGACAGACCAATAGAATTTCCCCAATCTAAACAAAAAAGGGAAAATTGAATTTTAAAAAATGATCATTTGGGGTGATTTCTGGGACAAAAACAATGAGCTAATGTTCATTTCATTGTGGTTCCAGAAGCAGAAGAGTGAGAGAGTAGGATTGAAAACGTATTTTTAAAAATAAAGATTGAAAATTTCCAGAATTTGGCAAAAACTACATAAACCTACAGAATCAAGAAGCTTAATGAATGCCAAACAGGTTTAATCCAAAGAAATCCATGCCAAGATTCATCATAGCCAATCTTCATTCTGCTTGGAATACTCTCCCTTCTACCTTCTTACACACACACACACACACACACACACACACACACACACACAAATTGAAGGCAGCCAGAAAGAAATAACACATTACTTACAGGGGAAGAACAATTCAGATGAATGGCAAACAGGCATATGAAAAGGTGTTCTACATCACTGATCATCAGATAAATGCAAATCAAAACTACAATGAGATATTGTCTTACCCCAGTAAAGATGGCTTATATCCAAAAGACAGGCAATAACAAATACTGGAGAGGATGTGGAGAAAAGGGAACTTTCATACACTGTTGCTGGGAATGTAAATTAGTACAACCACTATGGAGAACAGTATGGAGGTTCTTCAAAAACAACTAAAAGTTGAGCTACCATATTATCCAGAACCCAAAACAAAGGAAATCAGTATATCAGAGAGATATCTGCACTTCTGTTTGTTGCAGCACTATTCGTAATAGCAAAGATTTGGAAGAAACCTAAGCGTCCATCAACAGATGAATGGATAAAGAAAATGTGAAACCTATAAACAATGGAGTACTATTCAGTCACAAAAAAAGAATAAGGTCCTGTCATTTGCAACAACATGGATGGAACTGGAGATCATTATGTTAGAGAAATAAGCCAGGCACAGGAAGACAAACATCACATGTTCTCACTTATTTGTGGGATCTAAAAATCAAAACAATTGAACTCATGGACATAGAGAGTAGAAGGATGGTTACCAGAGGTGGGAAGGGTAGGAGTGGGGTTGGGGAGAGGTGAAGATAGTTAATGCCTATGAAAAAATAGTTAGAAGGAATGAATAAGACCTATACGTGATAGCACAACAGAGTGACTATAGTCAATATTAACTTAATTGTACATTTAAAAATAACTGAAAGAGTATAATTGGATTGTTTGTAACACAAAGCATAAATGCTTGAGAGGATTTTCCATGATGTGGTCTTCACACATTGCATGCCTGTATCAAAACATCTCATGTACCCCATAAATACACCTACTATGTACCCACAAAAATTCAAAATTAAAAAATTAAAGACACACACATACACCTCAAATGACAGTAGACTTCTCATCAGAAAACAAGAAGGCCAAAAGAAAAGTGATGCAGCATTTTCCAAATACTGAAAGAAAAGAAGTTTCAACTGCAAATTCTATATACAGCAAACAAATGTCTCAGCAATGAAAGGAAAATATACTACCAGACAAAGGAAAACTAAGAGAATTTGTCACTAGTAAACCTGCCTTTAAAGATTGACAAATGGGATCTAATTAAACTAAAGAGCTTCTGCACAGCAAAAGAAACTACCATCAGAGTGAACAGGCAACCTACAAAATGGGAGAAAATTTTCGCAACCTACTCATCTGACAAAGGGCTAATATCCAGAATCTACAATGAACTCCAACAAATTTACAAGAAAAAAACAAACAACCCCATCAAAAAGTGGGCGAAGGACATGAACAGACACTTCTCAAAAGAAGACATTTATGCAGCCAAAAAACACGTGAAAAAATGCTCATCATCACTGGCCATCAGAGAAATGCAAATCAAAACCACAATGAGATACCATCTCACACCAGTTAGAATGGCAATCATTAAAAAGTCAGGAAACAACAGGTACTGGAGAGGATGTGGAGAAATAGGAACACTTTTACACTGTTGGTGGGACTGTAAACTAGTTCAACCATTGTGGAAGTCAGTATGGCGATTCCTCAGGGATCTAGAACTAGAAATACCATTTGACCCACCCATCCCATTACTGGGTATATACCCAAAGAACTCTAAATCATGCTGCTATAAAGACAAATGCACACATATGTTTATTGCGGCATTATTCACAATAGCAAAGACTTGGAACCAACCCAAATGCCCAACAATGATAGACTGGATTAAGAAAATGTGGCATATATACACCATGGAATACTATGCAGCCATAAAAAATGATGAGTTCATGTCCTTTGTAGGGACATGGATGAAATTGGAAAGCATCATTCTCAGTAAACTATCACAAGAACAAAAAACCAAACACCGCATATTCTCACTCACAGGTGGGAATTGAACAATGAGATCACATGGACACAGGAAGGGGAATATCACACTCTGGGGACTGTGGTGGGGTGGGGGGAGGGGGAGGGATAGCATTGGGAGATATACCTAATGCTAGATGATGAGTTAGTGGGTGCAGCGCACCAGCATGGCATATGTACACATATGTAACTAACCTGCACAATGTGCACATGTACCCTAAAACTTAAAGTATAATTAAAAAAATAAAAATAAAAATAAAAAAAAAGACTGGCTAAGTGAAGTTTTGTAAATGAAAAGGAAATGCAAAGCATGGAATTTCAGAAAGGAAAAGCATTGGAATGGGTAAAAATAAGCATAAATAGATTATTCTACTCTTTATGGATTTATTAAATCATATTTGATAGTTGAAGCAAAAATTATAACACCATCTGATATCATACTTATATATAGAAAATGTATTAAATGTAGTATTTAAAGTAATAGTTCAAATTTTATTAAAAAATGTAGTGAAAAGTTATATTCTAAAAGTGGGGATGATAAATCTAAATAGAAGTAAGTTTTCTGTACATCATTCAAAGTAGTAATGTATCAAAACAAGTAAACTATGATAATTATGTATGTTGTAATACCTAGAATCAACTACTCAAAAAATTATACGAAGCAATGTGTTTCAAAAACTGTAAAGAAATCAAGATGAATTCCTTTAAAAATGTTCACATAACCCACTGGAAGTTAAGAAAACAAACACAGAGGAACAAGAAATAGAAAATTAATAATAAAATGACATCAATTAAACAGACAAGGTAATGCCACAAACAACTCTATGCCTAAAAATTTGATAACATAGAGGGAATGGACTAATTCCTTGAGACATACAAACTACCAAAACTCACACAAGAAGAAATACATAATTTGACTAGGCCTATATCTATTAAAGAAATTGAATCAATAATTAATAAAGTTTCGGCCGGGCGCAGTGGCTCACGCCTGTAATCCCAGCACATTGGGAGGCCGAGGCGGGTGGATCACAAGGTCAGGAGATCGAGACCATCCTGGCTAACATGGTGAAACCCCATCTCTACTAAAAATAAAAACAAAATTTAGCCGGGCGTGGTGGCGGACGCCTGTAGTCCCAGCTACTCAGGAGACTGAAGCAGGAGAATGGCATGAACCCAGGAGGCAGAGCTTGCAGTGAGCTGAGATTGCGCCACTGCACTCCAGCCTGGGCGAGAGAGCGAGACTCCATCTCAAAAAAAAAAAAAAAAAGTAATAAAGTTTCAGAAAAGAAAGCCCCAGGCCTAAATGGTTTTACTGGGAAATTCCAAATTTATTAAAGAACTCATATCAATTTTTTGCAATCACTCCCAGAAAATAGAAGCACAGGTAACACTTTCCAACTCATTCTCTGAGGCAGCATTACCCTAATACCAAAACCAGACAACGGCATTACAAGAAAAGAATCTACAGACCAATGTAGTTTCTCATGAATAGATATTCAGAAGTCCTCAACAAAATTTTAGAAAATCAAATCAAGTGGGATTTACTCCAGGAATGTAATGCTGACTTAGCATCTGAATATCAATTAATATAATCTACTATAATAAGAAGCTAAAGAAGAAAAATTATATAATTATATCAATAAAGGCAGAAAACGCATTTGACAATCTGCAATATCCATTTATGGTAAAAAAAAAAAAAAAAAGTTCAGCAAGCTAATGAAGGGGAAGCACCTCAACTTGATGAAGAATATCTATAAAAAATATACAGCAAACATTATGCTTAATGGTGAAAGATTGAAGGCTTTCCCCCCAAAATCAGCAGCAAGGCAAGGATGTCTGCCCTCACCACTCTTATTGAAAGATGGCAAAATTGTCTATGTGGAAAACTCCTAAGAAAACTACAAAACAAAAAGAAAAAAGAAAGCCCTCCTAGAACAAATAAGACTACAGATTCAGCCGGGTGTGGTGGTTCAAGCTTGTCATCCTAGCACATTGGGAGGCTGAGGCAGGTGGATTGCTTGAGCCCAGGAATTTGAGACAAGACCAGGCAACATGGCAAAACCCCCGCCTCTTCCAAAAAATACAAAAATTAGCTAGGCATAGTGGTGCACACCTGTAGTTCCAGCTACTCGGAAGGCTGAAGTGGGAGGATGGTTTGAGCTTGGGAGGCAGAGGTTGCAGTGAGCTCTGATCACGCCACTGTACTCCAGCCTGGGTGACAGAGCCAGACCATGTCTAAAAACAAATAAATAACCTGAAAGCTTGCACAATATAAGATCTACAGTTTGCAGAATATAAGATCAACACACAAAATCAATCATATTTCTACACAATAATAATGAGCATATGGAAATTAAAATGAAAAACACAAACATAAATGCTACAAGAAAATGAAACACTTAGGTGTAAATCTAATAAAACATGTATGGTATCTGTATGCTCAAAATTACAAAATTCTATTGAAAGAAATAAAAGATCTACTAAATGGAAAAAAATACTATGTTCATAGATTGGAAGACTAAACATAGTAAAGATACTGATTCTCCTCAACTTGATTTATAGGTTTAATACAATTCCTATCACAGTCACAACAAAAATTTTTATAGATATAGACAAGATTATTTTAAAATGTATATGGAAAAACAAAGGAACTACAAAAGCTATAGCAATTTTGGAAAAAGAAAAATAGAGTAAATCAGTCTACCTCATTTTAAGATTTATTATACAACTACAGCAATAAGACTGTGTGGAGGGACAAGCATACAGATAAAAGGAACAGAATAAGGAACTCGAACTCAGAGACCCACACAAATATATCCAACTGCTTTTGACAAAGGTATAAAAGCAATTTGATGGAGGTAGGATAGTCTCTCAACAAGTGGTGTTAGAAACATTGGAAATGTATAAGTAAAAGAGATGAAACGACTTAAATTTCAAACCTTATACAAAGATTAACTCAAAATAGATTACGAATTTAAATGTGAAATGTAAAACTAAAAGTTTTAGAAAATTACAAAACAATCTTCAGGATCTAGGATTAGGCAAAGAGTTCTTAGATTTAATACCTAAAGCATGGTCTATAATAGGAAACCTTGATAAATTGGACCTATTCAAAAGTAAAAACTTTTGCTCTGCAATTGACTCTTAAAATGATTTTTTAAAAATAAGCTAGGGAACGGGAGAAAATATTTATAAAGTATATATACAACAAAAAACTAGTATCTATAATATTTTTTAAAGTCTCAAAAATCAGCAATAAAAAAATAAGCCATCCATGTAGAAAATGGACAAAAGACATGAACAGATATTTCACCAAAGAGGATAGAGAGATGACAGATATGCACTTTAAAAATGTTTGACGTCATTAGCCATCATGGAAATGCAAATTAAAACTACAATGAGATACCAATACACACTTATAAGAAAGGCTAAAATTAAAAATAGTGATGACACCAAATCCTGGCAAGGAAGCTGAGAAATTGGATCACTCATACCATACATTGCCAGTATGTATATGCAATGGTACAGTCACCTTCGAAAACAGTTTGGCAGTTTCCTATCAGTTTAGTAAAACTAAATATTCAACTACCATATGACCCAGGAATTGCAATTTTAAAAAATTTATCCCAGAGAATGAAAAATTATGTTCACACAAAAGCCTACAGGTTGTGCTATGCATAGCAGCTGTATTAATTTGCTAGGGTTACCATAACAAAATACGACAGATTGGGTGGCTAAGACAACAGAAATTTATTCTCAAAGTTCTTGATTCTGGAAGTCCGTGATCAAGGTACCAGCAGTGTTGGTTTCCTCTGAGGCTTCTCTCCTCAGCTTGCAGATGGCTGCGCTCTTGCTGCCTGGAAAATGATTGTCTCAAGTCACATATATTTTGACTTAAGTAGATCTCAAGAAATGTGCAATTCTCAATTTCATAGGAAAGGGTATCTTCAAATGACCATTGCCTGCTTATTCAAGGAACTTTGTATGTGGATTTATTTCCTTTACTGCCTGACAATAATCAATATCAGACTATAAGCAAAGATGACCACTGCTGCAGCCAGCCCCATACTTTAAGAAACTCAATGTCTGTTTCTGTTCACCCTGATCGTGGGGTTTGGAAAAGAGCAGCCCACTAAAAATGCCAGTGTCAGTAAGAATTACCCTTAACCTCTTCAGCCCTACTCTCAGAAATGTGGAATCCCCTCTGGTTTCATGTTTCATTTTGGGGTCTTGCTTTTAGCTGCTTTCCAGTATCAGCCAGCTTCTAACTTTCTAAATGCTTTTCATTTATGAACCTCCACTTGCCCTCAAAAGATAGAATGGTGCTTCCCAAATTGTGCCCTAAGACATTCATCTCTGCCTCTTCGTACTTCTGACTTCCTGAGGTAACCCCCAACTCTCTGCACTGATTCCAGTTCCAGGCTCAACTTCAGCCAGGCTGACAAAATGCCCCCTACAAATGAGAGAATGAGACAACCTCCATTTCAATCCCAGATCCTCAGTTAAGATCTGGGGGTGGGAGAGGATAGATGGCATTACACTTGAATGGTCTCAGTCAAGAACAGAACCAGAATCTATATGAGTTTGGAACAGAGACCACATTAACAATTGTAGTGATTATATCAGCAATGATAACAATTATTGAACAATGTACTATGTGTCAGACACTGTACTTCGTGTTTAACTCATTTAATACAAACAACCTATGAGATAAATACTACTATTATACCCATTTTAGACATGAGGAAACTGAGGCACAGTAATTGATTAATTTACCTGAATATTCACAGCTAGAAAGTACTAGCTGGGAGAAAAAAAAACAGGTAATTTGGCTCTAGAATCTTTAACAACTATATTATCACATTGCCTCTAAGTAGTAATTAAGTAATAGGTTGATTTCAAGTCACCCCGCTATTATCGCATTGAAAAGGGCGGGTTGATTTTATTATTTTTCCTTCACCTGTTACAAAAAAAATGGAACTTGCTACGAACTGAATTGTGTCTCCCCGCCCCAAATTCATATGCTGAAGCTCTAACCCCCAGGGGGATGGTATTTGGAGATGGGACCTTTGGGAGATAAGTAGGTTTAGATGAAGTCATGAGGATGGGGCCTTCATGGTGGAATTAGTGGCCTTATAAGAAGAGACACTTAGTGCTCGCTCACCCAGCCATATGAAGACACAGTGAGAAGGAGGCCATCTATTAGCCGGGAAGACAGCCCTCACCAGAGACTATCCATGTTGGCGCCATGCTCTTGGACTTCTAGCTACAGAACTATGAGAAAATAAATATCTGTTGTTTTAGCCACAGCATCTGTGATATTTTGTTATGGCAACCTGTAGCTGACAAATATAGGACTATATAAGCATGCCTCATTCCTCTGTGCTCTTGAAATGCTGGCTCTAGGTAGAATATTCACAGGGAAAACAGAAACGACATTTCCATGCAGTAACCCAGCTCCTAGGTGGCCACAGGTGAAGTTATTTAGAAATTAGTTTTAATGGGACACAAAAGATGCACAACACATTGAAGTAATTTTACTCTGATGTAAAATTTCAGGGCTGTTTCACAAGGTAACCAGATGCCAAGTTGGCTGGAATCCAAAGCAATACAGTGACCCAAAAGGGAAATAGGAATACCTCAAAAAATGAAAACCAGGCTAGATCCGTAAGGAGTAAAAGGAAATTACATGAGACTTAAAAGCTAACAGGAAAACTTTTTCCAGTCACACAAATAAGAAGGAAGTTCCAAATAACATGATGGCTCTCAGATAAATGAGGAGAGGAAGCTGTGAACAAGTAATTGAGCAAAGCTGTGTTTTCATGGTCTTTCTGAAAATGTCCAGGTGGAATCAGTTACCCAGAATAAAACCAGTAGTAAAGGGGAGATTGTATGTTAGACCATAAGAAGAAGAGACCAGCTGAAAATGACATCAAAATGCTGAATGGGTGATTTTGGAGAACTAGCAGATGTGAAACCTTAGAAAGCTGCTTTAGAAGAACCCAAGCATGGAATTAACAGCGTAAGCCACCAAATTTTCAAAAGGTTAGCTTAATTTACATATAGCTCAGTAACTGGTTGTACTCTAAAAGTTGAACTCCTCTTCCTTCATGTTGTTTCATGTCCTTTCCCTAGCACCAGGAACAAAGTGGGCTACATGCTTAGTGCTTAGTAAATATGTGCTGACATCATCACTTAGAAGAGCACCGGATTCTAGATTGGTTGAACATGCTTCTGTGCAGAACAATTTCTAACAAATGGTAATAACCCCATCCCCAGCCTGCAATCAGACTCCTGCAAAATATGGGGAATAGAAGATAAAATGTCACAGTATATAATTAAGGAGTTTTATATTGTAATAATTGGCACTCGCTCAAAAGGGACAGGGAGAGTGGACTTAGATTGAGGACACAAGTTTAAGCAATAGTAAGAATGAGAATTTACCGGTTCCATTGATGAAGGGCCAGGATGAATCTACATCTTGTAAACAAATGGACCATTTAAATATTTCACTGCTGTCATGAAAATATTGTTCTCTTAATTAAAAATGTTGTCACCACAATGAGACACCATCCCACGCCAGTCAGAATGGCAATTATTAAAAAGTCAGGAAACAATAGATGCTGGCAAGGCTGCGGAGAAATAGGAATGCTTTTACACTGTTAGTGGGAGTGTACATTAGTTCAACCAGTGTGGAAGACAGCGTGGTGATTCCTCAAGGATCTGGAACAAGAAATACCATTTGAACCAGCAATCCCATTACTGGATATATACCCAAAGGACTATAAATCATTCTACTATAAAGACACATGCACACGTATGTTTATTGCAGCACTATTCACAATAGCAAAGACTTGGAATCAACCCAAATGCCCATAAATGATAGACTGGATAGAGAAAATGTAGCACGTATACACCATGGAATACTACGGAGCCATAAAAAGAGAATGAGATCATGTCCTTTGCAAGGACATGGATAAAGCTGGAAGCCATCATGCTCAGCAAATTAACACAAGAACAGAAGACCAAACACTGCACATTCTCACTCATAAGTGGGAGTTGGACAATAAGAAGACATGGACATAGGGAAGGGAACATCACACACTGGGGCCTGGTGAAGGGTCGGGGGCAGGGGGAGGGAGAGCATTAGGACAAACACCTAATGTATGCAGGGCCTAAAACCTGGATGACGGGTTGATAGGTGCAACAAACCACCATGGTGCATGTGTACCTATGTAACAAACCTGCACATTCTGCACATGTATCCCAGAACTTAAAAGCAAAATAATAAATAAATAAAAAACAAAACAAAACAAAAAACAAAAATAAAATAAAAATTAAAAAATAAAAAGTCATCTGCCTCTATTTTGCTATGTAATTTTAGGCCTTGCAAGGTAGCTAGTTATAATTCTAATCCCCAAATCAATTCCAGGTGGTATTTTTTCTCTTTATATTTGCTTTGTGGTCATATCTGAAGTCTTTGAGGAGCCATACAAAACCAACGGGCAATGGTTTGAGTACTTCTGCTTGGCCAATACCACTGGATGTGGTCAGTCAGTTTATACCTACCAATTGTTATTAGTCAAAGGGTACAAAGTTTTGATTATAAAAAATAAATATCTCCAATATCTGCAATGCAGCTTAGTGCCTACAGTTAATGATACTGAATTATATACTTCAAAATTTGATACGAGTACATCTTAAGTGTTCTTATCACAAAAAAAGATACAGTAAATAAGATGATGGGGGAAACTGCTGGAGAGGATGGATGGTTTTATGGCGTAGATTGTCATGGTGGTTTCACAGATGTGTACTTATCTCTGAACTCATCAATTTATATATATTAATTATATACAGCTTTGTGTTTTTTAAGAGACAAGGTCTTGCTCTGTCACCCAGGTTGGAGTGCAGTGGCTCAGTCCTAGCTCACTGCACCCTCAAACTTGTGGGCCCAAGCAATCCTCTCAAGTAGCTAGGAATACAGGTGTGCTCCACCATGTCTGGCTAATTTTTAAAATTTTTTTGTAAAGATGGGTCTCACTATGTGGCCCAGGCTGATCTCAAGCTCCTAGCCTCAAGCCATTCTCCCACCTCAGTCTCCCAGAGTGCCAGGATTACAGGTGTGAGCCACCACACCCAGCCAGGTTTGTGTATGTCAAAACAAAATGTAAATGAAAACGCAAATATCAATTGTACCATTCTCTGCCTAGCATTGTTCTAGGTAGCAGAAATGCCACAGTGAATGAGCTAAACCAGGTCTCTACCTTCAGTGAGCTTACATTCTAGTGAAGGAATACAAGTAAGAAAGAAGGAGATATTTAAATAAAAATGTTGTTTAAGATACTGATGAGTATAGTGAAGAATGTGATAAAGTGATAGACACAGCTGAAGTGCTCAAGAAAGGCCTTGCTATGAAGGTAATATTGGAGATGGGTTTTGAATGATGAGAAGGAGACAGGCAGCCATGATCTGGCAGAAGAGCATTCCAAGGAGTGATAGACAATGAGTTGGAACGATAGTTATTAGCTTCAGGCAACACATGGCAGACTCCTATCTGTCTACTCTTTGCCTTGCTCCGCTCTAGCCATACTGAACTTTACACTTCTATGTGTACCTTTGAACATGCCATTTCCTTTGCCTGCAACACTTCTCCCATCTCTTTTGGTAATATCCTCTTATCCTTCAAGGATCAGGTTAAAGATCCCCTTCCCAGTCTTGCCTCAGAGCCCTTGGATGAGATTAGAACCTCATGTTAGGCATTTCCACAGCATCCTGTGCTTTCCTTTTATAACCTGCATCAGACAAACAATTCACTTAATGTCTGCATTTCCTGCTTTGCAGTAAGTCCCATGAAGGTAGGGACCATGTATTAACTATTATTTCCTTTATTATCATCGTCATCCACTTTTTGGCGATTTAAACATTCACCTGTTAGAATCAGTAATCTTGTTAATAACCTCTTGATGGCCCAGTGAGTCATATAATGTGCAGATAAAAGCATTTCTTCACATATGCTTTAAAGTTTAAATATATATCTGTAATATATATCTGTTCCACTTAGTAAATTTCATTCTTTTCGATGTTTACTATTTTCATCATTCCAAAACAGAACAAAACACTGAGGTGACTTTTCCAAGATACTGAAAATGTCTGCCATAATCAGGGATTCTCAAAGTGAGAGTGCATCAGAATCACCTTGGGTGCTAGTTAAAAACTGCTCATTCTTTCAACATCTTTTACTGCCCACTGCTAGAGAATTTTAGGGTGGCAAGTAAGAACAAGGTAATCTGAGATCCCTAGATTAAGAAAAGGTGATTTTAAGCTCTGATAACTTTTTAGCCATTAATACAGCCAGTCACATCTTGTCATATAACATATACATGTTTCTCATATGAACCTAGCAAGGCACACATAATAGAAGGAGTAAAAATTCCTTCAAAGCCACTTTTGATTTTCCAAGCTTTCTGGTGCAAGGTAAAATTTTAATATAGCAAAATTGGCTTGATGTTCTGCAGAACGTATTGGGTGTCGTTCAACTTTGAGCGTATTCTCTAATTTAAAAAGTCAATAATGGGAAGGTCAAAAATAATGAGCTCCCTTACAATGCTAATAGCTTAATGAGAGATTTGGGGTTTGTTTATGCACTTGACATGATTTTTCTAGACTGGCCTCTTGTCAGAAATCACTTTAAAGCAATAGTACAGAGGATTAGAAAGTGAGAGGCAAATTCAGATCTACATGAAAATCCTATATTTAGTGTGGGTCTTTTTTCTCATATCACATTTAGCATCTGATCCTGGAACCTGAGTGTATGAGATATGGTGCTTATAATTGGTAAAGGCTCCTCTACTGTGCTGGAACAGAACTACAGAGGGCCTCAGCACCTGATGCCTCCAACCATGAAAGCCAAGGTTGCACTGAACAAAGTCTAAAGGAAGCCATGCAGATGTGCAAGAATGATGTGGAAACCTTTCCCCCATTAAGAAAAGAAATAATTTCCACAGACTCCTTGCTCTCAGTGAAAATGCTTCTATGAGGAACACAAAATAACTCCTGTTGAAGGTAAGTGGGCTGGGCATTTCTCAAAATGCCCAGTTGGTGTGCACCACCAACTAAAGCAAAGAGAGGAAAAGTTATGGAATGCACCAGCAGGAAGTGGTCAGCATTTCACTATGTGAAACATCCATGCTTTGAGGTTGAAGGGAAAGATCTTTTCCAATATTATCTAAATGAGGCAGTTTTGTGATATACTGTGCAGCAAAGAAGACTGAAATGGTCTCTTTTTCAATGATCACACCATGCACCCAACCCCCCCCAACCCCCTCCCACACACACACACCCCCACACACTCCACAGGCTTTCAGTAAAAATGTAAAATGAATTAGGCTGTCTTCGGTCTTACCTAACCTTTCTATACACTCACAACTCTTCCCATTTAGCACCCTCCAGCACCCACTGCTTGCCTCTCAGTTCTCTCATGCTGCCTCCCCTAAGGTAAGTCCCCTCTAGGAAGCACCCACCCTAGATACTGAAACTGTTCCCTCCCTGTGTCCTTAAGCACATCACATGCTTTCCTCCCTCTATTCCATTTTACCAGAACCCTGCTCCCTATTTGAGCTAAGCTGACTATTTGGATCAAGATGTTGATATCTGATAATGACTTAACGCGTTCCTTCAGTCAGATTGTTAATTGTGCCTTAAACAACAGCAGATCTTTTCTCAGAGAAGTGAGAAGGGAGGAAGGCACATTATGACAGGATCCACAAAATGGGGAAATAATGAACAGCCTTCCTATTATTTTCTAAGCACTAAGGAGGAGATAGACTGAGCAGACAAATACCTAGGCACGACTAACAGAGAAGATGATTCTCAAATCATCAAAAGGCACCAATGGTGATGGGAAACTACCATTTCTAGGTAACTGTGGGCCAAGCCCCATATTTAAAACAATAGCTTATTCAATTATCACAAAAAATCCTATGAGGCAGATGTTAGTTTCACCTTCACATAGCAATAGAACTGAAACACAGTGAGGTCGATTTCCTCAAGATTCCAAAGCTAGTAAATAGTTCAGCCAGGATTTGAACCCAGACTCCCTAACTCCAGAGTCTCCACTCTTAACCATTACATTTCAATATCTTTTATCCAGATAAACTGAATGAAAATTCAAGAGTAGTTTATTTCCAAGTTTGAATTCTGTGCTTCATTAAAAAATAATAGTGTATATTCCAGGAAGTACACATTTGTCTCTAAAGCCATTAACCTATTCATCAACATACAAAGTAGTAAAGCTAACAGCACTGCTGTGAGCCATCAGATAGCCATGAAAAAACTTTGGCTTATGGATCATAAAAACCTCTCCTTGGGGTGTCTATGTATAGGATTGTATATGTACACACACACATGCATGCATGCCTGTGTGCAAACACTTACGCATGTATGCACAGTACAGCTTGTACAATTTGACATGTAGGTGATCCAGGATGTGATTGGGGACCTCTGTGGCTATCCATCTCTGAAATGGTCCCTAGTAGTCTCTGCCTCCAATGTTGATACTCCTGTGAAGTCCCCTTCCACAGTAGGTAAGGGTTGGTCTTGTGAGCAATAGAATCCGGAAAAAGTGATGCTGTTACTGATGACACTAGGTTATAAAAGATATTTTGGCTTCTGTCTTGGGATCTCTGTCTTTCCCTCTCTCTCTAGATTAAGCCAGTTGCCATGTTGTGAGCAGCTCTATAGAAAAGTCCACATGGTGAGGAACTAATGGCTCCTGCTAATAGCTTTGTGAGTGAGCTTGGAAGTAGATCCCTTAACCCCAATCAAGCTTTCAAGCCCAGGCTGACGGCATAAATGAAACCTCATGAGGGATCCAGAGCCAGAATAATCCAACCAAATAGCTTCTGAATTCCTGACCCTAAGACATTGTGAGATAATAAATGTTTATTGTTTTAAGCCGCTACATCTTGAGGAAACGTGTTGTGCAGTAATAGATAAGTAACACCACTTCCAAAATATCACCTGCCTTAGAATATCTTCCTACAGTGCCTACAATCCTTAAAGTAGATAGTTAAATCTGGAAGACACTGATGACTCACAAATGTTTTGGGATGTTTGTTTATTTGGAGCAGGGTTGAATATGGTACATGAAGTTATTATTGGCCATTAATACCTTCACACACATATATATATATATATGCTTTGCCTTATTTGAAGTCTTCATTTTAACTTCTTGGTTATAAAAGTAATCTTTGTTCATTGCAAAAATTTGGAAATTTTTGCAAATTGGTATGGTTACCAATTCCAAAGTAACCACTATTCATTAAAATTAATAAGAGCCAAAGAGCAGATAAGCAGCTGATGAGATCAAAAGGAGGAATGAAAACTGAAAAGCAATTTTTCTGAATTACTAGTTTTGTCTAAGACAGTGATTTTAAATATACCAAATTCAACACTTCTTTTTCCCTACAAATATTTGTAATGTTCACTTTAATATTTCAAAATGAAATTCATAGATAACTTTTTATATGCATAATTTGTAAAAAAACTAGCATGATGCCATAACTGTAATAAAAAAGAGAAAGGGACAGCTATTAAAAATAAAATGATATGTAAATGCTTTGATATGACTACCCTAGGAGACATAATGAAGAGGTCAGATGTCTTCTGTGAATGTGACAGATGTACATGGAGATGGATTTGGGAGTGATGGTGTTTTAAACACTACAAGCACTATGCCAACCAGAAGACAATGTAGTGACATGTTTAAAACACTGAAAGAAATAAGCCATCAACCCATATTTCTATACCTGAGAAAATTACTTTCAAAAATTAAGAAGAAATAAAGACATGTCTGGACAAAAGCTGAGAGAATTCATGCTAGAAGACCTGCAGTATAAGAAATGTTCAAGAAGTTCTTCAGGCAAAAGGAATATGATACCAGACAGATAGTTGAATTTATGTGAAGAAATGATAAGTACCAGAAATGGTAAAATGTGAAGATAAATACCAAGAAAAACATTGTTATCAATAACATGATTTTACAAAATGGTGATTGCAACTTAAGATTGTGACCTTGAGCAAGTTACTTAACTTCTCTGTGTCTCAGTTTCTTCATCTGTGAAATGGGAATAACAATAGCATGTACCATTTTGGGTGTAGTGAGGATTAAATAAATTAATATATGGAACATGATTATAAAAGTGGTTGGCATTTAGTAAACTGGATATTAGCAGTAAAGTTCTAAACAAAACAAAGTAAAACCTTCTTCAATAAATGCTAGGCCATCATTCTCAGCAAACTATCGCAAGGACAAAAAACAAAACACCGCATGTTCTCACTCATAGGCGGGAATTGAACAATGAGAACACATGGACACAGGAAGGGGAACATCACACACCAGGGCCTGTTGTGGGGTTGGGGGGAGGGGAGAGGGAAAGCATTAGGAGATATACCTAATGTTAAATGATGAGTTACTGGGTGCAGCACACCAACATGGCACATGTATACATATGTAACTAACCTGCACGTTGTGCACATGTACCCTAAAACTTAAAGTATAATAAAAAAATAAATAAATAAAAGTAAAATTGTTTTTGTATGGTGAACTGTCTAGGCTAATTTTTATTTCCATCACTTTCCTACTGAAAGTTAAATTTTAAAATGCTGCCATTTGCCGTTTGCCTGATAGATGTCTATCACATGCTAGGCAGTATGATTTTCTTAGAATTGCCAATGGCCTCTGTCCTACTTACTTGCATGTACTATGTTGATTTATGAATGTTGAAGGAAATAAATTTACTTTGTAAAATGCAAAAAAAAAAAAACGCTAGGCATGATGGTTCATGCCTGTATTTCATCCACTTAAGGAGGATAAAGAAGCAGGAGGAACACTTGGGGCCAGGAGTTTGAGACCAGCCTGGGCAACACAGTGAGACCCCATCTCTACAAAAAGAAAATTTAAAAATAGCCAGTCATGGTGGTACGCACCTACAGTCCCAGCTACTCAGGAGGCTAAGGCAGCACGGTTGCTTGAGCCCAGGAGTTTGAGGCTATAATGAGCTGATTGCCCCATTTCACTCCAGCCTCAGTGAAAGAGTGAGAGACTCCATCTCCAAAATCCTGTTTCATTACTAGAAAATTCAGCATATATTAAAACTGTGTGAGACATACTTTGTGTTTACAAATAAAACAGACTTAAGTTCTAGGCTCAGATAATTTTTAAAGATGTCATACATGTACCTGAACATCTTGAATGACATTCACATCTTGTGGGATGTAAATAGGACAATTTGTCATTGTACAGGAATGTCCTCCTCATTGCAAGACACCTCACATCACTGACCCTTCCTCTTACATGATCCAACCTTCAACATTTTAACAATTAAAAATACTCCCAATATTCCAAACCCCCCCTACAGGCAATATAATTCTATTGTGAAAGCCAATTCAAGAGCTGGCCTGGGTACCATTTACCTAGGACAGTTTCATTGCATTCCAAATGTAATTCTATCTCAACCCAGGTTAACATACTATCTTTGTTACTTACTAGCTATGTGACCTTGTACCAGTCTCTAAATCTCTATGTGCCTTGGTTTCTCATTTGTAAACATAATAATAATAGTTCCTACCTCACAATGTTATGATGATTAAATGAGATAATATATGTACAGCATTTAGCAAAGTATCTAGCACATAATAAATAATAGTAGTAGTTGTTGTTAACATTCTCGTATGCTATTAGAAGAAAGGAGTTATCCCTTGTGGCAGTGACCATTAGTGCCATGTATTCCCTTACATTTCACAGCCTCTTTTGCAATTAAGCTGAGGCCTTGTGACTAGTTCTGGTCAATCAAATATGAGCAGAAGAGATACATCATTTAGGGGGTGAGGAAGATAAGAGCTACCTCTATGTCTTTCTTTCCCACACTGGTCTTGCATGAGAAAGAAATAAGCCTCTGATCACTGCTTCCTTAACAGATGAGAAAATTAAAGTACAAAGAATGTAAGACCGAACTGGCTTTGATTTGCAGTGACTTTCAATCTCAAGTATACTGTGTAATAGGCCCTTGATATAAACAAAGGTTTCCAAATCTCCGAATTCACCATTGTATGCAATTTCCCTCACAAAACTGTATCTATTAAGTAGAGAACAATAGAACCCTGGTTTGGGTTTTGTTTGTTTGTTTTTTGAGACAGAGTCTCTCCCTGTCACCCAGACTGGAGTGCAGTGGTGTGATCTTGGCTCACTGCAACCTCCACCTCCCGGGTTAAAGCAATTCTCCTGCCTCAGCCTCCTGAATAGCTGGGACTACAGGCATGTGCCACCACACCCAGCTAATTTTTGTATTTTTAGTAGAGATGGGGTTTCACCATGTTGATCAGGCTGGTCTTCAACTCCTGATCGCAGGTGATCCACCTGCCTCAGCCTCTCAAAGTGCTGGGATTACAGGTGTGAGCCACCACGCCCAGCCACCAATAGAACCCTATTGAGATGAAGGTGATAAGAGGTCAGTTAGGCTCACTTGCTAGCTGGATGACTCTACTCTACTCCAGCCTCAAATGGGAAATTCAGTTTCATGTCTTAGTAAAATGACAAACTTGTCCACCATGGACCTGAAATGTTATTCTTAAGGAATCAAGACAACAAATGAAAAAGTTATGTAGGTTGAGGATCTAATATGCACAAGTCACAGAATGTTAGAGAAGGTGTGGGTATTAGAGGTCATATCTAATGTCTATACTTTACACATAAAGAAATAGGCTAATAAGGGAAAACCTACTGTCCCCAAGATGATCAAGCTAGATATTAGTAGTCCTGGGATAATAACCCAGGTCACCTACCTCCTAAATCAGTAATCTTTCCACTAATGTCCACTACATCTGACACATGACAATCTATATATACATAGCTTTGTTTCCTGTATCTTTGGTATAGGCCTAAGGAGTTATTTAAGAGGTTGAATAATAATGAGCTGGGGAAAAGTCTTAGATTTCATTGAAATATCAGAAAAGCTAGTTAAGAGTGTAAATCTAGAAAAAGAACATTAACATACCAAATCCCTATCCAGAATCCCTTAGAATCATTCATCACCACAATACATTTGTGCTCTTTGTGAAGAAAATGCATTTGGAGTTATTTTTCCTAAGCATGAATTGCACAGAAGCACCTCCCCTTGTTCCCAATCATTTCTGAAATAACTGCCTGGCAGTGTGGATATAGTATAGGGCTAGGGTGAGGAGTACAGCCTGTTAATGTATTGTGGAAGTACTAGCTGGTTTGTAGAAGGAATGGTCTTACTTGCGTCTTTCCTTCCTTAGCCTTGGGCCTGACCAACTGACCAAGCCAACCTTATCCTGTGGTCTCTAGAACCTGCAAGAACCAGGGGCTTCCATTCATCCCCATGGAGCTTGTATCTCCCGCTAAATATCTGTGCAGCCACTTGAACTTATCCATCTTTACTCTCAAGAACATGAACGAAGGGAAAACATCCTCAGAATAGAATGTGACTTGATCGCAAATTCCCTTTCTGTAGAAAGGCTCCTAGCTTGCTACCTCCAGTCCTATTGCCAGAATATAAACTTGTAAATCTCAGCACAAGAATGTGAAGGCCATATAGGCCCAGCTACCCTGTGCAGGCCTTGGGAGCAGTGTTTGTCCTGTGTTACACACCTGACAATCCCAGGGGCTGGGATGATAGCATTCAATGGTGGGGAGGCTCCATTTATAAAAAGAACTTTTTTTTAAAGTATATTCTGTTAACTCCTGTATAATTTACATCTAGAAATGAAATCTTTTCTTTCTTTGGTGGGAGGGGGTGGTGGTAGGCAGAAAGGCCCTAGTGAATGTAACTGCCAGAATACCAACATTATGCAGGATGCTGACAAGGCAAAATGTAGTGCATACCCAAGTGGATTTTATCGGGTTCTCCCATTATCAGTCGTTTAGGGAAATCATTAGTGAATTCCCTCAAGACCCCAAAATGCATATCATCTGGACCTGCTGATTGGTTTATATTTCAAGTTTGTTCCCCTGCCTGCATTTTTATCAATAGCTATTGCTCAGACTTTTATTACTGTCTAAATGTTTCTATTCTTTTTCTGTTGTTTCTAAGAATGACTTTAATTATATATCTAAATACACATATACACATATATATACACATATGTGGCTGTGTGTTGTAATTGTGCATATGTATGCACACGCATGTGAGGTATATGTATAGTATCTGTAGTCATTTCTAGGTGAATTTCTATTTAAATATCTGATCTCCCTCAAGCACAAATACCCTAAATAAGAACTTTACCACTAAGTCATTATTTCTACATTGTGATGCCTCTATTTTCCTGTTTAAATCAACACCCCCTTTACTCTCCCAGCTGCCTCAAAGTTTAGAGAGAATGAAGTTTGGGGATAGAAAATGCTTTAAGGCAGTGGTTCTCAGACTTCAACATACATCAGAATCCCCTGAAGGGGTAATTAAATCACAGATTGTTGAGCCCACCTCAGTTTCTGAGGGTTTCTACCCTCAGAAGCAAGGGTGGATGCTTCTGTGCATTGACATGGTGGAAAAAATAACTCTAAATGCATTTTCTTCACAGAGAGTACAAATGTATTGTGGTAATGAATGATTCTGTAGATGCAGTGGGAGTGGAGTACTGAGAGTCTGCCTGTCTAACAAATTCCCAAGTGAGGCTGATGCTACTGGTCCAGGCACCACACTTTGAGAGCCACTGTTGATATGAACCTGCCTGCCTGACTGGCTCTGACTCTAGAGTTCCAAAAAGGCTCCCAGGGCACAGAGCCAGAGAGAAAAAGGAGAATCTGTATGTGTGCGCCAATCTGAAGAAAAGGACTGTATAGTTTCCTCCAACCCCTTTTCTACAACTAAGCAAGTCTGCACAGGATGGGGTAACTCACATATATGATAAGAAATAAGAGGGATAAATATGACAGATAGTATATGAGTTAGCCTGTCCATGTTTGTTAAACGCTGATTTTTTTCTTTGAGATGGAGTTTTGCTTTTGTTGCCTAGGCTGGAGTGCAGTGGCGTGATCTCAGCTCACTGCAACCTCCGCCTCCTAAGTTCAAGTGATTCTCCTGCCTCAGCCTCCCGAGCAGCTGGGATTACAGGTGCCCACCGATACGCCTGGCTAATTTTTTTTTTATTTTTAGTAGAGACAGGTTTCACCATGTTGGTCAGACTGGTCTTGAACTCCTGACCTCAGGTGATCCACCTGCCTCGGCCTCCCAAAGTGCTGGGATTGCAGGCATGAGCCACCGCATCCAGCCAACACCCATCTTTAGACTATCACAGATGGAATTCGTTTACCACTTCACTTCTGGCCTAGGCAAGCTTAGTGGTACAGGTCTCAAACTTTTGTAAAAACAAATCATATTGCAAAGCCCCTTACTAGATGTACTTCACGAGAATCTCAGGGCGCTGGCCCAGGTATTCACATTATATGAAGTGATTCTGATGCATGTGGTATAAGACCAAACATTGAAAAGCCCTGTTCTGATGATAAAAAGGCAAAACATGTAGGAAAGAAACCAGAATAATGTTTATAGGAAAATCTAGAGGCAAGTGTCACCTTGTATGGTGAAGGCAACATACTCAGGCCTAGCAAACTAATGGAGTGGTCAGAGTGAAATATGGTTCTGCAAATGGCATTTTAGGATTTTTGGAAACATATCTAGTACACCAATATTTGTTTAGTAAGGAAGCTATCTCCAGCACTGAATAAGGCACTGAAAAATGTCTGAGTTATGAAATGCTTTTATGTAAAAATTTACCCATTTTCTTTGAAGCGCTCATATTAACTAAATGGATCCTCAATAATACCTCCATGAATTCACCCTTCACCATTTGACAGATGAATAAACAGAAATCTAGAGACTGCTTTGACCCAAGTCACACAAAAAGTTAAGCAACTGAGATAAAATTAGGACTCAGGCTTCAGTACTCTTCCAGAGACCATTACACTGTGCCAGGTTCAAGTCACAGAAAGATATAGCTGAAAAGTACGTTTCATAGTCTACCAGGTCGGCATCATTTTGGGCGCTACACCATGTTTTTCTGCTGATAGCTCATAAAACATGGTGCTAGTTAACAGGAACCAGAATAAGCAAGCAGATTGCTTCCTCCACTTAGGTGTGTTTTGCCTTCTTGGCTATTCTGCAAAATTCTCCAAGACTGAAGCTATAGAAGTGGGGTGGGGAGGGAAGAGAGGAGAGATTTCACTCAGACTCTTTACTCTTTGCATTATCATTGTTTCAGGAACACAACAGAAGAGTCAGCTCTGCTGTAAGCTTTTATGAAGAGTTATTTTGGGAAAATTAGCATAATCTGGTGTTCCTTTGCCATCTGCAAACTGCATTTACCTGAAGCAGCTGTCCCTAATTATTAGACACCCTCGTGTATCCAGTAAGGCCCCATCTGTCTATACAGTGAATAGTTTTTGCTAAATGAAAAATCAGGGAGAAAAGGTAGACCAGTCAGGGCCATGTTTAAAGAGCCAGGACACAGTTGCCCTGTTTTTAGTTGGAATGTACAGCACTCTCCAAATTTAAATACCGTGACACAGAACTTATCTAAAAGACCACCAGACTACAGGAATTGGAGGGCCCAGAGGCACTAACCAGAGGAATAGACTTGTATAAATATCAGATGCTGTCTGGAGCCTCTAAATCTAACTGAATCCCTCCTATCCTTCTAATCAGGCCAAACAGCATATATTTCATCCTCACCTCCTGTCCTGATCCCTAAACCTCACTAGATTTGAAAAAAGAATTCCCATTATCCTATTTCCTACATAATTACTGGGGGAAGGTAGACATTTTGGAATGGGTTTTTATTGATTTGCTTTTCACGTAATCTATTAGCATTCCAACTTGTCAGAATACTTGTTGTTCTGTAGCATTTGGGTGGAGGGGGAGCTATAAATAAATAGAGCTGTGAGAGTATAGCCCGCTGTCAGCATGGCTTGCAAGCCATCCCATTATAAAAACACACTCTGGAATTTGTCTTATTACCTTCTGCGTTCAGTAGCTGGCCTCTGCTCAAGGTTAGACTGGAATGCCTTAGGTACTTGACATTTCACCTTCCATTTCTTTCAGTTCTTGTTTGTTTTTCCTCTACTGCACGGAGCGGGAGAGATGAGCCTCACTTCACAGGATCCAGAGACAATTTAATGAAAATAAGCGTGCTGGATGCAAGCAAAAAAGAAAGAAAAATGCAGGCACTGTTTTTTGCCTCTTGCAAAATAGTGCTCAGTACATCAAAGACAGAAGCAAAACGGTATATTAAGTAACAAACTTTCATCAGAGCCCAGTCTTTGAAAACCAATTGTTCCTTCACCTTTCAAGATACACAGGTCATTACAGATGAAATCAATATAGTTTTCTCCTTTCCTGGCATGCTTCAAACCTCTCCCTGGGCACACAGTTATTTGCAAAACAATATCAAACACTTCCTCCACTTATATTCCCCCATGTATTTCCATGGAATAGCACTGTGCAACTATCGTGCCCAGACTCCATGTGGTCTACAGCCTCCAGTTTGCTTTGATTTTCAGCAAAAATCACAGTGGTCTTCTCTAATTGCTGTGGACTCAGGGTGGGTTTTATGGGAGGAGATATTTGCTGTAGATCTGCCTGGGAAGTCTTCAGATGAACTCTTGATTTCTGAGGGAAAGCCACCCTGTATAGTCTCCTCTTCTTTCCTTTTCCCACTTCCAGTTTGTCCTTTCTATGCTCCAGACAGACTAAGTGAGTTTTTGAAAGAAGATTAAAAAAAATGAGAGAGAAATCCCCTTTTCCTGCTTTCTCCCTATGACCAAGCAGGACATGACAGTTGTGACTTGCACAACCTCTCCTACATTTCTCCCAAAAGAAATGAATCTGTGTTGACATGCCAACATTAGATGCTGAGATAGTAACCCAGATGCAGAGTCTAGCTCATTTGTTTAATGGGTGCACCGTTGTTGCAAGCAATAAAAATAAATAGCTATCACTTATTGATTAGTTAGAATGAAATTAGATAGAACATGTAAAGTGCTTAGCAACAGTAAGTAATCAATAATTTAATGGTATTAATTGCTATTAATGCCTGCATTTTTCAGTTTTGGAATGTGAAGTATCAAGGAGTTAAACAACTTCCCAAGATGACAGAGATAGTGCGTAGTGATATTGAGACTTAAAACCAGATATGGATGACTTCGAAGCTTATGCTTTTAATCACTATATTTTACTGGCACTCATAGTCAGATCAACTCTGACAAGAGGTAAACAATCATCTAAAAGAAGACAGAGGTGGAAAAGTATTACTATACACTTCTCTATTGCCTTTTAGGAGGTTAACTTACATCCTAGTTTGCGTGAGGTAGCCATTTGGGGAAGAGGTAGAGGTGGATAGCAGAGAGATTAGCATTTATGACAGAGGGAGAAGAAATGAACAGAGAAAGGACAATATTTGCTTCTTATGTGTAAAATAGGATCATGCAGTAGGGCAACAGCTTTACAAGTCAGGCTAGTGTCTTAAAGCAATGTCAATAGTGTAACTGATAATTTTTTTATTACTGCATGAATGTCTCTACTCTTATACTTCTTGCTAGGGATGACATACACACACACACATAAATTACGTTAAATCCAAGTAAAAAAAATTACCTGTATGTATCCAAATTCCTCAATCTCTTCCTTTAGTAAAATCAAGGGCTGTTTTGAGGGTCGATCTCAAAGAGAACCCCAGAAATATTATCCATTTCCCTGTGACAGCTAGGCCAACTATATGGTAGAAGTGGGATACAATCTAGAGGAGGTAGAAGAACATTGTACCTTTTCAGCCTTGGGGAACTGTGGGAGGAAAAAGGGAGAGAGAATGCTATAAAAGAGAGATAAGTCTATAGGGAGAAGCACAGTAAGATAAGGGTAACACTACTCCCAGCTTGAAACTATGGGAGGAAGCTATCTCACAGATTTCCCTATAACTTCCAGTGTAAGGCCAACTACATGAAAGTGTCCTTGGTGAGGCAGAGGGATCCCTGAAATTTAGCTTTCCCCAACAGCCCTTAGTTTTCATAAGGAATGGACATTGAGGTAAAGGCCATTAAGTCTGTCATGAGAACCACTGTGGCAAAGAAATGAGCCCACTACAGATACCAGCCAGTGGGCTAATGGAAGATCTGGCAGAGACCGATCTATAATGAGAGTGAGAGGAAGCAGAGGCAACCAGGCCATATTTCCAGGCTCTGGCCAAACCAAGAAAGAGGAACACAATCACTATTGATGAAATTGTAAACTTCAGCTATAAATGCAAATACAGCAAGCAGCAAATAGGAGACAAGGGACATCAGCCAGCCACCAGAGTAGCCAGAGGGCAATATAGAGGCTACAAAGATCCAATAATTCCAATCATTGCTGCATGGTTTGGCTCTGTGTCCCCACTCAAATCTCATCTTGAGCTGTAATCCCCATGTGTCGAAGGAGGGAACTGGTGGGAGGTGACTGGATCATGGGAGTGGTTTTCCCCATGCTGTTCTCATGATAGTGAGGGAGTTCTCACTAGATCTGGTTGTTTGATAAGTGTCTGGCACTTCCCCCTTTGTTCTCTTTCCTGCCACCTTGTGAAGAAGGTACTTGGTTCTCTTTTGCCTTCTGCCATGATTGTAAGTTTCCTGAGGCCTCCCCAGCCATGCAGAACTGTGAGTCAATTAAACCTCTTTTTTTTAATGAATTACCCAGTCTTGGGAAGTTTTTTACAGCAGTGTGAGAATGGGCTAATACACCTCCCCAAAAGTCAAACATGTCAGCACCATGCTTCCTGTACAGTCTGCAGAACTGTGAGTCAGTTAAACCTCTTTCCTTTATAAATTATCCAGTCTCTGGTATTTCTTTATAGCAGTATGAAAACAGACTAATACAATCCCCTAACACTAAAAGTTTCCAAAAGCCTTCTCCCCATATACTCAGACACCAGTTTATAACAAGAAGCAGAAGACTTTTATCTGAGATAGTATTTTTTTCCAAGAAAAACTGAAAACTATCTAAAGGGATCATTAAAACTAGAGGATGGTCAAGTATGACCTATGGGCCAAATCTGCCGTGAGTTTTTGTAAATAAAGTTTTATTAGAACTTAGTCACTCCAGGTCACTTACATACACTCTTATGGACACTTTAGCTCTCAGAGTTGAGAACAATAAGCCCTCCATATCTCTATACCTCCATATATGTGAATCCATATCCACAAGCATGGATTCAACCAACTCTGGATAGAAAATATTCAGGGAAAAAAATCCACAAAGTAACAAAAAGCAAAACTTATATTCGCTGTGCACTGAGTACTACATTGAATCCACAGAAACAATGTAATGTTTAGACGTGGCATTAGGTATTATAAGCAGTCTAGAGATAACTTAAAATACTCGGGAGGATGTGCATAGGTTATATGCAAATTCTACACCAATTTATATCTGATTCTTGAGCATCTGTGAGTTTTGGTATCCAAGGGTGGGGGTCGGGGGAGGTCTGGAACCAATTCCCTTTGGGTACTGAGGGATGACTATACTTGCAATAGAAACCATATGGCTCACAAAAGCTAAAATATTTACTATTCATTTCTCTACAAAAAAGTTTGATAATTTTTGGTTTAAAGTACTAAATCAGACTAAGTTTTAAACCTAATTAGATATTTAAGATTTTGGTACCCACCCACCTCTCTGGGCTCAAGAGAAAGGTCAGATTAGATGGAGATTCATTTGTAAAATTTGATTTTCTTTGCACAGCCAAGTTGTACTGTGCATTGTATCTGCAATCCTGCTACAATCATTTGAGATAATAACAATAATAACCCATTCTAATTATATAGTGTTTTGGAGCTTACAAAGTGCATTTACATCCATCGGCTTATCTAATCTTCACAAAAACCCTGTGAGAAAGGTGTCATTAGCCCCCATTTTATAGACAAGAACCTAGCTGAATCTTGGTGAGGTTAAGTGACTTACTGAAGGCCACACATCTAGTAAGTGAGAAAGCCAGAATATGAGCTCAGGTGTTCTGATTACACATCTACTCTCTTTCCTACCCTACCACAGCCAAACTACTAGGAGTATCAATTCCAATTTAACCAAAGTAGAAAAAACATGGATACCAAACCAATACCTTCTAAGGAGTTTGCTGTTTTACTTATTTGCTCTACAATGAATTGGACAGCTTTCCATCTGCTATACTTAAAGTCATTTTCCAAAGGAGTAGGTAGGATAGCATCATTGTTAAAGAGTGCATACAGGCACTGGAATCAGATTGACCTAGCTCTGCCACTTCCCAGGTTTATGATTCATGATTTTGAAAAAATTACTTAACTTTTCTGGGCTTCAATTTCCACAGTGTTAAAATGGAAGAGTTTTTTGAGCATTAAATGAGATGATGCATGTGAGGTACTTAATATAGGACCTGGGATGTGGTTAGCATAAAATAAATAACAACTCAAGAAGACTGTTAATGCCATTGGCACAGCTACTCTGGAAAAGAGTATGATGAAGTCCTACAAAATTAAATATGCCACTACCATAAAACTAATAATATGCACACCTAGATATTTATCCCAGAGAACTGAATACTTACATTGACCTAGAAACCTGTACATGAATGTTTATAGCAGCAATTTCAAAAGATTATACAATGTATGGTTCCATTTACATAACATTCTTGAAATGAAAAAAATTATAGAGATGGAGGAAAGATTTGTGGCTGCCAGGAGCTAGGGAGAGGGAAGTCACAGGGGTGCTGCGGCTACAAAAAGGTAGCAAAACCATCCTTGTGGTGATGGATCTCTTCTGTAACTTGATTTTGGTGGTGTAAACATGAATCTACACATGTAATAAAATTACACAGAACTAGGCCGGGTGTGTTGGGTTACGCCTGTAATCCCAGCACTTTGGGAGGCCAAGGAGGGCGGATCATTTGAGGTCAGGAGTTCGAGACCAGCCTGACTGACATGGCGCAACCCCGCCTCTACTAAAAAAAAATACAAAAATTAGCCAGGCATGGTGGTGGGCACCTGTAATCCCAGCTACTTAGGAGGCTGAGGCAGGAGAATTGCTTAAACCCAGAAGGCAGAGGTAGCAGTGAGCCAAGATTGTGCCATTGCACTCCAGCCTGGGCAACAGAGTGAGACTCCGTCTCAAAACAATAATTAAAAAAGGAAAAACATAGACCATATTAGGTGGCAAGTGCGTTTCTTCTACCATCCCTTACAAACATGTAGAGCCCTGAAGCAGTTCCCGTACATGCAACTATAATCATATGTACATGAAAAAATGAAGAAAACATTATCCAGGAACCTTAGACTCTTCAAGTGAAGTAATTTATTTTAATAAAAATAACTGTCAGGTCAATTTCCTGGTTGTAACATCTTACTATAGTTATGGAATACGTTACTATTAGGGCAAACTGGGTGAAGGATACAGGGACTTCTTGGGTACTTTTATGGCAATATTCTGTGAGCCTATAAATATTTCAAAACAAAAGCATTTTTAAAAAGGGAAAATGATGTCATGGTTCTGAGGTTCTTCATATTTCATATTCATTACCTCTTAAAACTGTAAAAATTTAATTCCTTTCTTTCAAACCAACACTTTGGAATATTGGGAAAAAGAGTTTCAGAGCTGAATGGGACCTTGGAAGCTATCTAAATTAGCTGATATGGACATCTTTTGCACAATGTCCCTAACATACTATTATTTGGTTTGAATAGCTCTATTGACAGGAAATGCACTCCACAACAAAGGATCCCTATGCAGTTAGAGGCAGATCTAATGTTTTAAATTTTTTTCTTATACTCACCTGAAATCTGCCTTCTTACAATTTTGACCCATGGTTCATATTTTTCCCTGCTCCTCATTCTTAAGGAAGTAAAACATTTTTGGTAGACTCTTACTGTATTAAAATTGATCGTTCTTTCTCCATGTGGACAAGGAAATAAGACAGGAAGTTGATAACCTTTCTCTTTCATCTCTAGAAGTAGGTAACTGCTATAATTTCCTGCAAAAACATTGGACTAATAATCAGCATAATTTTAAAAATTAAACACCATATAATGATAATAATTGGAAATGATAAGACTGTACCTTGGATTTACATAACACCTTTTCTTTGAATGCCACTAATAACGAGGATCATATTAGTGCCTCTCCTGTTTTAGAAGCAAGGAGGTTTTTGTAAACACCTTGTCTTTGTTTTAACTTGTGTCATTTGGATGGGCAATTTTTAAAGTTGTGCTCTTTAATAGCCATTGGATTATAAAAAGCTAAGGGGAAAAAAACTATGGCTCAGAACACCATCCAGGTGTAAGGAATTAACAGTTCTTTGGATTTGCTGAGAATTTACATGTGAAATCCTCGTTAATGCTAATGTGAGTTCTGGAACTGTAAATCTTTCATATCAAGGAGAAAACCATGCAATCTAGTGGACTTCAATTCACCTATTCCATTAACTCTCTGAGATTCCTAACCAATTGATTTCCCTTTTGCTCACTGCCCCGTACCCCTACCCTACTGCCCCCACAATGGTAAAAACGTGTTTTTAATTATGAAAATCAATGCGGCTCTCTTTCTCCTCAACCAAACTCAAAATGGGAACTACAAGTATGATATGACCCTTAAAAATCTTCTTTTTCAGACAAATCCTCTGCTCTCTCTGTCACCCAAGTGATGACAAGGTCCTTTGGCCCCTCAGGCACTAAGTACTCATAAAAATCCCTTCTTAGTAATTATTGTTATAATTTCCCATTTGGTAAGTGGCAATATTGTTCATCTAAGCTAAGAGGTCACGTCCTGTGTCTTCCTCCTAACAGCTCACAGAATGTTGCTGACACTGCTTCAAAATATAAACTTCTGTCCTTGGTTGCTGGTGGCAATGGTGGGGATGGGAGAGTTTTCTAGATTGTGAGTTTTGAGTAATATATGTGGCAGTGGGTCATGGATGAAAAAGTGGGAGCTGGGATAAGGAGGGCAGAGGTAAATCTGAGACGGGGCAAAGGGAATTGGCAGAAGAGTGAGGTAGTCCTGGGGTAGGACCTGGTACCCAGGGGCAAAGGTGAAGGCTAGTGTAAGCATTCCAGAATTCAGGTAAAGGTGGGAAGAGAGAAACCAAAGGTCAGAGCAAAGCAGCAAGTCAGAGCCAACTAGGCAAGCTGGAGTCAGGGTGCAAAGGCAACATGAGGCACAGAGTTCAGGGAGTCAGAAGTCCAGTAAGTAGATTAACACCAGGAAGTCATGGACATCAGGGTCAGAGCAAGGTGGAAATATGAAAACTCAAGCCAATAGGCAGATCCCAAGAGGACTACAGGCAGAGAAAAAGGGAGGGGCCAAGGGAACAGCAATGAAAATGACCTGGACAACTGAGCCATTCTGCTTTGCCCTATGCATAGGGTTTCTGTGACTCTAGTGAAGGCAGAAACCAATTCTTGAATAGCCAATGCTTACCTTACGATGTAACTGAGAGTGTGTGAATGACACATATACCAACATCTAGCAGAAAGATCCTGACTTGAATATAAACAGATGCACTGGAGGGAAATCCAAGGAGGCACAGATAATCCTGCAATGTGAAGGGCAGATGCCATATTCTATTATCCTGGATTCTACTGGGCACGAAGATAGTTGAATTATTTTTTAACTCAACAAGTCCATATCATTTAAAGATTTCTGAAGTGGCTATTATTGGTGAAGAAGCCATGTTGCTATAAAATCATATTGAGCAACCAAAAATAGATGTGAGGTGGGAAGGCAACATTACAATTTCCAGGGGTGATATACATACCTGTATTAGTCTGTTTTCACACTGCTGTAAAGATCTACCTGAGACTAGGTAATTTATGAAGAAAAGACATTTAATTGACTCACAGCTCCACAGGCTTAACAGGAAGCATGACTGGGAGGCCTCAGGAAACTCACAATCATGGCAGAAGGCGAAGGGAAAGCAAGCACATCTTACCATGGCGGAGCAGGAGAGAGAGAAAGAGCAAGCAGGAAAGTGCAACACACTTTTAAACCATCAGATCTGGTGAGAACTTACCACTATCATGAGACCAGCATGTGGGAAATCCACTCCCATGATCCAATCACTTCCCACCGGGTCCCTCACCCAACACTGGGAATTACAATTCAACATGAGATTTGGGTGGGGACACAAAGCCAAACTGTATCAATACACAGGTCCCAGTCCTGGTGGCCTTTGGTGTGTATGTGTATGTGCATGTGCATGTTTTCATTTATGCTACCATCATAATTGCTCACTAGTTTTATTTATTTATTTATTTTATTTATTTATTTTTAATAAATTGTCTTTTTTGTGACTATGTATCTTTGGGTTATCAGAGTTCTAAATCCTCCATGAAAACTATTTTGGACTTCTCTGGTTCACATTAATCTCTTCTTTTTCTGGACTCAAATTGAGGGTGTGTTCAGAATCTCACAGTTTAGCACCTAGAACTGATACCTTAAGATCTGTGCATTTTTAATAAATAAAAATTGTATATATTTATTTATATATAATATATTTATATAATATATTTATTTTTATATAATAAATAAAAATTATATATAAAAATTTTATATGTATATAAAAATTTAATTATTTTTAATAAATAAATAAAATAAACTATTTATTTTAATAAATAAACTAGTTCTATTTATTTATTTATTTATTTATTTATTTTATTTTTATCCAAATTCCCATCCCTTAGCCCTATAGCCAAGAATGTTAACATGTTACTATGAATCTTTTTAAAATGTGGTTTTTCCAATATGTGTACTGTCATGTATAGGTTTTTGTCCCATTTATATTGAGATATATGTCCCATTTTTATTGAGATATATGTCCCATTTATATTGAGATATATGCAGTAAAATGCACAGATCTTAAGGTATCAGTTCTAGGTGCTAAACTGTGAGATTCTGAACACACCCTCAATTTGAGTCCAGAAAAAGAAGAGATTAATGTGAACTAGAGAAGTCCAAAATAGTTTTCATGGAGGATTTAGAACTCTGATAACCCAAAGATACATAGTCACAAAAAAGACAATAGATATAAAGTAATGAGGAGTTTAGGACAAGGGATCTCTCAGTGTGACTTTTTCCTATTTACTAATCTTCAATCACTCAATAATTAAATATTTATTCACTACATACTGCATTCCAAACTCTGTGAATATAGTGAAGGAGAACACGGACATATTCCCTGTCTTTATGTACCTTAAGGTCGAGTGAGCAGGACAAATATTAATTAGTCAAATAAATATGGATGGCACACAGCAGGAGAAGTACAGAAGATGGAGCACAGAACAGCGGGTATCTGAATAGGCTAAGGTCTCAGGGAAGGCTTTCTTGAAGAAAGGACACCAGAGCTTCCATCTGTGGAACAGGAGTTAATTAAGCAACTAACTCCAACTCAATTAAGTTAATTAATTAAAGGGGAAGGGAAGGAAGAACCATTTCAGATAGGAGTATCAACATATGCAAAGGCCCTGAGCCCAGATAGGTGGGAGCAAGGCAGAGCTGAGTATATGTAAGAAAGCCAGTGCATTTAGACAAAAGAGAGTGACAGGGACACTTTGTTGAGATGAAGCTTTCAGCGAGGACTTCCCTGATCACCCCACTTAAAATCACAACCTTATACTGCATCCCTTCTTTTTGCCCTCCACACTCCCCAACCTTCTTCATCCTGTTCTCTGTTCCTCTCTCCAAGACTGATCATTTGGGCTACATCAATAAGCTCCTTTCATCCTTCTAGTTTCCTGTTATGTTTGGCTAGCAGAGAAGACCAGGAGGAGATCTGAAATAGGAAAGACAGTCACCGTGTTTATTCATCCAACTCCCTCCCAACAGGGCCATCTAGGGCTGTCTGAGTCCCGTGGTCTAAGGTCCCAGTGTTTGTCAGAAGCTTTTCCATACAATCCTCAATCTCTCCTCGTTCTGGTGACTTCACTTTCCTCTTGATCTTTCAAGTCCTAGGTAACTGAATCCTGCTATACACTATATATTTTACCTTTTTGTTTCATCAATTTTCTGCTTCTTTCAACCAGAATGTCAAATCCATTAGAGCAGAGATCTTTCGCTGTTTTGCTCCCCTTACAAAAGCTAAGGATTTAATACGTATTTACTGAATGATCAAACGCATGCATGAATGTAGACGTAAGCAGGCACCATACCATGCAAGGTCTTGCAAGCAAGAGCTGAGGGTTTCTATTTTACTTATGTGAAAGGAGAAGCCATTTAAGAAGAATTTTATGCAAGGGAGTCAGGAAATGATTTAAGTTTTAAGATCACTGTGAGTGGCAATTGGGTGGGCACAAAATAGAATTTAAGAAGCCAGGTAAGTGGTCCTTGCAATAGTGCAAGTGAGAGCCTAGAATAAGGTGGTGGGGGTGGTAATGGTAGAGAAGAGGAGATTCTTCCTGGAGCATTCTCAAGCTATAGATCATAAATGGAACTTGTTCATTAGTCACAGTTGGATTGGTTTGTCTGGGAATGTTCTCAGTACCTCAAGCAATGATCTCAGCAGGACTCGCCCAGCATTGTCATGTTCTAGATATATTTGCTGGATTTTAGCCATTCAGACCATGTGGATAATTTTTTTAAATCCCCATTTGGAATCCTACTAGGAATGGAATTTTCACAAGGGCATAAAACCCTACATTCATTATACTCAAAACTGAGATGTCAACACATCTGAAGAGCTTCTGAATAATGTGACTTTAAAATAAGAACCTTAGCATTTAAAAATAAAACAATATAATACAGAAGCCATTAATCCAAATGGTAATCTACTATCTATGCTGTGGAGCCAAAAGATTAGTCTTTTTTTTTTCCTCTCCAGAAAATGTTCTACGATTCCATTAGCAGATAACATGCTTCAAAAAAGTGATTTCACATGTAGACAAATTCCAGTTCAGTAGCAAGCAATTGCATATCAATGTTTCTGAAATGGAATTAAAGTTTTAAAAATGATAGGAGTCCTTCTTTTGTCAGGGTAGATATTTAGAACATTTTTACCCAAGAGCTCCTTCAATATATTATCTATTACAGAAAAAAAATAGAATTTGACCTCGTCTATTATGCCAGGCAGGTTCAAAGGGCTTTTAGGAGACAATAAAGACTCCTAAAGTCCTTATTCCTTATGGATTACATTATTTTAGCATCTATAATTCCTAGATGTTTGGCATTTTGAAATAGTGATATTATACCATATTATTTAATGGGTCTTTAGAGTAGTTGGAAGACACCACCCCAGCACAGGCTTACTAACTAAATACTAGGTTTATGTTAGGATCCTACAGATGGTGTCAAACCCAAATAAGGTTCGGACAATCTACCAGTGGAGTTCAGTGAGATCTACGGGATAAATGTTACTTTGGGGAATTAAGGTTTAAAGCACCAATGCCATAATAAGAGGGTTAAAAGGAGCCAGGAAGGGATGGGGGTTAAGAATCTCACATGAAACAATCACAGTATCACTAAAGCCTAAATAATACTTCACAGGTGCTTGCATGAGAACTCTTCCCAATACATGCCAAGGATTATATTTGACCAGACCAAAGTGAAATGAGCAGAATATGGACAATGTGTATTTTTCATAACTCTAAAAAATACAATATTTTTATTGTGGGATTATGTTCCATTTCCTTTTTTAAAAAATATTGATTCTTTTATAATGGGCCAAGTGTGGTGGCTCATGCCTGTAATCCTGGTGCCTTGGGAGGCTAAGTGGGGAGGATCACTTGAGCCCCAGGAATTTGAGACCAGCCTGGGCAGCATACTGAGACCTTGAAGAAAAAAACTAGAAAAATAAATAAATAAAATAAAATATTGATTATTCTATGAAATGAAAATTTAAGCCAATGGTAGGTGAGTTTTGGTTTTTTAATGTCCTTACTTGGCAAGAAAAAATGAGGGCAACTCTATGCATTGGCTAGGGCACAGGGAATTTTACTAATTAGCAAAATCTAAATTTGGTGACCAGTGACCTATGTGATTTTTAAGATCAACAGATACTGAATGATCTACATCAAGGACAAATATCACACTCTCCTTCCTTTGAGCTCTCCTAGCATGTTACCTGGACAAGTACAACAGCACTAACAACCTTTGTCCACCTTCTTTATTTCATTAATGGGAAGTAAAGGAAGAAATAAGCTCTCTTCTTACCTCTTCCAGTGTGACACTGCATTTGATCTTGCCTCTGTGTTGGCCTTGAAAACAACTCAAAACTCCCCACCACAGAAGTGACAGTTTTATATCTATTCAGGGTGTATGTAAAGTGGCTGCCTGTGAAACCAGCCAAACTAATTACAAAGCCACTCATTCCACTTTAGCCTAGGTGGTTAGAAAGTGTTTCTTTATATTGAACCCAAATATTCCATCCTGTAATTTTGATCTATTTGTCTTAGCTCTATACACTGGGGCAACATAAATTAAAGTTCATCCTTCATTTACCTCAGAGGACAGCTAGCATGTCTACCTCACTCAAAGTATGTTTTTACCTTCAACTGCCATCATTGTTTCTCAGGACAAAATTTTTCAGCCTCTCTGAACTCTGAAATGAGTCTTCTTCAAGGAAGACTTCCGAAAACACTCCTCATGCCCAGCTCTCAACTCAGGTGTAGCATGACCAATTCTTAGTCATCCGTTGCCTCCTTTAATAGGAACATTTGCTTGAATTTGCTTTTACTATTATATTTTTCTGAATGTATGATGTATATTGAGCTCATGATATAGATACATCTGGAATCACTAGAACAATCTATTCATTTTTTATTATTTTGGGAAACACTATATACATTCATGGCACTAAGCATGACACTATGGGCATAGAGAGGGTATATGAATATTGAAAACATGCATCTTGCATTCAAATAGCCTCCAAAATAATTCAGAAATGAGAAACACTCAAAAGCATAACAATAGAGCTAACATTTACGTAATACTATGGGCCAAGTATGTGCTTATCATTTAAACATTTTAACTGTTTTCTACCTTATACTCCTACAAGGGAGGTGCTATTATTATCATCTCCCTGTAATAGATAAGAAAAGTAAGATATTAATAAGTTAAGTAAATTGCCTCAAATTATACGAGTAATACACAGCAGAGCTAGCACCAAACCCTAACAGTCTGACTCCAGAGTTAGAGCTATTAACCACCAAGCTGTAATGCAAAATACATGCATATAGAGCATAGCATTAAAGTTAGAACTCTACACTTAAATGCCAAGAAATGCAAGTAACATTCACGGCTACTGTGGGCTGCGAGTGCAGAGAGGGTTGTAGTTGTAGTTGTGTTTGAAGGAGTAGATTCTCAGAGAAGTCTTCTAAGAATAAATGAGTCTTGTGCCAAATCTTAAATGAAAAAGAACAGAGTTGATTGTCATACTTGCTATTCTTAACCTTAGCCATTTTAATACAGAAAAGACCTTAATAGGATTTGAAACAATTATCCCATGATAAGATTTTCTGGTTCTGGGCCTCACATATAAATTTGAAGCAATGCTGGCACATGGATTCTGCAGGGACACATAATTAAAAGGAAATAAGGTCTGATTTACAAGACTTTATGAAATGGACCATAAACTTTAGAAATTGGCCATAGCAGTTGGAGATGTAGTTAATCTTGTAGGATTGATGAATGAGTTAACTATTCGAAAGAAATCACTGATACAGAAATCAATGCATCTTGGATAAGACCCTGGGGGTAAGAATAGTAGGAAAGTCAGGGCCAGGGCCAGGGGTAGGGGTAGTGGCATAAAGTCAATTCCTTAACACTAGTCAATAGCAAATGCAGTGGGCTTTAATCATCACCAAGTATTATTTGAAAATAGCAATGAAAACCACTAGGTTATTTTTTCCTTTCAAAGAAGATAATGTATTCACTTAAAGTTGATGGAACTTATCTGGTTTTATCATCATTTTGATGCCCCTTATCGCAACTTATATTTTGTAATCCCTACATGGCATTACTCTTACTCTTTATCTTCTATTTGCAAATTTCTATGTTACACATGAGAATTTTTTAAAGAAAACAAAATGGGAATAACTGTTATCATGAAAATACAGTTCCATTTGCTTTTCAAATCATTCTTCTGTAAGTAGTTTGTATAAATAATAAAACAATTGCTTTTCATCAAACTCATGGTTTTGATCTTGGAGCTTTTCACTTCTTTTTAGCCAGCTTAGGCTAAAATTAACTATGAAAACTAAAATCTCAATCACTTTATGAAGCTATTCATGGTATGTTCTTTCACTGATTATTAGCATATGAAAATGTAACTGATTCAGTAAAGAATTTCTCTTAAAAAAAAAAGCAACCATTAGGTTTTTAGTCTCTTTGGGGCTAATTTATGCACTGAATATGTTAAAAGAGAGGTGAACATCCAGCATCTAGCACAGCATGGCTATGTTTCTACTATAACAACAAGAGCAAACATTCCAATAAAAATGAAAAATTTCAATTATCCAGGGGGCTTCAAATAACCAGACTACTTATGTCTTTTAGCACAACCTCTTGGCTAAAGTTTATAATGTTATCTGAGTTCTTCCTGCTCATGCTTGTTAACCAAGCACTTGGAATCTGTGGTAAGTTGTATTGTTCCTCATGATTGCATGGACACATCTTGCAGTCCAGAGCTTAAAAGGCAGAAACTTGCATCCCAGAGTCTAGCATAAAGTTGATCTCAGTAGATGAGGATGAGGAGAATGTGAGTATATCAATGTGTCCTTCAAGGCTCTAAGGAAGGGGGGTTGTCCAATCTTTTGGCTTCCCTGGACCACTTTGGAGGAAGAATTGGCTTGGGCCACACATAAAATACACTAACACTAACAATAGCTGATGAGCAAAAAAAAAAAAAAGAAGTTAAAAAATCGAAAAAAAAATCACATAATGTTTAAGAAAGTTTATGAATTTGTGTTGGGCCACATTCAAAGCCATCCTGGGCCACATGTGACCTGCAGGCCACCAGTTGGACAAGCTTGCCTAAGGGATCAACAAACAAGCACCAAATTGACCAAGTAAAACTTTATACTTGCACAGATTTATACACAGGGAATGTACATTTAGGCATTTTCTTTAGTCATGTCCCACAAATAGCACTGAATGAGAAATGCTCAACCAGAACTTATAAAGTCCAACAAGATTCCCATATACTGTGCAAGCTTCAGGACAATACCATCAAAAATCTAAGCAACAGACCAGGCAAGGTGATCCCAGCACTTTGGGAGGTCAGGGCAGGAGGATAGCTTGAGGCCAGGAGTTTGAGACCAGCCTGGGAAACATACCAAGAACCTGCGTCTACAAATATTTGTTTAAAAATTTTCCGGGCATGGTGGCACATGCCTGTAGTCCTAGCTACTTGGGATACTGAGGTGGGAGGGTCAGTTGAGCCCAGTGTATTAGTCCATTTTCATGCTGCTGATAAAGACATACCTGAGACTGGGCAATTTACGAAAGAAAGAGGCTTAATTGGACTCACAGTTCCATGTGGCAGGGGAGGCCTCACAATCATGGCAGAAGACAAGGAGGAGCAAGTCACACTTTATGGGGATGGCAGCAGGCAAAAAGAGAGATTGCGCAGAGAAATTCACGCTTTTAAAACCGTCAGATCTTGTGAGACCCATTCACTATCACAAGGACAACACAGGAAAGACCTGCCCCCATGATTCAATGATCTCCCTCCCACAACATGTGCGTCCCTCCCACAACATGTGGGAATTATGGGAGCTACAACAAGAGATTTGGGTGGGGACACAGAGCCAAATCATATCTCCCAGGAATTCGAGATTGCAGTGAGCTTTGATCATGCCACTGCACACCAGCCTGGGTGACAGAGTGAGAACATGTCTAAAAAAAAAAAAAAAATCCAAGGAACAAATATTTATTGAGCACCTACTACATCCTAAGTTTTGTGCTGAGTACTAGAAAATCAAGACATGATTCATTTTCTCAAACCAGTGAAGAAGACAGACAAGTAAATGAGCAACCGGTGACCACCTGTGCTAAAGCCAGTTATGCAAGGGCTGTATTGTGGAAGCATGCCATAATAGGATTCAATCCCAATCCACATAGACCTAAGCATATCTGTCCCTACATCCTCTGGGCACTCTCCACAAAAAGAGAAAAAACCCACCAGGGAAGAATGTTCCTGCTTGGTCACACCTATGAGGTGAATCAGTTCTAAGTAATTTCTTACAAGATGGGGGCAGAGATTGGAGGTTACAAAAGCAGACCATGAATGATCAATAAATCACATTTATGTTACATATGATTATGATACAACTGTGTAAGTCATATTAGACTCTCCAAAATGGTTACCAGAGTCAGATACAGTTGTTAGAAATTCTCCTGCACTGATGTTATGTTCAACAGATGGTGTTATTCAATTTATATTTCAATTAGAAGTTAACCATATTCCAAGAAAGGTGAACTTATGAACTTCAGCTTTAAAAAAAAAATCTTTATCTATCATCATCTGGACAAAGTTTGCTAGTTCCCTTTTAACCGTTAAGCTCATCTCAGCCTAAGAAAATTGCTGCCACCTACTGATAAGAATGAAAAACAAATTCCCATCCCACCCACACACAAATCACAATAACAATAATAATAACAAAATTCGCAAAGAGATCAAATTTCCCATGCTGCAACTTACAGTTAATTCTTTATCTTTTTATTTATTTTGTCCTTGTTTCCTTCTTGGAGGAATTTTACTTATGGAAAATTGGCCTTTGTTTTGGTTTGTATTTTTAGGTTAAATTAAGTCAAAAATCCTCAGCCAATTATTTGCTCTTGGTGTCATTGCTGAGGAGTTGAACATGGGTAAAAACAGAAAGCTGTGCCTTTCAATTTTTTAATCCATATTATATATATATATATATATGTGTGTGTGTGTGTGTGTATATACATATATATATATATATATATATATATATATATGGAGAGAAAGCAACATGGAGTAGTCGAAAGATCAGGGGCTTTGGAGGTGCTTAGATGTGGGATTGAGTTCCACCTCCACCACTATGTCATTCATTCAACAGCTATGAACAACACACATCTACTATATGCCTGGGACTATTCTAAGACTGAGTTAATGAATTTAATAAAACCTCTGCCCTCATGGCGTTTCCATTTTAGCCTAGGAGAAAGACAGTAAACAAGGAAACAAATTAATTTCAGATATTTACTGGTAATGGCTGTGAGTGGAAAGAAAACAAGGTAGAGAGATGGAATCTAAAAGAGAAGTCCTATTTTAGATAGAAAGCCTCTAACAAGGTTTGTAACTAGCTATGTAACAAGAGGCAAGTCTCTAATCTTTCAGGGACAGTTTTCTGACCAAGGAAATGAGGATAATAAGAGTTCTGACCTCATAAGATTATTGCGAGTTAGAAATAATATGTATAAAGCATCCAGCATATCCCCATGATATTATAGCCATAAAATGAATGGGTATTGTTATTATTGTTGTTTTGTTACTGTTATTAAACTATGAACATAATGGATATCAAATGCTCCAGGAAGTCTAATAGCTTTTTTTTTTTCTACTCTAGGAATGAATATTGAGCCTTTTAGTATTTTAAGAACAATGTTTGGATGTAATGTGATTTTCTGTAGGACAAAATATCTTTTCTTTCTAGAGATGGAGTCTTGCTATATTGCCTAGGCTGGACTGGAATTCCTGGTCTCACGCAGTCCTCCTGCCTAAGCTTCCCAACTAGCTGGGACCATATGCACATGCCACCACGCCAAGCTCAGAATATTTTTAATGTAATTCATTCCTCTAATTCCATGGTACTCCTCTGAGGCCCTGGGTGACTCTAGACCTTTCCCACAGCAGCCAAATGACATGACTATTTTCTCAGCTGGAAAATTCTGGCATGAAGGAGTGATCTTATGTGTGTACTGTCCTAGAATGTGAGCTCCTCTCAGTGTCTGTAGCTGTATATGTGCTACAGATTGCATTTTACAAAACCTCATGCATGAAGCACTCTGATTTCCACCCCATTCCTTCTCCCTTCAAAGGATGCTCTTTTGTCAGGAAAAAGCAAATCACTAAGATTAACAAGCAAAGAGCCAGCTGATGCTCAAACCTACCTTTTCTCTTTGTTCCTCTGACCCTGACCTGCCAGTGTGTTTTCTAGTTTGTTAGGTCCCCTTGGTCTGTGTGGAGGTCAGCTTCCTTCCTCCCTTCCCTAGCCTGAACTTGGTATTAATCTTCCCTTTCTTTTAACTTGGAACCTATGCTGTATTTTACCTTCACTGCTGCCTAGTATTTGAGACTCCCTAACCCTCAGGCAGAGAAATTTAACAGAAACCAGTTTTAAATGAAGAACTACTTTCAAAAACACTGACTTCACATTGTCTCACAACACAGGCAGGTGGGGGGGACAAATGTTATTCACCACACTTTTAGATTGGAAATGAGGGCTTGGGAAGTCAAATGAACTGCAAAGGTGACACAGCAAGTCAGTGGTAGTACCTATCACTGTTTCTAAACTGGGTGAAGAATTTCTGAAACCAGGCATATTTCCATACAGATAAAATGAAGTATTAGTCAAAAATTCTAATATAGAACACTAGTTTTACTTTCCTGACTGACAGCAGCAGAAAGGTAGTATAGGTAGTGGTTAAGAGCTTTGATGTCAGAGCCAGACTCACAAGGTATTGGTATCGTAGCTCTGCCATTTTACCAGCCATGCGAACTTGAGCAAGAGACTTCACCTCTCTGTGCACCAGTTGTTTCATCTATAACCTGAAGGAAATAATAGTAACACTTCATTGTATTGTGGTGAGGATTACAAGTAATGCATATTTGTTCATACCAATGACTAGCATATAGTAAGAGCTCAATACATGCTAGGTATTATTATTGCAGGGGCTAAGGTTCTAATATTTCCAGTGTTGATTTGATTTTGTCAAGGCATATTCTATATTAAAGAGATCATTTCTGGTCCTTGGTTCAAGTCAGTTTAGTTCATCAGACTGTAACTATAGTTAAGGGTCTTTGTTCAATGGTGAACATTTCAGTGGTTGTTCTGTCCATATCAATAAATCTATATGAAAGGGCTGGAAGCTTACAATGACTTAAGCTGTGAACAACATAGCAAAGCAAAATAAGGAGGCAACACTGGTGACATAGCAATAACTATGTAGTGAATGCTGAGTTCGGGGAAGCCTCTGAGCTTTGGGGTCACTGGGGTAGAATTTTATGGCATAGCTCTTTTAAGCAATGGTGGGTAGGTGTCAACCTGGCTACCAGCTGGAAAATCACCTCAGAGGCCCTGGACACCAGTACATCTGCTCAGATGCCATGACTGTCTGACATCTGAATTCCTGGGTACTGATAGGCAAGGTAATAGTACTCAGTTTTAGACATACCACAGGTCAAATCCTAGTCTCCCAAACATAGCTTCCTATAACAGGCTTTGAGTCCAACAAGAATGTTTATCCTATTCCCCAATTATGTTATGAAGGTGCCCACAGTGACTAAAAGACCAGGACCGTGCAAATCAAATTCCAATTCTTCATACTGCTTCAAGTACTCTTACACAATAGGAAAACATTCTATATTTGTTTCAAGGGGGATATATTTGCAATGCATTACCACAATGGGAATTTCTCTATATGGTGCATTTATGCCAGGTGAACTTCCAAAGGGAATTGCAGCTACAGTACCCAGAGAGGTGCATCTGCATGAAATTTACTAGGTGGGAAGAAAAAGTCTTCATGGCATTCTCCCCAAAGAGGAATTTCTATAACCTTTTTCTTACAGGCTAGTAATAAGTATCCATGCAGGAGAATATTGCTTGGATACCCCTGACAAGCAAGAATGTTTTTTATCCTGGCAAAAAATATGGAGGATAAACTACAGGTTTATCCTTTGTGCTAATCCAGGTGCAATATTTCAATTGCTTGAGTGAAGCTAATGGAAAAGTGTCAATAAAGTACTCAAAGACTACAGAAGAAGTACTCAAAGAAGAAAACAGTAGATCTTAAGGTAAAGACAAAAGACAGGTCTTCAGGGCTCCTGGCCACTTAAACTGGTTTCAGTCTCCAGGAAACAGATGAACTTTTGGGGTAACTTTCTGCTTAACTCAAAACTGGGAAGATGTGCCTGTTAAGAATGATAGTATCCTACAGATCATGGTTACTAATAATGAATAAACAGAATTAGATTGGCATTCTCTTATTGTGGTAATATCTATTCTTTTTTATTAAATAATATATATAAACAACAACAATAATACTAATAATTAGCCTTGAAGACAGAAAATGAAACACAATCCATTTATTTGTGAGGCTCAGTAAACATGACTCTGAGTTGCCAGTACTGTCCAAAACTGGTGGCCATGAGTTAACTGAAGGAAATCTAGAAAGAAGAGAAAGGTCAGCAGAAATTTCATGGTGATTGACAGGCATTAATCAGGGAATGTACTTTTATCTCTGACTACATGTGATAGCTCTTGTAGTCAGATATTCATTGAAAGGATGTGATGGATGTATCTGAATTGCTTATCTAGGAACCTCCATGTTTTTCTCTGTGAAGCTAATGGTATGAGCTTTAGCAGCAGCCCAGCTGGGTGCAGGATGACTTCAACAGGCTCAACACAGATACTAAAAAGATAATCAATGCATAACATTAATATTTGCATAACATATGTGTGAAAAGAAAACAGGTTTATTGAGACAAGTAAGGGTTTCATAGAAAGGAGCCAAAAATATGCGTTTATTCTCCCAGTAACGTGGCTTGGCCTATTCTTCTGTTATTCCTCTCAGTGATTCTCTCCAGGGATGTGGTTTGATCTGCTGACATCTCACTTTTGAAATCCTTGCTCCTGTTTTCCATTATTCCTTTTCCAGTCTCCATTATTTTCTCTGCCATTCTAAATGTTATTCCTTTAGTTCCCACAACTCTCTACCATTTCTGGTGCTCTGTAGAGTACACCCCTTCTAAGATTCCTCAAGGTGGGGTTCACAGTGCACTTTCCCAAGTTGCCAGGAGTTTCACTTGGCCCCAAACATTCTAAGGAATCCTTTCCTCTCTACCAGGATGATCCACTAAAGCAGACAGCGCCCCTTTGGCTCAGCTTTTTTCCACCTGGAATGCCATTCTATCATTGTCCCATTTTTTACACAATAGTAACACAAGTTCATTTATGTTAATGGTTAATGGGTTATTCTATCTCTTGTAATGTATTGTATTTTTACAGGAAACTTTTTTGAGATAATATTGTGGTCCCCAAATGGTTCCCCCAATAATAGAAATAGTAGGCACCTGTCAGGCCAGGGAGAGATCCTTCAGGTCAGGAGAAAACTTTGAGGTAAGACAATGGCATCCAGATCACATCATCAAAAGTATCCAACAGTAGGATGGTTCCAGATCACAAGGCAGCTGCAGGTTAGCAATTCTTTTGCTGTATCCATCACTGAAAAGCAGATGGCAGAATATGAGAAGGTGCACCCAAGCAAGATGAACTATGAACTGCACAAAGCCAGCTGACACCTGTCCCACTGAAAATAATTCTCTGTTTTTTAGTAAAAAACAATTATGTTTTCATTCCCTCCACTTGTCAGCAAAGGGATTTAGGGGTAAAGGAATGTCCAGCTAGGAGTCTTGTCAGTTAAAGGTTACACAGAAATACATACAAAGCATCTTGAAAATGTTGCTATGATTCATGATGATATTTATCTACAAGATTGAATATATGTATAGCCTGGTCCCTTGAATGTTAAGATTATAGTAGAAGCTCTCACAGAAAAACCCTGAAATCTCAATAGCTTAACACAATAGAAGTCTTACTCATATGAAACCCAATATGGATATTTCTTTTGGTCAGAGGGAGTCACAGTCATTCAGGCACACATGCCAGTGGAGGCCGTCAGTTTCACCACAATGATTCCAAGGTCACTCTGAGCATCAACATCTAGCAAGCAGATGGGAGAAGAGAAACAGTTGGGGGATGTTATGAGACGTCCACCCATAATTTTGGCGTAAATGTGACAAAACTTCTGTCCATATTCCATTGGCCAGAACCCAAACAGCCAAACTTCACTGTGGAGATGAGGAAATATAGACTGTGTTACTAGGAAGAAAAGAAAACGGAGTTGGTGAACAATTAGCTCATCTCTGCAACATATCCAATTCTCATTCTCACTTCCAGTAGCACTTCATGAATTTCCTCCAACTACTTCTTCTCCAAGTTCTTCCCACCCTTCCATGCTCCAATCATACCTTTCCTAGTCAATCACATACATTATGTGCCTCTCAATTTTCACAGATATTTTTAGCCTTCTGCTTCCCAAAGGATAGTTTAGAGATCCCCAGCAGCAGAATCAGTTAGAGAGCTTGATAAAACGCATAGTCCCAGGCACCACCCACAACCTGAAAAACTGGGACCTATGGAGTTCAGTAATTCAGAGATCTCAGGTGATTCTAAAGCACACTCATGTATGAGATCACTGACCTAGAAGGCTTGCAGTCTCTGGTCTTGATTATGCAAGATTACAATCTTTCTCTAAATTTTTTCCATCTCCAAGTAATCTTCAATAAAATCTTATCCTTTCTGTAGGCTGAGAAAATGATTTTTATCTCCTATTATTTCCCCACAGTGTCTAATGCCACACTGGGCACATAATAGGAGCTCAAAATATATAGCTAATTTATTGTGGATTGAACAATAGAACAGATAGCTGCTAAGTAAAATGCACTAGATAAAGATGATCTTTCAAACTGAAAAGGTAAAGACTCAGAAAGGATATGATGAGAGCCCAGAAAATCATGAATGGTGAAGTTAGAAGAAATAAGAACTAAATCATTTGTTTCTAGCAAGACTAGAATTTGTCTCCCCTAGCCCAACAACAACTTAAAAATCACATTCACAAAAAGGTGAAGAGAAGCAAAAAGATGAACTACTCTGCACCACAATTAATGAGCGCAAAGAATTTCTTCCCTTCAAGAAGATAATGTATACATAGCTTAAATATAATTCATTCACAAAACTGTAGGACCAATACAGGACATTGATAGAATCTAGTAAGCAGGAGGACATCCCTAACCTATGAGAGTTTTGATGTCACTCACAAAAGCCATACCACCTTCCCTTCAACTAAACCCTTGTGCTTATATATACATACATACATACATATATATATATATATATATATATATATATATATATATATATATATAAAACCTTTGTTAACACAATGAGGAAGACCTTTTGCAGGGGCAGAGTTGCGGCAAAATTGAGCAAATGCTGTGTAACCAACCATACACAGTTAGACTAGGTCACTAACCCATGCACTATGTGGTCATGAGCTCATAAAAATAAGCCGCAGGTACTCTGGCCATATTTCCAGTGTTCAGCTCCACTCCTCTCTCAATTTTCCACTATTCTTGCTCCTGTTGTCCTGCTACCCTGCTCCCTTGCTCCAAACAAATTCTGCCTGCCTGTGAGACTTTGCTTTCATCTCCTGTTTCTGGTTCTGCTCTCAACCTTAGTACTTAAAATATGAGCCCAGCCTTCTCTGGTTTTAATTTTGAGCATTCAATAAGTTTAAGACTCCCATATCTTCTCACTCTGGCAACAAAACCTTGTAAATCCCAAACCAAGCCTGGAGGCCCTGGTCCTGGCATGCAGTTGGGCCCACATCAGCTCCTTAGAAGGAAGAATAAATCCATTCCTTTGGCAACAGAACATTGGGAAATTTCCAGATATTACCCTGTTATTCCCTGCCCATTCTAAAATCACAGAATGATGATTGCTATGAGGCAATATGTTGTTGTCCCCTGAACTTGTCTGAATGGGGAGTGTGGGTGGGGGGATGACAGAGGGGAAGGAAAGAATGTTTGGCTCTTTAACATTGGCAAATCTGTTTAATCTCCTGGTCAGGGGCCAGTATAATCAGGGATTACACAAGTACCACTTGCAAATATGACAGCTTACATTTATAGGATGTTTATTTAGTTTCAGGCAGTGCTAATTTACATTATATAATTTACATTGTCTAATGGTCTATTTTCTAATTTCATCCATTCAACAACCCATGAGTAGGTACTATCATCATTCTTTCCAAAAGAGGAAACTGAGAATCCAGAAATTAGATAACTTGCCAAAGTCATGCAGCTGAGAACTGGCTGAGCTGGATTTGAACACAGACTTGTTTGACTTCAGGGACCACATAACGACTACACTATAACTGCTAACAGACACATCATTGATATCAGTGGAGGGATTTCACATTGAAAAATTCCAAGGAGTCATTTTTAGTAGGTCTATTTGGCCATGACGTTTTCTATCAGTGAACATAAGCTTCCTGAAAGCACAGGTTTCATGTAATCTGTGCATAGAAATTAGAAAATTGATATTACAAACTTCCTACAATGCAGGACAATGGGAGAGATGTTACTGCCTGAAAAAAATTTAAGTTTCAGATATCAGGTAATGGGTGGAGTTGGGAGTGGAGTTTGTGTGGAGGGGCGAGATGAAAGAGAAAAGGATTTGGGCACTGTATCTCGAAAAGGCTTAACCCAGAGTTTCAGAGAAAGTAAATCTTCAAGGGCACTGAGACCACATTTAGCACGACAGGATGAAATTTGACATAGCCTAGACTTTAATATGTGGAAAGCGGGGGAAAGCCAGATAAGAGAATACAACTGACACACCATGAAGGTTCTTAATTGGGAATATATAAAATGCCTTTATCAAAGATGGGATAACAGTTTTGAAATTATCCTTAATGACTTTTGTGAGTCAGGCTCTTAAAATTTTACCAGCTCAACAATGGAATTATTACAGTATTTGCTCCTAAAAATGTGTCTCCAATTGCTTTAAGAACTTCTTTTAATCCTAAAGTGACTTGGTAATAGTCATCACTGCATCTCTACATTGTGACACTGATACAGGACAAGAAATGTTTTTAGCCCACAGCAAGGATAGTTTAAAGGTTAGAGCCAGTTTCTGGGTAGTGAAATAAAATTCCATTTAAAGGAAATTAACTGACTGGTTGAAAATAAAGACCTGAATAAAGCTTATAAAGGTATTTAACTTTTATTAAGGTTCTCATAGAAGCAAAGAAAAAACATATATATTTGTTAATTTTGCATTATTACCCAAGAAAAATAGAACAGATTCTTATATAAAATCCTGTGGCTAAATTGTTGGCTTACATTTTTCAAATGTGCTTGATCCTAACTCATCATATAAAAATGTGAATTCACTAGATTACTTATTTAATTTTCATATTGCTTAGTGAATGTAAAATATTAGAAGACTCTTGGCTTTAGAGACAACTTAAGCCACCAATTGCTTATTAGAATGGATTAATAATTTGATGATTGAACATTCAAATAACTGTTTCAATGGCAAAAATACTGGAATCATGATCACAGCATTCCTCACCAGAAATCCCAATTGAATTCAGGAAGAAAATGCCCCAAGAAAAACATATTACTTTTTTCAATCATCACACACACACACAGAGAGAGAGAGAGATAGAGAGAGGGAGAGAGACAGAGAGAGAGAAGGAGAGGAGGGTTGGGGTGAGCAAAAGAGCAAGACAGCAAGAGAGACCGAGAAAGAGAACACTCTATGACAACAAATGTATATTCTATCATATCAGGTATTTGGAGACATTTGCACAGATTTGACATGTAACTAAAAAAGCCAAAGAAATAAAAGTGATCCCCCATTTACTACACCAACCAGTTTTCAGACAATATATCTTTTTTCCAGAAAGCAGCTCTTGAAATCAAAATACCAAAGGAGGGGGCAAGCCACTAATGCCTTACTTGCAAACTTGTTTATCAGATTTGCTCTGTCACCAAGAATGGCAGAAACTGATTAGCTCTCCATCAAGCCCATTTCCTCTCCATCTTAGACATAGAGCTAGAGTATATTTCCCATTCTTCCTTGCCATCAGATGTGGCCATGGACTGTGAGCACAGGCTACACTTCCAGTCCAGGCTCATAAAAAACCTCACACATGGTTCTCTGTGCCCTTTCTTCTTCTGGAGCTGATTCAGAAAATTATGGCAACCTTGTGATAGACAAATTGAAGATGATAGAGTCATAAGATGAAAGTAGCATGAAAGTAGCATGAGTCCCTAGAGGGGGTGCCTCCAACCAATCAGAACCACCCAGTTTGGAATTTCTATGCATGAAAAATCAACTACTCTGTCAAGCCACTGAGATGTAGGGGTTTTACTGTTACTGCAGCTCGATTACTCTAACATCCAGCAAATCCTTCAGGGAATGAAAGACAGAACAGATAAACCTTTGATGTTAGAGGGAAGAACTAGCATTAGATGGTCCTACAGTAAGAGGTACCCGGCAGCCTGAGAGCACTGAGGAGATCTGGAGTCCGGGGAGATGCAGGGGCAACAAAAACATATTTCTTCTCTTTGCTACTTTACCTGGGGACAGCCCTAGTTACAGTAATAAACCTGAAGCCACAAGATGAATCTTCCCAGCATGGTACTATTTATACCTCTGATCCCTACTCTGTTCCTGTTCAAAGAGCACAGATTTATAATTTTAATTATCTAAAACTTGTAGAGATTTAAACATCTGTTTTAAGTGTTCAATAAGTATTAGAAAAGCAATCCATTTTTCTTTAAGCTGAGTCATAATTTACAGTTTCCTGCGACTTGCACAACTCACTGCAGCCAATGCCCAAGGGGGAACTTGAGAGAGAAGCAGGGAGCACTTAATTAGCCCACAGTTAATTCCATTTAGGCTGCCTCCACGAAATGCAACCACCCTAAAGAACAGTAAATCATTCCATTACCAATATTGACGTGTTATTCAGCCTCAAAGACGAAAGCAATAGTATTGATATTGAGTGTTCGGCACTGGATTTAGATGGCAATCCAATGGCCACCTACTCAGGCTGAGGAACACATGGGACACATTTTAGCAATTCAGAAGCTGTCACCTGGACCTTAGAATGAGGGCTTGATTTAAAAGCCTTTATGATTTGATTCAGAAGACTTGATGTGTCACCTCCTCCAAGAATAAAAAGTTTTAAAAGGGTGAGGGTGTGACCCCAACAGAAAAACACGTGAGATTTAAAGAGACACACTTCCAGAATCAAACAGCCAAATCTTGGATTGCCCATAATTAGTATACCATCTCTATATTGCATTTATAAAGAAGGGCAATATTGAAATGCAAAGAAAACTGAAAATCAAGATCAGGTAAACTAGGCCTAGCATTGGCTGAAACCAAGAAAGATGTAGTCCCCCATTCAAAACACAAATCTAATCATATTACTTTATTGCTCAAAACCTTTTAACAGCCTATCACTACTTTTAGGATAAAGTCAAAATCCTTACCATGGCCTATAAGAACTGAATCATCTGGCCCCTATCAATTTCCCCAGAGTCATTTGTAAGTTCCATTCACACTGGCCTTCTTGGAGTTCCTCATTAGTGTCAAGCTTCTTCCCACCTCTGGGCCTTTGACCAGGCCCTCTGCCTGGAATGCACTTTATCCTTATACCCCTTCATCCAAATAACCCCTACTCATTCTTCAGGTTTTGCTCAAAGTGTTTGTTCTGCAGGCTGACCAACCCAGTGCCCTCAGAGAAGGCTAACTTCATCCATTATCTGCTCTCAGCACTTCCTCTCTTTCTTCCTTTCCTACACTTCTATAATGTGATCATCTTTAAAAATAAAAAATAAAATTTAAGCATGATCAGCTACTGACACAATATGTGTAATACTATATCCTATCTGTCAGCTACAGGACAAAACTGATTGGTCAGTGAAGAGGAGGGATGAAGGACGATGGCAGACTCTAAGGCACTTTGAGTGAAGGCAATGCAGAAGGAGCACCACTGAGGAGAGCCGGGGAAAAACCTGACTGATGAAAGCCCTGAACAGGTATCCAGGAGAAAGAGGTAGAGAATGAGAGGGAAAGAGGACTGAAGACTGGTACCAAAATGTGGCTGATTGTCTCCTCTGGTCCTCAAGTCAATGATAGTGCTAGACTGTGGGAGGTGATATTTTGATACTCCCTTCCTGATTCAATCATTTTGATGAAGCCTAAAAACAAACCACCATGACCCTTTTGCTTTTGGTTTCTTTAATGACTAAATAATGTGCAAAATAGAATCACAGATGAGGTTGGAGATAAGGCAAGGGTCAGACACATCTTGCATTCGCTCCATATTTAACCAAGAGTCCATGTTTATTCCATGTGCTCACCTCAAAAAGGGCAATTGCTCATTCTGAGCAGAGTGCCTGGGAATTCACTTCCTGTCTGAATAGTCTCCTTGACAAAATTTTTCTAGTGCTTCTTCAGAGTTACAAATTTACTTTTAGTGATATTTAACTGCTTGACAATAAAACTTACAGTTTTCCACTAGAAAATCTAGAAGATGGGCACCTCTGAGTTTTGTAGGCTTCCTAATCATACAGATTCTATGTTATCAAATATCTACTACACCGTGTTAGAGGAAAAACAGGTGAAATGCAACATGATTCATTATTTTCAATTCCAGACTAAACAGTTCCTGAAGAACTCTTACTAAATATACATACACTTAATAACAGCACATTTCTTTATAGTGACTTTTTAAAATAGGACAAGAGGCTAACCCAATTCTAACAGCCTTTTTGAAAATCTTTATTAGCTCTATTGATGACTAAATTAATATATACCCATAAAAATTTAAAAACTACTAAATAAAGTGATAATAAGATGATATTGACTAAACATTTACTAAGGTACTATGCTAACTCATACAGATCCCAAAACTACTATCATTCCCATTTTACAGAAGAGGAAATTAAAGCTTAGAGAGATCATGTATCTGTCCTGAGATCACATGAATGAGAAGTGGCAGAGACAGGACTTGAACATATGATGGGATCTAACTTAACCTAGCTTAACCATTATTCCATACTACCAAGTAGTAAACTATACAGTGAAAGGGTCTCAGCACGGGGTACAAGTTAGGCTGACTCAAAGGTCAAGGATGTGTCTTGTAAATATTATTGATAATTAAAAATAACCAGTGCTTTTATAATTTTACAGGGATCTCTCAATGCCCATCTGTTTCAAAATGACTATGTAAAAATGTCCTGCTTCTGAATTCAACCCAAAAACCCTTACAGAAGAAGATCCTGAGAATAAACAAAAGACTTAACAGACACCACATGCCCTTCCCTGCTTGTCCTGGGTTTAGCACAGTTGACTCTTGCCTCGGTTTTCCAGGCAAGTTTGTTGCTACACTGATGAAATCTCCAGAACTAATTAAGCCAGGCAAGCCCAGATGAGGACTGGATTAAAGGAGATGAGATCTAACTACAATCCAACACTTGGTACTTGTTCATTGTGAAGGAGACTAAATAGAGCAGGGCTGTTTGCTTGAAATGGCACCTGCGTTAGCTCTTGTTCTCTCATTCTCTCTCTCTCTCTCTCTCTCTCTCTCTCTCTCATAGCACCCTCAAAAGGAATCTTGAAGATAAGAGGATGTCATTTCCCACCACAGGTCCAGGAAATACTCCAGCTTCTCAGGCATTTAACTCTCCAACAAGTTAATTGAAGCAATTGTGCTGAAGGCAGCAGCTGACTGGACCCCTCAAGGCACTGCTTTGTGTGAAACACACACAGCAGGCCCACTTCTGCTCCCAGCTATTCAGAACTCTCCCTACAGCTCTCTGACATCTCCAGGCTGGTACAGAAGAGCTTTAGGCTCTTTAGAGGGTATTATTTTTAAAAATTCTCTCCACCTAAACCTGCTGTAAATAATTCCAGTGTGAGCTGTTGGACAGCACCTGAGAAGACACTTTCTTAACAAGGTGAAAGTTTATCATCTGAAATAGAATTTTTCTAAGAAACGATCGATGATTGTCTGAGTCTTGTTTAATATGATAATGTGTGTGCATACACACACACACACACCCTGATCAACATATAACACATAATCAAGGGAGAGAAAAACAAGGAGGAGAATCTGCAGGTACGTAGAAACTGAAATACATCATGGAATCCAAACTCTGCTTCCCCTGCAGCACTCTCAAGTGGCGGCTGATTATTTTCTCACACCTCAACTACCTCAGGGCCAAGAAACTTACCACCTGTCATCTGTGTTCGCCATTGCTATTCCTAGTCCTCTTTTCTCCTGTAAACCTTACTTTTGGTTTACATCTTCTGACTTTACCAGCCTCTCTCTTTGTGTCGCTGTCAACAATTCCTTCGCTTATCAGACCTTGGCATCTTCCAACCCTACCCAAGCCCTGTCACTATTCTCAATAATATCAATATCAATATAGATGGACTTCCAAACTCTGGCTTCTTAGTTCCTTGACCTCCTCATTTCTATTGACCTTCCCTTGCACCCCATTTTAACCACTCATCCCTAAGATTCTTGAATTTTCTTCACCTTTCATATCACTAACTCCAGCATCCCCTTCTCTGTCCATAACCTCTCCTTTTTCCACTTTGTATGTTCAAGTACTTCCACTACAACTATTCTTTGACTTCATTAAGATCTCCAGTCCATTGACTTAATCACTTTTTCCCAATGTGTCAGCTAAGTTTTTCTTTACTTTGCTTTTTGTCCATTGGAACCCTCCCCTTGGCCCTTTGAATAACTCTTATAAACATCCTAAACTCCCTCACGTCTCTATCATTTCATTTTATCCATCTGGCAAAATCTGGAAGAATGCTATTGTCCACTTTCACCATACCTGTGTCAGATTGATAAATACCTGCTGGATAAAGTTCCACAAGAGAAAGACTTGGACCATACACCTTCATGACTGCCAACCTCATACATGTTCTCAATGCCATATGCCATCCTAATTGCAGATCTTTGATCGATTCCATTTCCCACTCTCCACAGACTACTTCAAATTTCCTCCATTTTCCTCAAATCTCCACTCCTTGAGTCCATCCTCCTCCCTCTTTGCACAGATTACAGAGAAAATTGAAGCTATTAGACATAAATGCTCTCCTTTACCTGATTACGAACAAAAAAGCCTACCTACACCTCTGTGGGTTTTACAGTTAAAAGCTAGCTCTACGGCCGGGCGCGGTGGCTCACGCCTGTAATCCCAGCACTTTGGGAGGCCGAGGCAGGCGGATCACGAGGTCAGGAGATCGAGACCATCCTGGCTAACACGGTGAAACCCCCTCTCTACTGAAAATACAAAAAATTAGCCGGGCATGGTGGCGGGCACCTGTAATCCCAGCTACTTGGGAGGCTGAGGCAGGAGAATGGCGTGAACCCGGGAGGCGGAGCTTGCAGTGAGCAGAGATCGCGCCACTGCACTCCAGCCTGGGCGAAAGAGCGAGACTCTGTCTCAAAAAAAAAAAAAAAAAAGCTAGCTCTACCACATATGAACTGGGAACTTTGTCATATCACATAGGCTTTCTGTGCTTTTTTGTTTTTTGCAAAAAAGGAATAATAGTACCTAATTAACAGGATTATAAATTTAATGAGTTAATATATGTAAAGTGCCCAGTTCATAGTAGCCCTATTTAACTGCCTGATATATTAGACATTATTATTCTCCTTTCTTCCTGTTATGATAAAGGAACTAAGCATTCCTCCTACCTAAGGTAAATTCCTCTACCTGTACCACATATCCCATCTCTTCCATTTATACTAAGAGCCTAATATCATTCAACAAATATTTGTTAAGTGCCTGCAATATGCCAAACACTTACCTAGGCATTGGGCATACAGTAAGTACGAACTCGTATTATTCAAAGTACAGCAAGAAGTCCAGGAGTGCTAGAGCAGTATATGAAAGTCAGTCACAGATGAGACGGGAGGGATGGTGGGACCCATAACTTATAAGGACTTACAGGATTAATGTTTACTAAATTATCACAGGGTCCCATTTTGTTTCAAGATTACGGACAAAGCCACAAATTAAATGTTGCATATGACCTGATACATAATATTAGTGAACCATCCAAATCAGTCACCTTCTTCAAAAGGTGCTATGGGCTGTTAGGATTCATCCTAAATCCTGGTTGGATAATGGAGTTCATTCAATGATTAAAAGAGGCTAAATTAAGAAGCTACATGTGGCCTTATCAAACCCATCTCCCACTTTATGACTGTGTTAGCTGTGACTTATGCTTTGGCCTCTCAATGATCCACTCCTAATCTTAAATCTTACACCATTTTTTTTACTTTTGAATTTCCCTTTAGCCTCATGTAGTATGGCTTGTGCTTATGGCATACTGGATGAGAGCACTGACTGCCATTTATTAAATAGGCAGGGTTTTAAAATTCTATATGTCGCTGTTTCCTCATCTATAAATTTAGGATCCTAATAGAGGCTATATCATAGCACTATTGTAAGGCTTAAATGGTACATTACATGTAGAGTGCCTGGCCTCTAGTAAATGTTAACCAGAGATCTGTGGAGACAAGTTTGGCCCAAGTGCCATTCTGAGCTCTACACCATACTAGCTATGTGACCTCATGAGAGTTAATTCACTTCTCTAAGCCTCGATTATTCCATCTGCAAACTGGGGATAATATTAGTACCTACCTTACAGGTTGTTGTGAGGATGAAATGAGATATAATGCCTAGAAACTGCTTACGACACAGTAGCTTCTCTTGTTATTATGATTAAAGTCTCAAACTTTGCATTTAAAAAGCCAGATTTCCTGTGCTCCCATCCCCAAGTAAAATTTTATTTGCTGCTGCTACATATTTCCTTCCTCACCCCTTGGCCACTTTCCCAAATCCTAATTATCTTTCCTCTTATTATAGGATCTCTTCAAAGATAATGTTCTTATCCGCAGTCTGACAGCCTACCTAACATTATACACACCTTCTGTCACCAAAACAAGAACCCCAGCAGGGGTAAACACATTTCAACTGTCACTTGCTCCATCTTTACACCATTTGTTTTCATAGGTGATTATCACATTTTGGAATTCATCCTCAAATCAATGTAGTTTACTGGCAACCAGACACTGCAGCCGTGAGAAGAGGCTGTAGCCTGACTGTGGGAAATCCACCCCCAGAGTAGAGGACACAGAAGACACAGCCAAGCAGACACAGCCTGAAGTCCAAAGTGAAACCATTATCAATCACCCAAATGGCTAGTGATGGGGCTTTGTAGACAGGCAATGATGCATAGCAGGGGTTCCAGCAGAGACAAAGAAACTAGGGAGAGTGAAGGAGTGGTAGTTTGGGATAAAAGAATAGAAAATGATCTCATCTCTTCCTCAATATGACATCAGTCAAATCTATTAAGATTTCTGAGTTTTCGTTTCTCCTTTTATAAGAATTAAATATCCTCTCTACAAGCCACTTCCCTCTATTCCATGTAATTGGAAACTTTCACCATTAGAGATTCACATCTTTAACAGCATTTGCAATAATATGGATGAGATTGGAGGCTATTATTCTAAGTGAAGTAATTCAGGAATGGAAAACCAAGCATCACGTGTTCTCACTGATATGCGGGAGCTAAGCTATGAGGACACAAAAGCATAAGAATGATACAATGGACTTGGGGACTTTGGGGGAAGGGTGGGAGGGGGGCAAGGGATAAAAGACTACAAATATCGTGCAGTGTATACTGCTCGGGTCATGGGTGCACCAAATTCTCACAAATCACCACTAAAAAACTTACTCATGTAACCAGATACCACCTGTACCCCAATAACTTATGGAAAAAAACTCCCCCTCCACTTCATACCTCCCATCACTGTCTTAGTTTAGCCCCTCATCATTTAGCACCAGAACACTACTATAATCGTTTCTTAACTGCTACTTCTCCTAAACTCCCACCTCATTTCTACATATACCAGCATGTCCAAAGTCTCAAATCTAACCATGTCTTTCCAGTCTTTAAAAACATGGGGGAACCCAAAAGTCCTGGGACTTGCCAACCAGTGAATACAAATGAGGTCACATTAACCCTATTACAGAAATCACAATAGCCCTGAGATCCCATCTGTTTCAATGTAGAAAGTTCAGTCTGTTCACATGCATACCTATGTTTATTGCAGCACTATTTACAATAGCAAAGACTTGGAACCAACCCAAATGCCCATCAATGATAGACTGGATAAAGAAAATGTGGTACATATACACCATGGAATACTATGCAGCCATAAAAAAGAATGACTTCATGTCCTTTGCAGGGACATGGATGAAGCTGGAAACCATCAACCTCAGCAAACTAACACAGGAACAGAAAACCAAACACCGAAGGTTCTCACTCATAAGTGGAAGTTGACAGTGAGAACGCATGGACACAGGGACGGGAACATCACACACTGGGGCCTGTCGGAGGGTGAGGAGAAAGGAGAGGGAGAGCATTAGGACAAATACCTAATGCATGCAAGACTTAAAACCTAGATGATGCGTTGATAGGTGCAGCAAACCACCATGGCACATGTATAACCTATGTAACAAACCTGCACGTTCAGCACATGTATCCCAGAACTTAAAGGAAAATAAAAAATTAAAATTAAAATTAAGAAAGAAAGTTCAGTCTTTTATAGAATATTGCTAGAAACCATCAGGAGTGCTTACTGGGGTCCATAAACCCTGCCAGTCATCCCTTACTGATGCAGCTGGCTGTGACAGAACTCCACAACCTTGGGTTCCAAAGGTGCCTAGTAGGAAACATTCTAACCTGAAAGTTTGATCTGGCTGAAGTCACTACTGCTTTAGGGCGATGGACCTTAGAAACTATTATGTGGCCTCCATGGCACATTATTTCAATATGCATTATTCAAATGTGGCCACAGCCTCTGCCTAGCCAATTCCAAAGATGCCAAGTTCAATAGGAAGTGACGTCAGGAACAGAGGAACACTGCTGTCCATCTTATAGTCTTCAGCCTATAATGGAACAGGTGACTACCCAGCCCTCCAAGTAGAGGCTCACCAACCCTCCAGGGTCTCTCACCACAAACGCTTACCCAGAAGAGATCACTACCCAGGCCTTCCTACTACTCTGGGAGGCCAAAAACAAGTAACAGGCATGCCCCAACCAAATTTTCCTCCTCCCACCCTTTAGGGAAGCCCACATTCAGAATAACTTGTTTCACTCTGATCATCTTCTGGGGTGCTCATATTATCCTGGGGACTGGAAAATGCCCAATGAATAGGAATGCCCCTATGTAGAGATTCCTCAGGATCTTTGCATACCATGTCGCACTATGCTCAGATGAACATAATTTTAAAAAGCAAACCCATGGAACATACAACTTGTGAAGCACTGTTTTAAGCATGTTAATATCATACAAGATAGATTAATGTCCTCCCCATTTTACATATGAGAACACTGAAAAACATAGGGGTTAAGTGACTTGCCTAAGGTTATACAGCTAGTACACTGCACAGGCAAGATTAAAACCCAGAATGTCTGGTTCCAGAGTTTGTGTACTAAGCCATTCATTTTACTGGAATTTTCCAGTTAAATGGAAAATGAGAAGCCCAGAAAAGTATTTATCCTCTTTCTCTTCTTCCCTCACCTCCACCAACCACTCCTACTCAATTTCACTGGTAAACTTTTGAGACCTTCTGGCTACACTTACAAACACAAAGCCTAAAATACAACTGCCCCTAACATTTCTGGAAAACTGGGACAAGAGTACAAATGGAGGTCCACACACCGTAAGTCCAAAAAAGGTTAACAAACTGATGAATAAAACATGTTTAATTCTCTTACCTTTATAAACATACCTTTGTAACAACCTGCAAGTTCAGGTTTGCAGAATTCCATGACTCCTCAGAGTTCTTCACAAGAATTTGGTGGTACAAGGTGTGAGCCCAAAATACCTGAGACAAGTCTCAACCAATTTAGAAAGTTTATTTTGCCAAGGTTAAGGACACGCACCCATGACACAGCCTCAGGAGGTCCTGACGATATGTGCCCAAGGTGGTCGGAGCACAGCTTGGTTTTAGACATTTTAGGGAAACATAAGACATCAATCAATATATGTAAGATGTACATTGGTTCAGTCTGGAAAGGCAGGACAACTTGAAGCAGGGAGGGGGATTCCAGGTCGTAGGTAGATGAGAGACAAACGGTGGCATTCTTTTGAGTTTCGATTAGCTTTTCCAAAGGAAGCAATCACATACGCATTTATCTCAGTGAGCACAGGGATGACTTTGAGTTCTGTCTGTCATTTGTCCACAAATTGTGAGGGAGGTATGCAGTTTTGTTTGTTTGTTTGTTTGTTTGTTTGTTTTCTTAGTAGCGATCTTTTATTTGAATAGAATGGGAGGCAGGTTTGCCCTAAGCAATTCCCAGCTTGACTTTTCCCTTTGGCTTAGTGATTTGGAGGGTATCGAGATTTATTTTCCTTTCACAAAGGAAAGTCAGCCCACCCCCTTCTTCTCCTAGCTCAATACTGCACCACCCTGTCTTGTATGTGTATGGGTGGACACTCTAATCTGAGTATGATCTACAGTCCTCAGAAGAACCACTTCTTCAGGCTAGAGGTATGCACAGTAATGGTGTAGTTTGCCTTCAGGAGAAGAAACCCTAGAAACATGGCAGCGAAAGCTCTGGAAGTGGGTTCCAAGCCTTTTGATGACAGAGAGAGAGGAGTCACCACAATACCTGGCAGATAGCAAACACTATAGAAATCTCATCTGTGATTATCCTCTCAGGAAGATATATGCATGAACTTGATCATAGGAGCAAATGAGGCACATGCCCATTCCATAAAAAAAGGCACGGCAGCTCTGATTGCCCATGCACAGAATTCCAACATATTTGGGTGAGTTTCAGTTTCTGACATGTGGAAACAAAATCTTTCAGTTCAGACCTATTCAGTTTTTATGTATGAATTCAAACAATCAGAAAAAGAAGCAGCACAGCATCATGTTATAAGGGAACTCTTAATCTGTTGTTAAAATAAGGAAAAACATGCCCTCAAGCTCATTCTGATGAACGCAATACAAATGTGAGGGTTATTAGTTTTTCTTCTATTGTACATGGGAGCAAAGAGTCGGAAAGAACACATGCAATTTGTAAAATCAAATTCGTGAGTGCAGGACTGTCTAAATGGTATGGAGTGAGAAACAAAGTTGCTCTACTCAAAGATAATTTCCCCTATGTGGCAGAAGTTTCACCAACTGGAACTCATTTCTTTGAGTTAAGACATCATCTTTTCTGGGAACCACACAAGTAAGTGTAATTATGGACTGAGAGGTCATGTACTAGCCCATTATCAGCCATTAAATTATTAATGCTAAATTCATCAACAAATGACCAAGAGCTGAAAGCCAAGATCCCAAGGTCTTTGCTGAATTCCAAGAAAGAGTGAGTCCTAGTGCTCTGGAGACAGAGCCAGAAAGCAGAGCAGATTCAAACTTATACTTCAAGAGTTTTTTCATTACAATACAACAACCACAAAAAAACAAACAACCCAATTTTAAAATGGGCAAAAGACTTGAATAGCCATTTTTCTAAAGAGATATACAGATGGCAGATAGACACATGAAAAGCTGCTCACCATCACAAATCATTAAGGATATGCAAAACAAAACCACAATGCACAACCACTTCACACGCGTTAGTGTCGCTATTAATAACAAGAACCCCCCCCCCAAAAAAAAACAAATGTTGGTGAAGTTGTGGAGTAATTAGAACCCCTGTGTATTGCTGGTGGGATTGTAAAATGGTGCAGCTGCTGTGGAAAATGGTATGGCAGTCCCTCAAAAAAACACAGACAGCAATTCCCCTTCTGGGGATATAACCTAGAATATTGAAAACAGGGATTCAAATGGACATTAGTATACCCATAATCACAATAGCTAAAAATGCAGAAGCAACCCAGTATCCATCAACAGATGAATAAACAAAATGTGGTGCATGAATACAATGGAATATTTTTCAGCTTTTAAAAGGAGGGAAATATGGACACATGCTAGAACATGGATGAACCTTGAAGACATCATGCTAACTAAAATATGCCAGTCACAGAAGGAATAATCTGATTCCCCTTATATCCAATACCTAGAATAGTCAAACTCATAGAGACAGAATGATGGGCGCCAGGTCTGGGGGGAGGAGGGAATGGGAAGTTAGCATTTAATGAGTAAGGAGTTTCAGCTTGGGAAGATGAGAAAGTTCTAGAGAAGCATAGTGGTGATGATTGCACAACAACGTGAATTTACTTAATGCCACTAAACTGTATGCTTGAAAAGTGTTAAAATGATAAATACTATGTTCTATGTCTTTTACCACAATACAAAAAGTTAACTGCCTACCATAATACTTCTAATTCTTATGATAATACTATGTGAGTAGAATTTATAAAATTGTTTTAAAAGTAGTATCTTAAAATATTTTGTATTCTAGACTATATAATATCCATTTTTGCTTTAATGCTTGAAAAGGGGGTCCCAAGATCTATGAACAAACTTGATGCTTTATGAAAGTGTTTGCCCTGAGTCTGCAAAATAGTGTATACTATCCTCTGACAGCAATTTGAGAAGTGAAAGCATAAAGTAGAGTTTCTCAACCATGAAACTATTGACACTTGGGGCTAACATAATTCTTTGTTGTTGGAGGGCTACCAAGTGCATTGCAAGACATTTAGCAGCATCCCTGAGCTCAACCTCTTAAGTGCCAGTAGTGAGAGAGATAGACTGAGCCCTTCACAAGATGAACCTGGAAAAGCAGATAAGTGGGGTATCGGGGAACCCACCCCCAATATTTCAACGTAGGTTCTTTCTATTTTCCCTAAGTGTCGGCCAGCTGAGAAATAAAGAGAAAGAGTACAAAGAGAGGAAGTTTACAGCTGGGCCTCCAGGGGTGACATCACATATCGGTACGACCGTGATGCCCACCTCAGCTGCAAAACCAGCAGGTTTTTATTAAGGACTTCAAAAGGGGAGGGGGTGTACGAACAGGGAGTAGATCACAAAGATCACAAGGCAAAGGGCAAAATCAAAAACTCCTGACAAGGGTCTATGTTCAGCTGTGCAAGTATTGTCTTGATAAACATCTTAAACAACAGAAAATAGGGTTCAAGAGCAGAGAACCGGTCTGACCTCAAATTCACCATCTGTTAACTGAAAATGTTTAAAATGATTCTTAACTCATTAACACTCCTTATTCTCCATGTAGGCAAGGGAGTTATTTCTCTTAGAATTTTTGTTCAGTAACATAAGTGATTTATTTGAGACCTCTTCTGTTCTTTCATTGGGCCTTTTAAGTTGCAAAACAAAGTCGAAGTACTATGATTCAGCAATCATGCAACACTGAACATCACTTTGGGGCAGGGCAAACTTTCCACTTTAGTATTTTTGCTGTGATCTTAAGGATCCAATAACGGGTGTTAGGATGTAGAATTTTAAAATATTATTGATACACAATAAATGTACATATTTATGGAGAACAGGTGTAATTTTGATACGTGCACACATTGTGTGATGATCAAATCATGCTATTTAGGATATCCATCACTTTGAACATTTATCACATCTTAGTGTTGGAAACATTTCAAATGTTCTCTTCTATTTTGAATTACGCAATAAATTATTGTTAACTATAGTAATCCTACTGTGCTATTGAACACTGGAAATTATTCCTCCTACAGAACTGTATGTTTGTACTCATGGACCAACCTCTCTTCATCCCCCCGCCCACCTACACGCCCTTCCCAACCTCTGGTATCTATCATTCTACTCTCCAATTCCATTAAATTCACTTTACTAGTTCCCACATATGAGTGAGAACATACAATTATTTGTCATTCTGTGTCTGTGCCTGGCTTATTTCCCTTAACGTAATGACCTCCAGTTCCATCCATATTGCTGCAAATGACATTATTTCATTTTCTATGGCTGAATAGTACTCCACTGTATACCACAGTTTCTTTATCCATTCATCTGGTGATACACACTTAGGTTACTTCCACATCTTGGCTATTGTGACTAATGTTTCAATAAACATGTACGAGTGCAGGTATCCCTTTGATATACTGATTTCCTTTCCTTTGGATAAATGCCTTGCAGTGGGACTGCTGGGTCATATCGTAGGTCTATTTTTAGAGTGTTGCAAAACCTCCATATTGTTCTTCATAATGGGTGTACTATTTTACATTCTCACCAACAGTGTAGGATTTTTATGATCACAGCTTAGATTTATTTTGCACCTACTATGTGCCAGGCATCATCCATAAGACTTAATTCATACCTTCACTTTAATCTTTATAACAACTCTCATGACAATGTCTGTGAGGAAGACATTATAATCCTCATTTTCTACATGATGAAACTGAAGCTCAGGAAAATTAAGTGATGTAGACAAGGCTGCAGGCCTGAGAAGTGGTGGATTCAAAAGTAGGTCTGGGGTGGGGTGTTGTGGCTCACACCCATAATCCCAGCATTTTGAGAGGTCAAGGCATGTGGATTGGTTGAGGTCAGGAGTTCGAGACCAGCCTGACCAATATGGTGAAACACCGTCTCTACTAAAAATACAAAACCTAGCCGGGGGTGACAAAATTAGCCAGGCGTGATGGCGGGCACTTGTAATCCCAGCTACTCGGGAGGCTGAGGCAGGAGAATCGCTTGAACCCAGGAGGCGGAGGTTGCAGTGAGCCGAGATCATGCCACTGCACTCCAGTCTATGTGACAAAGTGAGACTCTGTCTCAAACAAAACAAAACAAAACAAAAAACCAAAAGTAGGTCTGTCTGACCCAGAAGTTTACTCCTTCCACTTCCCTTCACATATCACCCCTCAAGGTGGATCCAGGCAACTTGCATCAAAACAGATCTCATCTGGAGAAAATGAAAGACCTCAACTGAAGACATCTTCTAGTCCCAGTACTTGGGAGGGTGTACAGTGGCACAGGGCAGAGGGCTAGAAACTGGGTCAGGGAAGTGCACCAGACTGCTTACACTGAGTCTCCAAGTATAAGAACTTCCTCCCTCTATTACTTGGTTCATCTACTGAGTGTATTCGTCAGGGTCCTCCAGATAAACAGAACCAATAGGATACAGCTATTGGAAGAGATTTATTGTGAGAAGTTGGCTCGCATGATTATGGGGACAGAGAAGTGACATGACCAGCTGGAGACTCAGGAAAGCGAGTGGTGTAGCCAACCTGAGTCCAAAGGCCTGAGATCCGGAGGAGATGATGGTTTAAATCCTCTCCAAGGGCAGACAAGACCCATTTCCCAGCTTAAGCAGGCAGGCAGGCAGGAAGCAAAAAAGGGGCAAATTCCTGCTTCCATTGTTTTTCCTATTTAGGCCCTCAACTGATTGGATGGTACCCACCCACATTGCAGAGGGCAATCTATTATATGGAGTCCACCAATTCAAATGCTAATGTCTGGAAACATCTTCATAGACACAGCCAGAAACAATGTTTAAACTGGGCACTTCCAGGCCCAGTCAAGTTGACACATAAAATTAACCATCACACTGAGCTTGACTATCTACAATTGGGACAGCAAGGGATGCTGGTGTTGCCTGAACATGTAGGGTGCCCTGCTGATTACCATACAACCACCATGACTAGTGGTATGCAAAGTCTGGTCCTGGGCCAGCAGGGTGACCAACCATTCTGGTTTGCCCAGGAGTGTCCCGTTTTATCACTAAAAGTTCCATATCCAGGAACACCCGTCAGTCCTGGGCAAGCTAGCATGGTTGGTCATCCTACAACCAGGAGCATTGGCATGAACTGGGAAGTTGTTAGAAATAAAAGTGTTGGGCATCATCCCTAACCTAGTGAATTGGAAACTATGGAGGTAGAGCCCAGCAATCTGTTTTCCCAAGCCATCCTGGTGATTCTGATGCATACTAAAGTGAAAAACCCACTGTCCAAAGCAAAGAATTTTTTTTCAGTTTCATTTCATCATTTTATTATTATTATTATTATTAATTATTAAAGTTCTGGGATACATGTGCAGAATGCGCAGTTTTGTTATATAGGTATACATATGGCATGGTGGTTTGCTGCACCCATCAACCCGTCACCTGCATTAGGTATTTCTAGTAATGCTAACTCTTACCTAGCCCCCCACCCACCAACAGCCCCCGGTGTGTGATGTTCCCCTCCCTGTGTTCATGTGTTCTCCTTGATCAACTCCCACTTACGAGTGAGAACATGAGGTGTTTGGTTTTCTGTTCTTGTGATAGTTTGCTGAGAATGATGGTTTCCAGCTTCATCCATGTCCCTGCAAAGGACATGAACTCATCCTTTTTTACAGCTGCATAGTATTCCATGGTGTATATGCACCACATTTTCTTTATCCAGTCTATCATTGATTGGCATTTGGGTTGGTTCCAAGTCTTTGCTATTGTGAGTAGTGCTGCAATAAACATACATGTGCATGTGTCTTTATAGTAGAATGATTTATAATCCTTTGGGTATATACCAAGGAATGGGATTGCTGGGTCAAATGGTATTTCTAGTTCTATATCCTTGTGGAATTGCTCACTGTCTTCCACAGTGGTTGAACTAATTTACACTCCCACCAACAGCGTAAAAGCATTCCTATTTCTCCACATCCTCTCCAGCATCTGTTGTTTCCTGACTTTTTAATGATCACCATTCTAACTGGCATGAGATGGTATCTCATTATGGTTTTAATTTGCATTTCTCTAATGACCAGTGATGATGAACATTTTTTCATATGTTTGTTGGCTGCATAAATGTCTTCTTTTGAGAAGTGTCTGTTCATATCCTTCGCCTACTTTTTGATGGGGTTGTTTCTTTTTTCTGTAAATTTGTATAAGTTCTTTGTAGATTCTGGATATTAGCCCTTTGTCAGATGGATAGATTTCAAAAATTTTCTCCCATTCTCTAGGTTGCCTGTTCACTCTGATGATAGTTTCTTTTGCTGTGCAGAAGCTCTTTAGTTTAATTAGATCCCATTTGTCAATTTTGTCTTTTGTTGCCATTGCTTTTGGTGTTTTAGACATGAAGTCTTTGCACATGCCTATGTCCTGAATGGTATTTCCCTGGTTTTCTTCTAGGATTTTTATGGTTTTAGGTCTTACGTTTAAGTCTTTAATCCATCTTGAGTTGATTTTTGCATAAGGTGTAAGGAAGGGGCCCAGTTTCAGTTTTCTGCATATGGCTAGCCAGTTTTTCCAACACCATTTATTAAATAGGGAATCTTTTCCCCATTGCTGGTTTTTGTCAGGTTTGTCAAAGATCAGATAGTTGTAGATGTGTGGTGTTATTTCTGAGGCCTCTGTTCTGTTCCATTGGTCTATATATCTGTTTTGATACTGGTACCATGCTGTTTTGGTTACCGTAGACTTGTAGTATAGTTTGAAGTCAGGGAGCATGAGGCCTCCAGTTTTGTTCTTTTTGCTTAGGATTGTCTTGGCTATGTGGGCTCTTTTTTGGTTCCATATGAAGTTTAAAGTAGTTTTTTCCAATTCTGTGAAGAAAGCCAGTGGTAGCTTGAATTGGGATAGCATTGAATCTATAAATTACTTTGGGAAGTATGGCCATTTTCACAATATTTATTCTTCTTACCCATGAGCATGGAATGTTTTTCCATTTGTTTGTGTCCTCTCTTATTTCCTTGAGCAGTGGTTTGTAGTTCTCCTTGAAGATGTCCTTTACATCACTTCTAAGTTGGATTCCTAGGTATTTTATTCTCTTTGCAGCAATTGTGAATGGGAGTTCATTCATGATTAGGCTCTCTGTTTGTCTGTTATTGATGTATAGGAATGCTTGTGATTTAGCAAAGATTTTTGAAGTCTGGAAAAGAGTTGCTCAGTTGTCTTTCAGGATGATTCCAATTTGCATTTTCCTCTGAACTTCCAATTAAAACATGCCATTGAGAGGAAGCCTGTTGCTTTGTTTCATTTTGTTTTGTGTCTCCACAGTTGTATGCAATTATTAAATCAGTGCTTTCTGTGAAATGAATTGAAATATTTTTTGAACACCTACTATGTATTCAATATGCTTCCCACTACCTGTCCTTGATGTTCTCTATGAATTTGGCAGTTGTATTTTCCATAATACTGGACACTAACATCCAATTAATATTAATCAAGAATATAGTACTTTGGGCAGGATTCTGTAAATTTTGATTTGCTAGAAATGATTTTTCCATGTTGCCACTGTGAACATATTATACTTCTCTACAGGGTTAAGAGTTTAGAATAGAAAATGTGTGTGTGTGTGTGTGTGTGTGTGCATCTGTGTGTGGCAATTTTGGTAAACTCAGTAAGATCGCTACATCTGGCAGGTCTCACTTTAACCTAAGCAGGTGCAAATTTTGCCATGAATATTGCAAGAAGATGCATTGACAAAAACTCACAGGAACTGTGAGATTTCAGGAGTGTTAGAACTGAAGGCCTAACTGTAAAGTTAAGGGGCCCAAGAACCAGTGATGTCAAAGGATAACAGCTAATGAAACCACATACCAAAAAGAGCAAGAAGCCCCCTGTAGAAAGGAGAATTTCAGGGCATGACAGATTCTGCGCGGGGGACTGAGTTTCGGCCTGGCATTTAAAGGCAAGCAGTCCTATCTGCCATGCCTCACGCTGGGGTACGGCACGCTGCCCATGCCTTTCAGTTCCTCCAGAAAGGGTCACACTGAACCCAGAGTCAGGAAAGCTGCTTGGTGTCTGAGCTGTACATTGGGTTGTGCAAGGCCCAACTGTCCTGTGAATTTTTTTTTTTTTTTTGAGACGGAGTCTCACTCTGTTGCCCAGGCTGGAGTGCAGTGGTGCAGTCTCCGCTCACTGCAAGCTCCACCTCCCAGGTTCACGCCATTCTCCTGCCTCAGCCTCCCGTGTAGCTGGGACTACAGGTGCCCGCCACCACGCCTGGCTAATTTTTTGTATTTTTAGTAGAGACGGGGTTTCACTGTGTTAGCCAGGATGGTCTCGATCTCCTGACCTCGTGATCCACCTGCCTTAGCCTCCCAAAGTGCTGGGATTACAGGAGTGAGCCACCGCGCCCAGCCAATTTTTTTTTATCATGTGCTAAAGGCTAAGAATCATAACTGGTCAATATAAGTGATGTGTGCTTAGAGAGCTCTGGACTAAAACTTCCGTGTACTTGTTTCAATATGTTTGCTGACATTAGGCATGGCTAAAAAAGAGGAAGGCCACACACACACTTCTAACTTCTGTTTAATGAAAGTGAATGCAAAATAGAAATAGTTCAAAATGCTACATGCTTGATTCTATTCAGTATTTCAATTATATCTACTAAATTATGTTGTAAGCTGGGTTGATTAGCAATACATTAGCTCATTAACTTTCAGAGTCTAACCATCTTATGCTGTCTATGGATGGTATCTGAGTGCCCTCATTTACATGCATTTGATTCACTCATGGAGGTTTTCCTGGGAGAAAAATAAAACTCATAATAAAACAAATAGCCACTGGGAAGAAAATGCAATAATAATTATAAGGAACACCATCACAATTATGCCTTCAAATTCTGACAGCATAAATGCAAACCTACTTTTAGGCAGGAACTTGTAAAAATAACAGGCAGATGGTATGTGAAAATTCATACAGCTTTATAAAAATGCAATAATATTGTGCTTTGTGTTGACAGAGCTCCTTCCTTGAAAAGAGCTCTAATCCCTTGACGTATGCTCTCTAAGGATGTGCAGCCCACTTGCTGAATTACCCAGAAGTCAGGGTGCAGGTAGGCATATCATGGAAGTGTTGGTAGGGCCCCACCCTGCACATCATTCTGTGACCTGAGAAACAATTGGGCTTCCAGATCAAATTGGCATCTCCTGCAATGCTCCAGATATTTGGACTTTCCCAGCCAGGCAAAAGAAGCAAGGCTGGGCAGGGTGCAGTGGCTCACGCCTGTAATCCCATCCCTTTGGGAGGCCAATGCAGGAGGATTGCTTGAGCCCAGGAGTTTGAGATCAGTCTGGGCAACATGGCAAAACCCTATCTCAACAAAAAAAAAAAAAGAAAAAAGAAAAAAATACAAACATTAGCTGGGCATAGTGGCATGTGCCTATAATCCTAGCTACTAGGGAGGCTGAGGTAGGAGGATCACTTGAGCTCTGGAGAACGAAGCTACAGTGACCGGTGATCATACCACTGCACTCCGGCCTGAGACCCTGCCTCAAAAAAAGAAAAAAAAAGAGGAGCAAGGCTCACCCCTGTCATCCATTCATTCACTGATTTATTCAATCAGTGCTTACATAGAATTCAGCCATTTATTCACTTAGCAAAGAGCTTCTTAGTTGCAGCTGAAAATATTAGAATCACTTTGGAAGCTTTTAAAAATTACTGAATCTCAAAGCTCATCCCCAGGGTTTCTGACTTTTTTCACTGATAATAATAATATCTATTAAGCATATACTTTGGGGCCAGTTTGCTAACCCATTTATTGACATAAAATTCACATGAATAAAATTCAATCATTTAAAGTATATAATTGAATAGCTTTTAGTGTATTCACAGATATATACAACCATTACAGTCAACTTTATTTATTTATTTATTTATTTATTTATTTATTTATTTATTGAGACAGGGTCTTGCTCTGTCACCCAGGATGGAGTGCAGTGATGCAATCTTGGCTCACTGCAATGTCTGCCTCCCGGCTTCAAGCAATTCTCATGCCTCAGCCTCCCAACTAGGTGGGACTACAGGTGGGCACCACCACATCCGGCTAATTTTTGCATTTTTAGTAGAGACAGGGTTTCACAATGTTGCCCAGGCTGGTCTCAAACTCCTGACCCCAAGTGATCTGCCTGCCTCAGCTTCCCAAGGTGCTGGGATTACAGGTGTTAGCCACCGCGCCCAGCCTACAGTCAACTTTGGAACATTTGCATCATCCCAAAAAGAAACCCTGACTGGAGACAATCCCAGCCTAGACTCACACTCTGTATAACCTTGGGCATTATTTAACCTTTGAAATTTCAATTTCCTATTTGGAAAATGGGAATAATAATACTTAAGTATTTGGTTTTTGGGAGAATTGAAGTAAAATTTAAAGAAAGAAATCCTGCACACATTAACTATCAGTAACATTCCCCATGTCCCCATCCCCGCCCTGGCCCTAAAAAAAATGTGATTCTACTTTCTGTCTATATAGATTTGCCTATTCTGGACATTTCATATAAATGGGATCATATAATAAGTGGCATTTTGTGTCAGATTTCTTATAATTTACATAAAATTTTCAAGGTTCAAATATACTGTCTTGTGAATCAATACTTCATCCTTTTTATGGCCAAATAATATTCCATTGTATGGATATACCACTTTTTGTTGGTCAACTATTTGTCAGTTGATTGACATTTGTATTGTTTCCACATTTTGGTACTGGGGATACAGCATAGAACACTACACAGTGCTTATCTTGGCATAATTTGTAGTCCAGCATTCACTCAAGGATATTCAGAGGAAACCTAATTAGGATACCAGACATATTATTAGGGTCCAACTGAATCCAACACATGACTCTAACTTGGCTATTGCTTATTTCCTCAGAGTTAATGAGGGAAGAAAGGAATCATTTTGAATAAACTCAACATCAGGCATTTTACAAAAAGGAACCTCACATTCTCAGGAATAAAAGGGGGATTCTGGACAGTAAAATACAGTAAATTTATGTTCACATGTATTTATTTAGTACTTCTTGGGACTTCAGCACTACAGTAAGTGCTTCAGTGGATACAAAGGAGAAAGAACAAAAAGAGAATTAAAGGGAGAGAAAAACAGAAAGGAGAGGATGAATAAAAGAAAAAGTATTTCTGAGCTCCTGCTATGCACATGACATTATGCTATGTGCATTCAAACACCTCATCTTATTTTAATGACATATGAGAAAGGCATCCTGTCCATAGAGATATATTCTAGTCGGAGAGACAAGCATAAAACATCCATGTAGCATAATAAATGCTACATAGCATTTATTATGAAATCATACAACATTGTCTGGTACAGAAAATTAAGAGTCCAGGAAAGACAAAAGTCAATATACGCTAGAAGGGGAAAGAAAGGCATGAGGCCAGCTGATTTACTTGTATGAATTCACTTTAGACAAGGTGTAGGCTTTCAATTTGGCAAAGGAGCGGGGCTTCCAGGGAGCACAGGGGTAGGAACAAGAATGAGTAATAATAGCTTCTATTAACTAGCAACTATTTCACACTAAGCTACCTCCTGCAAGCCAGACTTTATGCGGGATAAAGGCAATGCTTTGTACTTTATACTGTTTTTACTCTTTTTCTGTACTACAGTTGAATTGCTTCAGAGCTTGGGTAGGGAAGAGGGTGCTATTTATTCTCCCCTTCAAAATCTCATCTCCCAAACTGCTTGGACTCCTGAAATTAACCACCAAATTATGGGGCTCTCACTTTTCAATATGCAGGTGAGGCTCTGGGGCGGAGAGAATGCTGAGAAACAGTCCAAACTTCCTGAAAGCTCAAGCTACAATAATGCGTTTGACTGCAGGCAAGTCTAACTAATCAGGCATTTAGCAAAATCCTCTTTAGCCTTCTGGAGGCAAAATAGTGTAGTATTTTAGGAGCACAAACTCTGGAACCAGAATACCTGTGTTTGAATGTCACCTCATTATCACCTGTGTGGCTCTGAGCAATTTATTTTACTTATGGCCTTAGTTTCTTCTTCTGGAAAACTAAATGGGTTGCTATGAAAAGTAATTGTGTTGATGGATGTAAACTGCTTCTTAGACAGCGTTTGGCATGTAGTAAATACTGTCTCAGTTTCTTAGCACTATCATTGGATAGATTCTGCAAATGAACCTATTGAATAAGAGTTGGCACCTGATGAAAGATTGAAAAATCACTCATTCTTGTGGAAACTCAAAAAATGCACTTGCTCCCTGACAGTACTAATGATTGCAGTGAAAGCAGGAGAGCTTAGGTCAGATAAGTATTTAGTTCTGACCAAAGAAATATATTGAAGTCTCTAATGAATGAATGAGTTCATTACTCAGCTTGGACAGGAGATCCAGACTATCCATCCCTCACTTAAATGCAATTTAGGATCCAGGCCCTATCCCCAGACCTTGTTGAGTTGGTAACTGAGAACCATTTTATTTATTTATTTATTTATTTATTTATTTATTTATTTATTTATTTGAGACAGGGTCTCACTTTGTACTATCTCAACTCACTCCAGCCTCGAACTCTGGAGCTAAAACAATCCTCCTGACTCAACCTCCAGAGTAGCTGGGGCCACAAGCATGCACCATAGCTCCCAGCTAATTTCTTTTGTATTTTTTGTAGAGAGGAGGTCTCACTATGTTGCTCAGGCTGGTCTTGAACTCCTGAGCTCAAGTGATCCTACCACCTCAGCTTCCCAAATTGTTGGGATCACAAGGTGTGAGCCAGTGCACCCAGCCAGGAGAAGCATTTTAGAATTAAACTATAGTTTCAAATAACAGTCTATTATTTTCAAAAATGGTATTTTCTTCGTTTAAAAAAAAAAAGCATACATCCTTGATACTTACGGAAAAAAAAAAAAAAAAAAAAAAAAGACCGTTTGGCCAGGCACTGTGGCTCTCGCCTATAAACCCAGCTCTTTGGGAGGCCGAGGCAGGCGGATCACCTGAAGTCAGGAGTTCAAGACCAGCCTAGCCAACATGGAGAAACCTTGTCTCTACTAAAACTACAAAATTAGCCGGGCATGGTGGTGCACTTCTGTAATCCCAGCTACTCAGGAGGCTGAGGCAGGAGAATCGCTTGAACCCAGGAGGCGGAGGCTGCAGTGAGCTGAGATCATGCCACTGCACTCCAGCCTGGGCAACAGAGCCAGACTCCATCAAAAAAAAAAAAAGAAAGAAAGAAAGAAAGAAAAAAAAAAGGAAAAAAGATCACGTATCACGTGCCTACCCGGTATTTATACTTAAGTCATACATTTCCTCTCCCTTTTATAACTTTGCATGTTACAGCAAAACTCAGAGCTTTCAAATTGTACAGCCTTTGATTAAAATTAAGTAATACAGTGTGAATCTGTGTGTGCGATTAAAATTAAGTGACACAGTGTGAGTCTGTGTATGTGTGTATGTGTGTGTGTATCTTCAAAAGTAGATTAACTAAATTCTATGAATATTGGTGTATTCTTCCTTTTGGAAAGGGCTTTGAGATAAGTATTTTTGGTGGTTGCTTGGATGTCATCAGGTTTCTAAACAGAGCTAATATTAGTTATAGCCAACAAATCTTGAGTGCCTACTATATGCCAGACCCACTGTCACATGCATATTTCATTTAATACTCACAACAATCCCATGAGATGGATACCATTATGATCTCCATTTGACATATGTGGAAACTGAAGCATAAAGAGATTAAGTAAATTTTTCAAGGTCACAGAGCTTGCAAGTCACAGAGCTGGGACTGAAATCCAGCTTCCACCTACACTGTCAACAGCATTCTTCCCTTCCATTCAGGTAGGCCGTGGTCCTCTGTGAGGCAGGGATGGTATAGGAGACAGAAAAAGGATTTTGCCAAGCACAGAGGGTAAAGTTTAGCTTAATTATTTGCCCTGTCAAGGAGATAGAAATGCTATGAGGTTGAGGTTGTCCTTTACCTAATGTAACTCACTCAGCTGTGGCCACTGTCCGCTGTGCGTGCCTTCACATCCCTGCCTTACTCTCTGAGCTTCCACCGCAGCATAGTGGACTGTGCATGCAGTAAGAATTGACTACACGGGTACGTTTAGCGTGAACCCTAAGTAACAAGTTGGGAGAAGTTCACTATTAATTCTATGCAGAGACACCAGGCCTGGATAAGGGAGAGAATAGCTGGGAGGTTAGGGTTCCGGTTAGGGACTTAGGCCTTCAAGTCAAGCAGATCTGAGTCTATATATTGTCTCTGTCACTTACTACCTGTCACTTAGAGCAAATTACTTAACCTCTTTCAACCTCAACTTGCTCATTTAGGAAATGGGGATGAGAACAAATCTTTCACAGTGCTGATGTGAGAATTCAGTAAGTCGCATGTCAATCACTTAGCACAGTCTGGCAAATCAAAACCACTGAATGGCAGCCACTCTTATCAGTGGTATTATCTAATGAAATATCCATGGGTTTTTCTCAGGAGAACACCTAGGGCAGACAAGCTGTCTGGCTGCCTGAAGACAGGCACAATGCACAAGCAGGACACAGGAGTGGATGGGGGCACGGATAATGTGGCTCCTGAGCTCTCCAGTTCACCAATGACCAGCACAGCCAGAAAGGGCCCCTAGGCTGTGCAGACATACAGCTCTTTGGAGGCTGCTACTTCAAAATGACAAGGGCAAAATGTCAACTCCTGGGATACCTCCTCTCACCAGTAATGCCAATAATTGCTCTGTTACTAGGAATGGTGCCCAGGAGAGCTCCATGAAGCAAACTCCATAGTTGGACACAACTTTATACTGTGTATCCAGTACTTTCTCATGCATCGACACCTGAAACCTATGGCTATCAAGGCCTATTCACGCCTCACTGCATTTAAGCTGCCTACACCCAGCTAACTATCTATGAGTTCTAGAGTCTCGTCCTCATAGTGCTCAGCTGCACAGGAATGGCTGCATGCTAAGCAGCAGGAGTGGACGGTCATCACTTCAGCTGGTCCTTGGTATCCACCCCTTTATCAGCTCACTGAAGTTATTTTCATAGCACTTCATCACTGACTGTTGGAGTTTCTGACCAAAGATGGCCAGTGGAACGCCACATTTTTAAATTGTGCATACTGGTGTCAGGTTAACCCAGGCAAGAGGCGCTGCCCTGAGGCCCACACTTTGAAGGGCCCTGCTCTGACTCTCCTATGGTTGCAACTCTCCCCCCAAAGTGGGCCATGGGGCCTCAGGGACATGCACATTTTGAGTTCAGATCCTCAGCTTCTAGAACAAAATTTAGGTAAATGAACCCCAGAATTTTCTGCTCAAACAGCATGAAGACTACAGATGGGAAGGTAGTTGTGCAGGACTCTTGCTGGGAGTTATCCCTCTAGGGGTACGCAGTGCCACAGGTGTACAAGCCCTACCTTGTTGGGTGACCAATGGCCAGTTGTTTTGGACATTAGAGTGCTAGATAGAGCTTGGACGTGTAGGCTGGCATGTCCATGTGCTTGAACCTTCTTGTAGTGTGGAAAGAGAGCCAGGGATAAGAGAAGAGAGTCAAGGGTAGGAATATGAGAGGGCAGTGGGTGAGTAGGCCACAGGCCAGATGCCTCCATTTGTAACATTGATCTGTGCCCTGCAGATCTTAGATGGAAGACTGCCTGTTGGTTCTGCCTTGTTCTTACGAATTACATGGAAGAAGCAGAGAGGTAGTAGCCCCTCCCTTACCCTTCACAACAAAACAGAGCAGGTGGCTTGCAAAATGGAATTTCCTTTTTGGCAGGAGAGCGTAATCCACAGCAGAATCCATCATGACTCTGAAAATTTCCAGAATAGGCCTAATTTCAAACATTCTATAACCTATGTCGGATATTTGTCCATGCCTATGTTCAAATTTGGATCTCAATAAAGTCCTCTACATCCCCAGCTGGTTCTCTAAGTAAGCCTTCCTCCCAGTACCTTTAGTGTGTGAATATCACTGGGCAGATGTGCTTTAAAGATAAACTCCAAGGCCTCTCAGTAGGAAAGCATCTGGCAGTGTCCTGATGTGCCCTGATGTGCCCTGAGTGCCCTGATGAGTGTTCTAACCCATGGAACCCTGTTCTCTCCTTCACAAATAGTCCAAACACTTCCCTGTCCTTCATTCAACATTCAACACTTGGTTCCGACGAGGAGGAAACTGTCTTTCACCAGCTCCAGATTCCCAATACCTTGGTGCTTACCCCCCTTCAGGAATGTGATTAGTGCTTGACACTGACGATTAACTTTCACTGTGGGGTTGTTGATCTTTTCCAGGGTAAATCTTGAAAGCATAAAACTTCTTTAATGTCAAACACTTAAACTGGATCAGAGAAAAATTAAACCACTAAAAACTGATGGTCTCCAGTAAAACAAGCCCCATCCAAGAGTCTGGGCACTGCTAATGCTGTCTGCAGCAGCTCATTCGGTTTCAAGTACATTTGAAACGGCAATTGTTTCACCATGATAGCTACTGTATGTCCGATGCACCACACTTCCGAATAATAAGGAAATCATTCAGTTGTTTGCTGAACAGGCTGGCTTGTCCATGAGCAGTCTGGCCGGCAGAAGCCTCAGGGATCCCAGAGAGAAGCAGTTGTTTCCTGATTGGCATTTCATCTAAGTACTAAGGACATCCACCGAAGAGAAGTTGCTGGATTTCACCTCCATGGGCAGGTTAGTGAAAGTCTCTCAAGGAATGAATCTTTTACAAAGCCATCCTCTGCCCTCTTTCCTTCAGCCCCTTTGCCTGCGACTCACCAAAGTTGGCATTTTGGGACACAGTCTTAACCTTTCTACCACAGGACTAGTCTTCTCCAGACAAGCCCCCTGTACGTAGGCCAGGGTGAGGAAAGGAAGCTAGTTCATTGAAGAGGTAGTCATGACTCCAAGCTCACTTCCCAAGTCCTCATCTCCACTCCCATTCTGTCTCCTTAAGTCTGTATCAGCCCTAAACAGCAGAAATTAGGACAAATTTGATTCTGCTCTTGCCATGTCCTTTTTAGCACCTAACATGAAGCTCCCACCCTGCCCCTTTAATGGTACACTCCTGCCTGTCCTCTTTGTGAGTTCTCCAAGCCTGGAGTCTCTTCACCATTTAAACATTCATAACCCTGATTTCTCAATAGTTCATACCATCTCATGTTTGGTCCTCTTATGAGATAAGGACAAATAAACCAATGTGTACACCACTCAGTTATGAACAAAGGAAAAAAAACGTAATGCTTTTTCCCCCAGAGATCATTCCTGGAACAGGAACCTTCAGTGTCCTTAGGGGAAAAAAAAAGTAAACATACCTTTTTTTTTTTTTTTTTTTTGAGACACGATCTTGCTCTGTCACCCAGGGTGGAGCAATCTTAGGTCACTGCAGCCTCAAACTCCTAGGCTCAAGCAATCTTTCTGTCTCAGATTCCCAAGTAGCTAGGACTATAGGTGCACACCACCATGGCCCAACTAATTTTTTTATTTTTTGTAGAGACGGGATATCACTGTGTTGCCCAGAATGGTCTCAAAATTCCAGCTCCAAGCGATTCTCCCACCTTAGCCTCCCAAAGTATTAGGATTATATGTGTGAGCCACTGTACCTGGCCTAAACATTTACTTAAAACACCTGATAACAGTAGCCACTAAATGACACCAGTGGTTATTTTAATTTAAATTAAGAGAAATTAAATACAGTTAAAAATTTTGGTTTTTAAGTGCTCAAAAGTCATATGTGCCCAGTGGCTACCATATATTACAAATATAGGATATTTCCATGACCACAGTAGTTTTTATTGGACAGCATTTCTCTGGAGGGCGATTCTACTGGTGGGACTTACAGGTCGTGTGCAGGTTGCTAAGGCTGGTAGGACAGATATGGGAAGCAGAAGGACCATTTTGAACTTCTTGTGAGGTATCCTTTGCCTAGACAGAATGTTCTCTCTACTGCTGCCCAAGACTCAACATTTTCCAAAAAGTCATTTTATGCCCCATACAAACAACACATAGCTGCCTAGCCCTTGCTTTTAGAAATAGTCAGAATAACCTTCAACTGAGTTCCTCCTTTAGGGACATAAAAAATTATAAAGTCGCCGGGCGCGGTGGCCCACGCCTGTAATCCCAGCACTTTGGGAGGCCGAGGTGGGTGGATCACGAGGTCAGGAGATCGAGATAATCCTGGCTAACATGGTGAAACCCCATCTCTACTAAAAATACATAAAATTAGCCGGCGTGGTGGCGGGCGCCTGTAGTGCCAGCTACTCCGGAGGCTGAGGCAGGAGAATGGCGTGAACCCGGGAGGCGGAGCTTGCAGTGAGCCGAGATCGCGCCACTGCACTCCAGCCTGGGCAACAGAATGAGACTCCGTCTCAAAAAAAAAAAAAAATTATAAAGTCATTGACTTTGTCCTGGCACTGTAGGTTACTAAAACCATGAAAAGTAGTCCTTAGTGAAGCCTAAACAGAAAACTAGAAACCCCAAGGATTCTGCTGGCATCAGGGGCCATGATGCTCCCTGCAGTCCAAATTAGACTAGCTAAAATCAAACCCAGAACCTTGGATAGATCCTTTGCCTCCACTGCAGACTTGGAGGGACAGCCACTAAACCTTATTTACTAAAGTGGGTAAGAAGCTAGGGACACTTCAGAATGATTTCCAAACAAAAGGAATGAAATAAATAGGGTGTTCTACTCAACTCCTGGTTAATTAACTAGAAAATTAAGCTCAGCAGAATGCCCCATTCTGGATAATCACGGTATTGCTGTAAGCAGAGTGCAGCCAAAAGGTTAATATCACTTAAGTTTCAACCATTTCTCTAACTGATTTAGGAACCTCTTACCAACCTCCAAATTAATGTTATTAGTTCTGGTGAGGGAGCAAACAGTAGTAATAGTAATTGCTAAAATTTATGCTTACTATGTTCCAGACAGTATTCTAAGTACTTAGTATCTATTAATTATTTTAATCTTCACAATAGTTCTATGAGATATGTACTATTATGATTGCTGTTTTGCAGGTGAGGGAAATGAAGCACACAGAGATTAGAGAACTCACGCAAAATCACATAAGCAGGAGATGACAGAGGTTGCATTTGACCCTAGATGATATGGTTTCAGACACAGCCTGTGCTCTAAGCCATTACACTATACAGCCTTGAAACTCTAGGTGACAATGAATGAATCACCGAAACTCTTTGGGTGCTGGCCATATTTCCAACTAGCACAGTGCCGTGGCAAACAGTAGACACTCACTAAAAGTTCGATGAATGAATAATAACTAAAATCTACTGAACACTTCCTCTCTCAATTAATCCTCAAGGAGTAATAATGCTAGTATTATAGTACTGTTATCACCACCAATTTTTGTAGATGAGGAAACAGAGACATGGAGAGGCTAGGATACTTGCTCAAGAAGATAGAGCTAGAGAATGATGGAGAAATGATGATGCCAAATCAAGATCCATCCTTGGAGGAATAAAGTCAATGTACAATCTGCCCTATCACATTCTTAATTATTTGCTGTGCCAAGTGTGAACTATAGCTGCTTCCCCTAGGTCTTATCTCATCAAGGTAACTGTGTGCTCCTTGAAGTAGAGACCATGCTTGACTGCTCTTTCCCCCTCAAGCTCTTGGCCCAGTGCTGAGCATGGAATCGGTGTTCAATAAGCACTTGCTAATTGATTCAGTACCCTACTGAGGAGGGGCTTTTTGAGTCCAAAGCCTGCTGGCTGGTTTCCTGTCTTTCCTTCTGGCCTTATGCAGCATCTCTGGCTTCATTTGAGGGTGAGGTGAGTAGGAAGCCAGAAAATGTCATTGGATGGAAAACCTGAGGAGTCTTATCTCTCAGGAAGGAGTGATGAGAGTGGTTTGTCCAAATAGGGAGAATTATTTTATTACTGAAATTGTTTAGAATTATTGAGGCATAGTGATGATTTAAAAAAAAAGCAGTATCACTTAGAATACATTTTATTATTGTTTCTGGATTCTCCACAATGCATCTCCTTGTGGCCTAAACCTGGGTAGGCCATGCTCACCACCCTATTCCCAACCACAGTATTCTAGAAAGAGTATAGAGGAGCAGGGCTGGAGCCACTCTTATCAATCAGTAGGCTTACAGCCCAAAGGCTAGGATTCGAGTCTCAGCTCAGTCATTAACTAGCAGGACTTGGGCAAGTCACTGAACTTACTGATATTCTAATAAAGTGGAGGCATCATAGCCTGTTTATACAATTGGTCCAAAAAGCATAATAAAATGATGATACAGATATGCTATAAATGGGAAGTGATAGTTGTTACTTTTGTTCTTCACTAAACTAGTGATCACTATTTTGCTGGCTTATCATGAGCCTTACTTTTGCAATTGACAGAATTAGTTGGGTTTTTTTTAAGCTTTGACTGAAGCAAAGCAAACACTTGGTTAAAGCTGGCTCAGATTTATCCTTAGTAAGAAAAACAGAGACCTCAATGAAGAATGCTACCAAATATCAGCACAATGCTCATATTTTAGCTCAATCCATTTTAGCTGGAGTCACCACCACAATGGAGAGACATTGGGCAAAAGCAGATTCACAACACGGAGTGTGAAGAAGGAACTCGTGCCAGCCAGACGCCCCATGCCTTCTCTCAGTCATCACTGTCCAGCAAGCAGAACCCATATCCGAATCAGTTTTTTTTTCAATTTTTACTTTTTTAGAAAACAGTAACAGCAATAGCAGGAGGTTCAAAGGAAGTGAAGAAGAGTGTGAGGGTATGGTTTCCCTGGAGATTGTTTCACAAACAAGTATACCTGATGCAAGAGCTGCAGTCACCTACAGGCGTCTTCTCTGACAGCTGATAGAGCCATTCTGGTGAAGTTAATTCCGAAGAAAGAAGCCCAATGTACTGCCATATTAGAAAACATTCCCAAAGCTTACCGTTACCAGCTAATGCAGGGACGTGTCAAAAGGCCTTTGTTTAGCAGTCAATCTACAGATGACATTTCAATGAAAACCGACATATTCAGAATTTAATTTGTCTCCACGTACGGGTGAGGGTTCGTCAGAGAACATTTTTTCTCCTTCAAATACCATAGATGATTGCCTCAGAGGAAGGCCCCAGGCGGAACTCCATGGCTATGGACACTGCTATTAACAATTAATTAATAGAATATTCAGGCCAAAGAGACCTTTGAACTCACTGAGCCCAGCCTTGTCAAATTATGGAGGAGAAAAATGAGGCCCAGAGAGGTTAACTGATGAATCCAAAGTCAGTGATAAATGGGACCAGAAGCCAAGTTTCACGTGAGTGTGCTTTTACTAAAACGCACGGACTCTTATTCTTTCCTCTGAATTCTCTGGTAAAGCTACTACCTTGTTGGTCACACCCCCAAATCTATGCCCTCTCTCACTTCCCCACATTATTTACAGATCATTTTAAATTGTATGTTTAACAGGTCATTTTAAACCAATTTTTCCTCTCAGACATGTTTTCTATTATTTTTATTTTTATTTTTTTGAGACGGAGTCTTGCTCTGTTGCCCAGGCTGGAGTGCCGTGGCACGATCTCTGCTCACTGCAAGCTCCGCCTCCCGGGTTTACGCCGTTCTCCTGCCTCAGCCTCCCAAGTAGCTGGGACTACAGGCGCCCACCACCACGCCTGGCTAATTTTTTTTGTATTTTCAGTAGAGACGGGGTTTCACTGTGTTAGCCAGGATGGTCTCGATCTCCTGACCTCGTGATCCGCCCGCCTCAACCTCCCAAAGTGCTGGGATTACAGGCGTGAGCCACCACACCCAGCTGACATGTTTTCATTTATACCAAATAAATTCCTGGTTTCTCTCACCAGTCAAAATGACAAACTCATTTTAATATTCATATAAATAGGTCATAATTTAGAAGGTAAATATAATACCTATAAAAAGAAAGTGAAAGATGATGAGACTGTTCATTTTTTGAAAGATCCATGACAGATACCATATAATTCATAGTGCTTGGACTTGGGGATTCAGAGTATTTTACATACTACCACATGTTGTAAATAAGAGGTAATGCTGTGGTTCAATATTCCTTTTGGTGGCATACAGTTAATCTTTCTTTTTTTCTTTTTTTTTTATTTTTAGTAAAGACAAGGTCTTGATACTTTGCCCAGGCTGGTCTCAAACTCCTGGGCTCAAGCAATCCTGCTGCCTCAGCCTCCCAAAATGCTGGGACTACAGGTGTGAGCTGCTGTGCTCCAAACAGTTAACCTTTCTTTGAAGATCTATTTGTATGTCAGAGAAGTAATACAATGTTAGTTGTAGGGACTTTTTCTGTATAAAGCCTCATAATTACATCACTTTGTTCCTATTTCCACAAATCAAACTCTGCAATATCTCTGTGAGAAAAGGTTGATTTCTGCTCAACAATGAATGAAAACATAATTGTATTCATTTAGACAGAAGATCATACTGACTTGGAATGCATATCAGAATCTCTAGAGAGTTATTCTTCCAGAAGGGATGAGTACGTCTGCTAGGTGATAATCAGTATCTTCAAAGAGTCTAGTTACCCACTTAAATGGTATGGAGGCAGGAAAAAGGTTGATAACTACCAATATAATGCTTCATATTAATACTTTCCAAGCCATCCTTAATAATAATGACATTTACTGAGCATTTACTACATACCAGATACAGCTCTAAGAATATTTAACATGTATTTAAATCATTTAAATCCCACATACAACCTGATGAGGAAACTGAGGCACCAAGAAATAAGATAACACACCTAGTAAGTGGCTGAGTCAGGATTTCAGCAGGCTGAAATCAAATCTTTCTTGACCCCATCCCCAACCCTCCAGTTCTAGTCCCCTGGGGGTAACCACGGCTATCTATTTGAGGTGCAGCCTGCCAGATTTCATTTTATGCATTTATAAACATAGACATGTACTCATAGGAAATAAATGTTTTTGTATTATATTAATATTTTCTTTTTTGTCCACACCAATCCTCCCATCTAATCTCTCTCCTACAGTGCACTGCCTCTTGAAGAAGGCTAAGTTAAGCATTATTAAAAATGATTCAGAAACCCGTTTTGGATATCAGCTTTCTCCCATGGAGTATATTGAAACCCTTAAGAGTTTGTGGCTCCAAACTCTTGGGCTAAACCTGCAGCTACAAAACACTGCTCTAGACCAGCTCTTCTCAACCATGGCTGCACATCAGAATCACCTGAGGAATTTATTTGAAAATGTACTGATGTCCCAAAATCATTTTTCTGCCTCCATACTATTTACACACCTTTTTCAATCTGGGACTTTCAGAGCTCACCTGAACCAACCAATGGAAGCACACCTGAGCTGACCAATCAGCACTCATCTGCCTTGGCCAATCAGGGTCGTCTGTATTGACCAATCAGAACACAGCTACATCTGCCAATCAGAACTAATCGAGTTTCAAATCTCATTTGCATAATCAGAACTTATTGGGAACCTGAGTGGAAACTTTTTCTATAAAACCCTAGCCATCCCTTTGTTCCCTGGAAAGCACCTTCCTTTTAAACATGTAAACTGCTTACTGTGATAAAGTCTCTTTCCTCCAAATTCCTGTTGACAGAACTTTGGTTTACAGAACACAACCACGCCCATCATTTACATATCTCTATGGCTGCTTTCATGCTACTATAGGAGAGGATAGTAATTGCAAGAGAGATCATATAGCCCTTTACAGACAAAAATTTTCTAACTCCTGGTCTAAGTCATCTCCTTTCTAAGATGGTTTGCTTCAGAGACCCGATGATCATGACAGAAACAGGTACACAACCATCTAACTGAGAGATTCCAAAGCTAGGGCATGGCCTTCCTTGGGATCACACTATAAGTGGACCCATGAGCAAAATTTTGAATGGGTTTGCATTTTTCTGGAGAAAGCCATTTCTTCACAAATTTTCCCAGATAATTAGTTAGGCTAACAGCATAGGTAGAAGACAGAAATCAGTCAGGAATGAGATAAAAATGAGCAGCAACTGAGATAGAATATTAAAATAAAGTTGAAGGCCAGGTACTATCCTGCCTATAATCCCAGAACTTTGTGAAGCTGAGGCGGGAATATCGCCAAAAATTCAAGAGCAGCCTAGACAACTTAGTGAGACCCCATCTATACAAAAACTTTTTACAAAATGAGCCAGATGTGGTAGTATGCACCTGTGGTCTTAGCTGCTTGGGGGGCTGAGGCAGGAGAATCCCTTGAGCTCAGGAGTTCAAGGTTACAATGAGCTGTGATTGCACAACTGCACTCTGGCTTGGTGGATAGAGCAAGTCCCTGTCTCTGAAAAATTAATTAATTAATTTGATTAAAGCTGCATCAAATTCAACTGACTAATAGCTGCTCATTGAAACTAGAAACACCTCAAAGCCAAGGCATCAGCCTAAATGTTACTATATCTACTTATATGGGCAAAAGCAATTTAACAATTTCAATCCCAGAAGTGTTAATGAGGACCAGGACAGATTATGAATAGGAAACTGCTTAGAAAAATAATAAAACATGATAATAAGTAATTTGTTTGAGGGTTTATTTCCCTTAATTACAAAAAATTATCAGATCCAAAAAAAAGAAGAAGAAGCACAGAAAATATCCAGGAGCCCAAGGAAATAATCCACAGTGGCATTAGGGCTGGATTGAATTTTCCAAATATATGAAAAGTTGTCTAAGAAATGTACAGACATCATTGGCCAAAGGCCACTAATGAACATGTTCAAATGGCTTCTAGATTTCCAGAGGATTTTAAAGAGAAGTTTCTCTCAGGCCCTCATCAGTAGCTCTGAGGAAGGGTTAAAGGTCCATTTCTTCAATTTTCTCTTAATTTGCTTTGAAAACGTTCTCCTCCAACGGTGCAAAAAAGCAAACTAACAAACGAACGGAAAAGGAGATTCTCGATCCCAGAAAAGATGGTGGCACAGTGATCCCAGGAAAATAGCATTCCACTGTGATTGACAGATCCATTTTTAAAAAATTTTTGTTGTGTTTAGATTTTAAATATTAACAGCTCATTGTGTGATTGACCTAGTAGACAGTGTGTGCTTGGAGGAAGACTTGTGAATGTCAGTTCCTTAAGGCCCACCACATCAAGATACTTCTAAAATATAAATATTATCATGGTCATGGTAACACACTTGCCTTATTTCACCACATCTTCTGAAACTGTGACCCTCCAGACGACCCAAGGGTCATTGCAACCCCACCTCATCAGGCAGGCAGAGCTATTGAGGTAGCCTCCCTATGCATATGACTGTGGGATGCTTAATGTTTCTAGCTCCTTGACCCACACTGTGATTCCCAGACGCAGTTTACTTAAGGGGACCCTCACAGTTTGAAACAGTTAAACTCTCTTTCCCCAAGTAGCTCACTCACTCCCATAAATAAAGTTCAAATGAAATCTGCCTCAAGAAAAATTCTAAAAGCCCACTCCTTAGGTTCCTGGGAGATTTATGGTATGTGTGTGCTAATCCTTGTTATTGCTGAAATAAGACAAGTGAAATCAGCACATGGCTCATTAAGAAAAACCAAATGGTATAGATGTTAGTGTTTTAATTGTAGGCGGGTTTTCAGATTTCACAGAATGCCCTATTTAAAATAAGTTGAATGCAATACAAGGCGAATTTACGAGGAATCCCCTTTAATTAGGTCGACCAGTTCTTGGTTCAAACCTAGGGAAGAGAACAATTAAAGGTCGAGGCTTCATTTCACGGGTGGTTTTGGAAGGTAGTCTCATTACTTTATAGTCACAACTTGCATACCCCGGTCACTGACGAGAAAGCTGAGAGCAAGCAGCTTTTCTGAAACCCATACCATTTTCTATTCTGATCTACTGCAAATGTTCTCTCCCCAAGGCACAGGAAGGACACATGGAGTGCATCTTGGCTACAACATATGGTGCTGAAACAGCAAGCTGATAAGTCTTTAGCAGTACTTGACAGTGGTAAGAGATCAATTATTGTCACATAAATATTAAAAAGCTCCCCTAGTACTTTGTTGTAATGAGTAAATTTAACCATGATAACTACCTCCCTGTTAATAGCAACCAAATTTGCCTAGGAAACAAAGTGTCACTCCATTAGGTGTTCAATTAAATGCTCAGTTGGTCCGAGGCTGTGTTGCTGCTGTTCCTATTGCTGCTGCTTCCATCTGCAATGAAAGCGAAAACATGAAATAAGTACCCATTACCTTCCCTGGGGACCATGATTTTTCCATCCTGCAGGTGATAGAAACTTTCTGAAGACTGCCAAATGTGGGTTTTGTCGGGGAAACTCTGACTTTGTCTTAATTTTTTGAGGAGATTGGATCTGGCCCTAGAATCAAGAACACACACTCTTTTGCTCCTGAGGTTTCAAAAGTTCTTCTCTAGCAGACTCTAGCAATCAATCCACCAGCAGGCATTCACTGATTGCCAACCTGATAGTTAGCTCAAGTCCCTACTCCCCAAGGCACGGACTTCTCCTGGGCAGGCTTGGGGAAGGGGTGAAGAAAAAAGAAGCATTTGCCAGGAGGCTGAAAATTCCCCGATTCAGATGCTTACCCAATGTCTCATGATTCTGTCTGTGGTCTGGAGAGCTCAGTGCATTAATTCTAATTCGAGCCACTGGGAAATAACTTCCCATTTCTCCACAGTTAGAACGGTGAAGCAGTCCCTTAAAACTGAGTACAACTCCCCTGATACGAGTTGTAATTAAGGTTACAGTGCATTTCTAAGACACCAAAGCTCCAAAGAGAATAATATCAGCTTGTAAAATCAAAAAGAAAAATGTTTTCATTATTTGAGAGTGTGTGCAGTTGTGCACAGGATAGGTGGGAAGATGTTCAAAGCACCAAGACCTTCTCAACCTCAATGAGAAATAAATACCAACACACATAGTTATAGAAAGTATATTTATATGACACAATAACAACCTTTGGCTGTAAGGTCAAGAGAAGGAAGTTCAATCTCTGGAATGAACAGGAGGGAGCAAAGCAGAGTGTTTAATGGTTAAGAGCATTTACCTTAGAGCCAGCCCACCTGAGTTCAAATTCTAGATCTACTACTTACTTGAGCAAATTACTTACCCTTTTTGTGACTCGGTTTCTTCGTCTGGAAATGGGGATAATAGTAGTGTATACCTTGTAAGGTTGTTTTGAAAAATAAGTGAATTAAGTTTTAAAATTTTAATTCAATTTAAATTTGAAATCCTTTTAATCCTCAATTGTAGAATTCATTTTACTGCAAATTTATCTTCAAGAAACAGCAGTTCCCACCACTTTGGAGTCCCCCAGTCTGCCTCTGCATTTCTCTGGCTAGAAAAACTCAAAGACTTTTGAGCAAAGATTCAGCTTTCGCGAAGTACTAGGTATTTCAAGAAGGGATGAAGGTGAGTCTCTTGAAAAGGCAAGCCCTCACCCTCATACGCAATGGGCGGTAGAGTGTAGCTACAGATCAGTACTGAATGTTTGCGCAGTGGACCCAGACCATTGCTCTGGCTGGGAGCAGTTTCTCAGGGAGCTCTCTCCTGAGGAGCCAGCCTACACGGGCTGGCAGAGTTACGGAGAGACTATTCATTTCGGGAGTGTTATTAATTGTTTTGACACCTGCCTCTGGCATCTGTACCTCTTGTGTAAATAAATAATTGGCTGGGGCCAGAGCACTGCCTGCTCTGAGATGATTGGAAGAAGTGCGGCTCTGGGAAACTGCCTGTGCTATTTGCAACAGTACCTCCACATTCAAAACACATTTTTCTCCCTGTCCCCACTACCCCATTCTTTTTTTTTTAATGGAAAAAAAAGAAACCTATCTTTTCTTCATATTCTCATCCCAGCTGGTGTTTATTTCCTCTCTCTTTTCCTTCCCCCTCACCCCACTTGGGGAAAAAACGAAAGAAGCCCTGGTTTCTAGGCAGTTAAAATAATGTCTTGTTCTGTGGTAAAGTTAACAATTTTGGTAGGAGGAGATGGAAAGGAAGGAGGGTTCGGTGAAACCACTGGACTGAATGCAACCTCCCTGCCCCTTCTGCCCACGTTTGGATTGCTTGTCTTTCTGTATTTTATCTCATTTTGAGCACATGCCCTCAGAGGTCAGGGATATGGCTTCCTTTACACTGTGACAAGGTCCTAACATCATCACAGTCATAACAGCTAACATTTGCAGAGTGTTGCCTATATGCCAATCACGTAGATCAGCACTGTAGACACTCTACCTTCTTTAATTTTCATGTCAGCCCTGGAGGATCGGTACTCATGATCCCTCTATGGCAGATGCAGAAACTGAATCCCACAGAGGTGCAGTGAGCTGCCTAAGGTCACACACTGAGTAAGAGGAGGAGGCTGCAAAACATACAGGGTAATCAAGTCTCAGACTTACCGGTTTAGTTGTCCTTAGGTCACATTTGAGCTCATTATGAGTACAAGCCTTCAGAGGGCAGGGTTACAGCTACTCTTCCACTAGTCACTAGCTTATTCAAAGTGGCCAATCCACATAAAATGATCCTCATGCTTGGGAACAGCAGCCCTAATCTTTAGAGTTTCTTTAATGGGTTTAGAAAAGGCCATTAATTCTGAGAAAGTCATTCTCTTGCCGTGTGCCTGACAAGTGAGAGGTGAGCTATATGCCTGACAGGATCATTCTCAGTCAAAGAACAGCCCTTTGTATGGAAGTATTCTCAAATTCCCCCCAACATAAAGTGAAGAGAAACATAATAGAGCAAATTTCTGAAGCTATTTTTTAAAAAATGGGGAGAGTAAATTTAGTGCTCATGAGAGTGAGGAACTCAACAGGATGATCTGGAGCAGACCACTGAGTTTCACAACTCACACTCTGCCAATCTCCTCCGTAAATACCCGGGCTATTCCAGGCCTGCTTCCTCTCTGGAGCAGATGCCACCAGTCTCAGAACATCATGGGGGTAGAGATGTAATAGGCAAAAGAGGCAAAAGACCATGTGGTGACACCATTGCACATTCATTTAGTGCTTCAGAATGTGCAAAGTGGCATCGCCTACACGATCTCATTTGTTCCCCTTACATTGGGGGCCAAGTCTAGGCAGGACTGGTATTAGTACCACCCCATTTGTCACATCAGGATCTCAAGATTCCATATGCTGACTGGACATGCCCCAGCTCCCACAGCCACTGAAGTAACAGAATCAGGATTTGGCACAGGTCAGCTGACTCCAAATCCCTGCATTTTCTGATAAAAGGATTTCAGAAGTAGGAATTTGGTTTTTGTTTTGTTAAAGTGCACCAGAGTATTCCTGGAAATGAACACGCCATTTTCAGTGTAGATATTAAGGGCCTGGCACATGCCCTATAGACTCCCTGAGAAGGCACACACTCTTATTGAGTATGGTTAGGACATTTCAGGGACACGTGGCACCCAGTCAGTCTGCCATCCATCTCTCGTTTCAGTCTCCCTTTTCTCCAAACTCCTACAAAATGTAAGTGCAGAAGTGTCTTGCTCAGTTCAGTTTTGCACTTATACTCTACTCGATCTAATTTACATTTCATCTTACCTGCTTTGATGTTGTTTCACAAGTCCTGTATCTCCAAACAGATTGAAAGCTCTTACATGTTTTTCCACTGTACCCAGCAATGTGATCACCAACAAATAAACATATGCACTCCTCTTTGTGGTTTCCAAGGCAGTTAGCTGCAGAGCCTCAGCAAACGCAGAACAAAGTAAATCAATAACGGCATTGAAAATTATTACCATTTACTGAGCACCTACTATATGCCAGGCAATTGGCAAGGAGCTTGATGTGCATTATCTTATTTAATTCTAACAATGTTATAAGGTTGATACTGTTATTATACATAACCTATAGAACAAACTAAAGCCCAGAGCAGTGATCCTCAAACTCTTTGATGTTAAGGCCACTTTAAACTTATAAAAATCTTGGAGAACCCCAACAAGCTTCTGTTTATGTGGAATATTATATGTATCTCAATACTTTGCAACTTAGAAATTAAAACTGAAGTTTTTAAAACCCAAGAACACACAAGCACACACTCCATTAGCCATCAGAGTGATGAAATCATCATTCATCATGGGGCCTCTGCAAATCTTCACTGTATATTCATGAGGGAATAGAAATGAAACAAGCAAGTAAGTTCTTACTGTTATTACAGAAATTGTTTGGACTTCACGGACTTCCTTGGATCTTCAGAACACACTTTGAAAACTACTGGCCTAGAGAGTTGATTGAATGTTCAAGATCACTCAAAAAGCTATCAGATTGAACCACAGCAGCATGAATCCAGAGGCCCTTCTTTGAGTCACTGGGCTATACTGATATTTGTTTGCCTCACTCTGGAGTCAGGAAGAAAAGGGGGTAGGTAGCTCCATGCCATTAGGACCAATTACCATGGTGACAATAAGTATAAGTGTTAGGGAAGCCAGGTGGCATGCTGCGTTCTTTGCTCAGGTGGGGGCAGCTCACTGCCCAGGGTCCTTGGACTTCCTTTCTGTCTTTCCCGAGGACAGAGCAAACATCTTGCCTAGAGACTTGATTGATGGCCCTCCCTCCTCTACATCTCCTTCCTTCTTCCGCATGTAGTGGCAAAGAGCAGAAGCTCTGACTCACTGGTTTCATGACCCTGGACAAACAATTTAATCTCTTTCTCATCTGTAAAATGGAGAAAAGAATAATACCTAACTCAAAGGCAAGATTGAGAGGGCTAAACAAGATAATGTATGTAAAGCTTTTAACACAGAGATGGCCATATAGTTATATCAAAAAGAAGCAGCAAATACAACTACCACTAATAATCATAATTTGTTGACCATTAACTCTATTTGAATTGGCATGCTAATGCTTTACATGTACTAATTCATTTAATCTTCACGACAACCTTTAAGATTGGGGTCATTTTGCCAATGAGAAAACTGGAACAGAGAGGTTAGGTGGCATTACAAGGTGACAGAACTCCTAAGTGATGACACTAGAAGTCAAACACCGGCTCTCTCATTCCAGAACCTGAGTTTAGAGCCATAAGGCTCTCCTCAAAGAAAAGTCCAAGCTGCTACACCCAGAGGAAGCAGAAAAACAGATCCTTATCCTAAAATCTCTAGATACAACATGAGCATAAGAAAACAAAACAGAGCCTTTCCCATCAACAATGTACAAAGGGCCAAGGAGACGAGGATTTTCGGGTCTGTGGATAGGATACCCACCACAGTTGCTCACTGGTGGCCAGATCAGAGCTCACAACTTCCTCCTAATCATCGGGTATTTGTTTCAAAGTCTTATAACCTCATGCATAATCTCTGCACCAAATAAATGGGAATCCCTTGCTTCACTCAATTACTCTTCATTGACTAACATAGTGGCTGATGTACTGAACCACAAGCACCTAGCTGGCTCTGAGGCAATCTCATGGAAGCTAGAGCCCCTCATTGGTGATCTGCTGAGTAATTAGTGGTTGACAGGTCACTTATTTTCCTGTTACTTCAAAGTGCAACACAGAAGACACTTATTTCATTTTACCGCTTTGCAACCGAGGTAGCCTAGGAAGCTAATGGATTTATGCTTCACTCTCTTGTTTACTTCTCCTTGAAAAGCAAAGGATCCCTTCACTGCCAGCCTCAGTGACATCAAATCAAGTAATGGAGTGAAACAGAGAATGTAGGGGATCAGGATTGGACCCTAGGTGTATGAATTAAAACGCAGTGCAATATCTCTGCCACTGGTGTCAGAAGGCATAATTTGTATAACGAGCAGCTGCAGGCAATTGCTCAGTGTGGTCTGAAGCAAGGGCTTTAATAAAATAACAGCTCACATTGATTGAATGTAATAAGTATGCCAAGCACATGCTTCACATGTATTAATTCATGGAGTCCTCACAACAGTGCTATGACAAAGGTCTTCTCCCCATTTTACAGATAAGGAAACTGAGACAGAGACCTGAAGTAATTTTGCCAAGGTTAAACAACTAGTAAATGCCAAAACTGGGATTTGAACCCAACTATTCTCACTCCAGAGCTACCTTCATATACTATACTGTCTCTGTTGAAGGAGGAAATAGTGCAAAATAAACTACTTTGATATGCTGGATCTTGTTTAATGAGTCATTCATCTAGTCAGCAAATCATTACTGTTCACCTTATGTGTGCCAGATATTACATCAACACTAGGGATCCTGTAGGTGAGGAGGGAAGTCCCTGCCTTTGTGAAACTTCAAATCAAATGTGGGAGACAGACACTAATCCAAAGAATTTCACCAGTAAGAGTAAAATCACAACCGTGACAGATGATACCAAGGAGAATTATATCATTCTTGGAAAACAGGTAATAGGAGACTGTGACCTTGAAGGAAGGAGGGGGCACACAATTAGAAATCCTTCCCTTAAGAAGTGACAATTGAGTTGCAATCTCAAGAGGTGGGGAAAGAGCATTCCAGACAGAAGGAACAGCACGTGAAAACTATTTTTTCTCCTTTTTCCCAAGCCTTTTTGACAGCTGCACTGGGCTCGTTCTCTGGCCTCAGTTTGAGTTAGATGGTTCACTTTATCATGGTGAGACAAACATGACAAACCTAAAAATAATGGCTTCCTTTTTTTTAAAGCAGCCTGATTGCATAAAAAGATTTAAAGCTCAGGGCTCACCATTTTATCTCTTTTCTCTAAGTGCCCAAAGATGAGCAGGGGTGTCAACCAAGACTAATTGTTCCAATTGCAGCTGAATTTCCACCTCCTTATGAACTGGTTCTAAAAGATCCCCTTTAACAAAGGAAAAAGGGCTAGTCAGAGCTGGAAGGGGGAGGCGGAGGTTCTGAGGGATGGTGTGGGAAAAAGGAAGAAGCTCAGAGGACGTGCTCCCTGCTGGACTGCATCAAAAGCTCTTTGCTCCCAGTTCTTGTTCCCTCCAAGCACATTTCTCCTGCCCTTCTTCCTACTCCCATCTGCCCATTAACCTTGAAGCCTGTGCAGTGAGCAGGGACATCTTAGAATCCATTTGAACTTGGGGCTTGGCTGCCAGCTTCCACTGAGACTTGGAATCAGGCTGTCCTTCCAGACAACAGGGATTAGCACAGCCCAGGGACAGAAACACATTTGGCAAGCACTTCCCTGTCCTCAGAACCCCCATACCTGCTACACCCTTCTGACATGAAGACCAAGCCACCTCCATCTCCTTACTCCCTAAAGCCCCAGAAGTACCCTGACATATCAATCCCTAATTTGGTATGCAAAAGGGCAGGACCCAAGCACATATGAGCTGGTTTCTTTTCTTTACTTATTTATTTGCATATTTATTTTGGCAATAAATAAAGACTTAGGATACTCTTCCTATATTTGAACATGAGTTCTTATCCCGGCAGTAGTCACAGTCCTTGGGCTACTGATTTCCACGCTTATGTGAGAGACAGACATTAACCCCAAAAATCTCACCACTCACAGTAAAATCACAACGGTGACAAGTGATACCAAGTAGAACTTTATGGTTCTCCATCTCCACGATACAGATATGGAGGAGTAGGATGGACTTGGTCTGAATTGATCTATAACGTTCCCTCCAGTAGAGTGGGAAGAGCAGCAGCCCCTATTCCTATGTGGTGGTTATGAACACAAAATCAGACTGCGTGGGTTTGGATCCTAGCTCCACCCCTTGCTAATTGTGTGTAAACCTGGATGTCTTTTATAAACTTTAGTTACCTCTTATGTAAAATGAGGACAATAATGTAAAATGGGGATAATAGTACTTAATCATAGCATAAAGTTGTTGTGGGGCTTAAATGAGGTGATACATGTAGAAGAGTGTCTTAAACTCACTAAGCTCTCAATACTTCTTAACCATTATTCTTTATGAACCATGTGCCTTCATTTCATGAAGCCAATTTAGCAATTCAGTGAAGTCCATGCAATCACACATCTACTGGTACCTGTGATTCTTTCTCTATCCCAATTATACAAGGTAAAGTACTAAATAATAACCTTGCTCCACTCCACATTTTTGATAAAGTTTTGCTACAAAACTGTATTTTGACCATTATTTTATTTTGGAGCTTGAGTTCTGTAAAGGGTTTTGTCATTTCTTCATTGCGAACCTCTTAAGCACATTATAAAACATTTTGTCCTCAAATACAATTACACAATAGATTTCTTACAAATCCATATATATGACATCCCCCATTAGCCATGGTGTCAGTTACCTACAGTCAACTTGTGGTCCAAAAATATTAAGTAGAAAATTCCAAAAACAAACAATTCATAAGTTTTAAGTTGGACACTTTTTTTTTTTTCTTGAGATGGAGTTTCGCTATTTTTGCCCAGGCTGGAGTGCAATGGTGCCATCTCGGTTCACTGCAACCTCCGCCTCCCAGGTTCAAGTGATTCTCCTGCCTCAGACTCCCGAGTAGCTGGGATCACAGGCGCACGCCACCACACCCAGCCAATTTTGTATTTTTAGTAGAGACAGGGTTTCGCCATGTTGGCCAGGCTAGTCTCGAACTCCTGAACTCAGGTGACCCTCCTGCCTCGGCCTCCCAAAGTGCTGGGATTACAAGCATGAGCCACTGCACCTGGCCTAAATTGGACACTTTTTCTGAGAAGCATTATGAAATCTCAGGCAGCCCTGCTCCACCATATCCAGTACATGAATCCTCCCTCTGTCCAGCACATCCATGCTGTCTACTTATTAGTCACTTAGTAGTCATCTCAGTGATCAGATCAACTGTAGAGATATTGTAGTGCTTGTGTTCAAGTGGCACTTATTTTACCTAATAATGGCCCCAAAGCAAAAAAGCAGTGATGCTGGCATAATGTTATCATTGATTTATGTGATATTTTATTATTACCTATTGTTGTTATCTCTTACTGTACCTAATTTATAAACTAAACTTTATCAATAGGGATGTATGTATCAGAAAAAAAAAACAGTATATATATATATATATATATATATATAGCCATGGTTTCAGGCATTCACTGGTGGCCTTGGAATGCATCCTCCACAGATTAAGGGGAACTACTGCATGTAATTGGAGTTAAAATATACTACCCTGAAGGGACTTTTATTCTTCCTTATATAGCAGTCATATTGCATGTACATTAAACCCCAAGGTTGAGGTTTTTCTCATTTTTTCTAGATTCCTGTGGGTCTGTGAGAAAAACCTGTGAAGACTCGTTACTGGTTTTTTTTTCCCCTGAATCAACAGTGACACTGATTTATAGCTTAATGGTGATCCCCGAGTACTTAATAGCACAGATTACACTGTAATAAATTCATTTCCTCTAGACTTAAGTGACTAACATGCTGGTCTATTACACTGGCATAATAATATAGGAACTTTCTTCCTGGTTACTGAGAAAATTTCTAAGGAATTGGTACCTACTTAAACCGAGTATTAAAAAAAATTTTCTGCTGGTGGATTCTTTCTATAAATTAATTCTTACCTGGGAAACAAAAATGGATAATTTCATTTCCTAAGAATATGCTCACCATGTGCACTTGAACGAGCAGGCCTATTTATTTTAGTTAACCTTAATTATCCTTAAAACATTCAGGATCATTAGGAGAATTAAGATGTTTAATACTGTTCAAATTCACTTACTAATGTCAAGATTCCCACTTTGCATTTTATCTTCTGGTTCCTGAATCTGGGTCAACTCTGCCTGCACTGCACATCTCCAAATATGTTTTATCCCTTTTTCCAGGCCTCAGGCCCCGTTATGTGTTAATCAGTAAAAGAAAAATCTTAACATACAGATGCTTGTACTTAACATCTGTCAGTAACCCCCTGATTAATGACTCCCGTGTTGCCTAGCATGTCCAGACATCATAAGGCTTGGCTAATGTTTTGATCAGGCCTGAACAGCGTGTTTAAGAGATTCTCTTATGGACAGCTAGAGGGTAGGAAATAATCACGTTGAACGAAGAGTCCAAGTTCTTGCAACTTGTAGTGAAATCTTTCTGAATATTGATTCCCTTTGCTAAGAAGCTCAAAAGTTCAAAGCAAGGACCTGAGGCCGTGGCTCCCCCTTGTCTCCTTCAGACAAACTGAACTCCTCCTCCTTCTAAACTAACAGGATTATGAAACAGAATTTTTTAAAGCGACGTTACCCCCTTGACCTCTTTTCAAGAGGCTCTGTTATTAACATTAACTTAAATTCCCTCTGACAGAACCAAGTTTTCAAATAAATTACACTCAGATCATTCCTCCCACTTCATCCTAGTGGTATTTTTTAAAAATGATGCAATGTGGATAATTTTGTATCTTAGAGTGAAGCTTTTAAAATTCATCCACAGGTAAGTGAGCATTGCTCTGGATGAGTGGCAAGCTGGTATGGCAACTGATTGCTTAGCCTACACGGTCTGCCACTGGTAGCTTAAATACAAAGACATTCTGTGGGTCTACCTGTCTCTTAGTCCTTACAGGAACAGAAAGGAGCCTCACCACATTCCAGAGAGTTGGGGGTAGCGATACTGCCACGTGGCAGATACACAAAAGTATTTGTCAAATAAATCAATGAAAGAATGAATGCCTAGTTTATTTTTAAACACAGAAAAGAAAGCAAGCCCACAGCTCCTCCCTACCCCCACCACCCCCATACCATGGTGCCATTCCAGGAATAAGCTTCGTCATCACAAGTTCTCATTTCTTCCTCAGAAATAGAGACTAGGCCTTTTGTATTTGGCCAGTGAGTGAGAACATCAGTGTACCTAGGAAGCCTTCCTTAATTAAACCAAAGGCTAAAAAAGAGGCCACTAGTTTGAACATCCATGCGGCCATTGGTGACTTTTAAAAGAGCAGTTCCAGTGGAGTGGTGAAGGCGGAAGCCACCCTGCAGTGGGTTGAGTCGAGTAGGTGGAAAAGCAGCAGAGGCAGGAAATGTAGGCCAGTCTTTTAAGCAATTTGTCAGGGAAGAAAAGGATAGAGAGAGAAGAGCAGCTTTAGGGGGAAAATCATTCTTCCTGTTCCCCCAACAGGGGAAAGTGTTTTCAGGAAAGGCATCTATTTTATTTACACAGGGTAATCATCCCTAAGCCTTCTTTCAAGCCAAGGAAAATAAAATGAGGGAAGCAAAAAGGTTGAGGATGCAGAAAAACAGAAGGAATAAAATCGGGGAATTTTCCAAAGAGCGCCTGAGGTTAGTTTTGTACAAGAGGTGAAAAGTGGAGCATTCCTTCTCTTTACAAAGATACAGAATGAGGAAAAGATGCATTGGCATGCAGAGGACTGTGGAGAAGGGGTGGATGTAGTGATAAGGATGCGCTAAGGACACAGTGAAGGAATTCAAAAGGAGAAGCAGGAGCTGCAAGCCTCAAAGGGGGTTTGGTGATGGTGACTGGGAGACAACAGAACATCTTCTGTTCTCCTGAAGGGGAGTCAGGAGAGCAGTTCAGGCATTTTCTGAACCAGTTATAGTAAAGATCTGGCCTCAGATGAAGGCAAATCCTGTCTGATGACACCCTACTCTCCAGGATTTTGCTATACGAGTCTCTATACAGACAAATAACCCAGTGTAGCAATCAGTCCAGCTGCTATTTTCCTGCAGGAACGACTAGGAGAATGATCATTTTTAGCCTACAGGGTTCATCAATTCTAGAGCTGTCTTCTTGCCAGTGGAGAGGAAAGGGCTACAGCTATGTGATTTACATAAAAAACAAGTCCTGGTCAATGAGTAAGATCAAGCAGAGAGTTACTAGAAGTCACCCAGGCTTCCTAGAAACTTTTACTGCCAGGCTTAGCTCATTCCATCTTCCACGTCTCTCACCCTATACCCTGAAACTTCACCATTGTTTTAGGACTATGTTGCCTTCCTGCCTGTTTACCCGGAACATTCCCATAGCATACCAGCCAGCCATTGTGCTTGAATTCCCAACTATTAAAATCACTTCTTTGGGGTAAGGCTATGTTTAATGAAGATATGTTAAAATGAGAGAAATCATGTAGCAACACCTGGGTACCCAGTGACACCCACAACTACATTTGCATGGCGGTCTGTGTCACTTTGGCTTGCTGTCACCTCAGAAGCATGGGGCCTGGAGGGGGTATGAAAAAACACAGGGGTCTGGAAGGTTGTGGGACGCAGGGAGAAGCCAAGAAGACAGACCAGAATTTGTCAATACAGTGTGGGAAAAATCAGGGAACTGGGCTCCAGAAGCAGCTCTCATCCAGGGTTTGGGAAAGGGGGCTGGAAGACAACTTTTCCCACTTTACACTTTTCTCCAGGTCCAATAAGAAGCCCTGAAGGACATTATTCTTATAAGAGCACATGGAAAAGGATTCATCCTACTGCCAACACTAACATCTTCCAGGTTACTGTTCTACCAGAAGCAAAGCAACACTGGGATAGCTCCCAAGGAAAGAGAACAGTTAGTTCAAAAGGTTTAACCTATAAACTACCTCAATGTAGACCCATGCCAAAAGAGTTACTCTGGAGCTGGGGAAGGTGCCACTCCTGAAAAGTCATGCATTGACCCAAAATGACAAAGATCTAAACACCCTGGATTAAAACTGTCACTTTTAGACAGATGCCTTAGGATTCATATACCCCTAGGAGAGGCAGCATCCTTCCTTAAATGTACATTGTAATTTTAATGAAAGATTAGAGCCTATTCTGGGAGCAACACTTTCTATTGGCAAAATAGAAATATCTTTAATGTTTTTGTGATTATAGAGGTAATACATGATCTTCATGAACATTCAAACAATACAAATGTATAGAAAGTAAATAGTAAAAGTACATTGTAATGTCACTTCTCTAAAAAGTTGTTTATACACTTCCAGATTTCGCTAACCTATAAAATCACTTCATTTATGCTATTTTGTACCTTAATTTTTTCACTCAACAATATATTATGGCCGGTAAGGAGAAGTGAGTTTCTAACAAATTGACTCTCTCACAGATAATAATGATAAATTCAGGACAAAACACAGAATAACAACTACCTTAGGGCTCTGGACTGTAAGCAAAAGTAGTTCCAAAAAAGAAGCATTTCCCTGAGAATTTGTAACTGCAGTCTGACCCTCATGTGGGTTTCTGGTTGGGATTCATGCTGCCTGTCCAAAAAACCTCAAACAAAAAATTGAACTAAAAGTGGTCCAAGGTTGGTAATAACCTCCAGGCTACTGGCAGAAACAAATGCAAATCATCTCTGGAAAAATTCCAGCTGAACACCGGTAGAATATATACAGAATATATTACCAACCAAACAACTCCTTTCCTAGCTATAGACAGAGAAGAACTCTTATATATGTGCAGTGGAAAATATGCAAAATAATATCTATAACATCAATACTTTTAATATGAAAACCACACCTGGCAATAGCCCAAGTTACTAAACAAATCAAAAAAGATAAGTAAATTCCATGATAGTTATACCATTGAGTGTCACACAGTACTTATAATGAACTACAGCCACATGCATCAACATGAAAGGTTCTCAACGACATAACATTGAGCAAAGGAACAGTACATATACAGTATGATTTAACTTATATGAATTTTGAGAGTATTACATATGTGTGATAAAAGTAAAGAAAATCAAGGGAATGATTTTTCTGAATTTCAGAGTAGCAGTTACTGCCAGGTGACAAGAGGGATACACTCAGAGCAGACAGGTGACTTCAGAAATAGTGGCAATGTTCTCTTTTCCTAAGCTGGGAGTGAAGTGCTCATTTTATTTCCCTCCATTTTCATTCTTTAAAATGTACACACATGTTATATACACTCTGGTAAGTATAATTATTTGACTGTATGTTTTTTAAAAATCCAATCAACAAACAAAGAGGAAGCTGGATATTTAAATAAGTTCTCAAAGAAACAGTGAATTTTTAATTTTTTAAAAAAAGGCCCTAGAGTCTTACAACTTTGAAGAATTCAGATTTTCTTACCTTGGGTTTCCGTATAGATGCACATGGGCCTGGGTTAACATGGAACAGAATGCCAAAGTGGGTCTTTGAAGGTCATCCAGACCAGCCCCAGTCTTTTGGACAGATTGAAATAAATCTCATCAGAAAATAGAATAATCGACTGTACATTACAAATTGTATCAGAAGATGAATCCATAGCCTCTTTAGTTAAGTTGCTCTAGGTGTGCCTTTTCTCCAAGTGGGTCTTTATCATGCTTTCTTTGTGAAAATGCATTATGAATATTTTCAAACATACAAAAGTGTGGAGAGAATACTGTAACTGACCTCATAAAGATCTATCAATGAGAGCAACAAGGAACAAAATGTTGCAACACGTGCTTTAGTTATGTTGTTTCCTTATTTATTTTTTTTTATGTGACATATCCTCAATCTGTCTCCCAGGATGGAGTGATCACAGCTGTAACCCTGAACCCTGAGGATGGCCACAAGTGATCCTCCAGCCTAGGTCTCCCAAAGTGCTAGAATTAAAGGTGGGAGCCACCATGCCCGGCCCTGTTTCTTTATTTCTAAAGTATTTTAAAATAAATCTCAAGGATGTCATTGAGCCCCTACATACTTCAGTATGCATCTCTAACTGTAATACATTTTTATTACTCATTCATAATGATATTTCACATCAAATAAAATTAACAATTCCTTGATAAAACCTGGTGCATAGTCACATTTCCAAGATTGCCACAAAATTTAATCTTATAATCATTTTGATGGAACTGCTTTTTAATTTTTTTTAATAAATTTTGTGTATATTTGAGGTTTTCAACATAGCTGCTATACAATACATATAGATAGTAAATTGGTTACTATAGTGAAGCAGATCAACATATCTATCATCTCACACACTTAGATTTTACTTATTTAACAAAAAACCCTAATACAATACAATTTTGTGAATTTTAGTACTCGAGTTGTACATGAGGTCTCCAAACTTGTTCATCCTACATATCCCTTGAGCTACATCTCCCTGTTTCCTGTTTCCCTTCCCCATCTCCCCTGGGCCCTGCCTGCGGTAACCATTGTTTAATTCTCTATCTGTGCACTTGAGCTAGATTTATTTTTATTTTAGAGACAGGATCTCACTTTGTCACTCAGGCTGGAGTGCAGTGGGGCAACCACAGCTCACGGCAAACTTGAACCCATGGGTTCAGGCGATTCTCCTGCCTCAGCCTCCCAAGTAGCTCAGATCACAGGCATGCATGACCATGTCTGGCTAATTTTTTTAATTTTCTGAAGAGACAGGGTATCGCTATGTTGCCAAGACCGGTATTGAACTCATGGGCTCAAGCGGTCCTCCCGCCTTGGCCTCCCAGAGTGTTGGAATTACAGGCATGAGCCACTGCACTCAGCCTATTTGAGCTCTTTTAAAAATATTCTGCATAAGTAGGATCATACAATAGTTTTTCTTTCTGTATCTGGATTATGAAATGTCCATCAAGAAATTATATATAATTATATATATTATTTATAATTATATATTACATTATAATCACTTATAATAATTATATATTATATATAATTCATATATATATGTGTGTGTATGTATGTATGTGTATATATATATATATGTCTTAAAAAAGATCCTGCCGCTAGCCACAACAGGGATCAACCTGGAGGACATTATGCTAAGTGAAGTGCATTTATTTTTGAAGTACTGCTAATGTTAATGTTCACTGGTCTGGGTCAGAGTCTGTATTCCAACATGGCTTACCACCTCCCAGATGACAAGGGTGGGCTTTTGGCTGTTTTTCACAAGTATGGAAAAATGTGTCCCTAAACCTTCTGAACTCATTCACTTACCACCTGTCAAGACTAACACCTGTTTGCCAGTTGACATTCTGGAGAACAGAGTGGAGCAATCAGACCCCTGTGGTAATAAAGCCCACGAGAAAGTTATTTGGTAGTAGCCCCACCTTGCCTGCTACTGCTGTAGCTGCTGTGTGGCTTTAAAACCTCCAAAACCACTCTGAATTCCACCTAGGGCTGTACCATGGCAATAAAATCCTGCTGTTTCGGAGTATTCAAATAGCAGCAATAAAACCCAGGAAATGACTAGTATAAATGTTTTACTGTCTCCTCGTTGACAAGAATTTTTTTAAAGTAATCCCATTGATGCTATAAGCAGTGTGTCTCAGGGAGACAAACACTGCCAGCTGCTTCCGCATAGGTTAGAAAGAGCTATAGGATCCACACTGGAAGGTTTCATTATAATTTTGTTAAAAACACATACCCTATGACACAGAAATTCCAAATTTTTATATTTGCTCTAAAGAACACACACATTGTGTGCTAAGGAGCTGTTTAAAAGGATTTTTCATTACTGTTTTTTTGTATTAACAAAGACAAAAGTTAGAAAAAAGCTAAATATTGGTGAAAAGGGGATCAATGTATTTATTGTGTAAAGCACCATGCCTCATTCATTAAAAGAATGAAGTAAATCTTCATTTACTAACCTTGGAAGACACCGAAGATAAGTCATTAAATTTTAAAAACAAGCTGCGAAATAATAGATAAAACATCCATTTGTAGGAAAACGCATACACTCTATAATCTCTATTGCATGTATGTACTGAATGCAGAGATAAATGACTGGAAGATTCCCTACCAAATTATGAACTGTGATTATCTCTAGAAAGAAGACTGGGATGAAAAGAATGATAAAAGTCAAGGGGAATTTAACACTATCTTCATCATTTCAAATTTTACAATGACAATGTAGTTATATGTCATGTGGCTCACTTATAATAAATGAAAATGTTAAAAGAAAAAAATTCCTAGATGTGTTTTCACTGGCAAAGGTAAAATTGCAAGTTTGCACAGACAAGATTTCAACCATTTATTGAGAGCAGACTCTGTGGCAGGTGATATGGGGTTACAAACATGAATGAGCAATGGACCCTGTCCTCCAAGAGCTCCTCTTCCAGGCAGAGAGACAGAATGTGAATCCATGAAAAGATTCTCTATAAGCAAATACCCGTCTGCATCTACTATGGTGTTCAGAAGGAGGAAAGGCACTATATACTGCAGTAGACGGAAATGGTCTCAAACAAGAGGTAGTTGTTGAACTGGACCTTGAAGAACAGATAAGACCTAAATAGGAGGGGTGTGCCATATGGAGTTTGATGGCATAAAAGACAGATAGAGGCAGGGAATCCCAAGTCCTTCTAGCAGTCCTTAAAGGCTTCCTGGACAGCTCTGCCCACTGACAGACTCTACTTTCTGGGCTCAGTACCAAAGAAGGTCCAGCCATGGTACAGCTCATTTAAAACTGTGAATAATCCAAGAATTATTTCGATTTGGCTTTGAAAGGTGTCATGTATTTTTTTTTCATTTTTTTTCCAGCAGATTTAACTTCCCTAATTATCTTCTGCTCATCAGATTCTAAAATGAGTTTCCATTTTCTAAGCCCACATTTACAAAATGATTCCTGCCTGATGCACCCTACCACTCCCTCCCCATGCTGTACCACCAACTGCATCCAGCCTTACCAACCTCAGGTCCAATGTAAGTGAAGGTCTCCCAGGACCCCATTTTCTGTTGGGTGAGTCAGTGTCTGCTAATGAATTAATCATTACATAATCCCCATTCATTTGTTATCTCTCTCAAATAACATACTTGCTTAATCAAGATAAATTGAATACATCTCCAAAAAACCTCAAAGCAGGACTTAATGGTGGAAGTTTTAGCCAATATCTTTGAGACTGAAGCAGAAGGTATTTGGAGAACCTGACTCATCCCACTGGTATGGGGCTCTGTGATGGGACAGCTCTGCCTGGGCAAGAAGGACTTCTAGGCAAAATATCAGAAAACCTGTTCAGTGGGCTGGCACTCTGCCATATCCCTTTATGTGGAGCAATCCAGAAAGAATCCACAAACCTGAACTCTTAACAGGTTTCAGGGCCAGTTGGCTCCATAGCAAGGGCCTTCTAATGTTGAGCCCATTTTCATGTAACTGTTTGCCATTTGTACGTGTGCTTTTATAAATGTCTATTTAGATGTTTTGCCCATTTTTTAATCATATTATTAGATATTTTCCTATACAGTTATTTGAGCTCCTTATATATTCTAGTTATTAATCCTTTGTCAAATGGTTAGTTTGCATATACTTTCTACCATTCTATGGGTTGTCCCTTCACTTTGTTGATTGTTTCCTTTGCTGTGCAAAAGTATTTTAACTTGATGTTATCCCATTTGTCCATTTTTGGCTTTGGTTGCCTGTACTTGTTGGGTATTACTCAGGAAATTTTTGCCCAGACTAATGTCCTGAAGATTTTCCCCAAAGTTTCTTGTAGTAATTTCATATTTTGATGTCTTAAAGATTTTAATCCATTTTTATTTGACTTTTAAATCTGGAGAGAGATAGGGGTGTAGCTTCATTTGTCTGAATATGGATATCCAGTATTCCAAGACATTTATTAAAGAGACTGTTCTTTCCCCAATGTATGTTCTTGACACCTTCGTCAAAAATGAGCTCATTGTAGGTGTGTGGATTTGTTTCTGGGTTCTCTATTCTTTTCCACTGCTCTGTGGGTCTGTTTTGATACCAGTACCATGCTGTTTTGATTACTATAACTCTGTAGTATAATTTGAAGTCAGGAAATGTGATTCCTCCAGATTTGTTCATTTTGCATAGGATAGCTTTGGCTATTCTGGGTCTTTGGTGATTCCACAAAGGATTGTTTCTTTCTCTTTCTGTGAAGAATGTTATTGATATTTCATGGTGATTGCATTGAATCTATAGATTGCTTTGGGTATTACGAACATTTTAATAATATTGATTCTTCCAATTCATGATCGTGAAATATTTTTCCATTTTTTGGTGTCCTCTTCAATTTCTTTCATCAGTGTTTTAATAGTTTTCATTATAGAAATGTTCACTTCTTTGGTTACCATTAATTTCTGGGTATTTATTATGTGTGGCCATTGTAAATAAGATTACTATCTTGATTTTTTTTCAGATTGTATGCTGTTGGGATATGGAAATGCTACTGATTTTTGTATGTTGATCTTGAATCCTACAACTTTATTGAATATGTTTCAGTTTGAATGGTTTTTTGGTCAAGCCTTTAGTTTTTTCTAAATATAAGATCACATCATCTGAAAATAAGGATAATTTGACTTCTTTCTTTCCAATTTGGATGCCCTTTATATCATTCTCTTGTCTGATTGCTCTAGCTAGGACTTCCAGTACTATGTTCAATATCCGTAGTGACAGTGGGCATCCTTATCATGTTCCAGATCATAGAGGAAGGGCTTTCAGCTTTTCCCCATTCAGTATGATACTAGCTGTGGGACTGCTGTATATAGTTTTTATTATGTTGACGTATGTTCCTTCTATCCCATTTTTTGATGGTTTTAATCATGAAGGGATGTGGAATTTTATCAAGTGCTTTTTCAGCATCAATTGAAATGATCATATGGTTTGCATCCTTCATTCTGTTGATATGATGTATCACATTGATTGATTTGCATGTTAAACCGTTCTTGCATTGTAGGGATAAATCCCAGTTGGTCGTGATGAATGATCTTTCTAATGTGTTGTTGAATTACGCTTGCTAGTATTTTTGTTGGAATGTTTACATCAATGTCGATCAAAGATATCAGCCTGTAGTTTTTTTCTCTTCATATGTCTTTGTCTGGTCTTAGTATCAGGATAACACTGGCCTCATAGGATAAGTTTAGAAGTATTCTGTACTCCTCCATTTTTCAGATTAGCTTGAGTAGGATTGGTAGTAGTTCTTCTTTATTTTTTATTTATTTATTTATTTATTTTTTATTTTTTATTTTTTTATTTTTATTTTTTTTATTATACTTTAAGTTTTAGGGTACATGTGCACATTGTGCAGGTTAGTTACATATGTATACATGTGCCATGCTGGTGCGCTGCACCCACTAATTCGTCATCTAGCATTAGGTATATCTCCCGATGCTATCCCTCCCCCCTCCCCCCACCCCACAACAGTCCCCAGAGTGTGATATTCCCCTTCCTGTGTCCATGTGATCTCATTGTTCAATTCCCACCTATGAGTGAGAATATGCGGTGCTTGCTTTTTTGTTCTTGCGATAGTTTACTGAGAATGATGATTTCCAATTTCATCCATGTCCCTACAAAGGACATGAACTCATCCTTTTTTATGGCTGCGTAGTATTCCATGGTGTATATGTGCCACATTTTCTTAATCCAGTCTATCATTGTTGGACATTTGGGTTGGTTCCAAGTCTTTGCTATTGTGAATAATGCCGCAATAAACATACGTGTGCATGTGTCTTTATAGCAGCATGATTTATAGTAGTTCTTCTTTAAATGTTTGGTAGAATTCAATGGTGAAGCCATCAGATCCCAGGCTCTTCTTAGCCAGGAGACTGATTACTTGTCATTGGTCTGTTAATGTTTTGGATTTTTTCATGGTTCAATCTTGGTAGACAGTATATGTCTAGGAATTTATTCATTTCTTCTATGTTTTCCAATTTATTACATATAGTTGCTCATAGTTGCTTCTAATGATCCTCGGAACGTCTGCAATATTGGTGTAATGTCTCCATTTTCATGTCTGATTTTATTCATATGGGTCTTCTCTTTTTCTTAGCCTAAAGGTTAGTCAATTTTGTTTAGCTTTTCAAAACCCCGACTTTTTGATTCATTGATCTTTTCTATTTTCACTTTCATTTATTTCTCTCTGATTATTTATTATATATTTATTATTATTTATTTCTGCATTGATTTTTTTTTTTTTTTTGAGATGAAGCCTCACTCTGTCACCAGGCTGGAGTGCAGTAGTATGATCTCGGCTCACTGCAACCTCCACCTCCTGGGTTCAAGCAATTCTCCTGCCTCAGCCTCCTGAGTAACTGGGACTACAGGCAAGCACCACCACACCCAGGTAATTTTTGTATTTTTAGTAGAGACGAGGTTTCACCATGTTGGCCGGGATGGTCTTGATCTCTTGACCTTGTGGTCTGCCTGACTCGGCCCCCCAAAATGCTGGGATTACAGGCGTGAGCCACCGTGCCCGGCCTCTGCATTGATTTTTATTTCTTTTCTTCTACTAATTTGGTTTGGGTTTGCTCTTGCATTTCTAATTCTTTAAGACACACCTCAAAGATGTTTATTTGAAGTTCTTCTTTTTCGATATAGGCACTTATAGCTTTAAACTTCCCTCTTAGTACTATTTTCGCTGTATCCCGTAAGTTTTGGTATATTGTGTTTCCATTAGCATTTGTTTCAAGAAATTTTTCAATTTCCTTCTTAATCCCTTTATTGACCTATTGGCCATTAAGGAATATCTTATTTAATTTCCATGTGTTCTTACAGTTTCCAAAATTCATCGTTATTGATTTCTAGTTTTATTCCATTGTGATCAGAGAAGATACTTGCTATAATATCAGGTGATTTCTTTGATGTTTTCAGAAAGACTTGTTTTGTAGCCTAACGTGCTGAGGAGAAGAATGTGTATTCTGCAGCCGTTGGATGAAATGTTCTGTAAATATCTATGAGGTCCATTTGGTCTATAGTGCAGATTAAGTCTGATGTTTCTTTGCTGATTTTCTGTCTGGCAGATCTGTCCAGTGCTGAAAGGGTGATGTGTAGGTCTTCAGCTATTATTGTTTTGGAATCTATCTCTCTCTAGCTTGAATCATATTTGCTTTATATATCTGGGTGCTCCAGTAATGGATGCATATATATTTACAATTCTTATATCCTCTTGCTGAATTGACTTCTTTGTCATTATATAATGACTTCTTTGTTTCTTTTTATAGTTTTTGTCTTCAAATCTATTTTGTTTTATATAAGTACAGCTACTGCTTTTTTCTGTTTTTTTTTTTTTTTTTTTTTTTTTTTTGAGACGGAGTCTCACTCTGTCCCCCAGGCTGGAGTGCAGTGGTGCAATCTCGGCTCACTGAAAGCTCTGCCTCCCAGGTTCACGCCATTCTCCTGCCTCAGCCTCCCGAGTAGCTGGGACTACAGGCACCCGCCGCCACATCTGGCTAATTTTTTGTATTTTTAGTAGAGACGGGGTTTCACCATGTTAGCCAGGTTGGTCTTGATCTCCCGACCTCTTAATCCACCCGCCTCAGCCTCCCAATGTACTGGGATTACAGGCATGAGCCACCGCGCCCGGCCTCTACTGCTGCTTTTTTATGGTTCCCATTGACATGCAATATGTTTTTCCATCCCTTTATTATCAGTCTATGTGTGTCTTTATAGGTGAAGTGTGTTTCTTATAGGCAACCGATCATGGGTTTTCATCTTTTTTATCCATTCACCCACTCTATGTCTTTTGATTGGAGAGATTAGTCCATTTACCATCAATATTATTGATAAGTAAGGTGACTTACTCCTGCCATTTTGTTATTTGTTTTCTGGTTGTTTTGTGCTCTTCTCTTCCCTCTTTCTTTCCTTCCTGTCTTCCTTTTAGTAAAGGTGGTTTTCTCTGGTGGTATGTTTTAACTTCTTGCTTTTTATTTTTTGTTTATCCATTGTATTTTTTTTTTATTTGAAGTTACCAGGAAGTTTGCAAATACTATCTTTTAACCTATTCCTTTAAATTGATGAAAACTTTACACTGAGTGCATAAACAAACAAGCAATGTGAGAACTAATAAAAACTCTTTAACTTCACTTTAACACTTTAACTTCATCCTCCTTTTTAATTTTTTGTCATTTCTGTTCATTTTTTGTATGTACTGCGTCTTGGAATGCTGTTGTAGTTATTATTTTTGATTGGTTCATCATTTAGTCTTTCTAGTTAGGATAAGATTAGTTTACAAAGCATAGTTACAGTGTTATTATATGCTGTGTTTTCCTGTGTACTTACTATTATGAGTGAGTTTTGTACCTTCAGATGATGTCTTATTGCTCATTAATGTCCTTTTCTTCTGATTAAACTAGTCTCTTTAGCATTTCTTGTATGACAGGTCTGGGGTGATTAAATCCCGCAGCTTTTGTTTTTCTGGGAAAGTCTTTATTTTTCCTTCATGTTTGAATGATATTTTCACCAGATATACTATTCTAAGTTAAAAGTTGTTTTCCTTCAGCACTTCAGAAATGTCATGCCACTGTCTCTTGGCCTGTAAGGCTTCCACTGAAAAGGTCTGCCAGACATATTGGAGCTCCATTGTATGTTATTCGTTTCTCTTCTCTTGCTGCTTTTAGGATCCTTTCTTTATCCTTGTTCTTTGGGAGTTCAACTACTTAATGCCTTGATGTAGTCTTCTTTGGGTTAAATCTGCTTGGTGTTCTATGACCTTCTTAGACTTGGATACTGATATCTTTTTCTAGGTTTGGGGAAGTAACTGTTATTATCCCTTTGAATAAATTTTCTTACCTCTATCTCTTGCTCTACTTCCTCTTAAAGGCCAATAACACTTAGATTTGCCCTTTTGAAACTATTTTCTAGATCTTGTAGGCATGCTTCATTGTTTTTATTCTTTTTCCTTTTGTCTCCTCTGACTGTGTATTTTCTAACAGCCTGTCTTCAAGTTCACTAATTCTTTCTTCTACTTGATCAATTAATAGACTCTGATGCACACTTAAGTAGGTCAATTGAATTTTTCAACTCCAGATTTTTTGCTTGATTATTTTTAGTTTTTCAATCTCTTAGTTAAGTTTCTATGATAGAATTATAAATTTCTTCTCTGTGTTATCTTGAATTTCATTGAGTTTCCTCAAAACAACTATTTTGAATTCTCTGTTTAAAAGGTCACATATCTGTCTCTCCGGGATTCATTCCTGGTGACTTATATAGTTTGTTTGGTGAAGTCATGTTTTACTGGATGATCTTGATGCTTGTAGAAATCTGTCAATGTCCTGGCATTGAGAGCTGGGTATTCATTAAAGCCTTCACAGTCTGGGCCTGTTTGCACCCTTCTTGGGAAGGCTTTCCAGATATTTAAAGAAACTTGGGTGTTGTGATCTATGTTTTTGGTAAACGCAGCCATATCTGCATTAGGCGGTACTCCACACCCAGTAATGCTGTGGCTCTTGCATACTCATAGAGGTACCTACCACCTTGGTCATCTTGGATAAGATCCAGAGGAATTCTCTAGATTTCCAGGCAGCAACTCTTCTTCTCTGTCCTTACTTTCTCCGAAACAAACAACTCTGTGGCCACCATCACTGACTGGGAATGTGCTGGATCAGACCTGAAGGCAGCACAGCACTGGGTTTCACCCAAGGCCTGCTGTAACCACCACCAGGATGCCATCTATGTTCACTCGATGCCCTAACGGGTCTAAAATCAGCAGGTGGTGAAGGCAGCCTGGCTTGTGTCCTTCCCTTCAGGGCTGCAAATTCCCCTGGACCCCATCGGGTCCAGAGATGCCATCCTGGAGCCAAGGCCTAAAGTCAGAAACCTCAGAAATCTACTTGGTGCTTTATTATACTGCAGCTGAGATGGCACCCAAACCACAAGACAGAGTCCTTCCCACTCTTCCCTCCCTTTCCCACAAGCAGAAGAGTCTCTCTCCACGTGTACCATCACCACAGGTCCACAAAGAGTACTGCCAAGGAATCACCAATGTTCATTTAAGGCCCAAGGGCTCTTCAGTCAGATTGTGGTGAATGCTGCCAGGCCTGGGCCTCACCCTTCAGGGAAGTGGGCTCCCCTGTGTCCCAGGACAGGTCCAGAAATGTCATCCAAGAGACAAGGCCTGGAATAGGGAACGCCGAGAGCCACTTTGGCTGAGCTGATACCTAAGCTGCAAGACAAAGTCTCCTTTACTGTTCCCTCTGCTTGTCTCAAACAGAAAAAGCCTCTCCTCATAGCTGCCACAGCTGCAAATGTGCTTGGCCACAACTGAAGCTGTCATATCTCAGAGTGTCACCAAAGGCTCACAGCATCTACTACCTGGCAAATGCTGCTGATTACTCAGGGCTAAAGGGCTCTTTATGCAGCAGACGATGAATACTACCAGGACTGGGTCCTTCCATTCAAGATAGTGGGATTACTTCTGGCCTGGGGTGTGACTGGACATGTAGTCCAGGAGCTAGGGCCTGGATGCGGGCCTTTCACCTCTGCTCAGTGCTCTATCCTACTGTGGCTGAGCTGGTATCCAAGTTGCAAGACGAAGCCCTCTTTACTCTTTGCTTTCCTCTCCTCAAACAAAGGGAAGGAGTCTCTTCAGGAGCTAGGAGCTGTACTGCCTGTGGTTGGGGGAGGGGTGGCACAGGGACTCCCTTTGGCCACCCCAGTTGGTGTCTCACTAGGTCACGTGCCCCCAGAAGTTGACTGGCTCTGAGCCCAGCACAGCACTAAGACATACCTAGGAGTTGCAGTACTTGTGGCCTAGATTGCCTTTCAAGTTTATTTAGAACTCCAAAGCACTTTAGCCCAAGGTGATGAGGCTTATGGGAACTTGAGTTCCCATGGTTTGGATGAATGATTCTCCTCTGATTAGGGCTTGTCTAAATGCTCCCTCTATAGGCATCAGTTCTGCCTGGTGTTGCTTTGGTGTTGCTTTCCACTGTGACAGGGCAGCACTGAGTTCCAATGCAAAGTCCAATGATGACTGCACTCTCTCCCCCAAGTGCACAGATTCACCTCACTGCAAAGTCACTGCTGAAATAAAGAGAATGAGTGGCGTTGGCAATTCAAGACTGTCTTTCTGACCATCTTCAGTGCCTCTTTCAGCAATATGAAGTTAAAACCAGATACTGTGTCACCTGAATTTTAGTTCTTATGAAGGTGCTTTTTAATGTAGATAGTTGTCAAATTTGGTGTTCCTGCATGGAGGACAATCAGTGGAGGCTTCTATTTGCCATTTTGCTCCACCTCCCTCCTACTAGGTACCATTTTAGATATGACATAGAAATTTGGTTTTAAAAAGTAAGTTTATTAACTTGCCAAGGGTCAAACAACAAGTTAGTGGCACATTCAAATCTACAGAGCCTGTCACTAGCGCCAATATCATGCTGTAGGTGACAGCAGGGGAAGAATCAGCATAACATTGGCAGAGGAACAATTGGGCTACAAGCAATTGCCAACAGGGAAATCCAGCAATGACTGAGGTGTGACAGAGTGGCAGGCAGGGCAGTGTATAGAAGTGAAGCAGACCCTAGCAAGAATCCTATCACCAGGCTTGGAATCAAATCATAGGCCTCCAGTGCCCAAGGGACAAGCAAGCACAAGACAAGAGCACAACTATATCAAGGCACTTAGCCATGGGAGGAATCCATCAGGAAGTTGATGACAAGGCTGACTCAATGCTGAGCACTGTATCAAGGACTCCAGAGATCCTTCCTGCCTAGAAAGAACACATGACATAGGGCTGCGCCTTCATATAAGAAGAAACTGCATCACCCCAGCCATAGCGCCATGAATCCATGTAAGATTAGAACAAAGAGAGAAAGGATTACTTTAGGGCTGTCATTTAAGACCTGTTAGCTCAGGGCATATCAAGAAGGAACTGGAATTACTTAAAACTTCAAACTTTTCATTATATACTACATCATGTCTGAATTTACCCTTAAACAAATCTACTTTGACTTGCTTTCGTTTTTATTGAAATTAAAATAATGCCTTTATATATATAATGCCCCAGTTACTCACAGGCATCAATAGATGTAAGCTTCTAAAGGATGTCTCCTCAACATGTTCTCTATCACTTGCGAATTTAGCACTGTAATATGCAATAGAGGTTTTTTTCTGCTCCTCTTTGGATTATGAGATGAAAATGAAAGTCACTATCAATTTTGCAAGTTGTAGGGAAAATAGTCCATTGCCTAAAAACTACATCCACGAGCTCACAGCAGCACGGGTCCCAAAAAATGGTACAAAGCCAGTTTTGATTACTTCTAGAGAGCTCTATTCCCTCTTTTTGACTCATCTCCCCACCCAAAACTATACACCCTGGAAATATCAGGACCTTGGTCCCAGTCCAGTGCAAATGGTTCTGCCCTGTATTCCATCACCTCAAGGCTCTGATAGTAAATTAAGTTCTGCTAATATTTGGGTTGCAGTAATTATCAGTTAGAAAGAGATGATTGTTGTATCCCAGCTTTGACTATTCTGGTGGCTAGAATCTTGACTGTAATTGACAGTTGGATTCACCCTAAAATCACTCCTGCAAAATACATGCTGGCATTTTTAAAGTAAACAGAAGAAATTAATCATGTCTGTAAACAACAAAGCATAATATTCTAACCACTGAACTAATGCCTGTTTTGAATTTTAATAGCAGATCTTCTCCATATCAATGTTATAAAATGAATTAGAGTGTATTGAACAGTGTGGTGGATGCTATGTTGCCTCCCAGATCCACTTGTGAGGATTATGAAATTCATTTCCCACTTGCTGAGAGTACCAATGTCCTGACAGCTTTGAGCTGAGTCCTCTTTGGGATTTGCATGGCCCTGGCAGTGAGTGCCCCCTTGTCTCACCCTAGCCTTGGTATTGATGTAAACAGTTCTATGTTTATTAACAAAATTTAATTTGTCATTAAAAATCTTCTCACAAAGAGAACTCCATTCCCAGATGACTTCACTTGTGAATTCTACCAAAACAATCACAGTGCAAGAAGTCAGACAAAATGTTCTACCAAACATTAAAGAAACGAATAGTATCAATTCTACCCAAACTCTTGCAGGAAATTAAAGGACTATTTCCCACCTTTTTCTGAGAGGCCAGCATTATTCTGATATGCAAAACGGACAAAAATATTATAAGAAAAAAAAATCAAAGACCACTATCTCTCACGAACATAGATGTAAACATCTATACAAAACTTTACCAAATAGAATTAACAATATAAAGAGGGTTGATACATGATAATCAAACAGGGTTAATCCAAGGATTGAAAGATTGATTTCATATTTGAACTTCAGGGAGGAGCCAAGATGGCCAAATATGAACAGCTCCAGTCTACAGCTCCCAGAATGAGCAACACAGAAGATGGGTGATTTCTGCAATTCCAACTGAGGTACCGGCTTCATCTCACTGGGGAGTGTCGGAAAGTGGGTGCAGCACACTGAGCATGAGCTGAAGCAGGGCGAGGCATTGCCTCACCCGGGAAGTGCAAGGGGTCAGGGAATTCCCTTTCCTAGTCAAAGAAACTGGTGACAGATGGCACCTGGAAAATCGGGTCACTCCCACCCTAATACTGCACTTTTCCAACAGTCTTAGAAAATGGCACACCAGGAGATTATATCCTGCGCCTGGCTCAGACGGTCCTACACCGACAGAGCCTTGCTTATTGCTAGCACAGCAGTCTGAGATCAAACTGCAAGGTGGCAGCGAGTCTGGGGGAGGGGTGCCTGCCATTGCCAAGGCTTGAGTAGGTAAACAAAGCAGCCGGGAAGCTCGAACTGGGTGGAGCCCACTGCAGCTCAAGGAGGCCTGCCTGCATCTGTAGACTCCAACTCTGGGGGCAAAGCATAGCCAAACAAAAGGCAGCAGAAACCTCTGCAGACTTCAATGTCCCGGTCTGACAGCTTTGAAGAGAGTAGTGGTTCTCCCAGCACGCAGCTGGAGATCTGAGAACGGACAGACTGCCTCCTCAAGTGAGTCCCTGACCCCAGAGTAGCCTAACTGGGAGGCACCCCCGAGTAGGGGCAGACTGACACCTCACACGGCTGGGTACTCCTCTGAGACAAAACTTCCAGAGGAACGATAAGGCAGCAACATTTGCTGTTAACAAATATCCTCTGTTCTGCAGCCTCTGCTGCTGATACCCAGGCAAATAGGGTCTGGAGTGGACCTCCAGCAAACTCCAACAGACCTACAGCTGGGGGTCCTGACTGTTAGAAGGAAAACTAACAAACAGAAAGGTTATCCATACCAAAACCCCATCTGTACGTCACCATCATCAAAGACCAAAGGTAGATAAAACCACAAAGATGGGGAAAAAACAGAGCAGAAAAACTGGAAACGCTAAAAATCAGAGCACCTCTCCTCCTCCAAAGGAACACAACTCCTCATCAGCAACGGAACAAAGCTGGATGGAGAATGACTTTGACGAGTTGAGAGAAGAAGGCTACAGACAACCAAACTATTCCGAGCTAAAGGAGGAAGTTCGAACCCATAGCTAAGCAGTTAAAAACCTTGAAAAGAAATTAGACGAATGGCTAACTAGAATAACCAATGCAGAGAAGTCTTTAAGGACCTGATGGAGCTGAAAACCACAGAATGAGAACTACATGACGAATGCACAAGCCTCAGTAGCTGATTCGATCAACTAGAAGAAAGGGTATCAGTGATGGAAGATCAAATGAATGAAATGAAGCGAGAAGAGAAGTTTAGAGAAAAAAGAATAAAAAGAAACGAACAAAGCCTCCAAGAAATATGGGACTATGTGAAAAGACCAAATCTATGTCTGACTGGTGTACCTGAAAGTCACAGGGAGAATGGAACCAAGTTGGAAAACACTCTGCAGGATATAATCCAGGAGAACTTCCCCAATCTAGCAAGACATTCAAATTCAGGAAATACAGAGAATGCCACAAAGATACTCCTCGAGAAGAGCAACTCCAAGACACATAATTGTCAGATTCACCAAAGTTGAAATGAAGGAAAAAAATGTTAAGGGCAGCCAGAAAGAAAGGTCGGGTTACCCACAAAGGGAAGCCCATCAGACTAACAGCGGATCTCTCAGCAGAAACTCTACAAGCCAGAAGAGAGTGGGGGCCAATATTCAACATTCTTAAAGAAAAGAATTTTCAACCCAAAATTTCATATCCAGAAAAACTAAGCTTCATAAGTGAAGGAGAAATAAAACCTTTACAGACAAGCTAATGTTGAGAGATTTTGTCACCACCAGGCCTGCCTTACAAGAGCTCCTGAAGGAAGCACTAAACATGGAAAGGAAAAACCGGTACTAACCACTGCAAAAACATACCAAATTGTAAAGACCATTGATGCTAGGAAGAAACTGCATCAACTAACGAGCAAAATAACCAGCTAACATCATAATGACAGGATCAAATTCACACATAACAATATTAACCTTAAATGTAAATGGGCTAAATGCTCCAATTGAAAGACACAGACTGGCAAATTGGATAAAGAGTCAAGACCCATCAGTGTGCTGCATTCAGGAAACCCATCTCACGTGCAGAGACACACATAGGCTCAAAATAAAGGGATGGAGGAAGATCTAACAAGCAAATGGAAAACAAAAAAAGGCAGGGGTTGCAATCCTAGTCTCTGATAAAACAGACTTTAAACCAACAAAGATCAAAAGAGACAAAGAAGGCCATTACATAATGGTAAAGGGATCAATTCAACAAGAAGAGCTAACTATCCTAAATATACATGCACCCAACACAGGAGCACCCAGATTCATAAAGCAAGTCCTTAGAGACCTACAAAGAGACTTAGACTCCCAGACAATAATAATGGGAGATTTTAACACCCCACTGTCAACATTAGACAGATCAAAGAGACAGAAAGTTAACAAGGATATCCAGGAATTGAACTCAGCTCTGCACCAAGCAGACCTAATAGACATCTACAGAACTCACCACCCCAATTCAACAGAATATACATTCTTTTCAGCACCACACCACACCTATTCCAAAACTGACCACATCGTTGGAAGTAAACCACTCCTCAGCAAATGTAAATGAACAGAAATTATAACAAACTGTCTCTCAGATAACACAGTGCAATCAAACTAGAACTCAGGATTAAGAAACTCACCCAAAACCGCTCAACTACATGGAAACTGAACAACCTGCTCCTGAATGACTACTGGGTACATAACGAAATGAAGGCAGAAGTAAAGATGTTCTTTGAAACCAACAAGAACAAAGACACAACATACCAGAATGTCTGGGACACATTCAAAGCAGTGTGTAGAGGCAAATTTATAGCACTAAATGCCCACAAGAGAAAGCAGGAAAGATCTAAAATTGACACCCTAACATCACAATTAAAAGAACTAGAAAAGCAAGAGCAAACACATTCAAAAGCTAGCAGAAGGCAAGAAATAACTAAGATCAGAGCAGAACTGAAGGAAATAGAGACACAAAAAACCCTTCAAAAAATCAATGAATCCAGGAGCTGATTTTTTGAAAAGATCAACAAAATTGATAGACCGCTAGCAAGACTAATAAAGAAGAAAAGAGAGAAGAATCAAATAGACACAATAAAAAATGATAAAGGGGATATTGCCACCGATCCCACAGAAATGCAAACTACCATCAGAGAATACTATAAACACCTCTATGCAAATAAACTAGAAAATCTAGAAGAAATGGATAAATTCCTCGACACATACACCCTCCCAAGACTAAACCAGGAAGAAGTTGAATCTCTGAATAGACCAATAACAGGCTCTGAAATTGAGGCAATAATTAATAGCTTACCAACCAAAAAAAGTCCAGAACCAGATGGATTCACAGCTGAATTCTACCAGAGGTACAAGGAGGAGCTGGTACCATTCCTTCTGAAACTATTCCAATCAACAGAAAAAGAGGGACTCCTCCCTAACTCATTTTATGAAGCCAGCATCATCCTGATACCACAGCCTGGCAGAGACACAACAAAAAAAGAGAATTTTACACCAATATCCCTGACGAACATCGATGCAAAAATCCTCAATACAATACTGGCAAACCGAATCCAGCAGCACATCAAAAAGCTTATCCACCATGATCAAGTGGGCTTCATCCCTGGGATGCAAGGCTGGTTCAACATATGCAAATCAATAAACATAATCCACCATATAAACAGAACCAACGACAAGAACCACATGATTATCTCAATAGATGCAGAAAAGGCCTTTGACAAAATTCAACAACCTTCTTGCTAAAAACTCTCAAGAAATTAGAGTTTATTCAGAGTTTATTGATGGGACATATCTCAAAATAATAAGAGCTATCTATGACAAACCCACAGCCAATATCATACTGAATGGGCAAAAACTGGAAGCATTCCCTTTGAAAACGGGCACAAGACAGGGATGTCCCCTCTCACCACTCCTATTCAACATAGTGTTGGAAGTTCTGGCCAGGGCAATCAGGCAGAAGAAGGAAATAAAGGGTATTCAATTAGGAAAAGAAGAAGTCAAATTGTCCCTGTTTGCAGATGACATGATTGTATATCTAGAAAACCCCATTATCTCAGCCAAAAATCTCCTTAAGCTGATAGGCAACTTCAGCAAAGTCTCAGGATACAAAATCAATGTGCAAAAATCACAAGCATTCTTATACACCAATAATAAACAAACAGAGAGCCAAATCATGAGTGAACTCCCATTCACAATTGCTTCAAAGAGAATAAAATACCTAGGAATCCAACTTATAAGGGATGTGAAGGACCTCTCCAAGGAGAATTACAAACCACTCCTCAATGAAATAAAAGAGGATACAAACAAATGGAAGAACATTCCACGCTCACGGATAGGAAGAATCAATATCGTGAAAATGGCCATACTGCCCAAGGTAATTTATAGATTCAATGCCATCCCCATCAAGCTACCAATGACTTTCTTCACAGAATTGGAAAAAACTACTTTAAACTTCATATGGAACCAAAAAAGAGCCCACATTGCCAAGTCAATCCTAAGCCAAAAGAACAAAGCTGGAGGCATCACGCCACCTGACTTCAAACTATACTACAAGGCTACAGTAACCAAAACAGCATGGTACTGGTACCAAAACAGATACATAGACCAATGGAACAGAACAGAGCCCTCAGAAATAATGCCGCATATCTACAACTATCTGATCTTTGACAAACCTGACAAAAACAAGAAATGGGGAAAGGATTCCCTATTTAATAAATGGTGCTGGGAAAACTGGCTAGCCATATGTAGAAAGCTGAAACTGGATCCCTTCCATCATTCTCAGCAAACTATCGCAAGGACAAAAAACCAAACACTGCATGTTCTCACTCATAGGTGGGAATTGAACAATGAGAACACATGGGCACAGGAAGGGGAACATCACACACCGGGGCCTATCATGGGGTCGGGGTGGGGGGAGGGATAGCATTAGGAGATATACCTAATGTTAAATGACGAGTTAAGGGGTGCAGCACACCAACATGGCACATGTATACATATGTAACAAACCTGCACGTTGTGCACATGTACCCCCAAACTTAAAGTATAATAATAATAAAATTTAAAAAAAGAAAAGGAATTTGATAAAATGTAACATCTATCCTAATTTTAAAAAATTATAATGATACTATAAATACAAAGAAATTTCCTTAACCTCATTAAAAAACACCTATGGAAATGTCTAAATTTAACATTATAATTAATGGTGAAAAACTAAATGCTTTCACCCTAAAGTCAGAATCAAGGCAAGAATTTCCATTCTTACTATGCAGCCATAAAAAAGAATGAGATCATGTCCTTTGCAGGGATATGAATGGAGTTGGAGGCCACTATGCTTAGCAAACTAACACAGGAACAGAAAACCAAATACTGCATGTTTTCACTTATAAGTGGGAGCTAAATGATGAGACACAAGGACACATAGAGGGGAATAACACACACTGAAGCCTTTTGGAGGGCGCAGGGTGGCAGGAGAGCGAGGATCAGGAAAAACAATTAATGGGTACTAGGCTTAATACCTGGGTGATGAAATAATCTGTACAACAAACCCCCATGACACAAGTTAACCTATGTAACAAACCTGCACTTGTACCTCTGAACTTAAAAGTAAAAAAAAAACAAAAAATCTCCATTCTATTCAACAGTGTACTGCAGGTCCTACTCAGTATAATAAGGCAAGAAAAAGATAAAAGACATCCAAATTGGAAAGAAAAGGTAAGTAAAATTGTCTTTATTTGAGAATGATGATTGTCAGTACAGAAAATCCTGTGGAATCTAAATAAAAACAACTACAATGAATAAGTGAATTTAGCAAAGTTAAAGGATACAAGATTAATATATAAAAAACAATTATATGTCTATATACTGGCAACAATTGGAAAATGAAATTTAAAAACAATACCACTTATAATAGCATCAAAATATTAAATGATCATGGATATAGGTGACAAAATATGTGCAGGATCTGTATGGTGAAAAATACAAAACACAGATGAAAGAAACCACGAAGACCTAAACAAATGAGGGAAATATACCACGTTCATGGAACAGAAAACTCAATAATGTTAAGATGTCCATTCTCCCTGATTTGATCTATTCAATACTATCCCAATCAAAATCTCAGCAGGCCTGTTTTTTTAGACATAACAAGCTGAGTCTGAAATTCATATGGACATACATACATACCACCTAGAATAGTCTAAAGAAACTTCAAAAAAATAATATTGGAGGGCTCCCACTATTTAATTTCAAGACTCATAAAGCTACTGTAACCCAAACACATTGGTATCAACATAAGTATAGACAAATAAATCAATGAAACAGAATAGAAAATTTAGAACTGTACCCACATATATATGTAATTTTGACAGTCTTCAAAAGCAATTCAAGGGGAAAGGGATAGTCTTTTTAACAAACGGTACTGGAAAATGGAGTGGGCTGCATAGCAATGAAATGTGAGCAACTTCTAAGACCTGAGAGTGACCCTTAGCTGACAGCAAACCAGGAAATGGGGACCTCAGTTCTACAACCACAAGAACTCAATTCTGCCCCAATAACAATAATGAGCTTGGAACCAGTTTCTTGCCCAATGCCTTGAGACAAGAACTTAGCCTAACCACAACTTTGACTTCAGCATTCTGAGACTCTGAGCAGAGAACCGAGCCATGCTGTCCCATACTCCTGACCTACAGAACTCTGTACAAATAAATGAGTGTTGTTTAAAGCTGTTAAGTCCATGTGTCAATAGCAAATTGATACATCTGATAAAGAACTTGTAAATAAAATAAAAGAATGATGAAAATTCAAAAAATATAAAAAACAACTATGTTTAAAAATGAACAAAAGTTTTGAACTACCGCCTCACACCACAGTAGATATACACATGGCCAATAAACACATGAGAAGATGCTAAACATTAGGTAGATATATTAACAAATTAAAACAATAATGATATACCACTATTCACACACTAAAATCTCTAAACTTTTTTTAAAAATAACAATACCTACTGTTGGCAAGTATATAGAGCAACTGGAACGCTCATACACTGCTATTGGGAATGTAAAATGATACAACCACTTTTGACATCAGTTTGGCAGTTTCTAAAAAATATTTACACAAGATAGGCCAGGCACGATGGCTCACACCTGTAATCCCAGCACTTTGCGAGACCAAGGTAGGCAGACCACTTGAGCTCAGGAGTTCAAGATCAGCCTGAGTAACATGGCAAAATCCTGTCTCTACAAAAAATACGAAAATTAGCCAGGCATGGTGGTGTGCGCTTATGGTCCCAGCTACTTGGGAGGCTGAGGTGGGAGGATCATCTGAGCCTGGGGAGGTTGAGGCTGCAGTGTCCTGTGATCATGCCACTGTAATTTAGCCTGAGCAACAGAGTGAGATCCTGTCTCAAAAAAAAAAGTTATTTACACAAGATAAACAAAAATATGTTGATACAGAAACTTGTAGACAGATGTCCACAGAAGCTTTATTTGTAATGGTTTAAACCTGAAACAACCCAAATGTCCATCAACAAATGAATGGATGAATAAACAAATTGTAGTATAACTGTATGATGAAATACTACTCAACAATAAAAAGAAATTATCTATTTATACATGTAACAACATGGGTGAATATAAAAATAATCAAACTGGGCTGGGCGTGGTGGCTCACACCTGTAATCCCAGTGCTTTGGGAGGCCAAGGCAGGTGGATCACCTGAAATCAGGAGTTCCAGACCAGCCTGGCCAACATGGCAAAACCCCATCTCTACTAAAAATACAAAAATTAGCTGGGCATGGTGGCGCATGTCTGTAATCTCAGCTACTCGGGAGGCTGAGGCAGGAGAATTGCATGAACCCGGGAGGCAGAGGTTGCAGTGAGCTTAGATCGTACCACTGCACTCCAGCCTGGGTGACAGTGGGATTGCTAGGTCAATGTGGCACATATGCACCATGGAATACTATGCAGCTGTAAAAAAGGATGAGGTCATGTCCTTTGCAGGGACGTGGATGACACTGGAAACCATCATTCTCAGCAAACTAACACAAGAACAGAAAACCAAAATGTTCTCACTCATAAGTGGGAGTTGAACAATGAGAACACATGGACACAGGGAGGGGAACATCACACACTGGGGCCTGTCAGGGGGTGGGGGGCTAGGGAAGGGATAGCATTAGGAGAAATACCTAATCTAGATGACGGGTTGATGGGTGCAGCAAACCACCATGGCACGTGTATACCTGTAACAAGTCTGCACATTCTCCACATGTACCCCAGAACTTAAAGTATAATCTAAAAAAAAAAAGTGATATTCATTGGTGACAAAGTCACAGGTACTGCTAAATAAAAATAACAATGATAATACATACTTTATACTTTCATGTATTTAAAAATTTATGAAATGCAAAATAATCTACAGTGACAGAAAGCAGATCAGTAGTTGCCTAGCAATGGGGCAGGAGGGTAAAGAGGTCTAAGAAGGGGAGTTTATAAAGAGGCACAAGGAAACATTTAAGCATGATGAATATATTCATCATTATCTTGATTGTGTGGATGGTACGCATATGTTGAAACTTAAACTGTGTAAGTTAGTTCATATTCAGGTATGTATAGGCCACATACTGTAGTCAAGAAATATATTGACTGATGAATATGCTAAAAACAGAGGACAAATGTGTTCCCTTCCAAGATATTTGCATTATTCACAACAATTTCAATGCCTTCCATTCAAAGGAGTAACTAAAGTTCAGGGTGCAGTGTGGTATAAGACAGTGCCAGAGCCAGACTGCTGGGATTCCAATCCAGGTCTTTCAACTCACTAGCGGTATGGCTAAGACACTTCCTGTGTCTTAGTTATTTCACCTGAAAGGGCACATAGTAAATATCAACGTAAGCAATCTACTATTACTCAACATATATTTCTTGAAAATCTACAACATGTTCTTGAACATCTACACGTGCCTAATTCTGTGACAGAAAATGGGAGCTGTTTGGCAGAAGTATAAATGGGCCATTAGGAAACCTCACCACCTATACCAGTAGCACGACCAGGGCCAGGACTTACTTGCTTTCTGCTGACTGCATTGGACTACACTAAACACCTACTAACGCATATAATACATTTCTTTTTTGGTTGTATTTTTGTTTTTTGTTTTTGAGTCAGGGTCTCACTGTCTCCCAGGCTGGTGTACAGTGGTGCAGTTATGGTGCACTGCAGTGTTGGCCCCCCGGACTCAAGCTATCCTCCCACCTCTGCCACCCCCACCCCGCCCACCCCCTGGGTATCTGGGACTACAGGCATGCACCATCACAAAACACCAAAAAATATTTGGTATTTTTTGTAGAGATGATGTTTCACTATATTGCCCAGGCTGGTCTCAAACTGCTGGACTGAAGTGATCCACCCGCCTCAGCCTCCCAAAAGTGCTGGGATTACAGGGATGTGCCATTGCGCCAGCCCCTATAATACACTTCTGTCATAGATATAGAACTTAACTCAGTGACTCTTTTGGCCTAGTGCCACTACTTTATGCTGACTTCCCAGCTTCTACACCACCCACAGAATAAAATCTGCAGCAGCTCCATGGCCCTCTTTGCTTAGAAAAAACACTTATAAACCAGTCTCTTAAACGATCAGACATATACAATACCCTCTCATTTTTTCAGCAGATTTTTTTTTTTTTTGAGACAGAGTCTAGCTTTGTCGCCAGGCTGGAGTGCAGTGGTGCGATCTCGGCTCACTGCAACCTCTGCATCCCGGGTTCAAACAATTATGCTGCCTCAGCCTCCCAAGTAGCTGGAATTACAGGCATGCACCGCCATGCCCAGCTAATTTCTGTATTTTTAGTAGACACGGGGTTTCACCATGTTGGCCAGGATGCTCTCGATCTTCTGACCTCCTGATCCGCCCACCTCAGCCTCCCAAAGTGCTGGGGTTACAGGCGTGAGCCACCGTGCCCAGCCCAGTAGATATTTAATAATCACTTACTATGGCCTGGGCAAGGTGTGAAGCAAATACACTAGTAAAGAGATCATACTGCCCTCAAGCAGTTCACAGGCTCATAGGGGAGATCATGAGCCTCTCAAATCACATAAATCACACAGCCTGTCATCTGCTGACCGTGCTCCCATGGAGCCAAATAATCTCTCATTACCAGATGAACTCCCTAAAGAGAATTAGGGACTATGAGCACGTGAACCAATAAGAAGAATAAAAGGGTGACTTTTGACTCCCTTTCATACAAAACTTCTGGAACCCCTAAAGCTTTGATGACGGCACAATCCTTTTCCAAAAGGAGTCGCACAACTTGTGCCAATATCCTTTCTTGAATGCTTCCTTCCCTGCCTCCTGCCCCCTTCCCACAAGCCTACCCATTGCCCTCTGCTTGTCACTTGCCCTGTGTACTCTTTGTCTAGCAATTGCTCTAGCATGCACTTGCCTCTGCATTCTCTCTGCTGCCACTCTGTAATTACAAACTCTGTCAAGGTTATTGGGAACTAACACAAGTGATGCCATCCCAGAGTCAACACTCCTGAGAGAGTAGAAACACGCTGTTGTCTAAAAAGAATAAGGGAAGCCAAACCCAAATCTAATCATTTTGAAGCACACTGAAGTGCCCCCTCTCCCCTGACTGTATTAATTTAGAGGCAAATCTCTTTGGGCAGGCTGTTTCCCTACCACAGCACCAGAACCTTTCACAGGGACAGCTCCCAGGTAGTCTTGTTATTTTGAATCCACTCACACACGCACACTCCATTCAGTCAGAGAAGGAGAGAGTACTCCACAGCCCCACAGCTGCTGGTGCCAGAGTTGGGACTAGGACTCTGCCCTTTAAGCTCCAATCAGCTGCAAAGCCTGCAAAGCCACAGCTCAGCCATTAGCTCAGCCAGGCTAGTGATTAAGGGTCAGGCAAAAGAAGACCTGAGCTGGCACCTGGAGTGCAAGTATAATTTGGATAAATTGAGAGTAGCAAGAAGGGCATTCCAGTCATATTATCAGAGGCCAAAGAATGTTGGAAAGGCCTTCGGAAAGAAAGGCACACAAAACCTACTCATAAAACAGCGAGACATCCAAATTGGCAGTGGCATTGCATACATGAAAATTTGGGATTGAGAATAAAGACTGGCATGCTACATGGAGAAGCACCACTGTGCAGAGGTTAAGAGATGGGCTTTGGTGACAGGCTGCTTCTGTGTGAATCTTAGCTCCTCCTCTTCCTGGGTATGTATTCCTGGTCAAATGATCAATCTATGTGCCTCAGTCTCCTCATCTTCAGAATGGGGACAGGAATAGAATCATCATACGGTTGTTTTCAGTATTCACTGAGTTAATACACATAACTGGGAGCAGTGGCTGGCACATAGTAAGTGCTCACCAGATGTCAGTTGTTATTATTATTGTGGGGACAAATTGTGAAGGACTTTGAATGCCGGTCTCAGAGAGCAATGTGGAGTCAGGCCCTGTCTCATACTCAGTCTCTGCTGCATCCTTCCCCATGACTGGGGTTACTTTGTGAGGGTCATGCACTCCCAGCTGCAGGCTCGGATCTGCCCCGCACTCTAGGATTCACCCTGACCATAGGGCAGAAGGTTTTCAGCCATACCTTCCCAACACTGTGGGACTTTGTCTCAAGCCACACTTTCTGCTGGGTCAGCCCTTACCTCAGGTCCCAGTTCTGTGAAAAACACAGTCCTCTTGCTCCTGTGGCACAGTTCCCCCTACAGTCCTTCCTAAGTTCTTGCTACTGCCTTTTCCCCTTTGCCTAAGCCCAGTGCAGCTGTGGGGCTGTGAGTACTCTCTCCCTCTCTAACTGAATAGTGTGGGCATGTGTGAGTGGATTCAAAATAACAAGACTATCTAGGAGCTGTCCCTGTGAAAGGTTCTGGTGCGGTGGTAGGGAAACATCCTGCCCCAAAGAGATTTGCCTCTAAATTAATACCTTCATAGTTCTCCCATCCCTCAAGCACTAGAGCACTGTGTTGCTCTTGCCAGTCCTCTCCTTCCCAGGAACTATAGTCCTGGCCCTGAGCCCCAGTCCAGTCTAACCATGAGGCCTGCTACCTCCTGACAGCCTTCTTTGATACTGGACAACTGCCAGCCTGCCTGAACCTCTAGAATCTGCAACTGGATTCTAGAAGTCTGTATTACTTTGCATTGAAGCCCCTGACAGAGAGGACATGCCAGGATTATTACCTGCCAAACCCTGTTGTGCTGTGTTCTGCTTGCTGGATCATAATTATTTCCATCACCTGCACTGTATGCTCCTCAGGGTTTGCTCCTGCCTTTGATGTGAAAGGAGGTGGAAACAGATCATGCAAGGCCTCCACTGCCATACTAAGGTGCTTGAACTTGATCCTAGAGACACATGTCTCTTGCACTTTTGCTATCTCATTCTCTTGAAAGCAAAGAGACAGCATGCACCTCTGATTTACATATTCATCTATTAATGTATACGTTATACACAAGTGCTACCATTCTAAGACACTATGCACATGAAACACACACAAATATAAAAAAACTAAACAATGAATAAAAACAAACATAAATAGAAGCTCTAATATTTTCTTCTTAGAAGCTGTATATCTTAGAAATGTCCCTGTGGAAGCCAGATATAGAATATGGTTTGGAGAAAGCAAACATGGGGACCAGTTGATGGACTGTGGCCGTGATCAAAGTAGGGATGATGGTGGCCACAACTAAGGCTGTGGCGGAAGGGATGAAATAGAGACATGGAATAAAATATGAAAAAACTCCTTGAGCACCTCATGATCAAGTGGGGCATACAAAATAAGCAAGGAAATATTATCTATGATAAATGTCCTGATCAGCTCCACCCTTAGTTCTGGTCAAGAGGGAACCCTGGCCTAGGTCCCAAGCTTTAGAAAATTATGCATATCACTAACACACCCACTCAAACACATTACACTTACCAAAAACACTTAACTGCCTCTGTCACTCCGGATCCAGGATTCAGCACTGTTACACCTTTATCCATATCCCTCAACACCCACTCTCATGGTTAATGCTGTTCAGACAATGATTTCTATATTTACTGCCCTGTGTTCTCAAAACAAAAGGCAACGCGGTCTGCATGCCATGCAGGTTTGGAGGTTGTACTTCTGCCAACTTTGAAGGCTGACAATGTCTTAGCACATGGAGAGTATTTGGGAAGGAGAAAAGCATTGGCAAAAGAAAAGGCAAATTAATTGCCCATATGAATGTAATAGAGTCTTGCATAAGGAAGTATTGTTTCTCAGAAATGCCAATCATCCATTTTCATGCTTCCCTCGTATTATAATTCATGGTTCCAGAAGTATTCATGAATTAGCATGGCATTTAACAATTGCACATGGCTGCTAGGAATATTTTCCAACATCAAACAGTATCTATTACTCTTAATATATAGGCACAGGTTTAGATGTAACTTACATAAGGCATGATATCCATTTTTCATATTGGCAACTACGTGGATACTGAACATTAGAATTAATACTTCCGTACTGTACCTAAAAGTACCTGTTATGTGCTGTTGTTTTCTGTTGCGTTCTGTACCTAAAAGGAGAAGGTATTAGAGGATCTTTGTTTCCTTCCAGTTCTGGAACTGTAGTCTGATGAGTAAGGCAAAGGAGAAGTAGCCAACATTGTTTTGTTTTATTTGAACAGGGTATGATATGATGAAAAGGGCACTTGAATCTAGAAAAATTTAGTAGTAGTATGTAGCATAAACAGAGTAGGAAGAAATCAGAAACAGACAAAACACTTCAGGAAGCAATTACAATAGTCCAAGTAAGAGGTAATGAGGAACTGAGTCATTTTCTCTTCTATTATAAATTTATTATTTCTTCTGAGTTTTCTCCATCATCACATGAACATGCTTAAGTAGCTGCCATTTTAATAAGGAAAAATCTTCCCTTGATCCCTCTAAATACTTTCCCATATCTTCAATCCCCCTAATTGAAATATTGAAAGAATCATTTAACCACTGTCATTTATTTTATCCCTTACTATTCTCTCCTCAATCCGCTCCATTTGGGCTTCCATCTCTGTACTCCATTGAACATGCTCTTGCTAAAGTCATCAACCATCTCTATGTTGCCAAATCCAATAGATATTTTTTTCTTCATCCCTGTTCTGATTATCTATTTCTGCATTTAAAAAAGCACCCCAATCTTAGTGGCTTAACAATCATTTAGTATCTCTCCCAATTTCTGAGGGTCAGGTATTTGGAAACAATTCAGGTAGCTCCTATGTCTCACAGGGCTGCAGTCAGATAATGCCTGGGGCTGGAATCGTCTGAAGGACTGTTCACTCATATGTCTGGTGCTTGCTCTGAAAAGGCTCAAATAGATGGGGACTAGAACATCTGGGCTCATTAGACTTCTCTCCCCTATCTCTATGTGGTCTCTTCATGTGGTTTATACAGCACAGTGGTGTCAATGTCATTAGACTTCTGACATAGCAGCTCAGGGCTCCAAAGGCTCATGTCTCAAGAGAGAGAAAGAGAGCCCAACAGAATCAGAATTATATTTTCTGACCTACTCTCAGAAGTCACATAATGTCACTTGTATCGCTCACTATGGGTCAGGGCAATTCACAAAAGTCCACCCAAGCTCAAAAGGAAGGGATATACATGCTCACAGTGTAACTAAAGCATGTGGGAGAGGAGTTATTATTATGGTCATCTTTGGAAAATACAATCCCTCTTTCTTCAAATATTCTTTTCTGTTAGTATCCAAGATACCTTCCTAGTTTTCCTCCTACCTTAATGACTGTTCTACCAGTTTCCTTTGTTTGCTACTCTCCTTCGCTCAACCTCTAAATGAAGGTTTAACCCAGGGCTTGGTCCCATTGACTGTCTCCTTTTCTCTATCTTCACTTATTAACCCTTGGTGACCTTTTCCAACCATATCGCTTTAAATGACAACTCAAAAATTTATATCCCCAGGCTTGATGTCCTATGTAGTTCCACATTTATATTCCCAGTTGCCTGCCATTGTCTCAGAGATTCTAAATATATATCTCAACATGTCCCAAACTGTAGTCCCCTCATTCACCCAAAAACAAACTCCCACTGACTGAGGTGGATGATTTTCCTAGCTCAGTAAATGTACCACAAGTTATCCAAGTCGCATGGGTTAACCATCAACTCTTCCCTTTCCCTCATATCTAGTATGTAATTCATCTGAATGTTCTGTCAAATGTATATTCACAACATATCCTATATCCTCCAACTACCATCACCTTAGTCCAAGTCACCATTATCTCCAGCCTAGACTTTTCAAATAGCTTACAGATAGGTAGTCTTGTCTCTGGTCTTTCCCTCTTACAATTCAATCTTCACAAAGTAAATGAGTGATCTCTAAACAAACAAACAAAAATACACCGTATCAGGTAAAAACCCTGCTTAAAACCCACCAATGGCTTCCCATTGCTCTAAGAATAAAATCTAAATTCTTTCCAGAGCCTACAGAGTTCTAGCTTATCTGGCCACTGTCTACCTCTCTAACCTTATCTCCTACCACTCTCTCCCTCATTCAAAAATCTGTAGCTACACTGGCCTTCCTGCTGCTCCTCAAGCACATAGAGCTTATTCCTGCCCTGGGGTCTTTGCACTTGTTCTTCCCGGTATATCACATGTTCTTCCCCCAAGTCTGACTGGGTGGCTCTTTCCTATCATTCAGGTCTCTACTCAAATGTCACCTCCTTGGTGATGCTTTCTGTTACTATCCAGACTAAATTAGTATGAGCATATACACATGCACTGTGTGTCATTCTAACATACATTTCTGTTTAATTCATAACATTTACCATAATCTGAAATTATCTCCTGTTATATGTGTATTATCCTCCTCCCCTTCTAGAATGTAAAGTTCACTAAAGGAGGGATTTTTGTCTGTTTTCTTCATTGATGTGCACATGTGTGAGGCACTCCACATATATCTGTTCAATAAATGAACAAACCAAGTTGGAGTGGTGATGAAAATGGCAGATGTCAGAGACAGTTTAAATAGTCACACTGCAGGTTTATGCTATCAACATTTTGAAAACATCAAGGTCGCAGCCCAGCAGTAAGCCCCAGATGCCTCCTGGAGCCTAAAGTAAGGAAAGGAAATCTAAGTTATCAGCACCTTAGGTAGTCCTTGACCCATATGCACCACTTTCTCTCTACCTTTTCTCTGGAGTCCCTCCTCTGTGTCCCTATCCTGTTTCTCTCATCCCATTGCTTTATCCTTCTCTGCTTGTGCCTTGGGCATACCTGTAGTTCCCTCCCAAACATCATTCTTAGTGTCTTTCTTGGAGCCCTTACATCTAAAGCAGTTGTAGGACCCTTCCAAGTATCCATTAACTGAATACTCCTTTCTTCTTTCACATATTAGTAATAAATCTGGACCGAGATGATTGCTATTATGAATTTTAAAATGCCAAGCATTCTGAATTTCAGAAAAGCACTCTCTTCCCTCTGATTTAAGGAAGGCTACTCAAAAACATTTTTTAAATTTTGAATAGATTACTAGGTCCACTCTAACGCCACTGATTTTAAATTCTATCTAAGGTTTTAAAATTGAAACCAAACGAGTAAATGGGCCCTGCTGTAAATCAACAAGCCCAGGCTCATTCCCTGCTGAGCTGGCACCACATCAACCCAGTTAGCCAAGTTGCCATGAAGAAAGAAATAAACACTAAAAAATGTACGTTAACCGAAGTGTCTACTTCCAGCTTCAGGTGTTACTAGCTTAAGGAAGAGTCTAGAACAGGCAACTCTCTTAACTGGTTGTTAGCCTTAGTTCAGATTCAGCCTCAAGGCTATAGACTGTATTCTGATTTTAAACTCATGAATGTTTGATTCACTGTTATTGACAGTTTAGGGCAACTGCTCAGCACCTTTTCTGCTTCATCTGCTCAGAAATCTCAGGAAGTTCGGGTTTGCTTCTGAATAAATTCTGTTTCATGCTGACTTCAAAAAACCACCTCTAGCCTCTTCTCTACTTTTCTATATCTAGTCCTGGTTGCTGAGAGCTATGTCACTCCCCCATCTGCTCTTCCCTTGTGGCAGCACTCACAGCTTTCCACGCCCAGTGTGACACTGCAAATAAGACTCTGTTCAGCAAGACAGATTCTACTCACAGCTCCACCAAGTCTTTTCCCATCCTCACCCAGCCTTACTCTGTTTTGTTTGCCAGGTGAGCCATGGGGGTTGGTGTGCTACTTTATCCAGTCAAGAAAGCCTTTTGTTCGCTCCCGAAGGACTCCTATACTAGAGACTGCAGGACAATGTGTGGATGGGGAGGATTGTGAATGCTGAGGAAGGGCCCTCCTGCTTCTCTTCCCCACTCCACCCTGCACCTGGGCAACCCATGAGCTGTTTTCTCTGCTTCTGGAAAGAAAAAAAGATTTGAAGCTCAGCCTCAGGACAATCAGTGACGATTTGAAATAGATTTGAATGATTTGAAACAATACCCTGACATACCCTATCAACTAGGAAATTCGGGGATCAGGGGACATGGGGAATTGCTCCTATGTGTTCAATGCAGACAGCCTGGCAGTCAGAGGTTGTCTGCAGTCTTACATCTATGACTGGATGCTGTGAAAGAACAATGTGCAAGAGAGGTAAAGGCAGGGAAGAAGCCAGTATTAGAGCAAATGCCTTAAGTATTTCCTGGGCAGGATCCGCGCCAGGCCTTAAAGTCTTTTAAGGTCTGTGTCATGCACATTGCCCAGGTTCATCACTGAATACTTCATTAAAAAAAAAAAATACCTGAGGTTGATCTTACACTGTCTCCCCACCTCTACGTAATTCTCCTGAAAACCAGAAGGGCAGACGAGGGATCAGAGTTCTCCCAATTTCCTCCACTCTTCAAAAGTGATGGTACCCCAGTTGTTGACCCACTCTGCAGCAAGAAATTGAAATTGAATGAGAAGGCTTGGTCCACTTTGAACACACAATATGATAAGGAGACTTTAGAAAACCATCAAATGGGGATTCTGGTTATTTGACCTGCTTGAGATGGAAATGGGCATCTCACACACATATCGATTGTGCAGCTTTACCCAAGATGTGCTGGCCCAATTGAAGAGAAAGTCTTTCTTCAAAACTCCCTTGTTAAGTTATGCCCAACAATGATTCCATAGAAAACTCTGAAAAATAAATCTAACCGCAACTTTTTCTCAATCCAGGCTTCTCGTACCTTCATTTTCCTTTCTGTGGGCTCTTTCATTGATCTAGCTGCCAAGCACAATCCATTTAACTCAGTTCCTTGCTCCACACTTTCCTATTCATTAGCATGTGTTCTTGTGGCACTTTGTTCTAGATTTCAACGGGAACATCTGCAAAATCAAACTCCCTTGTATCTCTCCTACTTGTGAAAAATACTAAATATACCATGTCAACTTTTAGCAGAAACACTGGTGGAGAATCAGAGCAGCCAAACACAAATAATTCTCATTTAGCTGGAACAACAAAGGCCTGGATTCTAGACTTCCCTCTGGAGAATACTTGGCATATCATGTTTCTTCTCTGGGACTTGGTTTCCTCATTATAAAGTTAAGAGGCTTGACTTACATTGGAAAACCAGTTCATGGTCTAACCAGATGGCCTTTGGCTAAAGATGTTTTGTTGTTTCTTTTCTTGTTTGTTATTTGATGACCTACAAAGCAGCACTAAATATAATCAGGTTTGAGAGCACTGGGAAAGCCACTTCTCCAACCTAGGGAAAGGAGAGAGGAGAAAAAAAAGATTCTTCCTATCAGCTAGCTTTATTGCCAGAATTTCCAACTGTTTTGCTGTCTCTGAGCAGCTTCTTTTCAAATGCTTATCACTCTGGGATGGATGGCATGTTAAGATGTCATCAGCCTAGAAGCTGTAAGTTAGGCCGGGTGCAGTAGCTCATGCCTGAAATCCCAGCACTTTGGGAGGCTGAGGCAGGAGGATCACCTGAGCTCAGGAGTTCGAGACCACCCTGGGCAACATGATGAAACCCCATTTCCACTAAAATACAAAAAATTAGCCGGGCATGGTGGCACTTGCCTGTAATCCCAGCTTCTTGGGAGGCTGAGGCAGGAGAATCGTTTGAACCCTGGAGGCAGAGGTTGCAGTGAGCAGAGATTGCGCCTCTGCACTCCAGCCTAAGCAACAGAGAGACTCCATCTCAAAAACAAACAAACAAACAAAAAGAAGCTGTAAGTTTGCTGGAGGGAATGGAAAATGAAAAAGGAAAAGTTAGCTTCCCACTGTAGGAAGCCACCAACGTAGGAGGCCAGAGGGCTTCTGGGCAGCAGGGGACCAGCAGAGGGTTTAGACTTGCCATAGAAAAAGGAGAGGGTTTCCTCCATTGGTTTGCTACATTCTTGAACAGTCTGCTACCAGGAAGAAGACCATGGGTCCCTTCTATTTCTGTCACCAACCTTCTCTCCTGCCCCGGGTCAGATGGAACAATCTGGTTAATACTTGACAAGGCAATATTAAATCAAATAGCAATCAGTCCTGCTCAGATAATTAAACAGGGACTGGATTTAGATGAATACAATGAAGATGTCCTGATAGAGGGACAGCAAGCCAGGACCTGCATCATCTCTGAAACGCAAACTTTCTCCAACTTTGTAAGTTTACAAATCTGTAAGTTAAACACAGTCCTTTTTCTGAGCAACTACTAGGTGTCAACCTGTTCTAGGTAATAGAAGGGAATTCAAACAGCAAAAGCATGCACTCTGCCTTTAATTTGCTTAAAGTAAAGATGAGATGATCAGATGTATTTGTAACCAAACATTGGAGACTTTCTTTAATGCACAAGCTGAACAACGATAAGATGCAAGGATTTAGAGAATGTACATGCTGAAGTAATCCAAAACCATGGACTTGTCAGGTCTCAAGATTTGAGCTGATGGAAAGAAGTAGGGCAGAGAATGGGATCCTTCTGACATGGCAGGGCCAGAAGCCTGCAAGTGGAATCAGATTCCATTTGGCAGGTCTGAAATCTGCAAAGATTATGGCTACAAACCTATAGCCAAGAAAGGAGCCTGGTTCAAAGAGGGCCACAAACATGGTGACAGGCACCTGAGAGTCAAGGCAGATCAAACCAAGCAGGTAAGGGATAGCCTGGCAGACAGGGCAAAGGCAAAGCAGCAGAAGATGGCAAAAACAAAAAAAAAAAATCAAAGATCAATGTCAAGGTGATTGTCAAAAGTCAAACACAAGACTAAGGAACAAAGAAACAATTCTGGCTGTTTAGGCTCTTTTCCAATTTGCTTGATTTTCTATTCCCCAGAGAGGCTTTAAGACAGGAGTCTTCAACATTGGCTGACCATTAGAATCAGCTTGTCCCAAAGCCCAAGAGCCACCACAGAATGACTTAATCAGAATCTCTATGATAGAGTCCAGGAAGTAGTATTTTTTTTTTTTGAGACGGAGTCTCGCTCTGTCGCCCAGGCTGGAGTGCAGTGGCGCGATCTCGGCTCACTGCAAGCTCCGCCTCCCGGGTTCATGCCATTCTCCTGCCTCAGTCTCCTGAGTAGCTGGGACTACAGGCGCCCGCCACCACGCCCGGCTAATTTTTTGTAGTTTTAGTAGAGACGGGGTTTCACCGTGTTAGCCAGGATGGTCTCGATCTCCTGACCTCGTGATCGGCCTCCCTCGGCCTCCCAAAGTGCTGGGATTATAGGCATGAAGGAAGTAGAATTTTTAAGTTACCCGGGTGGTTATAATGATTAGTAAAGGATGAGAACCACTGCTTTAAGGTGCTGAATAGCTTTAAGCAAATATCACAGGATAACCTGAGTCAGAAAGGCTTCTGTGAGAACATGAATGTTGATCAGACTTGCAGGATAAGCAATATGTAGGCTACAGATGGAAGGAAGTTGGGTCTTCTGCAGAGGAGGAATCAAGAACATGAAGTCAATAAGGGATATGGTGGAGATTATATATCTCACTGTGCAAGAGAAGAGACTATCTGATATGACCCAACTGCAATGGAGGGAGAGCCATGGATGGTCTATAAAAATGGCTCAAGGAGGCCGGGTGCAGTGGCTCATGCCTGTAATCTCAGCACTTTGGGAGGCCGAGGCGGGTGGATCATGAGGTCAGGAGTTCAAGACCAGCCTGGCCAAGATGGTGAAACCCTGTCTCTACTAAAAATACAAAAATTAGCCAGGCATGGTGGCAGGTAACTGTAATTCCAGCTACTCGGGAGGCTGAGGTACGAGAATTGCTTGAACACAGGCGGTGGACGTTGCAGTGAACTAAGATCACGCCACTGCACTCCAGCCTGAGTGACAAGAGTGAAATTCCATCTCAAAAAAAAAAATGGATCAAGGAGAGAAAAAGGAGAGCAGTGAGGGTATTGACATTAGGGTCAACCAAGTTGATTTTCTGTGCCATGTTAGAGGTAGTGTAAATCATGAACCCATATTCTTGATGGCTGTTTACTTCTATGTGTTCTTTGCCCCCTCCCACAAATTTTCTAGTAAAGGTTTCCTTTGGCAGGGCATGGTGGTTCAAGTCTAAAATCTCAGCATTTTGGAAAACCAAGATGGGAGGATCACTTGATGCCAGGAGTTCAAGACCAGCCTGGGCAACATAGCCAGATGTCAACTCTCCAAAAATATTTTAAAAATTTAGCCAAGCATGGTGGTGCACCTGTAGTCCCAGGTACTCGGGAAGTTGAGGTGTGAGGATTGCTTTAGCCCAGAGTTCAAGGCTGCAGTGAGTCCTTATTGTGCCACTGCACTCCAGCCTGGATGATGGAGTAAAATCCCCATCTCAAAAAAAAAAAAAAAAAAGAAGTAGTTCCTGAAGTCCAACATGGTAAAAGGCATTCTCTCCTAGTTGAAGAAGATAAACAGGTAATGCCAATAATCTATTTTCAAAGTTTACAAGCCATAGACTTCTTCACAGACCAGGAAATGATAGGTTTCTTAATCAACACGGGCGATGGGCTCCTCACTTAACCATGTACAACATATTTACTGACGTCCCCTGCTTGGCTGCTAGGTAAACATTGATCAAAAACTGTTTGAAAACATGAAACTCAAAGCACCACAAATCCTCACCCAACACATTTCTCTCAGTAGATGAACTATTTCCTGTCCCCCCGCACAAAAATCAAAACCACTGGGAATAAACTCCCCCAACTTCCTGAGCCCCTCCCCACATACATTTCTCTGTCTGTACCAATCCCTACTTTTTTGCCTCTTACAGGAAAAGAGAGGCCTACCTAAGTCAGGCCAAACTTCTGCCTGGCCTCTAAATCTCATCCTGCATCTCCCTAGGAATGCTGCTCTAATAACTAGCCTTTACGTCACTCATATCTCTAACGTCCTATTGGCTCATTCCCCTCTGCACATAAAAATCTGCAAATCTTGCTCATCTGAAACAAACAAAATTTCTACCTTTTTTGAAACTCTATCCCTTCTTGATGTTATCTTTCTTCTCTCCACACATGACCAAGTTTCTACAACAAGTAAACTACACTTGCTATCTCTCCTTCCTCACCACTGATTCTGTCTTCAACTCATAACCTGGCTTTTACTTCTGCTGATTATCTACTGAAATTGTGCTCACCGAAGTCACCAATGTCTTCCTTGTTTCAAAAATATATGGACCCTTCTCAGTTCTTTTTTTCTTTTAGATGTTGTCTTGCTCTGTCGCCCAGGCTGGAGTGCAGTGGCGTGATCTCTGCTCACTGCAACCTCTGCTTCCCAGGTTCAAGTGATTTTCCTGCCTCAGCCTCCCGAGTAACTGGGATTACAGGTGTGCATCACCATGCCCGGCTAATTTTTGTATTTTTAGTAAAGGCAGGGTTTTGGCATGTTGGCCAGGCTGGTCTCGAACTCCTGACCCCAGGTGATCTGCCTGCCTTGGCCTCCCAAACTGCTTGGATTACAGGTGTAAGCCGCCACGCCTGGCCCTTCTCAGTTCTTAACCTCTCAGCAGCCCGTGGTGCTCAACGACTCACTGCATCTTTACGTTTCTTCTTCCTTTGGCTCCGTGATGCCACATTCTCCTGGTTTTCCTCCTACTTCTCTGGCTGCTATTTTTCAGTTTTCTTTCCTGGCTTCCTTAGTCTACCCATATTTAAATACGGGTGTTCCTCCGGATTCCATCCAAGACTCTCTTCTTGCTTTATTCTCTCTGGGAGATCGCACTGACTCCCAAGACATCTACTAACACCTATATGCGTAGGACTTCCAAATCTAGATCTCAGGCCCAGGTCTTTCCTATTAACTTCAGATTCATACATGTAACTACTTGCTAGAAATGTTCACTTTTGATGTTCCACACTGAAGAGTAGTATAGCCTACTGGTTTATAGTGTGGACTCTGGTTTAAATTCTAGCTCTCCATTCACCACCAGGAATAAGCAATTGTATGTCTTAGTGCCTCAATTTTCTCAGCTGTAAGATGGGAATGATAATCGTACCTATCTGTGGGGATTCAGTGAGATGATGAACATAACATGCTCATCACAGGGCCTGGCATGTAACCATGCAATAAATGTTCGTTATTTTTGCTACTTATTACTGCCAATTCAACATCAACAAATTTGTCAACATCAAATTTATCATTTCCACTCCCTCTGAGCTTGTCCCTCCTCCTGTATTCCATCAGCTAGTGGTACCACAATTTCCCCAGTCTAAATCTAGAAACCCAAGAGTCATCCTAATCTTTCCATTCCTCTCTTTGTCGTCCTTCTCCTCTTCTCTTGCTCCTTCCCTCCTTCTTTGCTGCTATTTTGATCACCACTGAGATAAAGTGATTTTACTTCCCTCCACCACTGAATCTGTGCCTATTACTGATATCCTAGATGTAGCTTAAAACCAGGAGGGCTATAAAAGATTTTTTGACAAGAATCTCTGAGAAACTCTTCAAGCCAGATTGGTTGTTCACTTGAATGCCTCTGTAATTCCCAACCCTTCGTAGTATTGTCGATCCATTTTCTGGGCCCCTTCTTAAATGCCAAAATAATTAATCTGGCGGTTGAAAAATTTCAGTTTAAAACACAGGTGAGTCTGGACTTCTGGCTCTTAAGGCCAAGGAACCTCTCCAGTACCTTGTGAACTAAAAAGAGTATGGTTGACTTTCCACTGGAAAAAAAAAAAGCATCATTAAATTTTGTCTTCCTTCTAGAGGTTAACTGGATGAAGGAGAGAGTGCCCAGGCCTCAAAAGAACTTCTGTCTACCCTAAAACAGTGAGCTGGTAGATAACAAAAATAGATAACAAATACAATAATAATAGCTTGACTGGGTACATACTATGTGCCAGATTCTGTGTTCTGTGGTTAAAATGCTTATAACCTCAGAAACCCTGCTGGACAGGTATGATTATGATTCCTGTTTTAGAACTGAGGAAACTGAGAGGTTTACAAGTTAAAGTGACTGTCATGGTCATAAGAATAGTAGAACTAGGCCAGGCACAGTGGCTCACGCCTGTAATCCCAGCTCTTTGGGAGCCTGAGGCGGGTGGATTACGAGGTAAGGAGTTCAAGACCAGCCTGGCCAACATGGTGAAATCCCATCTCTACTAAAACTACAAAAATTAGCCAGGCATGGTAGCAGGCACCTGTAATCCCAGCTACTCGGGGGCTGAGGCAGGAGAATCGCTTGAACCCGGGAGGTGGAGGTTGCAGTGAGCCAAGATAGTGCCACTGCACTCCAGCCCCGGCGACAGAGTAAGACTACATCTCAAAAAAAAAAAAAGAAAAAAAAAGTAGAACTAGAACACAGATTTGCTGATTCCAAAACCCATGCCCTTAATTAATATATTATGTAAAAGTAGTTATTAATAGAAATATCTACCATTTATTGCGCACATACTATGTGCCAGGCACTATGTTCTAACCACTCTACATGTATGATCTCACTGAATGCTCAGAACAAATGAAATAGGTACATACCACTTTAATCCTGTTCTTCAAATAGTCCATAACTGATGTAACCACAGCCCTCTGACTCCTCACAAAAAGTAACACTTGATTGCAAACTTTTGTTCATGCAACTTGCCTCTCAACGGAATATTTTTCATGTTGCATCTAGCCTCGGGTCAACTCCTGGCTATCAGTTCTATGTCACAGTCCCTGGCCCCACCATTCCTCTCACTTCCCATTCAAGTGTACCTTCCTGACTAAGGCTCTCCAGGCCCTCCCTTACTGAGCCCACCACCATACCTAATTAAGAACATCTGTTGGTCTGGAGTCATATGCCCTACGCCAAAAGGGAGCACTCTCTTGACTTTCCCCCTGAAACCTATTTAAATTTAAATGAATTAAAACTGAATAAAATTTTAAATGTAGTTCTTCAGTCATGCACTCTTAATTACTAATAGTCACTGAAATATGCAAATAAGGGCCTGAACCAGAAGGGGATAAGCATAAGAGCCATTGAGAAAGGAAGAAGATTCCCATTGCTTAGGTCACAAGAGAGTGGGAGGGGTGAGATTATTTCAAATTTTTCAGCCTAAATGACTAAAAGAAAAATGGTGGCTGTGGTAGACTAATTAATGGCCCCCAAAGATATCCAGGTCCTAATCTCTGGCACCTGTACATTTTACCTTGTATGACAAAAGGGACTCTGAAGATACGATTAAATTAAGGATCGTGAAATGGGAAATTATCCCGGATTATCTTGATATTGGGAAATTATCCTGGGCTTTCGCAGAGTTTGATTTGAATACAAAGAAGACAATGTGATGCACACAGAAATGTATTTGAAGATGCTACACTATTGGCTTGGAAGATGAAGAAAGTGGCCCTGAGCTAAGGAACGTAAGGAGTTCAGATCTAGAAGCTGGAAGAGGAAAGAAAAGAAATCCTGCACCTGCTTCCCCTGCCAGAGCCTGTACTCTCTCCGGCCTCTGCTGACACCTTGTATTTAGCACAGTGAAACTGATTTCAGAAAAATATGTCCAGCCTCCAGACTGTAAAAGAATAAATTTGTGTTGTTGTAAGCCATTGAAGTTGTGATAATTTGTTACAGTAGCCTCAGGAAATGCATACAGTGTCATCAATAGATTCAAGTTACTCCAGATAAGGATGTGATTCAGCAGGACGAATGAAGTTTAGATTTAGATATGTTAATGTTGAACTAAAGTTTTAGAAAGTAAAAACTGAAATTTGTGGTAAATTCTCAGGGTCATAGATAAATATTTTTGAACTTCACAGCACTTCACAAAATAATGATATCATATGATCCCTCCAAGGGAGTGAGGAGAGTAAGAGAGAGGGACAGACTCAGACACAGAAACAGAGAGACAGAGGAAGAGAAGGAGGAGGCAGCCACAATGGAGATGATGACAACAAAGATGACGACAACAATGACCAAGGAACAAAAGGCAGAGAGAAAAGGAGAATCTATCCCTTCTCAGCCTGACTGGGATATTGAGCTGGGACACCAGTCTTCTCTTGTACTCAGACTGGAATTTATAACATCAGCTTCCCTGGTGCTCAAGCCTTCAGACTCACACTCAGGCTGAAGTACAGCACCAACTTGCCTAGATCTCCAACTTGCAGACAGCAGATCATGGGGCTTCTCAGCCTCCATATTGCATGAGCCAATTCCTTATTTTATATATGTTTTGATGATTCTGTTTCTCTGGAGAGCCCTGACTACACAGGGGTAGAAAATAATGGAGGAAACCCACTGAATAGCATGTTCAAAGAAGGCCTCTCTGGGTTGGTGCAAAGCATTAAGTGAATAAGGTAGATTAAAGAGTGAAAGAGGCCAGGCGCAGTGGGTCACACCTGTAATCCCAGCAGTTTGGGAGGCCGATGCAGATGGATCACTTGAGGTCAGAAGTTTGAGACCAGACTGGCCAACATGGTGAAATATCATCTCTACTAAAAATACAAAAATTAGCCAGGCATGGTGGCGGGTGCCTGTAATTCCAGCTACTCGGGAGGCTGAGGTACGAGAATTGTTTGAACACAGGAGGTGGACATTGCAGTGAACTAAGATCACGCCACTGCACTCCAGCCTGAGTGACAGAGCGGGACTCTGTCTCAAAACAAACAAAAAAGAGTGAAAGAGTGAGTGTGTTGTAAGCAAATGAGGGCAGATTGGTATTTTCAGAAGTTGGCAATACAAGGAAGCAAAGAGATAAGATAGTAGCTCTGAATTGAGAGACTTTTGTTTCACCTTAGAAAACTTGTGAGTAGAAAGTAATGAAGAGAGAGATATCAGAAAAACAAAAATTGATGGAGTGTAGCCCCACCTTAGAAAGGAAAAGGAACGTTAAAAACTTAGGTGGAGAAATTAGATTTATAAAGAAAAGGAACACTTCTTTGCCTGGGCCAGGAAAGAAAAATGACAGAAAACTAAAGATAAAGAGAAAGTCTGGGTAGGTGGAGAAAGTATAACAACAGATGGAAAGGAGGGAATATCTGGTATTCCACGAAGGATAGCCTACATCTTCTCATGAGATACCAAGCAAAATCATCTGCTGAAAGTGTAAGGAAGTAGGAATCAGAGTCTGTACGCAGAAAATGTCTGGAACATGCATTATGGTGAACATGATGGGATGTCATCAAAGATGAACAGAACAATCACTGATGGGAGTATTAATGGTAGAGAGTGGGTAAGGAATGTTCATGCTTTTCTTCCACAATTATCATCACAGAGATGCTGAGAAAGCCAGTAACAGAGATTACTGTGTTAAACATGGGGCAGAGTCAAAGGGTGTAGGGTTCAGGGATATTGGAGCAAACATTAGTGACACGGTTGGCCATGGGATGCCTGGTAGGTGGGAAGTTAAGGACAGCCAGAAGAACATTGTGAACTAGGAAGGGTTGAAAAGCTAGAGTTGTGATATGGGGAAAAAAGCAGGTTCAATGTGAATGAGAGAGTAGGAAAGTTAAAAAAAAAAAAACCACAGGTTAGAGGGAGAGAGGGATAGCTCTGATTTTGAGATTACAGAGATGAAATAACCCAAAGTTCAGAAATGTCCAACATCTGATTGTCATTGGCTGAAGAGGAGTAGGGAGGAATCATGTAGTTGGTGAGGGTCAGGTTTGTACTGGCCATCCACCCAGATGACATGGAATAAGATCGAAGGAAGACAAGTGAGGCAGGTACAGAAGTCAAGGAATATATGAAAAAAGTCATAGAGATGAGTGGACAAGAACAGTAGGACAAGCTTCTCATAGACTGTCTATATTCCTACAGTTCCCAGATTTCATCATACCACTTCTCCTTACAAACCCAAGAAATAAGGATTGTTTATCACATTGTGGATGATGAAACTAAGGTCGACAAAATTTAAATAGAAACTCGAAGTTCACAGAGCAAAATCTGTGTCAAAAACTAGAATCCGGCAATAAAATAGAGCTTCGTGTGCTTTCCAAGTTATTAGATGTCACCACCTTCCACTTACAATTTTTGCCTATCCAGACCCTGGTCCCTGAGTTCTACCTATCCATTTATGCCTCTGTTTTGCTGGAAAGGTGGTAAACATGGGTGATTAGGCTTCAATATGAGTGGATGAACTATTACTATTTTCTTCTTGTTTTCAAGGATATTCTGAAGCAACCATTCCTAGAAAGGTAATAGAGGAGAGAGGCGACTTCCCACTTATTACTGTATTAAGCATAAATGCCATGAGAAAGGGCAAGTTTACTGGGATTTATTAGGCTTCCTTAAAGCATTAAAAACATGCTGATACATTCACACATTTCATATTTTACCTAGTGCTTTGTATAAATACAGGTGTCACCAACACTAAGAAGAGATAATATTTAATTTAAAGCAGAGGGAAGAAACTGACAGCAATTTTATAAGCGATAACAAGATCTGTGAAAGGAACATCCTTTACAAGCTGCCACTGCCAAAGAATAACACAAGCACAGACTCAGAACACATCACTCTTGTCTGGTAGCGACATTGTTGTGAGAAAAAGGTTGCTAAATGCCATCCAAATTTTATCTTCATTGAGCTTTCTTGAGGAACAACAAAGCCAACTATAGAATGGCCCATCCTCCCCTCAAAAAGGTAGACATTTCTGGAACCTGGAGGGCTTTTAAATATTTCAATTCCTTCTTGGCTATATGAAATCTTGCTCAAGAAGCTGAAAAGAGGCTGGGCATGCTGGCTCATGCCTGTAATCCCAGAACTTTAGGAGGCCATGGTGGGCAGATCACATGCGGCCAGGAGTTCAAGACCAGCCTGGGCAACAGGGCAAAACCTTGCCTCTACTAAAAATACAAAAGTTAGCCAGGGGTGGTAATGCACGTCTGTAATCCCAGCTACTCAGGAGGCTGAGGCAGGAGAATTGCTTGAACCTGTTGAACCTTGGAGGTGGAGGTTGCAGTGAGCCGAGATCACACCACAGCACTCCAGCCTATGTGACAGAGAGAGACTCTGTCTCAAAAAAAAAAAAAAAAAAAAAAGTAGAGAAAGAATACAAGTTGAAAGGAGCTATTTAGTTCAATAAGGTTGATTGATTGATGTCATCATATAAGATTAAATATAATTAACTACTTTTTCAATTAATAACTTGCATGATGATGAGGATGATGATGATAGCTAGCAGGTTATGGGGTATGTACTATGTGTATCAGCCACTAGCCTAAGCATTTTTAACTTAAACATATTCAACTGCCTACTTGATATCACTACTTGTTTGTCTCTCATAGGCACCTAAACCTTACCATGTCTAAAATAAGACTCTTAAAGACAGAAAGCATTCAGGGAGGTTACTTTCTAATAGGAAGAGAGAAACAATAAATGAGCAAACAAAAACATGTTAGGTAGTAATAACCACTCCAAAGAAAATAAATAGTGATATGATAGTGATTAGGTATAAGAGGGCAAGTGTAGCTACTGTAGATGGGATGGTTAGGAAAGACCTAAGAGAAGAGGTAACCTTTCATCTTGAGACCTGAATAATGAGAATCAGCCAGCCATGAGGAAACCTGGGAGAAAACATACCAGGCAGAAGGAATAAAAGTGCAAAGGCTTCATTACAGGACGGAGCTTCATGTGCCTAAGGAACAGAAAGAGGCCAGTGTGACTGTAGCTGGGTTACTAATGGAGGTTACAGGGTGGGGAAGTAGCACAAGAGGAGATAAGAGAGGTAGGCAGTGGCCAGATTGTGCAGGACCTGATCTGATATGCCATGATAAGGAGCTTGGATTGTATTCTAAGTGCAATGGGGAGTTACTGAAGGATTTTTGCTGGGGGGCAATGGGATATGATCTTATTTCATTTCCACTGTATAGACAGCTGAAAGATTCAAATGAAAGCATGGTTACCAAACCGTAGGCTGTTGCAGTCGTCCAGGCTAGAGATGATGGTGACTTGGAGGAGGGGGTTAATGCTAGAAGTTGTGACAGGTAATCAAATTCTGAATGTATTTTAGAGACAAAAGAGAGATTGACCAGATGTGAGAGGTAAGAGAGAGGGAAGTGTGAAGAATGAGTCCCCATTTCTGCTTAAGTAATTGAGGAGATGGTGGTAAAAACTATCTAAAGTGGCAAAGACATGAGCAAAGAGAAGGTTTGGAGATAGCATGGAGGCAATCATGATTCTGTTTGGAGCATACTAAGTCTGAAAAGCTAGTGAGACATCCAAGTGGAAATGTCAAGTAGGCAAGCAATCACAAAGAAAGGTGGAATGTCTAAATCAATTTGCATCAATTACATTTTCCTCCAAATAATTACACAAATTATTAATGTTTGTCACCCCTGCTAAAATGTAAGCTCTTTGAGGGTTGCAATTTTGTCTGTGTTATTCCCCGGGAATTTCCAGTATGAAGTACAGTGCCTGGGAAAAAGTAGATACCCAATAAATACTTGTGGAAGGAAGGGACAGAGCGTGGTGAGATGAATGGATAAAAAGAAATTAATTTTCTAATTAGGTCAGGTTTTATGCAAGATCCACTCTCTGCTCTTTCTCAAGGAGAAAGACTAATCTGGTTGACAAGATTTACAGACATTTTGGGGGAACCACGTTTTGTAGAGGTAGAACTTTAAAAGAGGCCAAAGACTGATTACAGACTCTCCCTGTTCTTCCCACACAACAGGAATGATAAGGACCAGAGCTAGCTCTCCTATGTGGGAAAGCCAAGCAGTCTCCTTTCCTTTAACTAATTTTCCAAAATAGAGAATAGCTATTCTCCAGCCAAGCAAATTCAAGTACATACACTCCTCTTCAAGAATCTCCAATTTGCTTGCATTATTTCAGGGATCTGTAAACTATGGCCCTTGGGCCAAATTCATCCCTGTGTGTTTTTGTATGGTCTTAGAGCTAAACAGTTTTTACATTTTCGAATGATGAAAAAAAAATCAAAAAAAGAGTCTTTCATAAAACATGAAAATTATATTAAATTCAAATTTCAGTGTCCATAAATAAAGTTTTATTAGGAAACAACCACATTTTCTCATTTAAGTATTGTCTACTGCTGCTTCTTTGCTACAGCAGCAAAGTCAAATAGTTTTGAGAGAACATTTGGCCTGCAAAGGTGAAAATATCGACCATGTAGCCCTTCATAGAAAAAGTTTGTAGACTCCTGCATTATTGCATTTCATGTTTACCACAATATATATACATATATGTATATATTACTTGCGTGATGTTTTCATTCCCAGCTTAGAGAAGATAATGGTAAGACTTAAAACAGAGAGTTAGTAGTACAACTTGGATTCAAACTCAACCAACTCAAGAACAAAAATGTCAATAACAATAATAAATAATGTCAACTACCACTAACTAGATGCTCACAAAATGCTAGAAGCAGTACTAAGGAGTGTCCATGCACTTAATTCTTTAATTTTGTAACTTTCACCACAACCCAATATAAAAGGTATTACTATTATGATCTCCATTTTATGGACGAGGAAATTGAGGCCTAGAGAGGTTAAAAGATTTGGCTAAAGTCTCAATTAAGACAATCAGGATTTACGGTTAATTCTGAAAGCAACTGAACCTTGGGGTTCATCTAACCAGAAAACAGAAAGCTCGCTGTAGATACTGATCAGGTCAAATATGACATGGAAAGGCATGAAAGATCCTCTTTCTGCTCTTCCTCATACCACAGAGCTGGTGTTCAGGTTTCAGCATGTCAGGTGGCTATGTGGAGATGATTGAAATTTAGTTCAGGTGAGAGGCCTGAACTGAAGAGATTAGAAGTAGGAGTCATAAGTGCAGATGGGCTCACCCACAGATAGTAAGCAGAGTGACCAGAGAACTGGTTCAAATATGGGAACTCAAAGAAACATCAACATTATGAGAGAGACTCAGAGAAAATGAGTGAGTGGCTGGAGAGAGATGAGGAAAATCAAGAGAGAACGAACTCATGGAAGCCAAGAAAAGACAAATTCTCCAGACAAGAGTGCTCAGACTGCAGGGGGTTGAGCAGGTAAGAAGAAAGAGCAAAAGAGGATAAGGTAAGCTGGAGAAAAGTTATAAAGAAGGCCAGGCGTGGTGGCTCACACCTGTAATCCCAGCACTTTGGGAGGCCGAGGCAGGCGGATCACCTGAGGTCAGGGGTTCAAAACCAGCCTGGCCAACTTGGAGAAACCACGTCTCTACTAAAAATACAAAAATGCACCGGGTATGGTGGTGCGTATCTATAATCCCAGCTGCTCAGGAGGCTGAGGCTGAGGCAGGAGAATCACTTGAACCTGGGAGGAGATTGCAGTTAGCCGAGATCGTGCCACTGCACTCCAGCCTGGGCAACAGAGCAAGACTCTGTGTCCCACAAAAGAAAAGAAAAGATGATAAAGAAAATCATAAGGAAGAAAAATATATTTACTATTCATTAAGTGGAAGTGGATCATCATAAAGGTCCTCATCTTCATCGTCTTCACATTGAGTAGGCTGAGGTGGAGGAGGAAGAGGAGGGCTTGATCTTGCTGTCTCAGGTGTGGCAGAGGTGGAAGAGGTTGAAGGGGAGGCAGGAGAGGCAAACACATTCGGTGTAATTTTTACTGAAAAAAGTACAAGTGGACCCACACAGTTCAAACCCATGTTGTTCAAGAAACAAATGTGTATGTATACACAAAAAGAAAATAGCCCGTATAGAGGAAGATGTAACTATAAATTTTATACAACCCTAAATCAATAACATCTGACTTAAAACTAAGTCCACACCTCTCCTGTAGTGTAAATTGCGTGGTGTTGTGACTATTACAGCCCTGATGATCTGAGGTCCTTCTCACTTGCAGTCACTATTATGCCGGCGACTCAGGTTTCCAGAAGCCAGACTGCCAGACATATGTGGTGTTGTGATCTCTCTACCCCCCTCTACCTGGAGGTCGGTATTCTGACACCTCCAACATCCAGAAAGTCATAAAATCTGAAGGACTGTTTTGTTTTGTTTTCTTTTCTTTTCTACATCTCTTCCAGAAAACAGCTGCTGAAGAGTGGGTAATGACAAAAATAGCCAAGAAAACTCAAGTACTAAGGTTATAGCCAATGCAAAAGAAGGTTTATTGCTTAGTAATGACCTGAAAAAAAGTAAATCGGAGATACAAAAGCTCAGAAGCAAGGAAGAAACAGGGAAAGAGACAGAAAAGAAATTAGAAAAAAATACAAAACAAGAGAAGAAAAAAGTGGAGGAAAAAGTGAAAGGAAGCGGTGGTGTAGCTAAAGCAGGAGGAGTCCCGCAGAGCAGGGCTGGGGTTGGCACGCAGCGGTGATGCTCGTGGATACTCACAGGCTTGCTTCCTGGGCACATGCGCAAGAACTTCCCTAGAGCACATTCCTAGAAGTCAAATAGCTAGATCACAGGGTGTGCAGAAGTTCAACTTTAACTGAGTTTCCAAAGTGGTGATTCCCAACAAATCCATAGTGACAAAAAGGACGTCAGTGGTTGCCTGCGACTATGGGTTGGGAGAAGTGACTAGCTGCAGAGAGGTAGTGTTTGTATATTTATGTAAATTCATTAACCTCTACATTTTAAACTAGGTGTATTTTATTGTACATAAACTATATTTCATTCAATGAAATTAGACTCAGCTGGGTCCAGTGGCTCACAGCTGTAAGCCCAGCACTGTGGGAGGCTGAGGCAGGTGGATCACTTGAGCCCAGAAGTTTGAGACAAGTCTGAGCAACACTGCGAAACCCTGTCTCTATAAAAAGTACAAAAATTAGTTGGGCCTGGTGGCCCACGTCTGTAGTCCCAGCTAATGGGGAGGCTGAGGTGGGAGGATCATCTGAGCCCAGGAGGTCAAGGCTGCAGTAGGCCGTGATTGTGCCACTGCACTCCAGCCTGGGCAATAGAGTACGAGACCCTGCCTCAAGGGAAAAAAAAGAAAAAAGAGAAAAAAAATCATCTCATTATCAATACATTCTTAATTATTGTATTTTTATAGTAAGCCTTGGAAGGACAAGCCCCCACCTACTCCATCCCCATACCCAGCCTGGTTCTTTTTCTTTGGGTGTGTGCTGGTTTTATCTTTGGGAGTGTATTATTAGCCCTTGGCTCTTCCATATAAATTTTAGAAGCAGCATATCAAATTCTATGGAAAACTCTATTGAGAATTTGAATGGAATTGTGTTAAATCTGTAGATGAATTTAGTAATTCTGGTATTTCTAGTAGTGAGACTTCCTATCCACGGTATATCTCTCTGTTTTTACAATGCTCCCCATAAAGAACTTTAATTCTTGGCTGCCTTATATTTGTGATTGCTATCAAATGTTTTCTTTTTTATTGTACTTTTTAACATTTTGAATAATTGTTCCTGGTGAATAGAAATGCAATTGATTTATGTACATTGATTTTTTAAATCTGTCAGTCTTGCTAAATTCTAATTAGTTATAATAATTACCCTTAGATATTTAAATCTTCCAAGCAGAAAATCATATAATCTACTAATAATGGTAGTTTATTTCCTCCTTTCCAATTATTGTATCTTTTGTTTATTTTTCTTGTCTTCATAAAGTGACTAGAACCTCAAGCATAATATTAAATAAACGTAAGTAATGAGAGTCAGCATCTTTGTCTCTTAACTTGAAAGGAATATTTTCAATATTCTCCCATCAGAAATTATGTGGAGGGCAGACGGGGTGGCTCAAGCCTATAATCCCAGCACTTTGGCCAAGAATGGGGAGGACCGCTTGAGGCCAGGAGTTCAAGACCAGCCTGGGAAACATGATACAATCTTGTCTCTACAGAAAAATAATTTGTTTTAATTAGCTCAGCATAATGGCAGGTGCCTTTACTTCTAGCTGCCTGAGAGGCTCAAGTAGGAGAATTACATAAGCCCGAGAGCTCAAGATAACAGTGAGCTATGATCATGCCACTGCACTCCAACCTGGGATGAAGAGCAATGCCTTGTCTCAAAAGAAAAAAAGAAAAAGAAAAAAGACGTTCAGTGTAGGATTTTTACAGATTTCCTGCATCAAGTTACACAGAAGTTCCCTTTTATTTCTGGTTTGAAAAGCTTTTTTCAAAAAAATAAATGGACTTTGAATTTTGCCTGATGCTTTTTTACATCAATTGACATCATCATACATTATTTTCTGTTAATATAGTGAATTACATTAATTGATTTTCTTTTTCTTTTCTTTTCTTTTTTTTTTTTTTTTTTTTTTTTGAGACAGAGTCTTACCCTGTTGCCCAGGCACAATCTCAGCTCACTGCAACCTCTGCTTCCCAAATTTAAGTGATTCTCCTGCCTCAGTCTCCCAAGTAGCTGGGATTACAGGCACCCTCCACCACACCCGGCTACTTTTTGCATTTTTAGCAGAGATGGGGTTTCACCATGTTGGCCAGGCTGATCTCAAACTCCTGACCTCAAGCATTCCACCCGCCTCGGCCTCTCAAAGTGCTGGGATCACAGGCGTGAGCCACCGCGCCCGGCCGATTTTCTAATATTAAATCGACCTTACATTTCTAGGGTAACCTCTGCTTGGTTCTGAAGAATTATCTTTTTTATACTTTGTTGGGTTTTATTTTATAATATTTTGTTTGAGATTTTTAAACGTGTTCATAAGTGACTTAGTCCTGTAATTTTCCTTTCCTTAAATTATCTTTATCTGATTTTGTTATCAAGGTTTTATTGACTCCACAGAAAAAGTTGCGGTGTATTCCCCATCTTACTTTCTCTAAAATAATTTGTATAAAATTGAAATTATGTCTTCTTAAAGTGTTAGGCTGAACTCTCCTTTGAACAATCTGAGCCTGCTGTTCTCATCACAGGATGATTTGAACTACTGATTTTATTTCTTTAATACTTACAGGACTAGTTATCATTCACCATCACATTAAGGTGTGGCTTTTGGGATCCCAGCTTTATGCAGGGATTTCCTGTAAAACTGTCTGTCTAGGCTCTAGGCTGCACCTTCTGTTCCTGACCCCTAAGCAGTTACTAACGGGGAGGAGGAGCTCAAGTTCTCCAGAGTTGAGAAAAAGTCCTCAGGGAAAATGCCAGTTTGGAGGCTGGTTTACTTCTCAGGATTCCTCCTGTTTTCAACTACTTTTGGCCTCTGTAGAATCCTTCCTTTTGTGCCAGCTCAGCAAAGTCTGCCATATGTTGGTAATGAAAGTTTCTGCAAACTTCTCAGAGACTAAAAAAGTATGTTCTGTGAAATCTCAAAGTGGGGCACTACTATAGAGAGTTTCTGAATTTATTTGACCACAGAAACCTTTTCTCTCAGAGAACCTTGAGGAACAAATGTTCCATAGATCACAACTTGGGAAACACTGTGATCAATGATCTGGAAGTACTCTTCCACCTCCAACATGCTATAATTCTGTCCCTTTGTGCCTTCAGAGAAAAATCCCAGGGTTCTGAGAGAGGAAAACTATTCAGTTATTCACTTTGAGGCAGTTGGGTTAGCGTTGTCCATGACAGCTTTGAAATTTTAAGCATTCAGGGCACCAAAACATGACAAAGTTCATACAGGAGACATTTTTCAGCCTCTGGCGGTTACAGAGCACATCAGGCAGTAACCATTTTTATATCAGGGTAATTCTTATAATCAAATATTGACACTTCTGGCTAAATACATGTAATTAAACACACACATTTATCTCCATTTTCTCCTGAATCCCCACTGCAATGACAGTAAGTGAATAATAAATGCGTAAACCCATATGTACAAAGAGAACGGGAGAAGAGGCAACAGAAAACAAAAGAAGTAAACATCTTAGAAAACTGGAAAGCCAAAAACTAGGCAGTAACTGACAGCAGATTAAAGAAAGTTGAAATATAAACCTTCATTAAGAGTACTCATCAGTGCACAAGCTTATCTGGACCTCAAAAGTCCTGGGAAGGCACAAGAATTAGAGGTGCAAGATATAACTAAAAGAAGGGATGCAAAATGGGGCTGATAACAGACAACTACTTACTACTACTCCAGGATCAATTTCTAGTAAGGTTAAACCAGACATAATCTGTACCTGGAGACACTAAGAACAGTTGAAGATACAAGTGAAGGATGGAAATGAAAGGCATTAAATGAATGGCCACATAGTGAATGGTGAAACCCTCAGCTCCCTTCCCTCATGTATCTTTGACAATACCTGCAGACATGATTATACTGCCCAGGCAGGAAATTGAAAGGTACCTCTATGGGGATACAGAGTGGTCCATGAGAAAATATCTATAGATATTAATACGCCACCCAAATTAATAAGTTGTGTCCCCACACAATCACCCAATGTGATTTTTTTACTAGTTGACAAGTCAATGTGCATGTCCATTTATGTCCTTTAATATGTAATAATGGTGCATGCTTAAATATAAAAAGACAACCAGGAATCACCAAACATTTCAGGAAAACCACTGACAGGAAACAGTTTAAAAAAAAAAAAAAAACCACTAAGGCAATAGAAACAATGTGGGGCGTAGTAGATAAAGGCTATAATTAATATCTCCAGAAAGATAAAAGGAGATATTACATCCATGAAACAAAAACAGTAGGTTATAAAAAGGAACATCCAGAAAACAGGAAAAAGCTCTAAGAAAATAAAAATATGAAATAAAATGTAGATTTTGAATTTTCTTAAATCTTCATAATTTTAAAGAGAAACATGACGGAAATCTTCTAAGAGGTAGAACGAAAAAAGTTATAAAATAGAAAAAATGAAAACATTCACCTTGGGAAAACTGGATAAAGAGCACATGGGAACTCTACATAAAGCAAATATTATTTAAATGTAAGACATGTAAAAAGTATAGTTATTGAAAAAAAAATGCTTCAACAGTTCTCCATTGCAGGCCGGGTGCGGTGGCTCATGCCTGTAATCCCAGCACTTTGGGAGGCCGAAGCAGGCGGATCATGAGGTCAGGAGATCGAGACCATCCCGGCTAACACGATGAAACCCTGTCTCTACTAAAAATACAAAAAATTAGCCGGGTGCGGTGGCGGGTGCCTGTAGTCCCAGCTACTCGGGAGACTGAGGCAGGAGAATGGTGTGAACTCGGGAGGCGGAGCTTGCAGTGAGCCTAGATAGCACCACTGCAGTCAGGCCTGAGGGAAAGAGCAAGACTCTGTCTCAAAAAAAAAAAAAAAACAGTTCACCATTGCCTATAAGTGTGCTATCCTGCTATTCGATATTGTACCCACTAGATCATGTGGATATCAAGCATTTGACATGTGGCTGGTGTAATGTGAAATATGCTGTAAGTGCAAAATTCACACTGGATTTTATAGACTTAATATGAAAATTAAGAATGTAAAATATCTCACTATTTTTATATTGATTACATGTTGAAATTTTAATATTTTGGATATATTAGGTTAAATAAAATATACTATCAAAAATGAAAAAAGGAAGGAAAATGAAGTCTTCACAGAGTGAGCTCTGCCTGCATTGACCTGAAGCTGCCACTACTCACAAATCCCAGTCACACAGAACTGTTTGCCAGCAGTCAGTGGAAAGAAGCATAACCAGTTTCCAATTGGGGCAGGGACCGAGCTAGACAGAATGAAGCTATGTTGGCCTGGGCTGTTAGCCAGTAGGGGGAGTGGACACATGTCATCCTTGGCTATCTTCCTCATGTGTCTAGTTTTCACACTGCTTCCTCTGATGTCTTTTCATCATAGTCAGCAGAAAACCTTTACAATATTTGTTGAAAAGGCACCCCTTTTAGAGATTATGTTCACAGAGACCAACCTCTCCCTGTGCTCCTCTCATCTCAACCCAGCTCTACTCCTGACAGTGCGATGCCCAGTGTTTTACATTCAAGGTAATGGAGTTCTGCATCCCAATTTTTTACACCACTGGAGGAAGGTGTCTCAGTAAGTTCATATCCTAAAGATCATTACACTATGTCCAAAGGGCAAGAACCCAACAGGAAAAGATGGTCAAACGGCACTTAACCAAAAAGAAAATCCAAGTGGTTCTTATACATAAGAAAATACATGCAATCTCGCTGATAATGATATAAATGCAAACTCAAACAACTTAAATATAAATGCAAAATCAAACAACTTTTTCATCTATCAGACTGGCAAAAATCAACTTTGACAACTCATTACATAATGAAGCTATAAAGGCATTCTAATACATTGCTGGTGGGATCATATTAATAATCCACATGCTTCTATGGAGGGCAATTTGGCAACATATAGAACACAGTTATTACAAATGCACTTACCCTTTGATCCAGCTATTCTTTTTTAGGAATTTATCCTACAGATATACTTGCAAACACATGGAGGCAAAGGACTGAGAAAAAAAGCAATTTCATCAATCGGGATTTAGTTAGAAAAATAGGCACACGCAGTAAATAGAATAATATACTGCCGTAAAAAGGAATGATAAGTCTCTCTATATATATTGACACTGAAATATATATATAGTTATAGTTATAGTTATAGTTATAGACATGGGATCTTGCTATTCTGCCCAGGCTGGTTTTGAACTCCTGGGCTCAAGTGATCCTCCTGCCTCAGCCTCCCAAAGTGCTGGGATTACAGGCATGAGCCACCATGCCCAGCTGACACTGAAATATTATTCAGGAATCTTGTTAAGTGAAAAAAGCAAAATGCAGAATACTATGTATACCATACTACTGTCTGTGTAAAAAGAGATGTGGATAATCATTAATTCATATTTGTTTGTATAAGCAAAAAAAGAGTCTAGAGTTATGCATAAGAAACCAAAAACAGTGTTTTGGAGGAATCTCACGAAAATTCTTTTCCTTCCCCTCAGGAGCTCATGACCTTCTGTCAAATATCTGCCCTTTCCCAATTCTCTTCATCCACCAATCTTTTAGAGGAAGTAAAAAACACCCTCCCCCAACTCTATGAGGCACCCCTTTATACTCCTGTATGCCCTTCAACATCCTATTGATCTCCCCAACTTGTGCTGATAAACTATGTTGAATTGATTTGCTAATACCTTCCAGGGCAGCCAGGTGCAGTGACTCACGCCTCTAATCCCAACACTTTGGGAGGCTGAGGCAGGACGATCCCATTAAGCCAGGAGTTCGAGATCAGCTTGGGCAACATAGCGAGACCCCACCTCTAAAAAAAAAATGTGCAGAGCATGGTGGCACATACCTTAGTCCCAGCTACTCCATAGGCTGAAATGGGAAGATAGCTTGAGCCCAGGAGTTTGAGGCTGCAGTGACCTATGATCATGCTACTGCACTCCAACCTGGGTAAAAACAAAAAAGAAAACACTGGGGTGGGGGTGGGGGGAAATAGCTTCCCAAGGCAGTACTTTCAGAACCCTTAAGGTAAATGGTAGGTGTTTGGAGGTTCATACCTTATGAAGCTAATTAGAGGACCAGGGCTGAGAAAGAAGGAGCTACCCTTTGTGTATTTATGGATTTGCAAAGACCTTGCATTTTGCAAAAATCCACTTAGTAAATGAAAGATCCAATACAAGCTAATATTGCCCACTGAAATCAAGTCCTCAAATTTTTAAGAACAAAACCCCATAAAGATCTGCATTAGAGTCTGAGACTTTAGCAATTTTAACCTATGACAAAGATTTCTGTGAGATTTGAAGGGCATTTATTGAAAAGAAAATACAGCATTTGCTTTTATAACTTTATCCCCAAGCTCCACCTTCCCGCCAACATCCAGCTCCTTTCAAAGGACTGAACTTCTCCCTTGGATACACTCCTACTATTGGAGGAAAAAGGCAGTGCTAACATCCAACCCGGAGAGAGTTAGATATGAATGCTTTTGAAAGAGGTGAAGATTGAGCAGGAACAAAAGAAGATGAAGCTTGCCGAAGTAAAGAACAAGGCAGGAAAGGCTCAATGGGGCCACTGCTTCTTTTGTTGGAGATGATGGCATTGGTGAAAAACAATAAGCTGGGACCACTAAAGCCTTTGAAATCCCTTCACAGCCAAAGCTCTGCAGGTACATCATGGCAGCCTTTTCTAAGTGAGAGCCTCTGCCAGGCTAGGCTAAGTGGGTATGTGACACATTGGAATGCGCTTGCTTCTTTCTCAGCGAAGGCTATTAAATGCTAGGTTGATTTTTTTCTTTGTTTGTTCTTTCAAAGGGGGTGAAGAATAAAGACTGTTTATAAAAAGGCTGGCACTTTGAAGGAAGGAGAAAAAATACCCACTGACAGACATGAAAACATACAAGTTCACAGACTTTCAATCACTCTCAGCACCTCCTGTACATCATGAGCCACCTTTCATTTTCTTATCTCTGGATACAAATGGCTGTCATCATATTTCTTCAGCACATTAAATATCTCTCTGACCCCTGCCATCCAGAAACACAAATACTGTAGACGATACAAATGTTCAATTGCTAGGAAACATTCTTACCTTCCACTCCGCTACTTTACTTAGCACTTCTTACCTATGAGACTGTATTTTCACAACAAATGTGAGATCTGAAGCATTCTTCCCAGCAGGCAGAGCGGGAGGCAATAGTTTTGGCTAATGTCCATCTAAGCAGGTGCTTTCCAGTCCTGGTTTTGATAACAAAACACAGTATTTTCCTATATGTTAAGGTGGTCTTGCAAAGTCTCAATGAAAATCCGCTCTACTTTTTGAAAGCCTTGTAACACAGTGAGAAAACTGGACAAGTGATTATAACTTCAGTGAAAACATCAGTTAGCAGGGTAAAAAGGCAAGGCAGCCACAGCTAGCAAAATATCTGGAAGCATTTGATTAATTCTTTCATTTGGCATACATATATTACACTCCTGCTATGTCGCAAGTACACTGACAAGTGCAGGATACAGTGCTTGCCCTCAAGGTGATTAAAATCTGCTAAGTGGAGACAGATTCATCAACAGATGAACACAGTAGAGTGTAACGATGGAAGTCTACCCTGGGCATCAAGGAAGCTGAGGAAATAGGAGGTGATCTTTAAGGAATGCATAGGTACTAACCAATTGGATGAAGGTGGGGTGAGGGTGAGGGGATGTGGGTATGAAGGGTGTATTTCAAGCAGACGGAATGGCACAAGCAAAGGCACAGAAACAAGAAACAGCCTGAGGTTTCCAGGGAATAAAAAAGAATTCTATATGGCTAAAGAACAAGCTCTAAGATGGCCGAATAGGAACAGCTCCAGTCTACAGCTCCCAGCATGAGCGATGCAGAAGACGGGTGATTTCTGCATTTCCATCTGAGGTACAGGGTTCATCTCACTGGGGAGTGTTGGACAGTGAGTGCAGGACAGTGGGTGCAGCCCACCAAGCGAGAGTTGAAGCAGGGCGAGGCATCGCCTCACCTGAGAATTGCAAGGGGTCAGGGAATTCCCTTTGCTAGCCAAGGGAAGCTGTGACAGACTGCACCTGGAAAATCAGGTCACTCCCACACTAATAACTGCGCTTTTCCAATGGTCTTAGCAAACGGCACACCAGGAGACTATATCCCGTGCCTGGCTCAGAGGGTCCCACACCCATGGAGCCTCACTCATTGCTAGCACAGCAGTCTGAGATCAAACTGCAAAGTGGCAGCGAGGCTGGGGGAGGGGTGCCCGCCATTGCTGAGGCTTGAATAGGTAAACAAAGCAGCCAGCAGCCGGGAAGCTCGAACTGGGAGGAGCCTACTGCAGCTCAAGGAGGCCTGCCTGCCTCTGTAGACTCCACCTCTCGGGGCAGGGCATAGCTGAACAAAAGGCAGCAGAAACTTCTGCAGACTTAAATGTCCCTGTCTGGCAGCTTTGAAGAGAGTAGTGATTCTCCCAGCACAGAGTTTGAGATCTGAGAACGGACAGACTGCCTCCTCAAGTGGATCCCTGACCCCCGAGTAGCCAAAAAGGGAGGCACCTCCCAGGAGGGACAGACGGACACCTCACACGGCCAGGTGCCCCTCTGAGACAAAGCTTCCAGAGGAATGATCAGGCAGCAACATTTGCTGTTCTGCAATATTTGCTGTTCTGCAGCCTCCACTGGTGATACCCAGGCAAACAGGGTGTGGAGTGGACCTCCAGCAAACTCCAACAGACTTGCAGCTAAGGGTCCTGACTGTTAGAAGGAAAACTAACAAACAGAAAGGACATCCACACCAAAACCCCATCTGTACATCACCATCATCAAAGACCAAAGGTAGATAAAACCAAAAACGTGGGGAGAAACCAGAGCAGAAAAGCTGAAAATTCTAAAAATCAGAGCGCCTCTTCTCCTCCAAAGGGACGCAGCTCCTCGCCAGCAACAGAACAAAGCTGGACGGAGGACGACTTTGATGAGTGGAGAGAAGAAGGCTTCAGACAATCAAACTTCTCCAAGCTAAAGGAAAATGTTCCAACCCATCACAAAGAAGCTAAAAACCTTGAAAAAAGATTAGATGAATGGCTAACTAGAATAACCAGTGTAGAAAAGTTCTTAAATGAACTGATGGAGCGGAAACCGTGGCATGAGAACTACGTGACGCATGCACAAGCTTCAGTAGCCAATTCGATCAACTGGAAGAAAGGTTATCAGTGATGGAAGATCAAATGAATGAAATGAAGCGAGAAGAGAAGTTTAGAGAAAGAAGAGTAAAAAGAAACAAACGAAGCCTCCAAGAAATATGGGACTATGTGAAAAGACCAAATCTATGTCTAATTGGTGTACCTGAGAGTGACAGGGAGAGTGGAACCAAGTTGGAAAACACTCTGCAAGATATTACCCAGGAGAACTTCCCCAATCTAGCAAGGCAGGCCAACATTCAAATTCAGGAAATACAGAGAACACCACAAAGATACTCCTTGAGAAGAGCAACTCCAAGACACATAATTGTCAGATTCACCAAAGTTGAAATGAAGGAAAAAAATGTTAAGGACAGCCAGAGAGAAAGGTCGGGTTACCCACAAAGGGAGGCCCATCAGACTAACAGCTGATCTCTCGGCAGAAACTCTACAAGCCAGAAGAGAGTGGGGGCCAATATTCAACATTCTTAAAAGAAAAGAATTTTCAGCACAGAATTTCATATCCAGCCAAACTAAGCTTCATAAGTGAAGGAGAAATAAAAGCCTTTACAGACAAGCAAATGCTGAGAGATTTTGTCACCACCAGGCCTGCCTTACAAGAGCTCCTGAAGGAAGCACTAACATGGAAAGGAACAACTGGTACCAGCCACTGCAAAAACATGCCAAATTGTAAAGACCATCGAGGCTAGGAAGAAACTGCATCAACTAACGAGCAAAATAACCAGCTAACATCATAATGACAGGATCAAATTCACACATAACAATATTAACCTTAAATGTAAATGGGCTAAATGCTCCAATTAAAAGACACAGACTGGCAAATTGGATAAACAGTCAAGACCCATCAGTATGCTGTATTCAGGAAACCCATCTCACATGCAGAGACACAGATAGGCTCAAAATAAAGGGATAGAGGAAGATCTACCAAGCAAATGGAAAACAAATAAAAAGCAGGGGTTTCAATCCTAGTCTCTGATAAAACAGACTTTAAACCAACAAAGATCAAAAGAGACAAAGAAGGCCATTACATAATGGTAAAGGGATCAATTCAACAAGAAGAGCTAACTATCCTAAATATATATGCACCCAATACAGGAGCACCTAGATTCATAAAGCAAGTTCTTAGAGACCTACAAAGAGATTTAGACTCTGACACAATAATAGTGGGAGATTTTAACACCCCACTGTCAATATTAGACAGATCAACGAGACAGAAAGTTAACAAGGATATCCAGGAATTGAACTCAGCTCTGCACCTAGCGGACCTAATAGACATCTACCGAGCTCTCCACCACAAATCACCAGAATATGCATTCTTCTCAGCACTACACCACACCTATTCCAAAACTGACCACATTGTTGGAAGTAAAACACTCCTCAGCAAATGTAAAAGAGCAGAAATTATAATAAACTGTGTCTCAGATCACAGTGCAATCAAACTAGAACTCAGGATTTAAAAACTCACTCAAAACCACAAAACTACATGGAAACTGAAAAACCTGCTCCTGAATGACTACTGGGTACATAACGAAATGAAGGCAGAAATAAAGATGTTCTTTGAAACCAATGAAAACAAAGACACAACATATCAGAATCTCTGGGACACATTCAAAGCAGTGTGTAGAGGCAAATTTATAGCACTAAATGCCCACAAGAGAAAGCAGGAAAGATCTAAAATTGACACCCTAACATCACAATTAAAAGAACTAGAGAAGCCATAGCAAACACATTCAAAAGCTAGCAGAAGACAAGAAATAACTAAAATCAGAGCAGAACTGAAGGAAATAGAGACACAAAAAGCCCTTCAAAAAGTAAATGAATCCAGGAGCTGGGTTTTGAAAAGATCAACAAAACTGATAGACTGCTAGCAAGACTAATAAAGAAGAAAAGAGAGAAGAATCAATAGATGCAATAAAAAATGATAAAGGGGTTATCACCACCAATCCCACAGAAATACAAACTACCATCAGAGAATACTATAAACACCTCTATGCAAATAAACTAGAAAATCTAGAAGAAATGGATAAATTCCTGGACACATACACCCTCCCAAGACTAAACCAGGAAGAAGGTGAATCCCTGAATAGACCAATAACAGGCTCTGAAATTGAGGCAATAATTAATAGCCTACCAACCAAGAAAAGTCCAGGACCAGACGGATTCACAGCTGAATTCTACCAGAGGTACAAGGAGGAGCTGGTACCATTCCTTCTGAAACTATTCCAATCAATAGAAAAAGAGGGAATCCTCCCTAACTCATTTTATGAGGCCAGCATCATCCTGATACCAAAGCCTGGCAGAAACACAACAAAAAAAGAGAATTTTAGACCAATATCCCTGATGAACATCGATGCAAAAATCCTCAATACAATACTGGCAAACCAAATCCAGCAGCACATCAAAAAGCTTATCCACCATGATCAAGTGGGCTTCATCCCTGGGATGCAAGGCTGGTTCAACATACGCAAATCAATAAATGTAATCCAGCATATAAACAGAACCAATGACAAAAAACACATGATTATCTCAATAGATGCAGAAAAGGCCTTTGACAAAATTCAACAACCCTTCTTGCTAAAAACTCTCAAGAAATTAGGTATTGATGGGACGTATCTCAAAATAGTAAGAGCTATCTATGACAAACCCACAGCCAATATCATACTGATTGGGCAAAAACTGGAAGCATTCCCTTTGAAAACTGGCACAAGACAGGGATGCCCTCTCTCACCACTCCTACTCAATATAGTATTGGAAGTTCTGGCCAGGGCAATCAGGCAGGAGAAAGAAATAAAGGGTATTCAATTAGGAAAAGAGGAAGTCAAATTGTCCCTGTTTGCAGATGACATGATTGTATATTTAGAAAACCCCATCATCTCAGCCCAAAATCTCCTTAAACTGATAAGCAACTTCAGCAAAGTCTCAGGATACAAAATCAATGTGCAAAAATCACAAGCATTCTTATACACCAATAACAGACAAACAGAGAGCCAAATCGTGAGTGAACTCCCATTCACAATTGCTTCAAAGAGAATAAAATACCTAGGAATCCAACTTGCAAGGTATGTGAAGGACCTCTTGAAGGAGAACTACAAACCACTGCTCAAGGAAATAAAAGAGGACACAAACAAATGGAAGAACATTCCATGCTCACGGATAGGAAGAATCAATATCCTGAAAATGGCCATATTGCCCAAGGTAATTTATAGATTCAATGCCATCCCCATCAAGCTACCAATGACTTTCTTCACAGAATTGGAAAAAACTACTTTAAAGTTCATATGGAACCAAAAAAGAGCCCACATTGCCAACACAATCCTAAGCCAAAAGAACAAAGCTAGAGGCATCACGCTACCTGACTTCAAACTATACTACAAGGCTACAGTAACCAAAACAGCATGGTACTGGTACCAAAACAGAGATATAGATCAATGGAACAGAACAGAGCCCTCAGAAATAATACCACACATCTACAACCATCCGATCTTTGACAAACCTGACAAAAACAAGAAATGGGGAAAGGATTCCCTATTTAATAAATGATGCTGGAAAAACTGGCTGGCCATATGTAGAAAGCTGAAACTGGATCCCTTCCTTACACCTCATACAAAAATTAATTCAAGATGGATTAAAGACTTAAATGTTAGACCTAAAACCATAAAAACCCTAGGAGAAAACCTAGGCAATACCATTCAGGACATAGGCATGGGCAAGGACTTCATGTCTAAAACACCAAAAGCAATGGCAACAAAAGCCAAACTTGACAAATGGGATCTAATTAAACTAAAGAACTTCTGCACAGCAAAAGAAACTACCATCAGAGTGAACAGGCAACTTACAGAATGGGAGAAAATTTTTGCAATCTACCCATCTGACAAAGGACTAATATCCAGAATCCACAAAGAACTTAAACAAATTTACAGGAAAAAAAAAACCCCATCAAAAAGTGGGTAAAGGATATGAACAGACACTTCTCAAAAGAAGACATTTATGCAGCCAAAAGACACATGAAAAAATGCTCATCATCACTGGCCATCAGAGAAATGTAAATCAAAACCACAATGAGATACCATCTCACACCAGTTAGAATGGCGATCATTAAAAAGTCAGGAAACAACAGGTGCTGGAGAGGATGTGGAGAAATAGGAACACTTTTACACTGTTGGTGGGACTGTAAACTAGTTCAACCATTGTGGAAGACAGTGTGGCGATTCCTCAAGGATCTAGAGCTAGAAATACCAAGTAGTTTGCATAAATTTTCTCCCATTACTGGTTATATACCCAAAGGATTATAAATCATGCTGCTATGAAGACACATGAACACGTATGTTTATTGCGGCACTATTCACAATAGCAAAGACTTGGAACCAAACCAAATGCCCATCAATGATAGACTGGATTAAGAAAATGTGGCACATATACACCAAGGAATACTATGCAGCCATAAAAAAGGATGAGTTCATGTCCTTTGCAGAGACATGGATGAAGCTGGAATTCATCATTCTCAGCAAACTATTGCAAGGACAGAAAACCAAACACTGCATGTTCTCACTCATAGGTGGGAATTGAACAATGAGAACACTTGGACACAGGAAGGGGAACATCACACACCAAGGCCTGTTGTGGGGTGAGGGGGGAGTGATAGCATTAGGAGACATACCTAATGTAAATGACAAGTTAATGGGTGCAGCACGCCAACATGACACATGTATACATATGTAACAAACCTGCATGTTGTGCACATGTACCCTAGAACTTAAAGTATAAAAAAAAAAGAACAAGCTCTAAGTGAGACATGAAATAGGCAGGTGTGGTAGATTGTTTTAGTGATTGGCCCTCAATTTGTCCACCGATCTCTACATGTATACCACCCCTTTGCAACTCTGCCACCCCACCACCAAAAGGTAAACTGTTATTCTACCCTTTAAGTCTGGGCTCAGCCATTTTACTTGTTCCAGCCAATGTGACCATAGCAATTGTGAGGCTTGAAAACATTAGCAATTGAAGGTTGCCCTCTTTTGCTGTTGGTAACCCTGCAACCTTCACCTTGTGAACGAGGAATGGAACAAACATCCATGAATAGTCTCAGTTAGCCAGAAAGGTATGAGTGATTGAAAATGGGCTCTTTCCTAAGTTCATAGAAGCAAACTGTATTTCATATGATAAAACTGGTAAGTGCTATTTGCTTTGGGGAAAGTCACTTCCCCATGCAAAGATGCAGCAGAGTGTTGTGGTTAGGGATGCAGACTCTGGAATCTGACTGACCTGGGTTCCAGTTCTGACTCCACCCCTTAGATGATGTATACATTTGGGCAAGTTATTAATTTCCCTAAGTAGTGGTTTCCTTGTCTGTATAGTGAAGATAATAATGATACCTCATAGGGTTGTATAGGGCTACGTGAGTTTTGTTACTATTTCACTTTCTCCTTCTGAAACACCAGCAGTAGCATTCACTGTAAGCAAGGCATTTGACCGAAACTCTTTCTGCTCAGATTTCACATTTCTGTAAATAATGTTAATAGAGGATCCTAATGCCCCATTCAACACACAAGACGTGTTATAAATGAATCATTAAATAGTTAAGGACCAATGAAAATAGGAAATCTCTAGTGAAGCTAGGTCAGGGATCTAGGGGTACTTGTTACTATTTCTTCTTCTACTTAGCCACCTGGTCTCCTTGACGTGAGAGGAGGAGAATAACTATTCACTTCCTCCAAGGCATTCAGCTGCTTAAAGGAATCCATTACCAAAGTGTGTTACCTCAACTGAAATATTCCCAGCAGCATTTTAAGTGTGATACTCATCTTCCACTACAAGCAAACTCAATCCCTAGGCTGTTATTTGACACAAACTTCCAGAATGCCTTTCCTCTCTTCCCTACTGTTAATGTCTTACCAAATTTGCTTTAGAGCCAGGCACAGCACCTCCCTGCTCTTCTCAAAGATTGATTTCCCCTCATAGAACTCCAAAGCATTCCCTGCTTCAATGCAGTTCACTGGAGGAATGCCTCCAAGACATTGTAAGCCGTCTTGTGACCTAGCAGCCAAGATTTTATCATCAAACTGCCACATAAAATTGCAAAACTATCATACTGCATCTCAGGAACAGTACTTACCAATCAGTCAAGAAAACTGGCATATTTTGGCAATCCTGTAAAAATGATTAGCATGTCTGTAGGTTCTAAAGAATCACAAAATCCTGACTCATTTTATCTCAACTAAGATGAAGCATGGCAGCACAGATTCCACAAAGAATAACTTCAGTTACCTAGATGTCAACTTTTCTATAAACACCAGTGTGGGCAAGATGAAAGTGATTTACAAAACTTTTCTGACTAGCAGTCCTCTTGCCTCCAACTTGCACAGCTCCAGGACCCCACCTGCCTCCCATTTCCCCACCAGCCGCATTATGATCCTTCAGGGCCAAGGTCCTGAGCTACTGCTGTCTCTGGCAGTAACACTGGATCCACCAGTTAGGCTTCTTCTTCCAAGACTGAAGTTTAATTGGTTTCAATATTCCTTCTCACTTTTCTGAAACCTCACTGGAGCCATCCTGAGGAACCTCATTAAGTTAGTTGGCAAATGGGAAAGAGCTACGTTGGCTTCAGACAAGTGCTCAAGGACAAGTGTTCAACAGTGGCCCAGTTCCCCCAGACCACCTAGCAGAAGCTGACCAAGCAAGCAGTTGTTATTGGAAAGCCAAGTGGACAGACCAGATAATTCCAAGAATAGGGAAGATGGCCCACAGTTTGTTTCTAGGAGAGGCAAATGGATGACTGATAGATGAAGATTGATTTCCTCACCAGCACACATGAGAAAAACATGGTCCCAAGCCAGCTCGCCACTCAGAAATCATAATTTTTTGCTTCATTTCATGAAAATGCAGAGCTGCTTAAGTTGGTAGCAATGCATAGGGAGGTGAAATGGTCCCTATAAACTTTATGGAGTTAATAGGGAACAAGGGAGGAGAGAAACAAAAATAAACCAAGCTTACAGCACATTCGGAATTAATCATTAGGTCAGCTGGCTCTCTGACCCTCATCCTCATAATTTTTCAGCTGCCTATTGCCCCGGAAATCATGTAGACTCTGTCAGAAGATTATCGTTTACTTTAACTGCTCTATAGATAACAACTAGAACATTCTGAAATGTTAAGTTTTCCATTTGATATATTCTTTCAGGTCCTGAGTACTAGTGAAACTACTGAGGTCAGCTGGTCTGAAGGACTCCACGAGAAGCCAACTCACCAAAGAATGCAGCTTCCACATCCTGGTGACTTCATCCCCCTTACCCTGACCAATCTATGAACCCAATTTTCCACCCCTTTGCCCTCCACAATCCGCTTAAAAACCCCAACCCAGCACTCCTCGGGGAGATGGATTTGAGGATCTCCTCTCATCTCCTCACTCGGCTGCCCTGCAGTCATTATACTCTTTCTCTGCTGCAAACACTACTGTCTCATTGTAGTCATCTGTTACTGCACAGCAGGCATACAAATCTGTTGATCCTGTAACAGAGGCAACATGGCAAGTACTGTATTTTTCTATTTGATGATTCAATTAGCTAGAAAAAGCATGACTTTGGTGGAAGCCACCAAAAGTAAGAACTTTTGTGCGTTACCACCTAAGGGCAGACTTACTTGCAGGCCCTTGTCTCCATCTAATTGAAATCACTACCCAACGTCTTTCCCAAACTCACACAAGGCTGCACAACCCAGAAGACAAAAAAGCAGAGCACAAGGGCACATACCCTAAGGACTGGTAGGCACCAACCCTACACTTTTGTTTCTGCTGCCTCTCTGACTTCTCAGAATTGCCCACTTGGCTCTATTGTGCTTTCTTTTTCTCCACCTTAGCAACTGGCCACTCAGAATTTGACCTCTTTTTTGATGGCCTATAAAGCTACTATGTGTCAATTACTAAGTTAAATTCTTTAAAATTACCTCATTTAATTATCAGAATAACTGTCTGATGTTGATGTTATTACTCTTATTTTTATAAATGAAGAAACCAAGGCCCAGAAGACTTGGGTACTTGCTCAAGACTGATGGTATCAGCCCAATCATTCCCATTCTGCTAAATTCTTATTCTGCACCCTCTTCAAAAAAAAAAAGTTATTGAGATTTAATTCACATATCATAAAATTCATTTGAAGTATATAATTCAGTAGTTTGTTTGATTATTTTTGAGACTGGATCTCACTCTGTCACCCAGGCTGGAGTACGGTGGCTTGATCACACTTCACAGTAGCCTCCACCTCCTCAGCCTCCCAAGTGGCTGGAACTACAAGTGTAAGCCACCACACCTGGTTAATTGTTTTCAATTATTTGTAGAGACAGGGGTCTCATGATGTTGCCCAGGCTGGTCTCAACTCCTGTCCTCAAGCAATCCTCCCTCATCAGATTCCCAAAGTGCTGTAATTACAGGTGTGTGCACTGCGCCCAGCCAGTAGCTTTCACTATATTTACAAAGACATGAAACCATTTGCCCAATCTAAGTTTAAAATATTTTCGTTCCCCCAAAATGGAAATCCTACACGTAGACCGTCACTTCTCAACCTCATCATGCCCTGCCCTAAACCTAGGCAACCATTTAATTATTACAACAAATCCGAGGTAATTAGTATCTACTTTCTGTCTCTGTAGATTTCCTCATCCTGGATACTGCATATAAATGCAGTCATACAATATCTAGTCTTTTGTGATGGGCTCTTTCATGTAGCATAGTGTATTCACGGTTCATCCAGACTTATGGAGGTACTCACTCCACCATTCGAGAAGTCATGTCTTCCCGTCCACTCTTATAACCAACTCTACCTTGTTGACACTTATACCCTGATATGACAGAGATCAAATAAGAATCCTGATACTTATTTGCATACAGTGGAACTCATTATAATTACTACCTTACAAATTAATCCTGTCTCACCAGGTTATTACTATATAGAGTCTAATAATGAATGTTACTGTCCCCCAAAATATATCCAAATCCACCTGGCCAATGGAAGTCTGTTCTTTGAAGTAATCACTAATATTTCCTCCACCACTGGTGATTATTTGCTTCAGAATTCGGCTTTTCCCATTTTCAAGTTATCTCCAAAGGCTATCAAACCCAATAATCTTTGTATTTCCCTAACCGAAAAAGGAAATTTTTTAATGCCTCCAATTTTCAAATAAGATGAAGTGATATAGTAATGCAAGTTACTTTTTTTCTTCATAGCAATGAAATTGTTCCCACTTCAACAAATCAAGCCACAAGTTTGCGTGTGTGAGTGTGCACGCATGTGTGTGTGTGTGTGCACGTGTGTGTGTATGTCTGACACTGCGTGGGTATGTCTGGGAATGCTAACAACCAAGTTAGAGAATCTCATTACATAGAGTTTTCTGGCTACATTTTGTGCTTTAAAATTAGGTCTCTGCTTGAAATCCCAGCCCTTCCTTGGCTCTTTTCAGTTCTAAGGTCTCTTCTGATTAGTGAAGTGTTGACATATTGCTGTTCACTTGGGAGACTCCGGGTTCTTCCCTAAGAGTAATAAAATTCAAGCAGAGTGCTTTTGCCAAGATAAAAGTTCAAAGTAACCTAGGAGGATATGTGCAACTGTGAACATGTGAAGAACACTGGGGGCTAAATGTTGAAAGGGCCTTTCCAGTCTTTTTGTACTGCTTTCTCTTTCCTGTGTTTGCAGTTGTCAAATTGTCCAATCAGGTCAGATGATGAACAAATTGATCCTCAATGTAAAGATGCAGGTTCCACACTCAAGCTCTCTGTCCCAGTCTACAGAAAACAGAAAGGGCACTTTCGACATTGAGTTCTGAGTACATGCATTTTTTTTAATTCAGATAAGTGAAGACCAAACATAAACATATCACTTCCTTGCTCTTTTTATTCCATAAATGTACCATAATTCCAATCAAAAGCACAATAGATTTTACTTTGGGAGTCGACAAAATAATTCTAAAGGTCATATGGGCAATAAACAGGACAGAGTAGCTAAAATTTTTAAAGTATGATTATTCAGGAAGAACATGCACAATCAGATATTATTGTAACTTTATAATATGTATAATAAAAAAATACTGGTGCCAGGATAGCTCACAGCAAGAGAATAACAAGTCCAGAAAGAGATACAGATTTACATGAGAGTTCAATATACAATATACATGCCATTTTAGTATGGCAGGGGAATGGATAAGTTATTCAATAAACACTGGACTAAGTGGCACAAAATTTGAAAACAAAAAAAACTTAGACCCCTCTCTCACAATATTTGTCAACTAAATTTCATATAAAGTAGAAAGGTAGGCCGGGCATGGTGGCTCATACCCGTAATACCAGCACTTTGAGAGGCTGAGGTGGGAGGATCACTTGAAGCCAGGAGTTCGACACCAGCCCGGGCAACAAAGTAAGACCCTTTCTCTACAAAATATTTATTTTAACTTAATTGGATGTGGTGGCATCTAAGGTGAGAAGATTGCTTGAACCCATGAGCCCAAGAGTTTGAGGCTACAGTGAGCTATGATCACCCCACTGTAGTCCAGCCTGAGCAACAGAATGAGACCCTGTCTCTAATTTAAAAAAAAACACAAAGTAAAATTAAAACAAAAATAAAAATAAAAAAGTAGGAGGTAAAAATTTTCCAATAAAAAGATTTTTCAAAAAGAAACTATGGGTGACTATCTGATCAGGGGGAAGGGGAATCCTTTATTCTAAGAACAAAAGTAAAAAAGCAACCGTAATGAAAAGTTATAGATTTGACTACATCAAAATGTGTATTAAAATGCCATGAATAAAAAATAAAGGATAATAACAGAAAAATGCAACATAAAGGACAAATAGCAATATATCTTTACTATATAAAGACTTTCAAAAATCAATAATAAAAAGCACACCAATAGAAAATTTAGAAATAATGCACATAAGAAATTCATAAAAGATCTGAATGATGGATAGACATAAGTAAAGATGATAAACTTCACTAGTGGTCAAATAAATTAGAACAAATGAGATACCAGTTTTATCTATAAAATGTGCAAAGATGTGGAGAAACAAGCAGCCCCCTTTTAACATTTAGAACAAATGGAAGCAAAATGGAATATTTCTAGAGGACAATTTAGGAAAGTCCATTAAAAGTTTTAAAAAATATACAGTCCCCTTGTTCTAGAAATACCACTTCTAAGAATTTATCCAATGGAAAATTAGTAAGAGGTACTCAAATATTTACGTAAGGGCACGATTATCACAGCATTACATATAATTGCAAAAAAAGTGGTGGGAAAGGAATGTCTAACAGTACAAGTGGGGTAAATAGCTTGCACGTAAGTTTAATAAAATACTGTACAAGTATTAAAATTATTTTGTAAAGGAGGCCGGGTGCAGTGGCTCGCGCCTGTAATCCCAGCATTTTGGGAGGCCGAGGCAGAAGAATCGCTTGAGCTCAGGAGTTCAAGACCAGCCTGGGCAACATGGCAAAATTCCATCTCTACAAAAAATGCAAAAAAGTATCTGGATGCGGTGGTGCCCCTGTGGTCCCAGCTGCTTGGGGGGCTGAGGTGAGAGGATTGCTTGAGCCTGGGAGGCAAAGGTTGCAGTGAGCCAAGACTGCACCACTGCACTGCAGGCTGGGTGACAGAGTGAGACCCTGTCTCCAAAAAAAGAAAGAAAAAAATTATTTTGTAAAAGAATAACTAACAAATAACCTGTAAAAGTGGTCACCACATAATGTAATTATGTTATAAAAAAGCCAGTTAGAAAACACAGTATTTAATATAATCCTAATTTTGTAAAATGCATACATATGTGGGGGTGTGTACAGATGTATGTGTATGGATGTATGTAGAAAAGATTAGGAAAAAAAAAACCTCCAAAATGTTAACCATATTATCTCTGAGTATCAAGATTATTGGTAATTTTAATTTTCTTCGTTGTACTTTTCTGTACTTTCCACATTTTAAAAATGAACATGTGCTACTTTGAATCAGAAAAACACAATAAATGTTATTTTAAAAATTGAGTCCTTTGGATTTTGGCTCTTTTTTTTTGTGATTAAAAAAAATTTCACACGCCCATACACGGAGACAGAAGCCTCAGGGCGTACATGTCAGCTCTGGAAAATCTTTAAAGAAAAAAGTGCCATTTCAAGATAAAGTGTTGTTCATCCCATCTCTTCCTTTCAAACCTCACAGAAAATACATACTCTCCCTTAAAACCTCCCATCTCTCCTCATCCCATCTAACTCCATCCCTACCCCAAGAACAAATTCCATGTGAAAGGCCACAGTCCACAACCTGGCCAGCAGGCCTTGCACAACCCAAGCCCACCTCCCATCACTTTCCCTTCACACCTCACCTCACTCATCAATCCGTAGTAACACTGAACTGATGAATATACTGTGTTTCCTCACATTCCCATGCCTTTGCTCATGTTATCCTCTTTTCGAGGAACACACTTCCCTCACCTCTTCACCCAAATCACCCCTACTTCAAGACTTCATACATGTATCATTTCTTCTAGAACCCCTATCCCAGATCCCAAGACTGATTTGGGTGCTTCTAACGAGCTCTGGAATGACCCTATGCACACCTCCAAGTCCATACTATACTTCTAAAAAGCTATATGTACCAGTATTTCCTTGTGAGACTATAGATTCTCAAAGGGCTGAGATGATGTCTTACATACTTTGTATTCCCAGCACATAGCAACAGTGCTGAGCTTACAGTAGAGACTCAAGAACTGTTCAAAAAATTGAGGAGTATGCCCCCACCCCTCAGACAGGTGTCCTCTTTGAACACAAGCCCCACATCAATCTCATAAAATTAGGTAGATTACTGCTGCTCCATGAACCTTCTCTAAAATGAATAAGATCCACAAAGTATTGTCTCACTATATGTAACATTGGTCAGTTCCTCTTAAAGAATTTTAACCAGCCCAGGCTTCTGCACCTCAAGAAAAGCTTAAGAGCTACAAAGAAGTCACAGAAATGATCAAGAGAGTTTTTTTAAGTACCCCAAGGAAAATTTTAAAATTATAAGAGATATGGGCCTTTTAATCTATAATCTCTGCCACTCTTCCTGCCTGGTAGGAAAGGAGAAAGCCACAAGAGGTGAGTATTAAATGTCCTTGGGCAGACATGAAGTCTTGCCATTTAAAGAGCTGCTGGAGGAAAGTTTATCCTTCTTTAGCTCTTTAGGACCTTCAGGCTACCACGATCTACTAAGATGTCTGGCTGGAAGCCCTCAGCATCCAAAAGCAAAAGTGCAATGAGATAGGAGAGGAATTAAGAAATAAACTGGAATTAGGAAATGAACTTAGTAAACATTATGATGCATAAAGCATTGTCTTATAATTATTACAACAAATACTTGTAAAAACACTTTAACTTAATGTAAAGATTTTCTTGGTTGGAAAGAAAACAGCATGAAGTTAACACCTGGGTCTCATTAATATGCGTGACAACCTGTTTCCAAGATAAACAACAGCATTCGTGTAAACCATTTAATATAAAAGCCATCACACAGAGACATAAGCCATCCGAATCATGCTGAGTTTTTAATTTAAATTTAGTCCATAATTAGGCTGTTTAAGCAGAACATCAAAAAAAATTAAACATTTCAGTCTACATTAATTTTGGTTGGAACTTATGGAACTGTAACATTTAGCTGTGTAATTGAGAAGTAGTCTCAGTTTAGGAGTGAGGAAAAGCTTATGTCCATAGCTAACTCATGATATCCCAGCCCAGAAGCACAAAGTGTGGGACCTCAAAGGGTTAAAACATCCAGCCAATCCCTTGTGAGTCAATCACACCATGACTAATGTAAATGGGGTTGAACATGACAAAATCTGGCTCTGATTCATCGTTTAACACATTTCCCCTTATGTAACAGGCTGCCTCTAGCTGGTTAGCTCAGCATTGTGTTAGTTAGGCCAATAATAGCAATAATAGTTGTTGGTTAAACAGCACACTCTTTCTCACCCTTCTTCAGCTCCGCTCTGTATAGAAGGAGGAAGGACTTGACCTCTCCAAGCTGCCTTTCCCAGGTTCCCTTGTTTGTTGCTTTCTAGCTAGGTTCAGCCAATGAGAGGTATTGGAGGGTGACTGAAAGCAGGAGCAAGTATTTCTCTCCCTCCCTCTCCTCTGAGGGTGGCATCTCCTATACCAGTTAAATCTTCCATGTGGGTTCAGTTCCTGACAGACATTCTCACTAAGGTTCTAGCTTACCTCACATGACCAGGCCTCCGGGTTCTGATAACACCATCCCCTGCCACTGTCCTTCAGAGCCCTAGCTCTGCTGTTGCAAATCTATGGGTTACCTCGCCATCCCCTGTTTGGTTTCTCAGCTCCTTTATTACCAGTTCCCTGAATTAAATTCTCTCTATTGTCAACCAATGAAGTGATTTCTATTTCTAAACCTTCACTGATGCAAAGCTACCATGTGTTAGGCACTACAATAAGTGTTTTGAATACATTATCTGATTGAATCCTCACAATTTACCCTAAAATACAGCCCACTATTATTATCCCCATTTCAAAGATGAGGAAACTGAGGCACGGAAATGTCGAGTAATTTGCCCAAAATCACACAGCAAGTAAGTGATGGATTTGAACCCAGATCCATCTTTATGTTCCATACTAAACCTCTACACAATGCTATATTGAACTAGATAATTTCAAAGGTTGCTTGCAGCTTTGACAGTCTATGAAGCCAGTCATTCATACATTTACGCATTCTATGAATAGTTACTGAGCACCTACTCTATGCTAACCACTGTTTCTAGGCTTTAGGGAAATATAAGAGTAAAAAAGCCCCAAATTCTTTCTCTTTATTGACTTTTGATTCTAGTGTATAGACACATACAATAAACAAATAATTAATACCTTAAATATGTCAGCTGCTGGCCAAGTACTGTGGAGAAAACATGAGTACAGAGGAAGGATAAAGAGCGCCATGGCTGGGGGAGTGGGGGTGGTGGGGGGGAAAGAGTTGAAATTTTAATTTTCATAAAACTGGTCGTCCTATCTGCATTTCCCCTTTCATGGACATACTAGATAAATGACCAATACAAATGGATGGTGGAAACATTTCTTCCTAAAGATCCAATTGAATTAAATTAAACTCAACAAATATTTACTAGAACCTTCTATAGTAAATATTCTCTTAACCAATTCTCCACTTAACAAATTGTAAAACCTACTGACTAATGTGTGAAGTGCACTGAGCCTTTGTTTTTGGTAGGTTAATCGCCAGTTTTTCCATTTGCATCAGCTCCCAAGCATAGTGCTCTGGGCTTACCAAAAGTCAGTCACGTTTGTTTCCAAAACCTGCTTCTGCCAATTCTACTTGCCATTTGATTGTGTAGTTTAATAAAACTTTACGCAAATTTTTAAAGTGTTCGTGAGAAAAGAGAGTTGCTTCTATGAAAAAATTACATGAAAAGATTTGGAAAGACTAGTTAAAGGAGAGTCACTTAAAAATTACTGTTCAATTAGTTGTGTGTGAAACAACTATAAAGAATTAAGGAGGGGCTGGGTGAGGTGGTTCATGCCTGTAACCCCAGCACATTGGGAGACTGAAGCAGGCAGATGGCTTGAGCCCAGGCTTTTGAGACCAGCCTGGGCAACATGGTGAAACCCTGTCTCTACAAAAAATAACAATAGAATACAATAAAATAATTAGCCAGGTGTGGTGGCATGCACCTATAGTCCCAGCTACAAAGGAGGCTGAGGTGAAAGGACTGCTTAAGCCCAGGTGGTCAAAGCTGCAGTGAGTGAAGATCACGTCACTGCACTCCAGCCTGGGCAACAGAGTGAGACCCAGTCTCAAAAAAAATAGTAATAATAAGGACAGAATTATTACTTATGATTTTGCAATTATCTTTAGGAGCTCACTCTACTTTAAAGACACTGCCCTGAAAATCAGCTGATACCCTATAGGTGTAGTTTCTGCACACACACACACACACACACACACAAAGAAAGAAAGAGAGAGAAATCATAAAACACCAGTCAATGGGCTCATCTTCAAAGAAAAGGGCTTGGTCAGTCCTAAATCAAAAGATCAGTTAATAAGTAAATATTTATATATATTGAGAAAAATATCACGCTTAAAGTACCATGTTTGATTAATATTTTCCTTAATCTGACTTTTTCAATTAACTCAGTGAAAAGAATCAATTTAGATAAGAGGGCTTCTAGTCAGGGCACGGTGGCTCATGCCTGTAATCCCTGCACCTTGGGAGGCCAAGGCAGGCAGATCACCTGTGTTCAGGAATTTGAGACCAGCCTGGCCAACATGGTGAAACCCCGTCTCTACTAAACATACAAAAAATTAGCTGGGCGTGGTGGCGCAAGCCTGTAATCCCAGCTACTCAGGAGGCTGAGGCAGGAGAATCGCTTGAACCCAGGAGGCAGAGGTTGCGGTGAGCCAAGATCGCGCCACTGCACTTCAGCCTGCGCAACAAGAGTGAAACTCCATCTCAAAAATAAATAAATATAAAAATAAGAGGGCTTCTATGTACATTCAAAATACTGTGTTATAAATTTCAGATAATAAAGATACCAAGGAGTTGACAAAATCCTTTTTAAGTTTGGAAATAACCAGAATATGGATAAAGTAAGCCATGCCTTGTTTACCTTAAAATAAGGTATTATTTGCCTTAAAATGCCTCAGAAGTGCCTAACATTAGTAGGCAACTAGCCCAAAGTTTCTACTTTGTAATGTAATGTAATGTAACTCCCATCATTGATTGGTACAGGGTGGGAGTGAAAGGGCAAGGCAGTTACTTCTCTACATTATAACCATGCGAAAAGTACTCCATTCTCCTGCTTAAAAACCTTTAGTGTCGACCTACTGCCTGAAGAATCAAGGTCTGATTCCTTATCTTAGTACTCACGATCTGCCACAAGTTGGCCACAACCTAACTTGCCAGTTTCATTTTAGGCTATTTGCAAATGCCCCCAAATGAGCTGCATTACTTGCTCTTTGAATATGCTATGTGCCTACCTGCAGGCTTTGTGATTTTGCTTAAGTTGACCCCACTCCCTGTTGACCTTTGAAGGTGATATCCCTGCTCCTCCTATGCCCTGCTCCTTCTTCCTCTGGCCCCTTGACTATTTCCACCTGTAGAAATTATATTCATCTTTCAGTGCTCTTTTCAAATGCCACTTCTTTATACAGCCTTTTCAGATTCTCCTTCACCATAAAATGGGTATGGCTTCAGCCACCTCAGAACTAACTGACCAAGTGTTTTCTCTTCTCTTGTGGTTAGGGTGACCACAACATTTATCGTTAAAACCCGGACATTCTTAAGAGTAAAAGGGTACACCAGTAAGAATTACACCATGACAACAGACATAAACCAGACCTGTTCCAGGCACACCCAGGACTGACGGACACACTGACTGCCTTGCCCTTTCACTCCCACACTGTACCAATCAATGACAGGAGTTACATCACATGAGTTATGTCTATCTATAGACACAAACTTTGTGCCAGTTACTCAGTAACGTTAGTTAGGCACTTCTAAGACATTCTAAGGTAGTGTTAAATGTTCAGTTCCTCAACTATGATTGCCTGAGTTCAATTCTTTATCTCTACCACTACCTATGTTCTTTGTCTTGGACTAGTTACTTAAGGGTACTCTATGCATATGCATATGAGTTGTGGCGTCAAATAAAATCACCAATCTCTAGTTGTGTGACCTGGGTCAAGAAATGTAACCTCCCTGAGGTTAAATTCTATTATTAATATAGGTTGGTGCAAAAGCAAAATACGTGCTCAACAAACAGTTGATTCAATTTATATACAGATAGATTTTAGTGGATTTTTCAGACTGGCAGAAATAACACCCTTCCTTCCTTCCTTCCTTCTTTCCTTCCTTCCTTCCCTCCCTCCCTCCCTTCCCTCCTTTCCTCCCTCCCTCCCTCCTTTCCTTCCTCCCTTCCTCCTTTCCTTCCTTCCTTACTTCTTTCCTTCCTTCCTTCTTTCTTTTCTTTCTTTTTTTCAAGACAGAGTCTGGCTCTGTCTCCCACGCTGGAGTACAGTGGCATGATCTTGGCTCACTACAATGTCCACCTCCTAGACTCAAGAGATCCTCCTGTCTCAGCCTCCCAAGTAGCTGGGAATACAGATACGCACCACCACGTCCAGCTAATTTTTGTATTTTTGTAGAGGCAGTGTTTCACCGTGTTGCCCAGGCTGGTCTCAAACTCCTGTGCTCAAGCGATCTTCCCACTTCCCAAAGTGCTGGGATTACAGGCGTGAGCCACCGTGCCCAGCAAATAACACTATTTCTAACACTGTTTCTGTGAGAAAATGTTTTCAGAATTTCAGGAGGGAGCAGAAGACATCTTACCAAAAAACTTCTGAAACACTTCTTACTCATTCACTCATTGAAAGTTGAAACCAGAACAAAAATCTACTACTATCCTGACATGTTTCAGGCAGAACAAAGAATATATTTTGCTTCTGTGTCTTTGGCAAGCACACCATGTCTGTGATTCATTAGTGTCACAGGAGCGACTGAAATATTTTGGTTTCTATCTCAGTTGAAAGAAATATTGTCATTTCTCCAGTGCAAAACATGAAATGCATTCTGATAGTTCCTTTAAAAGTCCTGTTCTGATTAGAATTAGCATATCCATTAGTAACCATCAGAGGTGAAACACTTGGCTGAAACAAATATATTCATAAGCCACATAATTCTATGCTGAAGCCTTAATGTAACTTCATCCTGAAAGCCCATTCCAGGTGAGCATCTTACAGGTGTCTGAGTACTGCTGAGGACTCAGCAGGACTATTCCCTCACTCCCACAGGGCTCTCATTTCTACCTAGTACTCAAAAATACGGCCCCAGTTGGCCCACATGGCATGGTGGAGAGAGATCGCCAACCTCCTCATGTTATGCAGTCCTCACATCATATTAAAACCACTCCTGCTATGAGGCACTTGTGCAAACACTCCAGGCATTTCTGGGGTTATAGGCTGGTGACCAGGTGTTTCCACATTCACACCTTGGCTTCAGCAAAGCCAATATTTCTATTTAGAGAAAATGTCTTTAATTGTCTAGTATATGAGAGACTTTTTGGATGCTTTCAGAAAGTGGACTCAATACTACCTTTCTAAAAAGATAGAATGATGGCTTGGGCTTCAGTTCTAATATTTTCTACATATATCCAAAACTATAAATCAATATGCAGGGAAACATGTAAGTTCTAGAACTGGTTGTGTTAAACTGTCGATGTATTATATAATCATTTATCCCCAACCTGGTTTGATGTAGATCCTGGGTCAGTCTTAACTCCTAAGTCTTATTATGTAGTGCATACCCCCAAACATTCTTAACCAAAGGCTACTAAATACAATTTAGTCTTTTCTGGATGCACCACTGTCTTTACAATGAATGGAAATGATTGCATTATCCTATAAATTTGTAATACAAAACAAGATTATAATATTAATTGTTCTTATGCTAAGTGCCCCTAGACTATGGTACTTTTTGAGATTCTATGGCTTATTTTGCTGTTTACTTCCTCACTTACAGAAATATAAACTACCATCTCTTACTGTTGTCAGTTTGCCTTCAAGCAGCCTTTCCTTTTAATTTGCTTCAAGCATTCATTCGTTGAAAAACATTTACTGAGTGCCAATCATGTGTCAGGCACCATGTTGGACATGGGAGATATGACAATAAGAGAAACAGTCTCTGACACCTGGGAGCTCACAGTATAGTTAAATAGTCAGATAAGTAAAGAGGCAATTATAATACTGTGTGATATGTGCTACGATAAAAGTAAACGCAGGGCACTATAGGGACATCTAAGAGGGGTTACCTAATCTAGATAGGATGGGGGATGACTTGGGATGTCAGTGAAGTCTTCCTGCAGGAAATTATCGCTAAACTGAGTTTTGAAGAAAAATCAGAAGTTACTCAAAATGTAGGAGGTTAAAGGTGATTTACTAAAATGGTACAGCAGCATATGCTGATATGGTAATCCAGGCAAGAGGTAACATGGTCTTGAATGGTAGTAGCAGCTCAGATGGAGAGTAGGAGACAGATTAGAGAGACATTTGGGAGACATTTTTCAACACAACTTAGTAATGCATTGAATGTTGGGGTGAGGGAGGGATAGAGTCTAGAAATAAGCTTGGGTCATAGGGCAAACAAAGGAATCACTGAGCAGGATAAAAAAATACAGAAGGAACAAGTGTGAAGAACAAGATAACAGCTTTAGCTTTGAACAAGTTAGGTTTGGGTGGATATTTTCAGTAGTCAATTTGATATATGGAATCTGATGTGCAAGAGAGAAAGAGATGCCAAGCTTTTAATCTTGTGGGTTTAAAAAAAAAAAAAGAAAGCCAAGTTCATTTAATCTGTGCATAAAATAAGAAAAGTTGCTGTGACAGAGGACCTGAGGACTTTTTGGCAACACTTCTGTGTGTCTAATCAGCATCTCAAACGTAACATGTATAAAGCAGGTTTTGATTTCCACTCACACCCCAACATATTTCTCTTCGAGTCCTCATCTCAGCTAATGGCACACCACTGCCCACACAGCTGCTAAATCCAAAAGCCTAGAAGTTATTCTTTAAGTCTTTCTCCCTTACCTTCCATATCCAATCCACCTGCAAGTCTTGTCAACTCCACATCCAAAATATATCATACATTTATTCACTTCTTTCCATTTCCATTTCTCCTACTCTAGTCCAAGCCATCATTGTCACAGGCCTAGACCACTGCAAAAACAGCCTAACTGACCAAGCTATCACTACTCTTGCCCAAACAAGCCAAGGTGGTTCTGACTTTAGGGCCTCTGAATTTGCTAATCCCACTGTCTGAAGTTCTTTCTCCTGACCCTCCACTCCTTTTTCTTGTTTAAATCTCAACTCAAATATCTTATTCTTAGAAAGGCCTTCCTTGACTACCTTGTTGATTCTGGCCTGTCTTCATCACACAAGCAAACAAGTCACTCTGTCACGAAATCCCATCTTTCTCCATAGCATTTTTCTGTTTATGAAAATCATCTTCTAGGTTGCCTCATTTATTATTAATAGTCTGTTTCACATCCCCACCCCAACACACACATTGGAACATAAAAAGAAGGCAGGATTTTTTATGTTTTGCTCACATTTATATTTACATCTTTAGCACTTAATAAATGCTCAACAAATACTTAAACATAGAATGAATGAAAGTATTTTTATCATCCAGAGGCCTTGTGTTTCTCACTGCCTGTTTCTGGACCATATTGTTTTATTCTCTATATATCAAGAAAGCATAAAGGCACAAGACTGATTTTCTTTCTTTTCTTTTTTCTTTTTTTTTTTTTTTTGAGACAAAGTCTCACTTTGTCACCCAAGCTGGAGTGCAGTGAAGCGGTCATAGCCTTGAACTCCTGGGCTCAAGTGATCCTCCCCACTCAGCCTCCCTAGTGGCTGGTGAGGTAGGAGGCTGGACAAACTTGTTTTCTGGTCACAACCTTGCTGACCGAAACAGGTTGTGATCCAGACAGGATAAAGTGGAAAAACCAGAAGAAACCAGCAGATGGCGACAAACACGATCCCTAGCGGCCCTCATTGTTCATTAACATAAGACACTCCCACCAGCCTCATGACAGTTTACAAATGCCATGGCAACAAACCAGAAGTTACAGCCTTTTCCATGGCAACAAAGCAAAAGTTGCTACCTCTTTCCTAGAAAGTTATAAATAACCCGCTCCCTCAATTTGCATTAACCTGCCCCTTAATTTGCATGTAATTGAAAGTGGGTATAAGTGAGTACAAATACAGTTGCTGACTCCGGGTGCACTGCCCACAAAGAACACGGAACAACAATAAAAGACTGTTGTCTAATACCACTGGCTCACACTTGAATTCTTTCAGGAGCAAAAGCCAAGAACTCTGGGCTAAGCCCCAGTTTTGGCACTTGCCTGTTCTGCATCACTGGGACTACAGGTGCATGCCACCAAGCCTGGCTAGTTTTTTGTTTGTTTGTTTGTTTGTTTGTTTTGGTAGAGAAGGGGTTGCCCAAGCTAGTTTTGAACTCCTGGCCTTAAGTGACTCTCCTGCCTCAGCCTCCCAAAGTGCTGAGATTACAGGTGTGAGCCACCATGCCTGGCTGATTTTCTTATTTGCTTCATAAACTGGCTCTGAATATATTAGACATTCACTCAGTAAAATATATAAAATTTACACTGTAAAAACAGATTTTCCAGAAATTAGTAATATGCCCTATGAATGTACTGTGAATTCTAATCTACTTGAATAATGATGGAAGAGAAAACCTTTGGTTATAATTTTCAGAATACACTGAAGCACAACAAAAGACATAAAGATCCAGAAATATCACTTAAATCTTCAACACTTTTCCACTTCTGGAAATTTTACTTCTGTGTAAAGAGGAGCCCATCAAAATGGAATTCCCCTTGAGTTTTCAAACTGAGATATAACTATTTCACTGACAGGCACCCTCTTGCCTGCCAGCTTCAGCCTCTGGCTACTACCCTGTGGGTAGGCACGCTGACAGAAATCATGACTTCTTTGTCACTTGCCTCAAAGAAATGGCCAATGAATCAAATATCATCCCTGCAAAGGAGAGATTTTAACCAAATTGCCCAAAGCCATTTGCATCTGTCCACTGTGCCTGGTGACCTCCCCAGACACGGATGTCCCAGAGATTGCTCTCAGATGCTACCACTGACCCAGGGTTGAAGGTCGATTATGTTTTTCAATCACAGTTAGATTCAATCATGAGACTATACATCTTCTGAGGGATTCAAGTCCTCTTGCCAACACTCCCCTTCCTGCCTGTATGCCTAGTTAAGTCAGAGTGGGCAGTGGGTGAGGCGCTATTCTTAGAGGTGCTAATGAATTAAGAAGTTTCTCATCGGAGTAGCGGAGTAGCGTAAGGATACTTTGCTCAGAGGCTTCCCTACTCCTAAATATCCTCTCAGTGCAACTGTTACACAATCCTATAAAATCATCTTATAAAACCAATAGAAGAAGTTCAACAATGAATATCTTATCCAGGGAATAGAATATCAATTGCTATGTTAATCAAGGCTGTCCTCTCTTATCGGGGCCAGAAAACTGCACTTAAAATAAATGAAGCTGAGTATGTTTACATGGGTGAATAGAGAGAGGTCCTTGAACCCTTATCTGATCAGGTTGTTTTCATAGCATATTTACCTCACTGGGTAAAGGCTTTCCCTGAAAGAAGTACATCCTGAAAAAAACTCTATTCCCTATGTAAGGAGTGACAGATCCATGGTCAGAAATGCTCTCAAGTGTGATAAAATTATACATGCTGCTCTGTTTGCTACAGATTCCATCGACAGGAAAAGAGGTAATGTAAATACCACTCTGCTGAAGCTCCTTATAGAAGGCGGCTGGAAAACATGGACTTGAAAGCTTACTGAACCCAAGGTTGCCTCAACATCAAGGAAGCTCTGCTTTACTGGGAAATAAGCTCTGTTTAAATCACTAGCATCAACTTCTATTTTCTAATTTATAGCCATCACAAAGTGTTTTGTTTTCTTTTGTTAGGCGTAGAGGAAAGAGATCTAGTATTATCCATCATTAAATCCTGACAGTTCTACCTTCACTATATATGCTAAATCTGACCACTTATCACCACCTCCAATGCATTTAGCCTGGTCCAAGCCACACTCATGCGTAGCTTGGATTACTGTAATAACCTCTTTATTAATGCCCCAGTGCTGTCCTAGCCCTCCCATCTCATTCTCCTCCCAACACTGTAACCAAAGTGATCCTATTAAAATAAGTTAGATCATGTCATTCTTCTACTCAAACATCCCATTCCAAGTTGGTCCCCAGCCCACTTGAAAAAAAGCCACGTTTCAATAGGAAGTAGCTACACTGGGAGTATAACCTATTCTATCTGTTTCCATAGCGTACTCCCTTATCCACAGCTTCTCGAAAGCTTTGAACTTTGAAGCTTCATTCAATTAGTTCCCATTTTTAATTGTACAATGCTCCCACCGCAGACCTGTACCATCTTGCTGCTCTATAGTACCCCAGAAGCCTCCTATGCCCTTCCACCTAGCCTTGCCTTTTCCTGGCTATGCCACATATGAGAAGCCTGTCCCTACCATCTATACCCCACCCTCTATCCTCAAGAATCACATAGCCATCAAGCATTTATTCATCCATGCAAGAAATATATATATAAACTACCTAGTATGTGACGGGCACTGGAATTACGGATGAACTCTGCCCTCAATCTAAGAGTTCACAATTTAGTGAAACGGAGATGAGTGTTTGATGACTGAGAGAAGGTACCAGTAGAGAGGGATCTCAGAGATCAGAGCCACGATCTCACTGAGGTAACAGCTAGCTAATGTGCTTAACGTCTTCCCTCACAGCTTACAAATGTGTGTTTTCAGCAGAAACCTTCGGAAGACAATGATAGAGCCTTGGCCCAGTAGGGCGATGCCAATGACAGCAACTCCAGGTTCTGTAGCAAGCTGACAGGTTTGATCTATGAGGACAGGGGTTCTTCAGGAAGACCCTCAATCCCTCAATTAACACCAGGTAGGTCATTGCTGATTCTGACTGCACAAAGGGCATCTTCATCATTACAAAGGTGATGTTTTTTACGGGCTAGTAAACCGGGCCAGTACCTGGCTTAAAGGCTACCCACGTTGTACCCATATACACTTACTTCAAGGAAGGTGTGAACCACAGCCTATCCTAATCCATGTAACAATAAGCTCGAATATATCATGTTAGATCACCGGTAAGATTACATGACAGAAATTCTGGGAGAACCCAGAATTGTACCCAGTTTGACCAAAATCAAAAGATTCTGAAAGTAAATGGTGATAGAGATACGAAGTTAAAAGTTACGAAACACTCCAGTTTGAATCCGATAACCCCTTGCCTTCCTTTAATTAAAAAAAAGTTATGAAACTACACTGAAATGATATAGGATTAATAGTGGTAGTACTGAAATATATTTCTTTGTTTTTTTCGTTCGTTTGTTTTTTGAGACGGAGTCTTGCTCTGTTGCCCAGGCTGGATGCAGTGGCATGATCTTGACTCACTGCAACTTCCACCTCCCAGGTTCAAGCGATTCTCCTGCCTCAGCCTCCCGAGTAGCTGGGATTACAGGTGCCCACCACCACACCCAGCTAATTTTTGTATTTTTATTAGAGACGGGGTTTCACCATGTTGGCCAGGCTGATCTCAAACCTCTGACCTCAAGCAATCTGCCTGCCTCGGCCTCCCAAAGTACCGGGATTACAGGCGTGAGCCACCATGCCCAGCCCAATATTTCTAAATACATGTTTTTCCTTTACTTTTCTGGATATTTGAATAAATACTTTTTAAAACTTACTCGTGGCACCAGTAGGTATCTAACTCTGAGAAACGAAAACTTATATTCTCACAAAAACCTATAAATGAATGCTTAAAGCGCTTTATTCATAATAGACAAGAAGGTGAACCAATTCACAGGCCTTTCAGCAAGTTAATAATTAAACTATGGTACATCCTACTACTTAAACCATATGAATGGAATATAGGTGAAGGGTGGGGGGAAAAGTTGGACTCTAATGGGGCAGTATGAGGGATTTGGGGAGTTGATGGTGTCCTGTATGGTATTGGTGGACACACACTACATATATTTATCAAAACCCATAGAACTATAACATCATAAGTGGGTTTTAATGCATGTAAATTTTTTAAACTGCAACCAAGATTTTGGGGGAAAGAGGATAGACTACAAACTGTGACAAATGAATCTAGCTGTATTACAAATTAGTCACATGATGAAGGGTATGGGGAAGAAAGAAACTGACCTAAGTAACTTTGGAAAACAGGGTTTGGATGAAATATTATAGGGCTAAGGACAAAAAACTATACACAAACACTACTCTAGTTCATAAATTTGTTTCTCATAAGGGTATATGGCTTAGGGATTCTGAAACTACTTTATCAGTATACTGGAGTTGAAAATCTAGTATATATATGTATATATATATATATTTATATTTATATATATTTGTAGATAATGAGAACCAGGTTTCTCAAGTAAAAAGGTTTAAACAAGGAAAGGAGCAAGGCTAACATGAATCTTTCGGTGCTGGGTTGGAATTGTAGGTATCAATATGGACTCATGAGTTTTTTTCTTAATGTAATTCAGACAGATACAGAAATAAACATAGGTGTGTGTATGCATAAGTTAGTACATACATATATTTCCTAGCTATATGCACCAAGAGGGACTAGAAGCAGTGATATCCCAATAGCAAACACACTGTAAGGCATAGATGATGGTTTTGAAGGGAAGATAGACAGTGGGCCTGGCACATCTTGTGGTGAGGAAAACAAGGGTGTCATAAAAAAGAAAAGATGAGAGGGCTTGTTGAAAGGGCGCAGGAGCCAACCTGAAAGAAATTCCAACGGCCGAAGTCAGAACAATTTGACCAATAAACTAAAGATAATCTAGGAGTATAACCCAAAGAATAAAATAAATGTCCATTGGTAAATGCTGATCAGAATAAATAGGTGAAAAAATAAGTAAGTGGGGAGTGGCGACAACTCCTCCTTACAGAAGAATTCCAATTAATAAATGTAGAAGGAAAGAGGGACGTAGAGAATCACCATTACAACATCACAGTAATAATTGCTGCAAGCAAGATCAACTGATGCTAATATTCATAGGAGGGAATTTCCATAATTTCTAGGTATCTCCACCAAAATATTTAGCAATTAGAAAGTAAAAATAGTATGTTTACAGTAGAAGAATTTTGACAGACATCACCTTAACCAAGTAATCAAGGTTATCATCAACCGTAATACATAGCGACATCATAAATCCCTTGATAGATGCACAGAAAAAAGCATATCACCACTGTGCTATCCTTCCCAATAATGCATAACTGCAATCTAATCATGGGAAGGCATTGGAAAAGCCCTAATGGAGGGATGTTCTACAAAAACTGGCCAGTACTCTTTAAAAGTGGTGAGGTCTCAAAAGACAAGGAAAGACTGAAGAACTGTCACTAGTTGAAGGAGAATGACAACTAACTGCAATGTGAGGCCTTGAATTAGATTCTGAAACAGAGAAAGGACATTAGTAGAAAAGCTGGTAAAATATTAATAAATCCTGTGCATTAGTTGATAGTATTATACCAATGTTGTTTTCTTTTGATAATTGTACTATGGTTATGTAAGATGTAAGCTGGATGAAGAGTATGCAGAAATAATCTGTACTATTTTTACAATTAGTCTAAAATTATCTAAAAATAAAGTGTTCTAAAATGAATACCTTTTCCAGGAAAACAACAGTAGAAAGCTTAGTAATGAAAAGTACCAGACATACACTCCGGTTGGCTAAGAGAATAGTTACTCCTCACACGTAATCAATGGAAAGGAACATCACAACAACAAGAAAAGGGCAAGTGTCAATTCTTTCTCCAGCTAATACCTATCAAAGTTACTGATGTCAGTTTTCATCTGTGTTTTTAAGAACTTTTCTAACCACTTAAGCAGACATACAGGGGAAATCACTATTGTCACCTACGTGATTAGTGGGATGCTAAAAGCAAGGCATCTATAGATTCCTTAAGCAGACATACAGGGGAAATCACTATTGTCACCTATGTGATTAGTGGGATGCTAAAAGCAAGGCATCTATAGATTCATATACAAAGAAAAACAGAATTTCCTAAATTTCTTCTTCCCCTGGAAAGTTGGTGTTATTGTCAGCCACCATGGGAGCTAATGTTAAGACTTAGAAAAAGCAAACAACAGGCCAGAACTACCTCGGCTTGCTCAAAGGAGGTGCGTAAGCACTGAGACAGGATCCACTCTGTCTGTGACCCAGGCTAGAGTGCAGTGGCGCGATCTCAGCTCATTGCAAC